>NC_000019.10:50365874-50990874 GCF_000001405.40 Homo sapiens | reverse complement strand
GGAAAAAAAAAAAGAACCCCACACACATTTCCTCTGCTTGTGATGACCAGTGTTTGGCAACAAAATCAGGTTAAATAATTAGGAATATAATTTACAGAATGATAGATGATGAAAAGCAGAGGATAGACGTTTTGGTGACTTAGGAGTGAATAACAGGGCTCTAGAGTAGCCTGGCTCCTTCCTCTTTCTAACAGATACTAAGGAGGCAGAGGACTGAGGGAGGAGAGAATCTAAGGATGAAGATGCAGGGAGTAGATAATACACTGGAAGTCTTGCTACCATTTCTGTCTTTGAGAAGCCAGGAAGGAAAGATACAGATTGCTGAATCATGGAGCTGTGAGGTCAACTGGGCTGGAGTCTGCTTCTCCTTGATTTGGGAGCCCAGGTCAGGAATGTTGACACCCTTCACGACCAGATTGCTGCTGTGGAATGGGCAGGGCTAGATGTCCAAGTTCGGGGATCTGATTTTGGATTCGATGACAGTAAATGTCTCAGAAGATTTTGGGACTCGGCTTGAGTTGAGTTAGTATAGCATCAATGTTAGCAAGATATTCGTTGGCAGACTTTATTTTAGAGTTTTTGTAAAATGAAGAGTCAAAGTTGTGTGGTGAGCTGGAGAAATAAAAATGGAACTGGGAAAAGAATTGGGGATGGAAATGAGAATGGGATTTTAGGTAGCAATTGGGTTGAGGATGAGAATAGGGGTGGGATGGGGTGAGAGTGTTAGAATTGGTGTTGGATGTGAGGGAATGGGTTCATGGGGGAGGATATGAATGTGGGCTTCCTAGAATATGATGGGAATGGAGACTAATGTCTGAATTATCCCGTGGCAGGCTTGATACTCAGGCTATGGTGACATTCACTGCTCAGGTCAAGGTTGAGTTTGGCTTATGGCTAATGGTTCAGGGTTAAGGTCAAGGGTCAGGAGGGTTAAGTTTGATTGAGGTCTGGATCCTAGCCTGAGTTGATATTTGGAGTCAAGAACTCAGTCAAGATTTAGGTTATTGGTTGAGATACAAATTGGGGTTCATCAAGGATAAAGCAGAATTTGAGGTTCAGGATTGGGTACAGATTAAGGTTTGGGGTTAAGACTGGGGCTTACTAAAGAGTCAAAAAAACAATAGATGTTGGCATGGATGTGATGAAAAGGGAACACTTATACACTGCTGGTGGGAATGTAAAGTAGTACAACCTCTGTGGAAAACAGTATGGTGATTTCTCAAAGAACTAAAAGTAGATCTACAATTCAATCCAGCAATCCCACTACTGGGTATCTACCCAAAGGAAAAGAAGTCACTATATCAAAAAGACACATACACACGTATGTTTATCGCAGTACAATTCACAATTGCAAAGATATGGAACCAAAGTAAGTGCCCATCAACTGATGAGTGGATAAAGAAAATGTGATGTGTATGCACCACGGAATACTACTCAACCATAGAAAGAATCAAATAATGTCTTTTGAAGCAACTTGGATGGAGTTGGAAGCCATTATTCTAAGTGAAGTAACTCAGGAATGGAAAACCAAATGCCTTACGTTCTCATGTGTAAGTGGGAGCTAAGCAGTGGGTACCAAGTGGTATAATGGACACTGGAGACTCAGAAGGGGGAGGGTATGAAGAGGATAAGGGATAAAACACTATAAATATTGGGTACAATATACACTACTTGGGTGATGGGTGCACTAAAATCTCAGACTTCACTGCTATACGATACATCCATGTAACCAAAAGCCACTTGTACCCCGAAAGCTATTGAAACAAACAAAAAGGCTGGGGCTTATGTCAAAATACGTGTTGGGAGTTGTGTCAAAGTAAAGGTTGGATTTAGGGTTCTGCTTGAAGTCAGGGTCTGAGGTCTTTTCTTGTCATATCAGAACCATTTGACCACATCTACCATGTCTTCTCAATGAATGGCATCACTGTCCATCGAGCAACAGACTTTGAAATCTTAACATCTTCCACTACCTCAACACAACCTTCATTCAATCCATCACCAAGGCTTGTTGATTCTCTCTCCTAAGTGCATTTTGAACCCATGTACTTAACATCGTCTCCACCTTTCAACCACCTGTATCCAAGTCACCATCTTCCCTCATCTAGACAACAACAATGACTTCCCCCATGGTTGCCCAGTATCTTCACATCCCACCCAAATCCAGCCTTCATACAGTAGCTAGGTTGATGTTTTGAAAATACAAATCTTGTTATGTTATTTCTCTGACTAAGGTTCAAATAGTTCTTCATTATCCACAGGATAAAGCAAGACTCACAATGACATACAGAGCTCGTCATTATCTGGTCCCAGTTAACCTCTGGCCTCCGAGCTCCAGCAATAATGCCTTGGGCCTTTGCACATGCTCTTTTCTCTACACAACACACTCCCCATTCTCCTCCCATTTTCTTCTAGTTACCAGAAGAAATTTTCTTCTAGTTACCAGAAGAAATTTTCTTCTAGTTTACTATTTCTAGTTACTAGAAGATTTCTTCTAGTCTACTTCTAGTTCCTAGAAGATTTCTTCTAGTTTAATATTCTTTCAAATCTCAGCTCATAGTCAATTCCTGGGTCTAACCCCTCTGGAAGTGCCTTCATAATACCCTGCACCTGTCTTTCAGAGCATGCCTTGTAGTTGTAATTTTACACTTGTTTATGAATTGACTGTATTTCTTTTACATGACACTATCAGCTCCTTGAGGGAAGAGACACTATCTAGGTTTGCACACCATTGTATCCTCATTGGTAGATAGCTACCACCCAATCCATATTTGTTAAATATATAAAGGATTGGTGTTAAACTATTGCATAAACAATCAACAACTTTTCCCTAAAAAATAAGAAATCCACTGTATAGAAGAAAAACTAAGAAAAAATTAAATTTAGATGAGAGGTAGTCAGCTATAGGATCCAAATTACTAATTTGTTTTTTTAAAAAAGACTATTCTAAAAATTAAATTGGTCATCTTCACATTAACAATGGCCAAAATGGGATATGGGCTGAAATGGGATATGGGGATGAGGGTTGGGAAGAGAGCTAAGACTGGAGGCATGGTTGAGTTTGTTGATTTATGTGGCTTCAAGATATGGAATCAAGTTAGAATCGGATTTGGATTTGTGGCTTGGGATCAGATTTGGGATCTGAGTCAATATTCTGATTGAACATTGAGGTCTTATAAAGATGATTTTGGCTACAAGGACCAAGCAACTCTAACCCAGAAGGGGAATCTGAAAAATCATGACATGAAGAGGCTCCATCGTTGGTTAATTCACCAGCTCAGTGACTTCATCAAAGACCCAGCTGATCCTCACCTCTCTGGTGGGCTACCTGCAGTGTTTTGACTTAGTCCTCTGGTCACTTCCCTCTGTGGTCCCTGGGGTGCTGCCACAGTTCCAGAATTTGCATCCAGAAAAGACACCATCTAGCAGAAGAAAAAAGTCCCCTTTCAGTGCCTCTTTTTGAAAATGAGAAAGTCTTTCCTAGAAGTGCCTCAGTGGTCTTCCCCTCCTCCTCATTGGCCAGAAGAACAGCACATGTCCATTTTCCAACTAATTAAGCAAACGAAATATGGCTTCAATGCTTGGTTCATTGAGGCTTATAGTCCTGATGAGGATAAAGTATTATCCAAACAAAATGGAGCCTCTGATAGAAAGGCAGAAGGAGTGAATGCCTGGGGACACAACAATAATGTCTACTATTATGGGTCAAATGTAGAATCGAGTTGGGGTGCCAGGCGTGGTGGCTCACACATGTAATCCCAGCACTTTGGGAGGCTGAGGAAGGCAGATCACCTGAGGTCGGGAGTTAGGGACCAGCCTGACCTACATGGAGAAACCCCATCTCTACTAAAAAAAAAAAAAAAAAAAATTAGCCAAGTGTGATGGTACATGCCTGTAATCCCAGCTACTCGGGAGGCTGAGTCAGGAGAATTGCTTGAACCTGGAAGGCGGAGATTGCAGTGAGCTGAGATCGCACCACTGCACTCCAGCCTGGGCAATAAGATCAAAACTCCATCTCAAAAACAAAAACAAAACAAAACAAAGCAAAAAAAAGAATTGAGTTGGGGTCAGGATTGAGATAAGTTTTAGGTCCAGGGTGGAGAAATAAATCCCATTTTGGGGATATAATTTAGAGGTTGAGGTCAATTCCAACTTTAGAAGTGTGTCCAACAATGGTTCCTGTCTTACTCAAAATAAAAGCCAAAGACCTTTCAGACCGCATGTCATCAGAGTCCTGTTATATTTCTGGCCTCATCACCTGCCCTCATCTCCTTTGGTCACTCTGTATTGGTCGCAGTGATTTGTCTGCTGAGGCACTTCAGATATGCTCCTTGGCTAACACACCTGCCTGCTCGCTTTGCCTGGAACTCACTACCTTCAAGCAGCCACCTGGATCCCTCCACCATCTCCTTCAAGACTTTGCTCAAATATCACCTTCACGTGGGGTCTTTGCAGCCAACCTTCCTGATATTATAACCTCAGGGATCCTCGAGGGTAGAGGGAATCAGTAACTCCCCAACCCTCTTCCTTGCTTGGATTTTCCCTTATAGCGCTTACAACCACCTAACAAACTCTACATTTTATTTGCTTATTTTTGTGCTGACCTGACAGTACAAAACAAAAACCTCTATGAAGACAGAAATTTTTCTCTGTTTTATCACTGCTGTGTCTCCAAGAGCCTGAATAGTTTCTGGCACAGAGTAGATGCTCAATGGATGCTGTTTGAATGACTACAATGAACAAAGATGAATGTACAAAGAAGTTCATCTCAGCATTATTATAATTAAAACTATCCAAGTGTATTTCAATTTGAGGCAGATGACATGCATCATGATACAAGTATAGTATGGAATATTACACAACCATTATAAAGGAAGGAAAAGTAATCTAAATGTACAAAGAGGGAAAAGTTTTCCTCTTTTTAAAAAATAAATGTTATTGTGTATATTTAAAGTGTACAATATGATCATATGCGATGTATATACATAGGACAATGATTACTATAGCTGAACAAATGAACATGTCCATCATCTCACATAGTTACCCATTTTCCTCCCCTGTGGCAAGAGCAGCTATAATCTACTCATTTAGCAAAAATCCTTGGCTGGGCGCGGTGGCTCAGGCCTATAATCGCAGTACTTTGGGAGGCCGAGGCCGGTGGATCACCTGAGGTCAGGAGTTGGAGAGCAGCCTGACCAACATGGTGAAACCCCATCTCTACTAAAAATACAAAAATTAGTTGGGCATGGTGGTGCACGCCTGTAATCCAGCTACTCAGGACTCTGAGGCAGGAGAATCACTTGAACACGGGGGAGTGGAGGTTGCAGTGAGCCGAGATCGTGCCATTGCACTCCAGCCTGGGTGACAGAGCCAGAGTCCATCAAAAAAAAAAAAAAATAAGAAAGATTCTTCTCTCCTCTATGTGTCCATGCAGTCTCATCATTTAGCTACCACTTGTAAGTAGGAACATGCCATATCTGGTTTTCTGTTCCTGCTTTAGTTTGTAAGGGTAATGGCCTCCAGCTCCATTCACGTCCCTACAAAGGACATGATCGTGTTCTTTTTTATGGCTACGTAGTATTCAATTGTGTATACGTACCACATTTTCTTAATCCAGTCTATCACTGATGGACATTTAGGTTGATTCCCTGTGTTTGCTGTTGTCAATAGTTCTACAATGAACGTACGTGTCCATGTGTCTTTAAACAGAATGATTTATATTCCTTTGGGTACACACACTGGGGCTTATGAGAGGGTGGAGAGTGGGAGGAAGGAGAGGATCAGAAAAAAATAACTAATGGGTACTAGGCTTAATACCTGGGTGATTAAATAATCTGTATAACAAACCCCCATGGCGCACGTTCACCTACGCAACAAACCTGCACATCCTGCACATGTACCCCCGAACTGAAAAGTTAAAAAAAGAAAAATAAATATTTGCTTATAAATTAATAAATGAAGCCCTCAAAAATGTTCTATTAGATAATGTTAAGTACAGACATTTTTGTTATAAATACATAATATACAAAGAAATCTATGTATAACATGATTAAAATGACCATAAGAACATAGATCCTAAACATGGCAAATATTAGTGGGGTGGGGTTAGGGAAAGCGTTGTTTTTAACTTACACCTCTCTGTTAGAGTTGGGAATGGGTTCAGGCGTAATTACAGGCACGACTGGGATCAGCTTGGACAAGTTCCCCCAGGCGGGCCAGAATTAGGATGTAGGGTCTAGGCCACCCCTGAGAGGGGGTGAGGGCAAGAAAATGGCCCCAGAAGCCGGGCGCAGTGGCTCACGCCTGTAATCCCAGCACTTTGCGGGGCCGAGGCGGGCACATCATGAGGTCAGGAGATCGAGACCATTCTGGCCAACATAGTGAAACCCGGTCTCTACTAAAAATACAAAAATTAGCTGGGAGTGGTGGTGCGTGCCTGTAATCCCAGGTACTCGGGAGGCTGAGGCAGGAGAATCACTTGAACCTGGGAGGCGGAGCTGGCAGTGAGCCGAGATCGCGCCACCGCACTCCAGCCTGGCGATAGAGAGAGACTCCATCCAAAAAAAAGAAAGGAAGGGAGGGAGGGAGGAGGGAAGAAAGAAAGAAAACCGCCCCAGAGAAGGACCCGAGCCAGAGCCTATTCTCTGAGCTCAGCGACTGCTTGAATCCCGCTCCTGCCCCTCAGACCCAGCGCACCGGGTCCCTCCCCCGAGAGCAGCCAGGAGGGACTGTGGGACCAGAATGTGCGGGGGCGCAGGAGCTGGGCACCGCCCGTCCTTCGGAGGGAGGGTGGAGAGAGAGTGCAGTGGTGCCAATTGCTCTCGCTGCGTCAGGGTTCCAGATAACCAGAACCGCAAATGCAGGCGGGGGTGTCCCAGAGTCGGCTCCGCCTGCACCCCAGGGCGCTGGGGCCGGGCATGGGGCGGGGGGTGATATAAGAGGACGGCCCAGCAGAGGGATGAAGATTTTGGAGCCCAGCTGTGTGCCAGCCCAAGTCGGAACTTGGATCACATCAGATCCTCTCGAGGTGAGAAGAGGCTTCATCAAGGGTGCACCTGTAGGGGAGAGGGTGATGCTGGCTCCAAGCCTGACTCTGCTCTCGAGAGGTAGGGGCTGCAGCCTAGACTCCCGGTCCTGAGCAGTGAGGGCCTGGAAGTCTGCAATTTGGGGCCTTTTAGGGAAAAACGAACTACAGAGTCAGAAGTTTGGGTTCCACAGGGAAGGGCAAGATCGGAGCCTAGATTCCTGGGTCTCTAGGGATCTGAAGAACAGGAATTTTGGGTCTGAGGGAGGAGGGGCTGGGGTTCTGGACTCCTGGGTCTGAGGGAGGAGGGCCTGGGGGCCTGGACTCCTGGGTCTGAGGGAGGAGGGGCTGGGGGTCTCGACTCCTGGGTCTGAGGGAGGAGGGGCTGGGGGCCTGGACTCCTGGGTCTGAGGGAGGAGGGGCTGGGACCTGGACTCCTAGGTCTGAGGGAGGAGGAGCTGGGGCCTGGACTCCTGGGTCTGAGGGAGGAGGGGCTGGGGCCTGGACTCCTGGGTCTGAGGGAGGAGGGGCTGGGGCCTGGACTCCTGGGTCTGAGGGAGGAGGGGCTGGGGCCTGGACTCCTGGGTCTGAGGGAGGAGGGGCTGGGGCCTGGACTCCTGGGTCTGAGGGAGGAGGGGCTGGGGCCTGGACTCCTGGGCCTGAGGGAGGAGGGACTGAGACCTGGACTCCTAGGTCTGAGGGAGGAGGGACTGGGACCTGGACTCCTGGGTCTGAGGGAGGAGGAGCTGGGGGCCTGGACTCCTGGGTCTGAGGGAGGAGGGGCTGGGGCCTGGACTCCTGGGTCTGAGGGAGGAGGGGTTGGGGCCTGGACTCCTGAGCCTGAGGGAGGAGGGACTTGGACCTGGACTCCTAGGTCTGAGGGAGGAGGAGCTGGGGGCCTGGACTCCTAGGTCTGAGGGAGGCGGGGCTGGGGGCCTGGACTCCTGGGTCTGAGGGAGGAGGGGTTGGGGCCTGGACTCCTGAGCCTGAGGGAGGAGGGACTTGGACCTGGACTCCTAGGTCTGAGGGAGGAGGAGCTGGGGGCCTGGACTCCTAGGTCTGAGGGAGGAGGGGCTGGGGGCCTGGACTCCTGGGTCTGAGGGAGGAAGGTGCTAGGGTCTGGACTCTTGGGTATGAGGGAGGAGGAGGTTAGGGGTCTGGACTTCTGAGTGTAAGGAAGGAGAGGCCAGAGAAAGGAATTTCTGGGTCTGAGGGAGGAGGGGCTGGGGTTCTGGACCCCTAGGTCTGAGGGAGGAGGGGCTGGGGCCTGGACCCCTGGGTCTGAGGGAGGAGGGGCTGGGGCCTGGACTCCTGGGTCTGTGGGGGGAGGGGCTGGGGCCTGGACCCCTGGGTCTGAGTGGGGAGGGGCTGGGCCTGAATGCTTTCTCCTTCTCAGCTCCAGCAGGAGAGGCCCTTCCTCGCCTGGCAGCCCCTGAGCGGCTCAGCAGGGCACCATGGCAAGATCCCTTCTCCTGCCCCTGCAGATCTTACTGCTATCCTTAGCCTTGGAAACTGCAGGAGAAGAAGGTGAAAGCTGGACTGGGAAGTCTGACCTCACCTCAGGGCCCCCACTGACCCTCTCCAAGGAGTCCCTGAGTCAGAACCCTTCCCTCCTCAAACAGCTTCCATCCTGGGAGGACCAGACTGTCGGCTGAAGCCCCCGCTCTTCCTGCTTCTGCTGACTCAGGGGGTCTCTGTCCCCTCCAGGCCCTGCCTCCTGTGCTCAGGGTCTCTCTGTGGTTCCCCAGATGAGATGCGCCTCCTGGGTTTCTGAGTGGGCTCCTTCTGTCTGTCTCTATCCCTATCTCTTGCTTTCTCTGTATTTCTCCACACATTTTCATCTGTCTCTGTCCATCTCTGACTCTGGGAATCCCTGAGGTGCAGCCTCAGCCTTCCCCTAATGCTAGCTACCCACGTGCTCCTCCATGTCTCCATCCAGCCCAGGGTGACAAGATTATTGATGGCGCCCCATGTGCAAGAGGCTCCCACCCATGGCAGGTGGCCCTGCTCAGTGGCAATCAGCTCCACTGCGGAGGCGTCCTGGTCAATGAGCGCTGGGTGCTCACTGCCGCCCACTGCAAGATGAAGTAGGTGCCGCCCAAGTCTCTGCTGGAGGTGCACCAGCGTCTCCAGCTCGCTATGGGGGTGGAAGGGCAGTCTTTCTGTGCCTACGGCTCTATTCTCCTCTCTCTGGGTCTCTGTCCTCCTCTCTCTGGGCCTCTGTACCCCCTCTCCCTGGGGCTCTGTCCCCCTCTCTCCCTGGCTCTCTGTCTCCCTCTCTCTGGGTCTCTGTCCCCCTCTCTCTGGATCTCTGTTCCCCTCTCTCTGTGTCTCTGTCCCCCATTCTCTCTAGGTCTCTGTTCCCCCTCCTCTCTCTCTGGGTCTCTGTCCCTCTCTCTCTGGTCTCTGTCCCCCTCTCTCTCTGGATCTCTGTCCCCCTCTCCCTGGGCCTCTGTACCCCCTCTCCCTGGGGCTCTGTCCCCCTCTCTCTGGGTCTCTGTCTGCCTTTCTCTCTGGATCTCTGTTCCCCTCTGTGTCTCTGTCCCCTTCTCTCTCCGGGTCTCTGTTCCCCCTCCTCTCTTTCTGGGTCTCTGTCCCTCTCTCTCTGGGTCTCTGTCCCCCTCTCTCTCTGGTCTCTGTTCCCCCTCCTCTCTCTCTGGTCTCTGTCCCTCTCTCTCTGGGTCTCTGTCACCCTCTCTCTCTGGGTCTCTGTCACCCTCTCTCTCTGGTCTCTGTTCCCCCTCCTCTCTCTGTGGGTCTCTGTCCCTCTCTCTCTGGGTCTCTGTTCCCCTCTCTCTCTGGTCTCTGTTCCCCCTCCTCTCTCTCTGGATCTCTGTCCCCCTCTCCCTGGGGCTCTGTCCCCCTCTCTCCCTGGCTCTCTGTCTTCCTCTCTCTGGGGCTCTGTCCCCCTCTCTCTCTGGTCTCTGTTCCCCTCTCTCTGGGTCTCTGTCCCTCTCTCTCTGGGTCTCTGTCCCTCTCTCTCTGGATCTCTGTCCCCCTCTCTCTCTGGGTCTCTGTTCCCCTCTCTCTGGGTCTCTGTCCCCTCTCCTCTCTCTGTGTCTCTCTCCCCCCTCCTCTCTCTGTGTCTCTGTCCCCCCTCCTATCTCTGTGTCTCTCTCCCCCCTCCTCTCTCTGGGTCTCTGTCCCCCCCTCTCTGGGTCTCTGTCTCCCTCTCTCTGGGGCTCTGTCCCCCTCTCTCTCTGGATCTCTGTTCCCCTCTCTCTGGGTCTCTGTCTCCCCTCCTCTCTCTGTGTCTCTGTCCCCCCTCCTCTCTCTGGGTCTCTGTCCCCACCCCGTCCCCCAGGTCTTTGCACACCCTCTCTGTCACAGTGTCTCTTCTGAATCTGTGAATGTCACTCCTCGCAGTGAGTACACCGTGCACCTGGGCAGTGATACGCTGGGCGACAGGAGAGCTCAGAGGATCAAGGCCTCGAAGTCATTCCGCCACCCCGGCTACTCCACACAGACCCATGTTAATGACCTCATGCTCGTGAAGCTCAATAGCCAGGCCAGGCTGTCATCCATGGTGAAGAAAGTCAGGCTGCCCTCCCGCTGCGAACCCCCTGGAACCACCTGTACTGTCTCCGGCTGGGGCACTACCACGAGCCCAGATGGTAGGTGGCCTCAGTGACCCAGGAGTGCAGGCCCCAGCCCTCCTCCCTCAGACCCAGGAGTCCAGGCCCCCAGCCCCTCCTCCCTCAGACCCAGGAGTCCAGGCCTCAGCCCCTCCTCCCTCAGACCCAGGAGTCCAGGCCCCCAGCCCCTCCTCCCTCAGACCCGGGAGTCCAGACCCCAGCCCCTCCTCCCTCAGACCCAGCAGTCCTGGGCCCCAGACCCTCCTCCCTCGGAACCAGGAGCCTGAACAACAGCCCTTCTGGTCCTCGCCCCCATCCTCTCTGACTGACAGCTCTCCCTGCTCCTCCCTGCAGTGACCTTTCCCTCTGACCTCATGTGCGTGGATGTCAAGCTCATCTCCCCCCAGGACTGCACGAAGGTTTACAAGGACTTACTGGAAAATTCCATGCTGTGCGCTGGCATCCCCGACTCCAAGAAAAACGCCTGCAATGTGAGACCCTCCCCCCCAATTCCTCCCCAGTCCTGGGTACCCTGTCTGCATGCCCCAGGGACAGAGCTTGACCCGAGTGACTGGGTACCAAGCCCGGCCTTGCCCTCCCCCCAGGCCTGGCCTCCTCAGCTTTTTCCACCTCATTCTCTGCCTAGGTCAGGGGTGGGAGTTTACTTAGGGGCCAATGTGGCCCTGGGGATGAGACAGAGAGTTTAATAGGGGTGAGAAAGTGGGGGTGGGACCAGGGAAGGAGACTGAGGTGCTGGCCTCAGGCCCAAACCTTAAGGGGGCACCAAAAACCTCAGTGATTGAGATAAATCATAATGCAATATTTAAAAATAAAAATAAAAACTCATGCAGAAGTCCATGATGGACAAAATGTCACATTTTAAATAAAGAGCAGGTGGATCTTACTGAATTTTCCCTTGCCGTAAGTACTAGCGTGGCTCAGCACAGCGCTGTACTGGCACTGTCTTCATTTAAAATGTGGATACCATGCCCATCATGCAGTTTTATGTATTACATTTGATTTCGTTAAGTACTGCATTGAAGTATTGTGTATTGCAGTTACTGAGATTTTGTGCCTGAAGCTGATGACTCACTCACCTGACCCTGGCCCTGGTCCCGGGGAAAACACTCTTTCTCTCCACCTCCTCTCTGTTCCCTCTTTCTGGCCTTTTGTCATCCCCTCTGTTTCTGAACAGTCTTCCCACATCTCTCTTTGTGACATAATTTCATTTCATTCTTTTCCTCTTTGTTTTTTCTCTGTGTTGAGCTAGCTTGCTCTCCCTCCCTTGTTCTCTCTCCATGCCCTCCTCTCTGCTCTCTGTCTTCTCCCTCTTTCTCTTGCTTCTCTCTCTCTCCTCCCCTCCCTCTCTCCTCTCCCTGCCCCCCTGCTCTCTCTTTTTTCCTCTCTCTCTGTCTCCTCTCTGGCCCTCTCCTCTTTCTCTCTCTCCCCCACTTCTCTGTCTCTCTTCATCTCTCTCCCTCATCTCTCCTTGCCCCCTCCTTTTTACTGTCTCTCTCTTTCTCTTTCTTCTATCTCTCTCCTCTCCCTGCCGCTCCCCCATCTCTGTCTTTCTTTCTCTCTCTTTATTCTCCTCCTCTCTTCCAGTCTCTCTCTCCTCTCCCCACCCCCACCCCATCTCTCTCCCCACACCTTCCCCCCCTTTCTCTTTGTCTCTCTCTTCTCCCTCTTTCTTCTCCACCCCCATCTCTCTCTCTCTTCTCTTCCCACACCCTCCCCATCTCCCTCATCTCTTTGTCTGTCTCTCTTCTCCCTCCTTCTTTTCCACCCCCATCTCTCTGTCTCTCTCTCTCCCCATACCCTTTCCCTCTTCCTCATCTCTCTTTGTCTCTCTCTCCTTTCCCTCTTTCTTCTCCACCTCCAACTCTCTCTGTCTCTCCACACCCATCCTCCTTGCTCACATCTGCACCTTCAGCTGTCAGGGGATGTGGGATGGTGAGTGTTAGGGATAGAGGAGATGGGAGAGAGATGACTGTCCTAGAGAATAGGGTGTTCCCCTTCTCCCCTGGTGAGGGCCAGTTTCATGAATGTGCAAGCTCTGCACGGACACAGAGCCCCACACTCAGAAGGGTCTCAAACTTAGTCTAATGCATTCCTGCTGTTGTCTTGAAATTCTCAATAATTTTTGAACAAAGGGCCCTGCATTTTCGTTTTGCACCAAGTCCTGTAAATTATGTAACTGGTCTTCACCCTGGTCTCCGAGACCATCGTGTCCCCCTTTCCTGCGCCACAGGGCACGCATCCACCCCTTGGAGATGATGTTCCTTCTCCCACTAGCTTGGAGCAGGGTCCTTAACATTGGAAAATAAAGAGTGCTCTGATCCTGGAAGCCCCACCCCTTCTCTGCAATTGGTCTCATTGGCCAAGGGTCAAACCAGTGTCTTCAAAGGACCTAGTGTGTCCCTAGCACTAGCTCTCCCATTAGTCCCCAGAGACAATGAGTCTCTTCTCATTGGCTATGGTGGAAGTCCATAATCTGCAAGACAAAGACCGATAACTGAGGAATGTATGAGAATGAGTTGGGCTTTGATCTGAAGCCAAAGTTAATCTCCGGCTCTATTCCCTCTAGGGTGACTCAGGGGGACCGTTGGTGTGCAGAGGTACCCTGCAAGGTCTGGTGTCCTGGGGAACTTTCCCTTGCGGCCAACCCAATGACCCAGGAGTCTACACTCAAGTGTGCAAGTTCACCAAGTGGATAAATGACACCATGAAAAAGCATCGCTAACGCCACACTGAGTTAATTAACTGTGTGCTTCCAACAGAAAATGCACAGGAGTGAGGACGCCGATGACCTATGAAGTCAAATTTGACTTTACCTTTCCTCAAAGATATATTTAAACCAACCTCATGCCCTGTTGATAAACCAATCAAATTGGTAAAGACCTAAAACCAAAACAAATAAAGAAACACAAAACCCTCAGTGCTGGAGAAGAGTCAGTGAGACCAGCACTCTCAAACACTGGAACTGGACGTTCGTACAGTCTTTACGGAAGACACTTGGTCAACGTACACCGAGACCCTTATTCACCACCTTTGACCCAGTAACTCTAATCTTAGGAAGAACCTACTGAAACAAAAAAAATCCAAAATGTAGAACAAGACTTGAATTTACCATGATATTATTTATCACAGAAATGAAGTGAAACCATCAAACATGTTCCAAAAGTACCAGATGGCTTAAATAATAGTCTGGCTTGGCACAACGATGTTTTTTTTCTTTGAGACAGAGTCTCTGTTGCTTGGGCTGCAATGCAGTGATGCAATCTTGGCTCACTGCAACCTCCGCCTCCTGGGTTCAAGTGATTCTCGTGCTTCAGCCTCCCAAGTACCTGGGACTACAGGTGTGCACCACCACACCAGGCTAATTTTTTGTGTATTTTTACTAGAGACAGGGTTTCACCATGTTGGCCAGCATGGTCTTGAACGCCTGACCTCAGATGATCCACCCACCTTGGCCTCCCAAAGTGCTGGGATTACAGGCATGAGCCACCACGGCCAGCCCACAATGATATTACAAACCTATTAAAAATGATACTTAGACAGAATTGTCAGTATTATTCAAGAACATTTAGGCTATAGGATGTTAAATGACAAAAGGAAGGACAAAAATATATATGTATGTGACCCTACCCATAAAAAATGAAATATTCACAGAATCAGATCTGAAAACACATGTCCCAGACTGCATACTGGGGTCGTCATGAGGTGTCTCCTTCCTTCTGTGTACTTTTCCTTGAATGTGCACTTTTATAACATGAAAAATAAAGGTGGGGAAAAAAGTCTGAAGATCTAAGATTGGAGAGAGGTGACCTTTCAGGAAGGGAGACTAGAAAGAAATATGTGCCTGGTTTTGAGCCCTGGTCCTGCCGGCCCTGTTCCAGGGCATATTTCCATTTCCCAGATCTCAGTTTTTCCTGTCTGTAAAATGGGAGAGAGAGGAAAGGATGGAGAGAGGAAGAAGGAAGGGAGGAGGGAGGAGAGAACAGGCCAACTTCATCAGCGTGGGAAGGGGTGTGAAAGTGTTTCTGAGCATCTCACGAGTGACAAGTGAGGAGGGAGGCTGGCGGTTTTCAGAGGGATTGGGATGACAGTAGACAGGACACAGGGGTCCCACGGGGGTCTGCCAGAAGTAAGCAAACAGTGCCGGAGGAAGATGGTGGCACCTGCTCCCCAAGAAGGGAGGGAAAGGAACCTCGGGAAGCGGGTAGGATGAGGGAGGAGTCCTCTGTGACTCAGAGCCTGGCCACAGCCCCAGCCATCTAACATCAAAGATCCTCTGTGTGGTCACACCTCAGACGCTGCTGACCGAGGAGCCACTCCAGCCCAGGACACGCCCTCCTACCTGTTCTTCCTGTTTTTCTCCCAGAATTCCCTCCCCACCAAGATCCTCCAGATCCTTCCCCTCCTTATCTCATCTCCCTCTGAGTCTCTCCTAACCCAGGCACCACAGCCCTGTCATATTGCAGAAATTCTGCAGCCGCTAATTCTGATTCTCCCATATAGGAGGCTAACACAGAAAACGCAGGAGTCCAGGCCCCCAGCCCCTCCTCCCTCAGACCCAGGAGTCCAGACCCCCCAGCCCCTCCTCCCTCAGACCCAGGAATCCAGACTCCCCCCAGCCCCTCCTCCCTCAGACCCAGGAGTCCAGAACCCCAGCCCCTCCTCCCTCAGACCCAGGAATCCAGACTCCCCCCAGCCCCTCCTCCCTCAGACCCAGGAGTCCAGACCAGCCCCAGCCCCTCCTCCCTCAGACCCAGGAGTGCAGGCCTGCCCCCACGAGCCCCTCCTCCCTCAGACCCAGGAATCCAGACTCCCCCCAGCCCCTCCTCCCTCAGACCCAGGAGTTCAGAACCCCCCCCACCAGCCCCTCCTCCCTCAGACCCAGGAATCCAGACTCCCTCCAGCCCCTCCTCCCTCAGACCCAGGAGTTCAGACCCCCCTGCCAGCCCCTCCTCCCTCAGACCCAGGAATCCAGACTCCCCCCCAGCCCCTCCTCCCTCAGACCCAGGAGTCCAGACTCCCCCCCAGCCCCTCCTCCCTCAGACCCAGGAGTCTAGACTACCCCCAGCCCCTCCTCCCTCAGACCCAGGAGTTCAGACCCCCCCCCCCGCCAGCCCCTCCTCCCTCAGACCCAGGAGTCCAGACCGCCCCCAGCCCCTCCTTCCTCAGACCCAGGAGTCCAGACTCCCCCCAGCCCCTCCTCCCTCAGACCCAGGAGTTCAGACCGCTCCCCGCCGCCAGCCCCTCCTCCCTCAGACCCAGGAATCCAGACTCCCCCCAGCCCCTCCTCCCTCAGGCCCAGGAGTCCAGATCCCCCCCAGCCCCTCCTTCCTCAGACCCAGGAGTCCAGACCCCCCGCCCCAACCCCTCCTCCCTCAGACCCAGGAGTCCAGGCTCCCCCCCAGCCCCTCCTTCCTCAGACCCAAGAGTCCAGACCCCCCGCCCCAACCCCTCCTCCCTCAGACCCAGGAGCCCAGGTCCCCAGCCCCTTCTGTTTCTGGGCCTGTCAAGTTTAAGAATGTCAAACATTTTCGACCAGTCATTCCCCTGAAGTTTTAGCAACATTTTCTCTCTCTTCTGCAAGGCACTCCAACATTCAATCTGGAATTTTAAAAAGTAACAAAACATTGCATTTGCACTAAGTCAGCCTGGAGATCCCTGGCCCTGGCCCTCTGCTCTCCTATACGCAAGCTACAGGTAGATTGGTTTGCAATGACTGAGATGGTACTAATGTTGATTTTTTTTAAGTAATTCATTTTTCTTTGGGTAAGCAGTATAGTGTGGTAGTTAAGGGACTAGCTCTGGATCTTGGCTTCTTGGGTTCAAATCCCAGTTCTAGTCCCTACAAGCTATTTTCCTTTAAGCTCATTACTTCCCCTGTCCCTGTTCCTTCATCCTTGAAATGGGAGAAAAAGCACCTACTTTCTAGGGTTATTACAGAGATTCAATAAGTTAATATACAGAAAGTGCTCAAACATTGTGTGGCACGAGGTAAGCCTTCCTTCAATGGTCATTGGTTTTAGTTTAGTTTAGTTTAGTTTAGTTTTTCTTTTTTTTTGAGACAAAGTCTTGCTCTTGTCACCCAGGCTGGAGTGCAATGGCGCGATCTCAGCTCACTGCAACCTCTGCCTCCCAGGTTCAAGTGATTCTCCTGCCTCAGCCTCCTGAGTAGCTGGTATTACAGGTGCCTGCCACCATGCCCGGCTAATTTTTGTATTTTCAGTAGAGACCAAGTTTCACCACGTTGGCCAGGCTGTCCTCAAACTCCTGACCTCAGGCAATCTGCCCGCCTTGACCTCCCAAAGTGCTGAGATTACAGGCATGAGCCACCGCGCCTGGCCCAGGCATTGGTTTTTATTGTTTATGACTTCTGGCACTTTTTTCTGCTTACAGTCTCATGAAGTTTCCTTATAATTTTTTTTTTCTTTTTTTCACATAGGGTCTTGCTCTATCATCCAGGCTAGAGTTTGGTGGCATGATCATAGCTCACTGCAGCCTCAGTCTCCTGGGCTCAAACAATCCTTTTGCCTCAGCCTTTCGAGTAGCTGGGACCATGCCTGGGCTGATTTTTTTTTTTTTTTTTAGTAGAGACGGGGTCTCACTATGTTGTCCAGGCTGGTCTCTAATTCCTGAGCTCAAGTAATCCTCCCACCTCAGCCCTCCAAAGTGCTGGGATTACAGGTGTGAACCACTGCACCGAGACAGAAGAATTTATTTAGTGAAGAGTTTTGCAGAGCAAGACAATCTGGAGCAAACTATCCAGTAAATAAGCATTCAAAGTATGCAGAGATGGCAAACCATGAAGGTCACCAGAGAAGAGGTAGAGTTAGAAATTTCTTTCTCTTCAAAGTCCCTCCACTCCCCACAGCCTAACACCTCCCTTCTTTCCCCACCCAGCTCTCAACAATTCCTCCCAAGTTCACTCACCTCGTACTGTCATAAGATAGACCCAGCCAGGCCACCAAGGGATGGGCCACATCCACGCCATGTTGGAAGCTGAGTTCCCATTCAGGCTCCACCATTTCCTGGATGTTTGATGATGAGCAATGAACTTCCCGTTCTGAGCCTCAGTTTTCTTATCTGTAAAATGGGAGTGGGTGTGATAAAGTCATTTAGTCATTTGGTCAGTCTTGCCTAAGGCTTCTTCTGGGCAAGGTCCTGTGTGGTTGCTTGGGACACAGGGATGAGTCAGTCCCGTACCTGCCCTCAAGGAGCTCACGGTCCAGTGGAAGAGATGACGAATGTCAATCCAGGTGGCCCCCCGTCCAGGTTGGGTTGAGGGAGACACCTGCTGTGGGAACCTACGTGAGAGAATGAGTAATCCAACTACAGCAGGTGGCAGCTGGGTGGTGTTCAGGGAAGGTTTCCTGGAGGAGGTAATGTCCAAGTAAAGACTTGAAGGACAGGTTATTGCCAGGAAAAGGTGGGGAAAACATGCTAAGAAGAGAGAATAGGCCAGGCACGGTGGCTCACGCCTGTAATCCCAGCACTTTGGGAGACCGAGGCAGGCAGATCACCTGAGGTCAGGAGTTCATGACCAGCCTGGCCAACATGGTGAAACCCCATCTCTACTAAAAATATAGGCATGGTGGTGTGTGCCTGTAATCCCAGCTACTCGGGAGGCTGAGGCTGGAGAATTGCTTGAACCCAGCAGGCGAAGAGAGATCGCGCCACATCACTCCAGCCTGGGCGACAGAGCGAGACTCCATCTCAAGAAGAAGAGGGAATAGCATTCAGTGAAGGGCCAGAGGCCAGAGGGCATGGCATGGGTCAGGGAAGCTTGATGTGTTCTAGAAAGCTGGAGCCACACGGAGACGTAGACATAGCTGTGTCATGCAGTGTGAGGGCCACTCACCACTCAGGACTCCTTTTAAAAAAATTTTTGACAGGGTCTGGCTCTGTCACACTGAAGTGCAGTGGCGTGATTATGGCTTACTGCAACCTGGGCCTCCAGGCTCAAGCAACTATCCCACCTCAGCCTTCTGCATAGCTGGGACCACAGATGTGTGCCACCACACCTAGGTAATTTTTTTCTTTTCTTTTTTTTGTTTTTTTTTTTAGAGATAGGGTCTCACTATATTGTCCAGGCTGGTCTCGAACTCCTAGGCTCAAGTGATCTTCCCACCTCTGCCTCCCAAAGTGCTTGGATTACAGGCATGAGCCACCTTGCCCAGCCATGTCAGGCTGGGGTGCAGTGGTATAGTCACAGCTCACTGCAGGCTCGACCTCCCAGGCTCAGCAATTCTCCCGCCTCAGCCTCCGGAGTAGCTGGGACTACAAGTGTGCACCACCACATCTGGCTAATTTTTTTACTTTTTGCAGAGATGGTTTCTCACTATGTTGCCCAGGCTGGTCATGAACTTCCGGACTCAAGCTATCTACCCACCTTGGCCTCTCAAAGTGCTGGGATTACAGACATGAGCCACCATGCCTGGCCTTAAATTTATTTTTTAATTGACAAGTAAAAATTGTATATATTTCTGGTGTATAACATCATGTTTGATATATGTATGTATATGTTGTGGAATGGCTAAACCAAGCTATTTAACATATGCATTATTTTACACCCTTATTTTTTGTGGTAAGGACACTTAAAAAATCTTCTGACTTAAAAAAAAAAGTATGGTGATTGGAAAATGTAAATGTGCATGCGTGCTTGGCATCACATTTCATTGGCCAGGACTTCCCTGGATGCTAAAGGTCCTCAAATGCCAGGCTGGGGGGCTGGGACTTGGTCCCAAGGGAGATGGGGACCCAGGGCACGTCTGTGAGAGGAGGGGCAAGGTCAGCACAAGGCACAGGAAGGTCTCTCTGGGGCAAGGGATACAGAGAACAGAGGGATCCTGGTCCAGGTGGGAGAGGTGCAGCTCTGAGTTGGGGTTGAGGGTGTGGGTACAGAGAGGAAGGGACCCCCCAGAGAGAGGAGGCAGAGGGATAGGGCCTGGTCACTGGGTTGTGCAACATCAGACTTGCTGTCTGTGAAGATAGCACGTCCTGAGAAGAAGGTGCTGAGGTCAGTGGGGACCAAATGTGAGAGGGAGCACCCGGAGAGTATACTGAATACCGAAGTAGTCTTCATCCCTGGAGTGATGGGGGGTGCACAATGCAAGATGACAATTAGATTCAATGCAAGACAAAGAAAAGGGTTGGCTGGGAACAGTGGCTCATGCCTATGGTCCCAGCTCCTGGGAAGACTGAGGCGGGAGGGTCGCTTGAGCCCAGGAGGGTTGAGGCTGCCACGAGCAAGGATCGTGCCACTGCACTCCAGCCTAGGCGACAGAACAAGACCTTGTCTCAAAAGAAAAAAGAACTTTTTTTTTTAAGTTACCTGTAGTGCCCAGCCCAAGCAGGTGCTGAGCCAGACTTCATTCCTATCATTGTCCTTATTACGCAGTGACTTCCCCCTCCTCATTTCTCTCCACTCTGCCACGCACACACCCTCACCCTCCAGCCCATACCAACCACCCCAACCACTGCCTGTGGTTTCCCATGTGCACCCAGGCCAGGCATTTTCACGGCCTTTCCTCCTGACCTACGCCTGGCTCAGCTTTCTAGGCCCAAGTTCAAAGACACCTCCCTAAATCTTCCCAGATCCCTCTGCTACTGCCCAGCACCACCATCTTATCACAGCCCCACGTCGTTCCCAAGTGCTCTCCGATTTCTGCTTAACTCCATGCCTCTCGCTGTGTGTCCGCATCTCATCAATAAGTCCTCAAGTCCTCTTCCATCCTGCTAGCTTCCTCATCGCTCGGGAATCATCCCCGCTACTTCCTGGGGAAACTGACTCCCTTCTGGGCACACACAGTGCTACCCCCGGGGAAATCTAAGAAGAGACCCAGGAGAAGATAAGCACGGAGAGTCAGAGAATCAAGGGGAAAGAAAGGGAGAGAGGCCGGGCACAGTGGCTCACACCTGTAATCCAGCACTTTGGGAGGCCAAGGTGGGTGGATCACCTGAGGTCAGGAGTTTGAGACCAGCCTGGCCAACATGGTGAAACCTCTTCCCTACTAAAAATACAAAAAACATTTAGCCGGGCGTGGTGGTGGGTGCCTGTAATCCCAGCTACTTGGGAAGCTGAGGCAGGAGAACTGCTTGAACTCAGGAGGCGGAGGTTGCAGTGAACTGAGATCACACCACTGCACTCCAGCCTGAGTGACAGAGCAAGACTCCGTCAAAAAAAAAGAAAGAAAGAAAGAAAAGAAGGAAGGAAAGAAAGAAGGAAGGAAGGAAGGGAGGAAGGGAGAGAGGAAGGGAGAGAGGAAGGGAGAGAGAGAAAAAAAGAGGGAGAGAGACACAAATACAGAGACTGAGATGGGAGAGAGAGAGAGATGGAAGCTCCCTCCCCTCCATGGCCAGGGAGACAGATGGAGCAAGAGACCTCAGGGGTGGGCAGACTTGGAGGAGAAGGACCAGGAGGATGTGGAGTGCCGAAATCTCCAGTCAGGGCCAGGTGGGCAGTCAGAGACTGCAAAGGAGGACTGTCAGACAGGGACAAAAGGAAGCCATTGATGTAACCGCCCTCCCGCCTGCCCGCCGGAAGAGAGGTTGAGGCCGGAGCTGCTGGGAGCATGGCACTGGGGTGCTGGGGGCGGACAAAGCCCGATTGTTCCTGGGCCCTTTCCCCATCGCGCCTGGGCCTGCTCCCCAGCCCGGGGCAGGGGCGGGGGCCAGTGTGGTGACACACGCTGTAGCTGTCTCCCCGGCTGGCTGGCTCGCTCTCTCCTGGGGACACAGAGGTCGGCAGGCAGCACACAGAGGGACCTACGGGCAGGTGTGTGAGTCACCCCAACCGCACTGAACCTGGGCAGGCTGCTTCCCAGTGCCGGAGGGCTCTAGAGCCCGGAGTGAGGGCCTGCAGGTCCCTGGGTGGCACAGAGAGTGCTGGGGGTGCAGGGAGGCCTGGGGCACCATCTGCTTGCCCCAGAGGCCGGAATTTGTCTTCAGACACTTTCTTTCTCCAAAACCCGGAGGTCTAAGGACTGAGCCGACTAGAACTTCCTCTGCCTCAGATTCAGGCCCCAGCCCCTCCTCCCTCAGACCCAGGAGTTTAGGTCCTAGCCCCTCCTCCCTCAGACCCAGGAGTCCAAGTTCCCACCTCCTCCCTCAGACTCAGGAGTCCAGGCCCCCAGCCCCTCCTCCCTCAGACCCAGGAGTCCAAGTTCTCACCTCCTCCCTCAGACCCAGGAGTCCAGGCCCCAAGCCCCTCCTCCCTCAGACGCAAGGGTCCAGGCCCCCAGCCCCTCCTCCCTCAGACTCAGGAGTCCAGGCCCCCAAGCCCCTCCTCCCTCAGACCCAGGAGTCCAGGCCCTCACTGCACTCAGGGACCAGTGCTCCCTTCCCTGGAGGCCTGGTCAGGGGTCACCAAGAGCAGAGCGTGGGGGCGGGAGGAATGTGTGTGGGAGGCCTGGGTAAGGAGGAAAAGGGTGTAGCCAGTCTCCTGGCTCAGGGACCTGAGAGACAGGGGTTAAAAGGACGTTCCAGAAGCATCTGGGGACAGAACCAGCCTCTTCCAGGGAGGCCTGGGAGCTGGGGGTGTGTGTCTGGCAGTCCCTGCAGCCCTGGGCTCTGCGGCCCCTGCGTCCTCCGCTTGGCTCTGCCACTGCATCTGAGTGTCTTCTCTCCTCACGGCTCCCCGCATTTCTAACTCTTTCTGCCTCCTCGTCTCAAAGCTGTTCCTTCCCCCGACTCAAGAATCCCCGGAGCCCGGAGGCCTGCAGCAGGTGAGATCACAGACATCACAGAACCTGCCGGGTGGGCGGGGTGGGTGGCCATTGCGCACAGAGCCAGGCTCCGAGGAAAACTCCCATACAGAGGAAGAACGCTAGGGCCCCCTAGGGTAACCCTCTCCTGTCGACAGGAAGGCAAATCAGTGCCCAAGAAAGTAGAAAGATCTAATCAGAATCTCACCATGGGTTACTGGACCAGTGGACGTAGTTCTGAATTCTCTTTGGCACTGTTTTCGTGGGATCCTCTGATGGAAGATGTGGGCTGAGGAAGAATAAATCAGGAGGCTAGATGGGAAGGACAGAGGTCAAGGCAGGAGACCATAGCAGGCCAGGAAGGAAGGAGAGGATGCAGAGGGAGCAGACAGAGGGATGGGGGGAGGGTCGAGGCAGTGACTAATGGACCATGTGGCTTCCCCTCTCAGGAGCGGCCATGAAGAAGCTGATGGTGGTGCTGAGTCTGATTGCTGCAGGTGGGGAAAGGGCATTTGGATGGGGGAGGCTTGCAGACAGGGTTGGGCTTGTTGATGGAGAAGAGGCTGGTATTGGGGATGGGGATATGCACAGGGTTGGGGTGGGGGAGCTTTGAAATGAGGAAGACGTTGGGGATTAGGCTAAGGGTGGGGAATACAGATAGGGAGGGTGGTGGGAGGTGGGTTTGAAGATATGAGGGTTTGGGGTGGGGTTGGCTTTAGGGATGGGGATCTAAACATAGAAGAGGTAGGAGGTAGGTTGGAAAGTTGGAGAGAGCCCGGGAATAGGGGATACAGTTGGGTTTGTAATGGGAATGGGGTAAGTTTGGGAGTGGAAATACAGAGAAGCTTTTTTTTTTTGAGACAGGGTCTCACTCTGTCACCCAGGCTGGAGTGTAGTGGCATGATCCATAGTTCACTGCAGACTTGAACTCTTGGGTCTCAAGTGACCCTCCCACCTCAGCCTCCCAAGTAGCTGGGACTACAGGCGTATGCCACCATACCCTGCTAATTTGTGTGTGTGTGTGTGTGTGTGTGTGTGTGTGTGTGTGTGGAGATGAGGTCTCACTGTGTTACCGAGGCTGGTCTCAAACTCCTGGGCTCAAGCGATCCTCCTGCCTCAGCTGGGATTACAGGCATAAGCCACTGCACCTGACCAATCTTGACTGGAGTTCATGTTGAGGGGGATGCGCTTGGTTTCTCCAGAACTCCTCTCTGACTCAGATCTTCTCTCCCTCAGCCTGGGCAGAGGAGCAGAATAAGTTGGTGCATGGCGGACCCTGCGACAAGACATCTCACCCCTACCAAGCTGCCCTCTACACCTCGGGCCACTTGCTCTGTGGTGGGGTCCTTATCCATCCACTGTGGGTCCTCACAGCTGCCCACTGCAAAAAACCGTGAGTCTACACTGTAAATGAACAGCAGATGCGACTGAACCCTGAGGGTGTCTTATAGATGTCAGGCAGGAGGTGACATAGGCATCCCCCCCATCCCAGCACGAGGCCATCTGATAGCCAGGTGCATTCGGCTGTTGCTTAATTGAGTACTTAATGTGTGCCAGGCCCTGCGGGCATAGCAGTGGAAAAGAAAATAAAAAAAAGAAAACAAAAAAAAACAAGCAAAATTGCTGTTTTCCTGAACTTACTTTCTAATGGGGGAATTGGATCATTTGGGGACCTGCAGGGCGTGATGGGCATTTGGATTTAATTCTGAGCACAGTAGGAAGCCACTGGGCAGTTTTGTTTTTGTTGTTTGTTTGTTTTTTGAGACACAGTCTCGCTCTGTCACCCAGGCTGGAGTGTAGTGGCATGATCTCAGCTCACTGCAACCTCTGCCTCCCAGGTTCCAGCGATTCTCCTGCCTCAGCACCCCAAGTAGCTGAGATTACAGGTGTGCACCACCTTGCCTGGCTAATTTTTGTATGTTTGGTAGAGACGGGGTTTCACCATGTTGGCCAGGCTGGTCTCGAACTCCTGACCTCAGGTGATCCGCCCGCCTCGCCCTCCCAAAGAGCTGGGATTACAGGCATGAGCCACCACCACACCCAGCCTGATTTACATTTTTACAAGCACCCTGGCTACCACGTGGAACGTGGTCTGGGCAAGAGAGAGGGAGGGAGGCCCACGTGGGGGCTGTTGCTTTCATCCGGCGACATAGGAGGGTGGCTTGAACCCAGGCGGTCGCAGTGGGGATGGAGGGATGTTGAATATCTTGGGATGTGGAATTCTGAGACTGAGCCAGCAGAATCTGGCAACGAGGAACAGGAGGGAGAGGAAGAAGCACGGCTGGCTTCCGTGTATTTGTCCTGAACAACTGGGTGTTTTGCCACGTCTTTCTCTGAGTTGTGGGAGAGGGAAAGAGAAACAGGCCGGGTGTAGGCAGGGGAGCATCTGACATTTTGCTTTAGCCACGATGAGTTGGAGATGCCGGGGAGATGTCCCAGCAGGGAGGCCAGGGAGGACTCTGGAGCTCAGAGGAGAGGTCAGGGCTGGAGGTTAAAATGAAGGCATCGTCAGCAAACAGGTGTATTTAAAGCCATGGGACTAGATGAGATCATCCAAAAAGCTGGCATAGTTGGAGGAGCTGGAGGGCCCAGGACAAAAACCCTGGGCGCTGATCCTCACTAGTCAGATTCACGACAGCTGCCACTTGTTTGATGCTAACTACCAATCAGGTGCTGAGTGAAACCATGTACACACCTTTCCTGGAATGCCCACCACAAGGGACTCTTGGCACCATTTTGCAAATGAGGAAACTGAGGTGCAGGGAAATAGCAAGTGACAATCCCTGGGGTGGTTCCCCTGACCCCAAGGAGACCTTGGATGACTCTCACCACCATCATTCATTCCTTTGATGTACATTGACTAAGAGCACCTGCTAAGTGCCACATTCGAGTTGGGCAGTGGAGATTCAGCAATGGATGGGACACACACGTCATCCCTGCCCTCGGGAGCACAAGGACAGAAAGGTGCAGACAAGCAAAGTGAGGGCTGGGCATGGTGGCTCACGCCTGTAATCCCAGCACTTTGGGAGGCCGAGGTGGGTGGATTACCTGAGTTCGAGACCAGCTTGGCCAACATGGCTCAACCCTGTCTCTACTGAAAATACAAAAAATTAGCCAGGCGTGGTGGTGGGCTTCTGTAATTCCAGCAACTTGGGAGGCTAAGGCAGGAGAATTGCTTGAACGTGGGAGGCGGAGGTTGCAGTGAGCCGAGATCGCGCCACTGCACTCCAGCCTGAACCACAGAGCGAGACTCTGTCTAAAAAAAAAAAAAGGAAAGAAAGAAGCAGCAAATTGGGCTGGCCGTGGTGGCTCATGCCTGTAATCCCAGCACTTTGGGAGGCCGAGGCGGGTGGATCACTCGAGCCCAGGAGTACAAAGCTGCAGTGAGCTGTGATCTACAGAACACCACTGCAGATCCAGCCTGGGTGACAGAGCGAGACCCTGTCTCAAAAAAACAAACAAACAAAAGAAGCAAACCCTTCAAAACCCCATATAATTACAAATTATGAAGGAAAAGAATACGGGTACCTACTTTAGATGGAGGAGGGTCAGGAAGGACTTTCTAATGAGATAAAATCCAAGCGGAGGCATGAAGATGGGAAAAGGAATGTTCAGGGCAGAGGAAAGGCTGTGATAACACCCCTGAGGTGAGAACCGTCTTGAGTATTCTCAGAAAATAAAATTTCCCGTTCACTGGGGGGCAGAAGGTGCTGGGAGATAAGGTTGGAAAGTGACTACAGCCAGATCACACAGGGGCTCCAGTGCCAAGTGGAGGAGCCCAGGCTTTATTCTTAGGACAATGGGGAGCCATGGGTGATGTCTGAGCAAGGGAGTGACTCTCTGTTTCAGGAATATGTATCAAACACCTATCCTGTGCCAGGTGCTGATCAACGCACTGGAGATACTATATCTGAATAGAACAAAAATCCCCATCTTGACATCCTAGAGCTGCACTGTCTAATATGGTAGCCATCAGCCACATATAGCAAATTACATTGAAATTAATGAAATGGAAAATCCACAAGCCACATTTCAAGTACTCAGCAGCCACCTGTAGCTTGTGGTTCCCCCAGCCACCTCTGGACAGTGCAGATCGAGATCATGGCATCGTAGCATTTAGTGGACAGCATTGCTCTGCAAGGAGGAGAAATAACACAATGAGTAAATATTTAACAATAAATATATAGCAGGTCGGATGATTGTGATAGGTTCTCTGGTGGAACAGAAAGCAGGGGAGGGAGATAGGAATTGCCTACTAACAGGTATTTGTATTTTAATTGGGCAACTAAGGAAGGCTTCCCTGAGAGGCGACATTTAAAGGAAGTGAGGGAGTGAGCTATGCAGATACTTGGAGGACAGACTTGCTGGCAGAGGGAACAGCAGTGCAAAGGCCCTGAGGTGGGAAGATCACTATTGTGTTCAAGGCAAGACAGGGAAGCCAGCGTTTGGCTGGAGCAGAGGGAGAGAAGGGGAGAGTGGGAGGAGAAGATGTCTGTGAGATGATGGGGCAGTGCTTGCAAGGCCTGGTGTGCCACGTTGAGAACTTTGGCTTTGATTCTGAGTGAGATGGGAGTCATAGGAGGGGCTGAGCAGAGGAGGCACAGGACCAACTTACATTGTTAAAATATCTCTGGTTGCTTTGTGGAGGATGGACTGTGGGGGACCAGAGACAGAGCAGGGAGCCCAGTGAGGAGGCTACTGCTCTAGTTCAGGTAGGAAGTGAAAAGGCAGCTCAAACCAAGATGGTAGCCGTGGGAAAGGTGAGATGTGGCCAGATTCTGGATATGCTTCAGAGAGGCAAAAGGAATTCTGGACAGCTTGGATGTAGGGCATGAAATAAAGAGAGTGAAGAATAGCCCCCAAGATTATTCTGAAAGGATGGAATTGCCATTTACCCAGCTGGGGAAGACTGTGGGAGGAGCAGGCCAGCGATTCATGACTTCCCAGCCCTCTCTGAAGCCTCAACTGCAGCCCAAGGGCTCCAGGTGAGACCCAGCCCTCTTCCTTCCCAGGAATCTTCAGGTCTTCCTGGGGAAGCATAACCTTCGGCAAAGGGAGAGTTCCCAGGAGCAGAGTTCTGTTGTCCGGGCTGTGATCCACCCTGACTATGATGCCGCCAGCCATGACCAGGACATCATGCTGTTGCGCCTGGCACGCCCAGCCAAACTCTCTGAACTCATCCAGCCCCTTCCCCTGGAGAGGGACTGCTCAGCCAACACCACCAGCTGCCACATCCTGGGCTGGGGCAAGACAGCAGATGGTCAGTAGTGGGAGGCTGGTGGGGAGCAGGCTACTGGCTACTTGGGGAAGTGTGCCAAAGGATGGGGAGTGGGAAAATTGGTGAGGGGCCATGGGAAGATGGGCTAATGGTGAGGACCAATGGGACAGGGTTTCAATGGGAGAAAGGTCAAGGGGGAGGGAGAGTGAATTTGGGAGCTGGGCCAGTGAGTGAACAGCCAATGGAAAATGTAGACCAATGGGTGAATAGCATGGGAGAGATGGAACATAAGATGAAGGTTCAATAAAGAGGGAAGGTCAGTGGGGAGATGCTAATCAGGAAGGATGTCAAAGGTCAAAGGGGACTGATCAGGATTCATTGAACAGCAGGAAGGAATAATGGAGAAGGAACTGATGGAAGAAGAGAAACCAATAAAGCACAAAAGCCAACTGAAGGATGTGAATTGAGACAGTGAATGGGGGTATAGCTGATGGAAGAGGGACTAAGGGGAAAGGATCAATGGTCCAGAGGAGTCACTAGAGGAAAAAACAGGTCCAATAGATCAGCAGGATCCATGAAGGTGGGCCTGTGTGTGAAGGGCCAATAAGAAAGGTGAACCATTGGATGAAGGGCCAGTGGGAAGGCAGAGACAATGGGGGAGGATGCGGCAAGTTAGAAAAGGACCAATGAGGGAGGTGGACCATTGGATGAAGGGCTAATAGGAAGGGAGAGCCAGTGGGGGATGGTGAGGCCAGTTAGAAAAGGACCAAGGAGGGAAGCAGACCAATAGGAAGAGAGAGCCAATGAGGGAGGGCAGGGCCAGTTAGGAAAGGACCAATGAGGAAGGTAGACCATTGGAGGAAGGGCCAATAGAAAGGGAGGATCCATGAGGGAGGGTGGGGACAGTTAGAAAAGGACCAATGATGGAGGTGGACCATTGGATGAAGAACCAATAGAAAGGAAGAACCAATGGGAGAGGGCATGGCCAGTTAGGAAAAGACCAATGGTCACAGAGTGACCAATCAAGATGAATCAATGGGCAGGAAGTGTCCAATGAAGAATGGACTACTGATCAGGAGGGGTACAGTAGAGGAGGGCGTAACAGAGGAAGAGTCCTCCAGGTCAACTGAAACTACTGAAGAAGGTGGGACCAGTGGAAGAGAGAAAAGTGGAGGAGGGACCTAAGAGAAAAGGAAAACCAATAGGAAATGAGGACTCCTGGAGAAGAGACTATTAATGAGGAAGACAGCCAATGGGGGGGAAGAATGATAGAAAGAGGGACCAATTAGGAGGCAGGGACGATGGTAATGAGATGTAAGAATGAGAGACAAACAGGAAGAGGGGTGCCAATAGAAAAGAGGGACCAATAGAGGATGGAGGACTTATAGGGGTTGGGGGGTGACTGGGGAGGATGAGGGGAGTGCAAGGCCTGGGCTGAGTCTGGCCCATCTCTCCCCTAACAGGTGATTTCCCTGACACCATCCAGTGTGCATACATCCACCTGGTGTCCCGTGAGGAGTGTGAGCATGCCTACCCTGGCCAGATCACCCAGAACATGTTGTGTGCTGGGGATGAGAAGTACGGGAAGGATTCCTGCCAGGTGAGGTGACCCGGATCTGCCACTTACACAGCCAGGGACAGGACGAAGTCACAAAAACATGGCCAGACACAGGAAGAGAGAGACACAGGCCAAAAGAGAGCTTTACAGAGACAGATAGAGACAGGCTGAGGGAGAACCCAAGCCTTGAAAAGAAGAGACTTAGTTCAACACACAGAGACACAGTCAGGGATATGCAGAGATATAAAGACACAGCCAGCAGAGACAGGAAGTGCAGAGACAAGGATGGAGGCCGCGGGATCAAGAACCAGAGAGGCCAGGAGCAGCGGCTCATGCCTGTAATCCCGGCACTTTGGGAGGCCGAAGCAGGAGGATCACCTAGGGTCAGGAGTTCGAGACCAGCCTGATCAACATGGTGAAACCCTATCTCTACTAAAAATACAAAAATTAGGATGGGCACAGTGGCTCATGCCTGTAATCCCAGCACCTTGGGAGGCCGAAGCAGGAGGATCACCTGGGGTCAGGAGTTCGAGACCAGCCTGATCAACATGGTGAAACCCTATCTCTACTAAAAATACAAAAATTAGGATGGGCACAGTGGCTCATGCCTGTAATCCCAGCACCTTGGGAGGCCGAAGCAGGAGGATCACCTGGGGTCAGGAGTTCGAGACCAGCCTGATCAACATGGTGAAACCCTATCTCTACTAAAAATACAAAAATTAGGATGGGCACAGTGGCTCATGCCTGTAATCCCAGCACCTTGGGAGGCCGAGGTGGGTGAATAACCAGGTCAAGAGATTGAGACCAGCCTGGCCGATATGGGGAAACCTCATCTCTACTAAAAATACAAAAATTAGCTGGGCGTGGTGGCAGGCGCCTGTAGTCCCAGCTACTCAGGAGGCTGTGGCAGGAGAATCACTTGAACCTGGAGGCGGAGGTTGTTGCAGTGAGTCGAGATCATGCTACTGCACTCCAGCCTGGCAACAGAGCAAGATTCCGTCTCAAAAAAAAACCAAAAAACAAAAATTACGCAAGCATGGTGGGACACACCTGTAGTCCCAGCTACTCGGGAGGCTGAGGCTGGAGAATTGCTTAAACCCAGGAGGCAGAGGCTGCAGTGAGCTGAGATCACGCCACTGCACTCCAGCCTGGGGACAGAGCCAGACTCTGTCTAAAAACAAAAAGAACCAAAGAGAAGTAGTAAGGAAGCAGATGGTGTGAGGGGACTGTCCTTCCTCAAACAGAGCCCCCACGAGTCCTGCTCAGAAACGACCAGGCTCTGGAGGAGGGAGACACTAGCTGGGGAAAGGGGACTCCCTCCCGAATACTTTAACTTGGGTTTCCTCCATTGTCATCCATCCAGGCTCTCCTCTTTATGCCAGAATGACTAATGCACTGAGGGATGTGCAGAGACCAACCAAGGGGGAGACACAGGCAGAAACGGAGACACAGGCAGAAACAGGGACAGAGACAGGGAAAGCGATACATAGCAAGTTGGACGCAAAGAAAGGGCAGGTGGGCGAGACTGTCCTCAAGACACGAGGTGGAGAGGTGTCCCTGGACAGAATAGTGCCAGGCATATCTCTCCCTGGGCCCTCCCTACCTCTCCCACCTGGGTCTTATCGTCTCCTCCTCCCCCTCCTCCCCCTCCCCATCCTCCTCCCCCTCTCCATCCTCCTCCCCCTCCCCATCCTCCTCCCCCTCCTCCTCCCCCTCCTCCTCCCCCCTCCTCTCCCTCCTCCTCCTCGTCTTCCCCCTCCTCCTCCTCCTTCTCCTCTTCCTTCTCCTCTTCCTCCTCCTCGTTCTCCTCTTCCTCCTCCTCCTCTTCCTCCTCCCCCTTTTCCTCCTCCTCCTTTTCCTCCTCTTCTCCTCCTCTTCCTTCTCCTCCTCCTCTTCCTCCTCCTCCTCTTCCTCCTCCTCCTCTTCCTCCTCCTCTTCTTCCTCCTTCTTCTCCTCTTCCTCCTCCTCTTCCTCCTCCTCCTTCTCCTCTTCCTCCTCCTCTTCCTCCTCCTCCTCCTTCTCCTCTTCCTCCTCCTCTTCCTCCTCCTCCTCTTCCTCCTCCTCTTCCTCCTCTCCTTCTCCTCTTCCTCCTCCTTCTCCTCTTCCTCCTCCTCTCTCTCCATCGGTCTCTACACCTCTGCCTCTCTCCACACCTCTCAGTCTCCATTCTTAAATTGTTTCTCTTTCTTGCTCTCTATGTTCCTCTGCATCTTGGCATTCCTATCTCTGTGTCTTTGAGTCTCCTTTATTCTCTCTCTACCATTCTCTCTCTGTGCCTTTGTGTGTCTTACTGTCTCTCTCTCTGTCTCTCTGTCCCTGAGTCTTTCTCTCCATCTTTCAGTAAGTACCTCTGTCCCTTTCTACCTCTCTCTCTGTCACACACACACACACACACACACACACACACACACACACACACACAGTCTCTGGGTTTCTATCTGTATCTGACTTTCTCCCTCTTTCCTGCAGGGTGATTCTGGGGGTCCGCTGGTATGTGGAGACCACCTCCGAGGCCTTGTGTCATGGGGTAACATCCCCTGTGGATCAAAGGAGAAGCCAGGAGTCTACACCAACGTCTGCAGATACACGAACTGGATCCAAAAAACCATTCAGGCCAAGTGACCCTGACATGTGACATCTACCTCCCGACCTACCACCCCACTGGCTGGTTCCAGAACGTCTCTCACCTAGACCTTGCCTCCCCTCCTCTCCTGCCCAGCTCTGACCCTGATGCTTAATAAACGCAGCGACGTGAGGGTCCTGATTCTCCCTGGTTTTACCCCAGCTCCATCCTTGCATCACTGGGGAGGACGTGATGAGTGAGGACTTGGGTCCTCGGTCTTACCCCCACCACTAAGAGAATACAGGAAAATCCCTTCTAGGCATCTCCTCTCCCCAACCCTTCCACACGTTTGATTTCTTCCTGCAGAGGCCCAGCCACGTGTCTGGAATCCCAGCTCCGCTGCTTACTGTCGGTGTCCCCTTGGGATGTACCTTTCTTCACTGCAGATTTCTCACCTGTAAGATGAAGATAAGGATGATACAGTCTCCATAAGGCAGTGGCTGTTGGAAAGATTTAAGGTTTCACACCTATGACATACATGGAATAGCACCTGGGCCACCATGCACTCAATAAAGAATGAATTTTATTATGAGTGGGGCTTTTTGCTTTGATTTGACGTCCACCTTTCTGAAATCTAGATATTCTCAGTTCTCCTTTACAGCCAATTTGATTTTTCCTCCCCTCCAGGAAGGCACTCTTGATGCCTCCACCTTGTGCTATACCTCAAAGATGGCTTTTGCCCCTAAATTTTTTTTTCCCTCCCCAAGATGGAGTCTTGCTCTGTCACCCAAGCTGGAGTGCAGTGGCGCCATCTCGGCTCACTGCAACCTTCGCCTCCCGGGTTCAAGCGATTCTCCTCCCTCAGCCTCCTGAGTAGCTGGGATTACAGGTACGTGCCACCATGCCCGGCTAGTTTTTGTATTTTTAGTAGAGACGGGGTGTCAACATGTTGGCCAGGCTGGTCTCGAACTCCTGACCTCATGATCCACCCACCTCGGCCTCCCAAAGTGCTGGGATTACAGGTGTGAGCCACCGCGCCCAGCCTAAACTTTTGTCACAGCCAAACCAGGAAGGTGGGAGGGTAGGAAGACCACCATGCATGGGTAACGGTGATGGGAGAGGAGGGCAGGGATCAGATCCCCAAGGATCTCAGATGCCAGCATGAGAGGCTGAAACCTTCTCCTGAGGGCACTGGGGAGCCATGGAAAGTCTGTGAGCTGGGGCAGCCCTAGGGCCATGTGCAGGATGAACCAGAGGGGAGACCCTGGAGGCTGGGGCTGGGGAGGAGGTTGAGGTGATGATGCAGGGAGAGAAGATGAGAGTTGAGGTGGGGCTGGGCCCAGGAGGGGTGGAAAGGAAGGCTGGATATGAGGTCACCCTTTGGAGAAGTTCGGGTGGGTGGCATTCTCACAGAAGGAACAACATGTAGACAATCCTGGGGGTGTGAGGACACCTGTGAATCGTCCTGGATGGTGGAGGCTGGCGTTTGAGGTGGGAGAAATGAATGATATGGCTGGAAATGTAGGTCAGCGGAAGATGATGCCACTGAGCGCCAGGCAGAAGAACTTGGACCTGATCCCGAGGGCCTGGAGAAAAGGAAGGACGTGGTCGGATCTGGGCTTTAGAAAGACCCTATGATCTTTGCCTTAAGAATCAGAGAAATGCAACATTCTATCATGGGGACGTGATGGAAGGAAGTGGCTGACTTTGTGACTTGATGGAATTATGAAGTCATGTGAATGACCTGGGCCCCCCTTGAGCAACCTTCTCCGGAAAAGCCGTGAAATTCACCAGGGTCACCAAGAGGAACCCAGCCAATGACGGTCCAGACCAAAATCAGCTGCAGTTAATTGAGAGAAAATTGACTTTCTTTTTTTCTTTTTGAGACAGAGTCTCAGAGTCTCACTCTGTCACCCAGGGTGGAGTGCAATGGCACGATCTCGGCTCACTGCAACCTCTGCCTCCCGGGCTCAAGCAGTTCTCCTGCCTCAGCCTCTGAAGTAGCTGGGATTACAGCTGTGTGCCAGCACACCCAGTTAATTTTTTTTTTTTTTTTTTTTTTTTTTTTTTTTTTTTTTTTTTTTAGTACAGACAGGGTTTCACCGTGTTGACCAGGCTGGTCTCAAACTTCCGACCTCAAGTGATCCATGAATCTCAGAATCCCAAAATGTTGGGATAGCAGGCGTGAGCCATTCAGAAAGAAATTGACTTTCTGAATGGATAATAAGAATAATGATAGTCATGACAACAGTAATAATAATAATTTAAAATATACTGATTAGCACTTACCAGGTACTATTCTAAGTGCCTTACATATATTAACTCATTTGATCCTCATCACAAGCCTGTGAGGTGGATACCATTATTGTTCCCATTTTACAGACAGGGAAACCAAGGCACAGAGGGGGTCCATGGTGTGATCAAAGCCTCACAGCTAGTAGATGGCTACACCAGAATTTAAATGCTAGGGGCTGGTTCCACAGTTTGGGCTCCTAACCACTCTTCTGTGCTGAAGTCTTCTTGTAATTCTGAGATGTTTTGGAACTGAGCATTAAAATGTTTAGACATCCAACCCTTCTTATGAATTTTATTTTTTTGAAGCAGAATCTCTACACTTTTGGTATTTTAGGTGCTTGTGTGTCTAAGAGAATTTCACCTGTTATAGGGAAAGCCTTGTGACTTCAGCTTTAAATGTGTAATAATTGAGCTGTGATTTTTTTAAGATGGAGTTACGCCAAGTTAATATCCAGCATTGGGATATCTGAAAGAATGCAACATGGGTCATATTTATGAGTGTAATACACTCAGATGTACAAACTCACTTCAATGCTTTGGAAGTGGTGCCTAAAAATCAAGGGACTTCCAGAAGAGATTGAATATGTTGGTTTTAGAAATGTAGTTTAAAATGTCTGAAGGTGTTTAATTAACTTAGTTTGTGAATAGGACCAAGCATTATTATGAGGACCCCATAGGCCGGGTGCGGTGGCTCACACCTGTAATCCTAGCACTTTGGGAGGCTGAGGCGGGCGGATCACGAGGTCAGGAGATGGAGACCATCCTGGCTAACACGGTGAAACCCCGTCTCTACTAAAAATACAAAAAAATAATTAGCCGGTGTGCCTCCTGTAGTCCCAGCTACACAGGAAGGAGGCTGAGACAGGAGAATCGTTTGAACCCAGGAGGCGGAGGTTGCGGTGAGCCAAGATCGCACCACTGCACCCAGCCTGGGAGACAGAGTGAGACTCCATCTCAAAAAAAAAAAAAAAAAAAAAAAAAAAAAACTTAAAAGCAACTGATGTCTAAAAGAAAGAAAGAAAAAAAAGATTTATCTAGACCAAAATGGGTTGCAAACAACTTAAAAGACTAAGGAAGAAATAGGTTGCTGGTTTTGTCACTTTATTAATTAATTAATTTATTTATTTTGAGATGGAGTTTCGCTCTTGTCACCCAGGCTGGACTGCAGTGGCGTGATCTCAGCTCAATGCAACCTCCACCTCCCAAGTTCAAGCGATTCTCCTGCCTCAGCCTCCTGAGTAGCTGGGATTACAGGCACCCGCCACCACGCCTGGCTAATTTTTGTATTTTTAGTAGAGACAGGGTTTCACCATGTTGGCCAGGCTGGTGTCGAACTCCTGACCTTGTGATCCACCTGCCTTGGCCTCCCAAAGTGCTGGGATTACAGGGGTGAGACACTGCGCCCGGCCACGGTTTTGTCACTTTAATGAATGAAATATTAATTGTCATAATCAAAATAAACCTCAGAATAGGTTTTTGTTATTTTGGGTTTTTTGGTATTTTCCCTGTGCACTAAAACCAGTCCTGAGTGCTCTAAAATCTCCCCTTTAACAGAATTATAGATGTGAGCAACACAGCTCGGTTGTTTTTTTGCCCTCAAGGAATGAGGGCTCAAAGAAGGCAGCATCTTCAGGCGTCTTTGTCATTTTGTTCACGGACACCTGAGTCTGATTGTTCACAGACACCTGTGTCTGGCACATCACAGATGAATGTTTCATTAGCTCTTGCTTCCTAGTGAGGACAGAGACAAGGAGACACGAAGACAGATGCAAAGAGCTGGCGGCAGATGGAAAGAAAAGCTGGCGTAGAGACGAGGTCAGGAGAGGTGGCCTCAGATGGCTCAGGAGTGGAGAGGGAGAAGCCACCTTTCGGGTTCCCCACCCAATGCCCATTTCCCAAGCCGTCTGCCCCTCTCCTGGCCTCTTGATCTATTTTCCCAATAACAAGTAGCCCTGCCCAACTCTCTCACCCATGCCTGGCCACACCAGCCGGGCCACGGCACCTGCAGATTCCCAGACTGGGTCCCTGCCTCTTTGTGCTCCACGGCCTGGGCCCAGAGTGAAGGCAAGAGAAGGAGTTGAGAGCTCCCTCTGCAAAGTGGCTTGAGTCTCCCCTGCCTAAAATGCAGGGAGAGGGAGGCAGAAAGACAGGGAAGGAGGAAGGGGTGGGGAAGAAAGAGAGAGAGAGAGAGAGACAGAATAACACAACTACAGAAACACAGAGAGAACACACAGAGAGCCTGGGACACAGGGACACACAGAGTCAGAGAGAAAAGAGAAGATAGAGAAAGACACAAATGGAGACACAGAGGTGTAAAGAAAGAGAGATTAACAGAGTCCCAGATACACGCAAAGGGGCAGAAGCACAGTTTTCAGGGTGGTGTCTATGATCATCTTCTTTTTTTTTTTTTTTTTTTTTTTTTTTTGAGACGGAGTCTCGCTCTGTCGCCCAGGCTGGAGTGCAGTGGCGGGATCTCGGCTCACTGCAAGCTCCGCCTCCCGGGTTCACGCCATTCTCCTGCCTCAGCCTCCCAAGTAGCTGGGACTACAGGCGCCCGCCACTACGCCCGGCTAATTTTTTTGTATTTTTAGTAGAGACGGGGTTTCACCGTTTTAGCCGGGATGGCCTCGATCTCCTGACCTCGTGATCCGCCCGCCTCGGCCTCCCAAAGTGCTGGGATTACAGGCGTGAGCCACCGCGCCCGGCCATGATCATCTTCTTGACTATGCTGATGTGACAAGTACCTAAAGCCATCAGACTCTACCCTTTAAATATGCAGTTTGGGCCAGGCACCGTGGCTCATGCCTGTAATTCCAGCACTTTGGGAGGCAGAGGTGGGTGAATCACTTGAGGCCAGGAGTTTGAGACCAGCCTGGCCAACATGGTGAAACTCTGTCTTTACTAAAAAAAAAAAAAAAAAAAAAAAAATCAGCCGGGTGTCGTGGGGCACACCTGTAATCCCAGCTATGCTGGAGGCTGAGGCACGAGAGTCACTTGAACCCTGGAGGCGGAGGTTGCAGTGGGCCGAGATCACATCACCGCCCTCCAGCCTGGGCGACAGAGCAAGACTCTGTCTCAAATAAATAAATAAACAAACGAACAAGCAGTTTGTTGTACCTTAGTTATATCTAAAAAAAAAATGCTGTCAACAAATAGAGCAGAAGTGAAATAAAGGAAAATAAATGGGCCAAGAACTCTAAGGTATATTTGACAAATCATTCAGAACCTTTAAAAAAGAAAGAATCACAGAGGCATAGAAAGACAGGGAGGAACAGGGAGACAGAAACACCTGTGGCCCAAGGAGAACAAAACAAGGCTCCTAAGACAGACAGGAGGAGAGAGAGAGAGAGTGAGTGAGAGACAGACAGAGAAAAAGACAGAGAGAGAGAGACAGAGACAGAGAGACAGAGAGGCGAGAGGGATAGAAAGAGAGAGAGGGGTGGAGAGAGACACGAGATATTGAGAGAGACTCAGAAAGATAGCCGAGGGAGAACCACAGAGAGATGGAAGAAGACTCTGAGAAAAAACCAGAGACAAAGATGGAAAGAGGAGTATCGAGGGTGAACAGACAGTGGTGGAATGAGCAAAATGCAGAGAAGAAAGCAAGCAATCCAGGCGCCAAGAATAGTGACCCAGAGTTGGTGAGAAGCCAGATCCTTAAGGCTGGGGGAGGCAGGGAAGGGGCTGGCCTGGCTTCCGGAGACCCCTCCCCATTCTCCGGGCCAGGGAGGTAGGGAGTGACATTCCGGACTGGGTGGGGGGTGCTCTGGGGGTGGAGATAGGGGGAGCAGGAGGAGCTATTGCTAAGGCCCGATAGGCACCTCATTGCCCGGGAATGTGCCCCAGGGAGCAGTGGGTGGTTATAACTCAGGCCCGGTGCCCAGAGCCCAGGAGGAGGCAGTGGCCAGGAAGGCACAGGCCTGAGAAGTCTGCGGCTGAGCTGGGAGCAAATCCCCCACCCCCTACCTGGGGGACAGGGCAAGTGAGACCTGGTGAGGGTGGCTCAGCAGGCAGGGAAGGAGAGGTGTCTGTGCGTCCTGCACCCACATCTTTCTCTGTCCCCTCCTTGCCCTGTCTGGAGGCTGCTAGACTCCTATCTTCTGAATTCTATAGTGCCTGGGTCTCAGCGCAGTGCCGATGGTGGCCCGTCCTTGTGGTTCCTCTCTACCTGGGGAAATAAGGTAGGGGAGGGAGGGGAAGTGGGTTAAGGGCTCCCCGGATCGCCTGGGCCTCCCAACCCTCTGACATTCCCCATCCAGGTGCAGCGGCCATGGCTACAGCAAGACCCCCCTGGATGTGGGTGCTCTGTGCTCTGATCACAGCCTTGCTTCTGGGGGTCACAGGTAACCAGAACTCTGGGGTGGGAGGGTTGTGGGATTGGGAGGACTGTCTCTGCGGCACTAGAGCGCCTGTCCCCTGGGGAACTGTGTGAGCCTGGGCATGACTCCGGGACCGGGTGAATGTGAGTCTCTGTCTGTACTTGTGGTTGTGCGATCGTATGTGGCCCTGTGACTGCCACGGTGTGTGTCGGGGAGGGGGATGCCTTTTCCCATATCAGGTGACTGTGCGGCAGGTGGCACTGACCCTTTGAGGCTGTGTGTGTGGTTTTGTGATTGTGTGTGCATTTAAGATTGTGTGTGGCTCCACAGCTGTGTGGGTGAATGCATGTAGCACTGGGGGTGTTCACTGTGTGTTTGGCTGTGTGTGGTGACTTGGCATTGTATATGACTGCAGGTATCTGCAGTTCCTGTCCCTGAGGTCCCGGGATTGCGTGCAACAAAAGTGGTCATCACCATGGAAAGCTGTGACTGTGTGCTGCTTGCAGGCGATTATGTGATTGTGGCTGAGTGTGACGTTATGGATGCCCGTATTTGTGACCGTGTGACTACCTGAAGCTCTGTGTAGGGGTGACTGTATGTGACTGTGTGTGTCTGTGTGAGGCCGTGTAAATGCTACTGTATGTGTGATGGTGCAGCTGTGTGTCTGGAGTTTCTGTCTCTGCCTGGAGGGATAGAGGGTGCAGGGGTAGCTATCTCTGGGAGATGGGTGCCAGGTGACTGACTTGCAGTGTGTGCCTGTGTGCAGAAGAGTATGTGGCAGTCTGAACATCTGTGCACACACGGCATCTGTGCGTGGCACTGAGACACTGTGGATGAGGGTGTGCGATCCCGCTAGGCTGCCCGGGAGCGTGTGTACCTGGAGACAGAGCTGTATGTTAGCTGCACCTGTGGAGGCAACATGGGCGTGTCTGCAGAACTGCGTGCGTGCTTGGCTGTTACTGCTGTTGTGCGCGTGGTTCTTGGGGTGAGTTCGTGAATGATGGTGGTGCCAGGGCCATCAGCAAGGGTAAGAACCAGGCCGGGCGCGGTGGCTCACGCCTGTAATCCCAGCCCTTTGGGAGGCCGAGGCAGGCGGATCACCTGAGGTCGGGAGATCGAGGCCAGCCTGACCAACATGGAGAACCCCGTCTCTACTAAAAATACAAAAAATTAGCTGGTGTGGTGGCGCGTGCCTGTAATCCCAGCTACTCGGGAGACTGGGGCAGAAAAATCGCTTGAACCCGGGAGGTGGAGGTTGCGGTGAGCCGAGATCGCGCCATTGCACTCCAGCCTGGGCAACAAGAGCGAAACTCCGTCTCGAAAGAAAAAAAGAAAAAAAAAAGGGTAAGAACCAGTGAATGGGCACGGGAGGACTGATGATGGAGTGGGGCATGCATGTAGTCTGTAGGTCTGTGTGTGAGAGGAGGAGATTGACAGGATTGAGAAGGCATGTTTTCATCTGAGAATTCAGAAACCTAGGCCTGCTCTTCCCCTCCATGTGGCCCCCTAAGCTGAGCCCTTCTTTCCTGGTCCTGCTTTCGGAACCCTAGCTCCGCCCATGAGCTCTGACCCCACCTCCTTTCCTCAACCACGCCCCTAGGCCAGACTCTAGTGGACCCCGCCTAAGGCCACACCCCTTTGGGCCAGGCTCCACCCCCTATTCTGTGGGTACCTTCTAGAACCCCCTTCAAAGTCAGAGCTTTTTTTTTTTTTTTTTTGGAGACAGTCTTGCTCTCTCTCCCAGGCTGGAGTGCAGTGGCGTGATCTCGGCTCACTGCAACCTCTGCCTCCCAGGTTCAAGTGATTCTCGTGCCTCCACCTCCTGAGTAGCTGGGATTACAGGTGCGCGCCACCACGCCTGGCTAATTTTTGTGTCTTTAGTAGAGACAGGGTTTCACCTTGTTGGCCAGGCTGGTCTCAAACTCCCAACCTCAGGTGATCCGCCCACCTCGGCCTCCCAGAGTGCTGGGGTTACAGGCGTGAGCCACCGCCCCCAGCCCAAAGTCAGAGCTCTTTATAGGAGACTCTAACATGTAACCCTGACCCTGGCCCTAACTAAGTCAATTCCAAACCCCTTCCTGCCTCCAGCCCTGACCCCACTCACTGAGGCCTGACCCCACTTCTTGAGACCAGTTCCATCCCTAAAGCCCTGGTCTCCCTCCCATCCCCAGGCTCCAGCCCCCACAGCTTTGGCACTACCCCTGAGCTTGTCCAGGAATCCTGTACCCAATTTTACCCTCACATGTAGTTCTAGCCAATTCCAGGAATCTGTGAGGTCCAGTTAGAGTCCAGTAACCCTACCTGAGCCTGGGCTCTGTCCTTGAGCTTGAGCCTGGGCTTGAGAGGTGCCACTCTTATTCTCCAGGCCCTGCCCCTGCCCCCTCAGCATGTCAGACACCCACCCTCTAGCTGGTCTGGCCTCTTGAGTCTGAAACCCACCCCCAGCCCAAGCCCCGCCTCTGAGCCCCGCCCAACCCATTTTCCGTTCCCAGAGCATGTTCTCGCCAACAATGATGTTTCCTGTGACCACCCCTCTAACACCGTGCCCTCTGGGAGCAACCAGGACCTGGGAGCTGGGGCCGGGGAAGACGCCCGGTCGGATGACAGCAGCAGCCGCATCATCAATGGATCCGACTGCGATATGCACACCCAGCCGTGGCAGGCCGCGCTGTTGCTAAGGCCCAACCAGCTCTACTGCGGGGCGGTGTTGGTGCATCCACAGTGGCTGCTCACGGCCGCCCACTGCAGGAAGAAGTGAGTGGGAGTTCCAAGAGGAGGGTTGGTGGGGACGGGGAAGTGGGGGTGGGGGTGGGGAAGTGGGGGTGGGGGTGTCATGGAGGTGAGGGCTGGTGGGGACGGGGAAGTGGGGTTGGGGGTGTCATGGAAGGTGAGGGTTGGTGGGGATGGGTTGGGGATGTGGGAGCAGGAGGAGGTCGAGTTGGGGATAGGACTAAGGATGGAGTTTTGCGGGGGAGCAAGGTGGGAGGATGAGGTTGGAGAGGGGAGAGTGTTGTGGTAGGGAATGGGAAGGAGCCAAGGATGGGTTGGATTTGGGGTTAGGAGCATATATTTGTTGAATGGTTTGGGATGGAGGTGGAATTGGGATTGGCTTTAGAATTGGGGGTGGGTGAAAATCGGGCTGGGGTGGAAATGAAGATAGCATGGAGATAGGGTTGAGATTGGGAGCAGATATAGAATGAAGGATGGGGATTGGAGTTTTGGGTGGGGTTGGAGATGGTTGGATTTGGGCTTGAGAATGCATATGGTGATGGCTTCTGGGTAGGGAAAGAATTAGGGTTGGGAATGGGATGGGTTTGGAATTGTGACTGGGATGGGGACAGGCATGGGATTGGAGACCAAGAGGGAGTTGAGGATGGTTTGGGGACCGGGGGTGGGGATGGGGGTGGGGCTGGGGCTGGGTGTGGGGTTGGGATTGGCGTTGGACGTGGAGATAGAGATCAGGGTTGGTGGTGACCTGCCCCATCTTCCTCAGAGTTTTCAGAGTCCGTCTCGGCCACTACTCCCTGTCACCAGTTTATGAATCTGGGCAGCAGATGTTCCAGGGGGTCAAATCCATCCCCCACCCTGGCTACTCCCACCCTGGCCACTCTAACGACCTCATGCTCATCAAACTGAACAGAAGAATTCGTCCCACTAAAGATGTCAGACCCATCAACGTCTCCTCTCATTGTCCCTCTGCTGGGACAAAGTGCTTGGTGTCTGGCTGGGGGACAACCAAGAGCCCCCAAGGTGAGTGTCCAGGTTCTTCTTGATACCGACCCATCTCTGCCGCCTTCCATCTTTCTCCACTTCTCATTGTGTTCCTGTTTGACAGTGCACTTCCCTAAGGTCCTCCAGTGCTTGAATATCAGCGTGCTAAGTCAGAAAAGGTGCGAGGATGCTTACCCGAGACAGATAGATGACACCATGTTCTGCGCCGGTGACAAAGCAGGTAGAGACTCCTGCCAGGTGAGGACACCTCTCTTTATTCAGCAGATACACACTGAGTGCCAACTCGGTAACATGGAGCGTTGCCAAATTCTGAGAATCCAGCAATTGCCAAGACAGTCAGGACCCCTGTTCTCACAGAGCTCATACCCTAGAGTAGTGGTGTTTAGTAGAAATAATGCTGAGCTGCTTATGTCATTTCCAGTTTTTTAGTAGCCACATTAAAACAGGTAAAAAAGGCTGGGCGCAGTGGCTCACACCTGTAATCCCAGCACTTTGGGAGGCTGAGGCAGGCAGATCACCTTTGGTCAGGAGTTTGAGACTAGCCTGGCCAACATGGCGAAACTCTGTCTCTAAAAAAAAATACAAAAATTAGCCTGGCATGGTGGCGGGCGCCTGTAATCTCAGCTGCTCAGGAGGCCGAGACACAAGAATCACTTAAACCCAGGAGGTGGAGGTTGCAGTGAGCTGAGATCGTGCCACTCACTCCAACCTGGGAGACAGAGTGACACTTTTGTCTCAAAAAGAAAAAAAAAAACAAGTAAAAAAGAAACAGGTGAAGTTAACTTTAATAACCCAATGTATCCCAAATACAATCATTTCAAAGTGTAATTAATATAAAACAATTATGAATGAGATACTTTACATTCTTTTCTTGTTTTCATATTAAGTCTTTGAAAGTGAGTATATATGTTATGCTGACAGCACATCTCAATTTGGACTAGCTACATTTCAGGTGCTCAGTAGCCACATGTGGCTAGCAGTTACTGTATTGGATGGCACGGATCTAGAGGGAAAGATCAGGGCTGTTTTGTATGGTTGGGCAGGTTGTGCACTGCATAAAGATACCATATCTAATAGGGGCACTCCGTGTTACAGATGTCAGTTTTGGCAGTTTTCAGGCGTGTGGTAGTTAAGTGTCTTGTTTCAACAAAATCTGTAATATGACAGTTTTCTAGCAAGTGCTGGTAAAATATCTTGAGGAAGGAAAAGAGAAATCTGGTAGGTATTTTTACAAGAGAATATTTAATACAGGGGATTAATTGCAAAGCTGCTGGAAGGGCTGGAGGAACAAAGTTAAAAAATAAAAAACTCTGTGGTCAAGAATCTGCATAAATAGGGCAATTTCAGAGAGTGGTAAAGGTTAACCCCAAAATAAAACATGGTTTTAGGATAGTAAACAATAAGGGCCAATATTCAAAAAGGTGGTCAGGGGAGCCTCCTTGGAGAGGTGGCATTTGAGCAGAGAATGGATGACACAAAGAAGCTAAACTCGTGAAGTTTAAGGGGAAAGAAAAGGCACGTGCAAAGGCCCTGAGGCAGTAAGGAATTTGGCTGATTCAAAGAAGAAGAGGAAACCAATGCAACTGGAGAACAAAAGTGGGGGCAACAGTAGAAAGTGACGCTGGAGGTGTAGGCAGGGGCGAATGCTCTGCAAGTATTTCTTGGTCACCAACACAGAGCTTCCCTATGTTCTAATGGAAGCTGTATCTGTTGAGGAAGACAGAATTTAAAATCAAACTGTTACATCAACCAGCACCCTTCTCTGTATTCAGGCTCCCAAGGGATCTAGAAGGACGTAAGTTAACAAGCTCTCATTAGCAGGGTGTGTGTTTCAACAGTAGTTAGGAAGCTGGGGATTCAGGAGTACTCCAGTCCCATGGCTATGAAAAGCTCCCCCCAAATTGTACAAACCTGACAAATGCAACACCTCCCCAGCTCTCCCCATTTCTTCTCTGTGCCCTGGGTGTGGGGGGGTGGGTTGCGAGGGGGAAAACTTTTAACAGAAGAAAGCACATCTCGGCCGGGCGTGGTGGCTCACACCTGTAATCCCAACACTTTGGGAGGCCGAGGCGGGTGGATCACTAGGTCAGGAGATGGAGACCATCCTGGCTGACACGGTGAAACCCTGTCTCTACTAAAAACACAAAAAATTAGCCGGGCGTGGTGGCAGGCGCCTGTAGTCCCAGCTACTCGGGAGGCTGAGGCAGGAGAATGGCCTGAACCCGGGAGGCGGAACTTGCAGTGAGCCGAGGTTGCACCACTGCACTCCAGCCTGGGCAACACAGTGAGACTCCGTCTCAAAAAAAAAAAAAGAAAAGAAAAGAAATCACATCTCATTCAAGTGGTGGCATTTAAAACTATTTAGCCTTTCTGTAGGCAAGGTTAGTATCTTGTTTTTCCAGACCTCAAGGTGTTTTTTTGTTTGTTTTTTCATACCGGTGTGTGGTCTGGGTGTGGCCACTAAAAGCTACAAGCAAGAAATAATAACAACTACAACAATACTAATACCAATAGTATAAAAATAATAGCATCTGGCTAATTGCTGGACACTGTTTTAAGTGGTTTGCATGCCTCAGCTCATTAACTCATTTACCTGTTATTATTGGCCCTATTTTACAAACAAGGAGCCAAGGCTCAGAGCAGTTAACTAACAGCCTCTCAAAAGAAACTCTGCAGAGATATTAAATTTAAAAAATAATGAGAGAAATTAAACCACAAGAAAGTTGAAATTTAGAGGTACAGGCAGCTAAGCTTGTTTGCTTTGAAACAGTGTCTGCTACTGGGAAAAAGGCAAGTCTTGGCTTTCCTAATAATTGATACCAGGACTCTGTAATTCATATTTTGCATGCATGTAAGTAAGAAATGAAGCCGGGTGCAATGGCACATGCCAGTAATCCCAGCACTCTGGGAGACTGAAGTGGGAAGATCACTTGAGCTCAGGAGTTCAAGACCAGCCTGGGCAACTAAAAATTAAAAAAATAAAAATACTAATTGTTTTTATTTTAGTAGATTTTATTCATACCACTTACATCATTATTGTAGTATGTACATATTTATTTCTTTTCTTTTCTTTTCTTTTCTTTTTTGAGACGGAGTCTCGCTCTGTCACCCAGGCTGGAGTGCAATGGCACCATATCAGCTCACTGCAGCATGCGCCTCCTGGGTTCAAGCATTTCTTCCACCTCAGCCTCCCAAGTAGCTGGGATAACAGGCACCCACCACCATGCCTGGCTATTTTTTTTTTTCCGTAGAGATGGGGTTCCACCATGTTGGCCAGGCTGGTCTTGAACTCCTGACCTCCAGTGATCTGCCTGCCTCGGCCTCCCAAATTGCTGGTATTACAGGTGTGAGCCACCGTGCCCAGGTGGGAGATAGACATTTCTCTCTACCTCAAACAGAGGTCCACTCAAGCTACTTTTCATTTTCTTCATAAATATTAGCCGAGTGGCTATTTTGCACCAGGAATGGTTCCAGGTGCTGTGGATATGGCATCAGGCAAAACAGACCAAAAACTTCCTGCCGCGTGGACCTCATGTTCCCCAAGTGGAAGACAGGCAATAAAGAGATAGATAAATATGTAGTAAATTAAAAAAAAAAAAAATTAGCCGGGTGTGGTGGCTTGCACCTGTAGTTCCAGCTACTTGGGAGGCTGAGGTGGGAGAATTGCTTGAGCCCAAACGTTTGAGGCTGCGGTAAGCCATGACTGCACTGCTGCACTCCAGACAGCAGCCTGGGTGACAAAGCAAGACGTTTTTGTCAGAAAGAAAAAAAAAAGAGACGAAGGGAGGAAGGAGAGAGAAAGGAAGGAAGGAAGGAGAAAGAAAGGAAGGAAGGAGAAAGAAAGGAAGGAAGGAAGGAGAAAGAAAGGAAGAAAGAGAAAGAAAGAAAAAGAAAGAAAGAAAGAAGAAAGAAAAGAGAGAGGAAGGAAGGAAAGAAGGAAAAGAGGGAAAAAAATGACTGTTGAAGAGCAGTGAGTATTATTATAGGAGGGTAATTATAGGGAGGTATGGGGAATTGAAGACAGGAAACACAAATTAGTCCAAGCGAATGGATTTCTATTGGGAGTGATTCTGCCCCTAGAAGACACTGGCAATACCAGGAGACATTTTTGGTTGTCACAACTATATGGAGGGGCATTACTGGCAACTAATGGATAGATGCCAAGTGTGCTGTTCAACATGCTATGATGCACACGGCAGGCCTCCACAACAAACCATTATCCAGCTTCAGATGCCCACAGTGCCCAGATCGAGGAACCCTCATCCAGGGGCTGAGAACCGTATTTTTGCAGAAGGGAGGTATAAGGATGGGTTGGTGGAGAATGGGGAAGGAAGGTGTGTGTCCAGTAAGAGAAATAAGGCCTGCACAGGCTGGAGGGGAGAGTGAGAGAGAAAGGGAGGCGGAGAGATACACGATGAGGGAGACAGGCTGGAACAGAAAGTAGAGACGAAGATTCGAGATGTGGAGAGGAAGGGTCACAGACCCCCCCGAAATGATGTGTGGACAACAGGAATCTGGAAGAGGAAGATGGAGTGGAGAGTGACAAATGGGGTCTAAAGGTTGAACTTGGAGGCCAGGCATGGTGGCTCACGCCTGTAATCCCAACACTTTGGAGGCTGAGGTGGGCGAATCACTTGAGGCCAGGAGTTCGAGACCAGCCTGGCCAACATGGTGAAACCCCGTCTCTACAAAAAAAATACAAAAAATTAGCCGGGTGTGGTGATGGACACCTGTAGTCACAGCTACTTGGGAGGCTGAGGCAGGAGAATTGCTTGAACCCGGGAGATGGAGGCTGCAGTGAGCTGAGGTCAGGCCACTGCGCTCCAACCTGGGCAACAGAGTAAGACTCCATCTCAAAAAAAAAAAAGCTGGATTTGGAGTGAAATATTAATAACATTCTCCCTCTCTCTCCTTTTGCCTGTGTCTCCATCTCTGTCTTTTTCTGCATTTCTTCATCTCTGTACTTTCCATCTCTGTGTGTCTGTTCCCATCTGCTTCTCCATCTATGGGCATCTCTGGGTCTCTCATGTCTCCTTCTGCCCACTTTGCCACATCTCTGCCTCTCTCATGCCCCCCTTTCTCTCCTGCAGGGTGATTCTGGGGGGCCTGTGGTCTGCAATGGCTCCCTGCAGGGACTCGTGTCCTGGGGAGATTACCCTTGTGCCCGGCCCAACAGACCGGGTGTCTACACGAACCTCTGCAAGTTCACCAAGTGGATCCAGGAAACCATCCAGGCCAACTCCTGAGTCATCCCAGGACTCAGCACACCGGCATCCCCACCTGCTGCAGGGACAGCCCTGACACTCCTTTCAGACCCTCATTCCTTCCCAGAGATGTTGAGAATGTTCATCTCTCCAGCCCCTGACCCCATGTCTCCTGGACTCAGGGTCTGCTTCCCCCACATTGGGCTGACCGTGTCTCTCTAGTTGAACCCTGGGAACAATTTCCAAAACTGTCCAGGGCGGGGGTTGCGTCTCAATCTCCCTGGGGCACTTTCATCCTCAAGCTCAGGGCCCATCCCTTCTCTGCAGCTCTGACCCAAATTTAGTCCCAGAAATAAACTGAGAAGTGGAATCTTCCTGTGTCTCCTCCCTGTGCAGGGTGGCTGTGAACAAGTCATATCTCCGCCTCCAGGCTCATGTGTTTTGTCTATGAGGTCACTTGGGTTGTGAGAAACAGAGGTCCAGTCAGACTACTTTTCACCTTCTTCATAAATATTGGCCAGGTGGCTATTTTTTATTTTCATTTATTTATTATTATTATTTTTTTTTTTTTGCGATGGAGTCTCACTCTGTTAACCACACTGGAGTGCAGTGGCACAATCTCGGCTCACTGCAACCTCCACCTCCCAGGTTCAAGCGATTCTCCTGCCTCAGCCTCCCAAGCATCTGGGATTACAGGCGTCCACCACCACGCCCAGCTAGTTTTTGTATTTTTAGTAGAAACAGGGTTTCACCATGTTGGCCAGGCTGGTCTCGAACTCCTGACCTCAAGTGATCTGCCCGCCTCAGCCTCCCAAAGTGCTGGGATTACAGGCATGAGCCACCACACCCGGGCCCATGTGGCTACTTTGCACCAGGAATGGTTCCATGTGCTGGGGATAAGGCATTGGGCCAAACAGACCAAAAAGTTCCTGCCTTGTAGAGCTCACATTCCAGGAGTGGAAGACAGACAATAAAGAGAGAGATAATTGGGAGGCCAAAGCAGGCGAATCACAAGTTCAGGAGATCGAGACCATCCTGGCCAACATGGTGAAACCCCCTCTCTACTAAAAATACAAAAATTAGCTAGGCATGGTGGCATGCACCTGTAATCCCAGCTACTCAGGAGACTGAGGCAGGAGAATTGCTTGAACCTGGGAGGTGGAGATTACAGTGAGCAGAGATCACGCCACTGCACTCCAGCCTGGCGACAGTAAGATGCCAGCTCAAAAAAACAAAAGAGAGAGAGAGATAAACTTGTATGTGCCATAGTAATTATGTAAGTGACATGAACACAATGAGAGCAGGGCATAAGGCAAGAGAGGAAATGTCGTGAGTTGGTGGGGGGGGTCTCTACATTGGATGATCAAGGAGGGCATGGGAGGCAGCATAATGCCTCCCTCCCACCTCGAAACGCCATCTTAATTTCTGGAGCCTGTGAATATGTTACCTTCTATAGCAAGGGGGCTTTGCTGATGTGATTAAGGGTCTTGAGATGGGGAGATGATCCTGGATTATCTGGGTGGACCCAATATAATCAGAAGGGTCCTTATAAGAGGGAGGCGGAAAGATCAGAATGAGAGACTGGAAGATGCTATGCTGCTGGCTTTGAAGACAGAGGAAGATGAGCATGGTGGCTCACGCCTGTAATCCCAGCACTTTGGGAGGCCAAGGCAGGGGCATGGCTTGAGGCCAAGAGTTCAAGACCAGCCTGGGCAACATAGGGAGACCCCATCTCTAAAAAAAAAAAAAATGTTTTTTAATTTGCCAGGTGTAGTGGTGTGTGCCTACAGTCCCAGCTACTCGGGAGACTGAAGTAGGAGGATCACTGCACTCCAGCCTGAGCAACAGAACAAGACCCAATCTCTAACAATAGTAATAATAATAATAATAATAATAATAATAATGATGATGATGATGAAGGTGAAGGAAGGGGCATGAGCCAAGGAATATGGGCAACCTCTGGAAGGCAGGAGGACATGGGAATGGACCCTCCCCTAGAGCCTCCAGAAGGAACCAGCCCTGCCGACCACCTTGATTTCTGCCCAGTGAGATCTTTAGGACTTCTGACCTCCCAAACTACAATAGAATAAATCTGTGTTGTTTTAAGCAACTAGACTCTCAGTGATTTGTTACAGTAGCCACTGTAACAAACACAAAGGGCCTCGCCGAGGAGGTACCATTTGAGACTGAGAGGATAGAGTGGCCAGCCCCAGGCAGGGCGCAGTGGCTCATGCCTATAACCCCAGCACTTTGGGAGGCTGAGGTAGGTGGTTACTTGAGGTCAGGAGTTCAAGACCAGCCTGGCCAACATGGTGAAACCCTGTCTCTACTAAAAATACAAAAACTAGCTGGGCGTGGTGTTGCACACCTGTAATCCCAGCTACTTGGGAGGCTGAGGCAGGAGAATCACTGGAACCTGGGAGGCAGAAGTTGCAGTGAGCCGAGATTGCGCCACTGCACTTCAGCCTGGGTGATGGAAGGAGACTCCATCTCAAAAAAAAAAAAAAAAAGAAAGAAAGTGGCCAGCCCCATGAACATCTGGGGCACTGATGTTCCAGACAGAGAGGAGGTCAAGTGCCAAGTGCTGAGATTGGAGCATGCTGGACATTCTCCAGGAGCTGAAAGAAGACCCATAGAGCTGGACACTTGTTTGTTTTCTCTGAGAATTTGGGAAGTCATTGGAGGTTTTCCAGCCGGATCTGGTTCATGCACAAAGGAGAACATTCTGGCTCTTTGTGGAGAACAAACTGGAGCTGCTTGTTGGCCAGGGTAGAAACGGGAGGTAGGTTATTGTATTAGTCCATTCTCAAGTTGCTGCAAAGATACTACCTAAGACTGGGTAATTTATAAAGGAAAGAGGTTTGATTGACTCATAGTTCAGCATGGCTGGGGAGGCCTCAGAAAACTTACGATCATGGTAGAAGGGGAACCAAACATGTCCTTCTTCACAGGGTGGCCGAAAGGAGAAGGGCAAACTGAAGGGGGAAAATTATAAAACCATCAGATCTTGTGAGAACTCACTACTATCACAAGAATAGCATGGGGGGACTGTCCCCATGATCTAATCACCTCCCATGAGATCCCACCCCCAACACGTGGGGATTATGATTCAAATTAAAATCCAAGATGAGATTTGGGTGGGGACACAGGGCCAGGCCATATCAGTTATCAAAAGAATATCCATTAATTTAAATTGGAAAATGTCAGGGCAGAAGCAGCTGCCTGTGGGATCTCTATCCCTTCTCCCCTAGGTATGTGTCTTTCACGGTCTCTTTCTTCTCATCCCACCTCTGTTTTCTCATTACATTGACTGCCTGTTGCCTATCAAAGCATCTCTTCTCTCCCCCATAACTGGCTCCAGTTACTGGGTTTTCTTTGTTCATAGCCCCTAGAGAAAAAATCTGGTTGGCTGTCCTAGGGTCAGATGCAGACTCTATCTCTAGTCTGAAAGGTGGGCCCACAGAGTGCAACATGGATCCCCCAGCCACCCCTTCATCCATAGCAGTGGGCAGGGCAGGGCCCCTAAGAAGGTTGTGGGCGTGGTAGTCATTGAAATGGACAACACATCAACACATGGACATTCTAGTCTTCAGCACTTTCTGAGTGACCTGTGTAAAGGTCATTTGTACTTTTTCTGGACCTCAGTTTCTCTACCTGTAAAATGGGAGGATTGAAACGTAATGATCTCCACGTGCCAATCCAGCTCTAAGATTTCTCAAGATACTCACAGGTGGTTATAGAAAGTCACTCCAGGGAATACTTTGGAAATTGAACACTCTAGAAAAGGAATTACACTAGAAAATTTTGTCAGTAACAAAATACCCAACTCAAAGTGGGTTAAGCAATAAGGACGTGTATTATTTCACATAATAAGAAGCCCCAAAAGAGGGAAGTACTGTGGTTTGGTGATTCCTACATTACATCATTAGGGACCCATCTTTCTTCTCTACTGCCCTCTGCATTCATTCATTCATATATTTATTCAACTCATGAGCACCTATGAGAGCCAAGTAATATTATAGACACTTGGGATAGACTGATTAATAAAACAGACACCAAACCCCTGCCTTCCTTAAGCTTATGTTCTAGCAGGAAGAAGAAAATATGTCAGCTTTCTCCTTTAGGCTTGTAATCTCGTGGCTGTAAAATGGCTGCCACAGCTCCAGACATCACATCCTCACGCACCATGACAAAAGGCAGGAAGGAGAGACTCTGTTGGCAGAGCTCTCTTCATTAGGAAAGAAAGTCTTTTCCAGAGTCCCCCCACACCCCTGGATCTGTTCTTGGGTCTCAATGACCACTCATTGGAGAAGGTCCCAATGCTGACACTCTAGCTTCAAGAGAAGCTGAGAAAGTGAGTTTCTGACATTTCTCTGTCACGGGTGCAGTCCTTACCAGCAAGGAAGAAGAGATAAGAAGTGTCTGCCTGATGAACAGTCAAAGGTGTGAGAGAAGGACACATACATCAAAATGATCCAATAATTGTCACCTTTATCTTCCCCTTTGTGCCTAGCCATTTACAAGTCCTCACGACTTTTTAGGGGACATTCCAGAAAGACTGGGCTGCCAGGGTGTGTGGTGTGGTGTGAAAATAGGGGCAAATAGTACTGGGTGACAGTTGTAATTCAATGTTTGTTTTTTGTTTTTGTTTTTCTTTAGACAGAGTCTCACTCTGTCACCCAGGCTGGAGTGCAGTAGCGTATTCTCGGCTCACTGCAACTTCCACCTCCCCAGTTCAAGCAATCCCCATGCCTCAGCCTCCTGAGTAGCTGGGACTATAGGTGTGAGCCACCATGCCTGGCTAATTTTTGTATTTTTAGTAGAGACAGGGTTTCGCTATGTTGGCCACACTGGTCTCGAACTCCTGACCTCAGGTGATCTGCCTACCTCAGCCTCCCAAAGTGCTGGGATTACAGGCGTGAGCCATCTGGCCTCAATTTTTTTTTTCTTAATCTTAAAAAAATCTAGATAGGAGCAGAATCCTAGCTAAGGGGCAGTCTTGAGCACATTTTCCAAAATGATGTTTCCGGTTAAGCTGCTTTGAGGAACAAGAGAAGATTCATGCTGGCTTCAATAGTAAATAAGTTTTAATTTCACATATCAAGAAATCCAGGTAAGGGCAGCTCCAGACACAGGGCGTCAGGCTGTGTTTCGCTTGGTTCTCCTCGGCGGGGGGTCATCATCCTTAAGATCAACACCCGTAGTGGGTCTGTCTTTGAGAAGGATGATGCTTTTCCAGAAACCACCCCAGCAGAATTTTATCTTATTCTTACTGGCCAGAATTGGGTCACATGTCCTTTCCTAAACCAGTCACAGACTGGTGGGGTGGGGTGGGGAGTGGGGTGGAGAGGTTAACATGGTTGATTTGAACCAAACAGGATTATTCTTTCACGATGGAGTGGAGGACCTCCCCTAAAGCATGTAGAAGCTGCTCCTTGAGAGAAATCAGGATTCCGACATCAAAGAACGGGAGGAACAACCAATGATGTCTGCCCCATAGATGCCCTTGCAGCAATATTTTAAATTAACTTTTATTGAAAGATAATGCACAGGGCCGGGCATGGTGGCTCACACCTGTAATCCCAGCACTTTGGGAGGCCGAGGCGGGTGGATTACCTGAGGTCAGGAGTTCGAAACCAGCATGGCCAATGTGGCGAAACCCTGTCTCTACTAAAAATACAAAAATTAGCCGGGCTCGGTGGTGGGCACCTGTAATCCCAGCTACTCGGGAGGCTGAGGCAAGAGAATCGCTTGAACCTGGGAGGTGGAGATTGCAGTGAGCCAAGATCACGCCATTGCACTCCAGCCTAGATGACAGAATGAGACTGTCTCAAGAAACAAAAAAAGAAAGAAAGAAAGAAAGAAAGAAAGAAAGAAAGAAAGAAAGAAAGAAAGAAAGAAAGGAGAAAGAAAGAAACATGCACAGAAGTATCATAAATGGCAGTGAAGTTTCACAAAACAGAACACACCCTTGTAACCAGCATTCAGACAGAGCCACGGAACCTAAGCATCTCCTCAGAAAAACCAGTGGGGTCTTCCTTGCAGTCACTACCTCCCCTGCCAAATGTAGCCGCTTCCATTACTACCTAAATCCCTCGCCTGCAAGGGTAGCGACTTTCATGACTTCTCCCCAAGTGTAGCAACTTTTGTGACTTCTATCACCATAAATTAATTTGTCCCATTTATGAACAACATATAAATATAAATTTATTTACATAGACATATAGAAGTATAATAAGTTTATATAAATAAATCATTTGGGAGGCTGAGCCGAGTGGATCACGAGGTCAAGAGATCGAGACCATCCTGGCCAGCATGGTGAAACCCCGTCTCTACTAAAAATACAAAAATTAGCCGGACATGGAGGCATGCACCTGTAATCCCAGCTACTTGGGAGGCTGAGGCAGGAGAATTGCTTGAACCTGGGAGGCAGAGGTTGCAGTGAGCTGAGATCGTGCCACTGCTCTCCAGCCTGGTGACAGAGTGAGACTTTGTCTAAAAAAACAAAAAAACAAACAAACAAAAAAAGCAATGAGTGTCTTATATTATTTTGTGTTGGGCTTTTTTTTTTCTCAGTATTATATATTGTGTGGTCCGCCCAGGTTTTTGTTTATGGTTGTAAATGTTTTATTCTCATCGTTGCACAGTATACCATTGTGTAAATGTACTCCGATTTATTGAGCCATTTTTTTACTATGAGGAGACATTTGGATAGTTTCTAGTTTCTTTAACAGTTGTAAAGGTAATACACTTGTGGAACAATTGCTACAACCGTGATGAAAAGAAGAGAGGCCGGGCATGGTGGCTCACACCTGTAATCCCAACTACTTCAGAGGCTGAGGCAGGAGGATTGCTTGAGCCCAGGAGTTCGAGACCAGCCTGGGCAACAAAGCCAGACCCTGTCTCAAGAAAAATAAACCAAGAGTTTAGGAGAAACAGTGTGCTTGGTTCTCTGCCCACCAAAGATGCAAGCACTATCCCCACGCTGATTGTTGCTAATGGCAGAGCCTGGATGCATTTTCCCATCAAGTTCAGGCTCAAGGGCAAACAGGCGAACAGAGGGGAGATGTGTGTGGACTAAGAGGCAGAGGTTGGTGTTTTGTGACTTGTCTGACTTGGCACAGGGCAAGCTGGGTGCAACTGAGATGTGCTTATCATTCTTCCCACTGCATTACTGACGAGCCCGAGTATTGCTCAGATTGGCATATGACCTGGATACATCCGGGTGGCCATGTCATCCAGTTATAAGCAAGAAGACAAAGCTGGAGTTTCTGGGAAAGTTTTTGTTTTGCTGATAAAAGAGAAAGAGTAGGCTGGGTGTGGTGGCTCACACCTATAATCCCAGCACTTTGGGAGGCCGAGGCAGGTGGATCACGGGGTCAGGAGTTCGAGACCAGCCTGGCCAACATGATGAAACCCCATCTCTACTAAAAACACAAAAATTAGCTGGGCACAGTGGTGGGCACCTGTAATCCCAGCTACTCAGGAGGCTGAGGCAGGAGAATTGCTTGAACCCGGAAGGTGGAAGTTGCAGTGAGCCGAGATCGCACCACTGCATTCCAGCCTGGGCGACAGAGCAGGACTCTGTCTTAAAAAAATAAAAAATATAAATAAATAAATAAATAGGAGAGAGAGAGTAATGTTTGGACCTTTGGACCTTCCCTTCCACCTCTTCTCACCTGGAATATGGGTGCCTGGAGACGGACCAGCCACCTTGCATGATGAGAATAAAAGCCGCAGGATAAAGATGGGATTACAGAAAGCAGCTCACATTTCTGATGATTTCCTTCGGAGCTCCATGCATGGACTTCCTACATCTGGGCTTGGAACAGGCAGAATACAATCTTGGGTGTCCGGGCTACCGTAGTTGGTTTTCTATATGCCGATATAGAGAGGATGGTATGGGAAATGAAGCTTCTGGAAACTGAAAGATGAGCTAAGACATTGTGCAGATTTTCCTGGGCAGCCTTGACTTTCTTTTCCTGGATGAAGATGTCTTTTTAACATGGAGGCTGGATCCAGAACCAGGAGGGGACAGATGTCTGTAAATTGTTCCCATTAAGGGTGGAGGAGATCAGTGTATTTCCTGCATGGTGATGTAAGTGGTGAGAAAAATGCGGCTGTGGCGGTGCAAGAAATAAGCTCCTCGCCCTACTCGATATTAAGACATGCTACAAAACAAAATCAGTGTTTTTAAAAAAGGGTGGGATCAGTGCAAGAACAGACAAGTAGACCAGAGAGGCAGGAGAGAGGTCCCAGAAAGAGAATCATAGGAAACTGATGTATCATCATATAATATATTAGGGACTTAATATAAGATAAAATATCAACACAAATTAGTGGGAGAATGATGGTATATTTAGTAAGTGGCATTAGAAAAACTCGTCTGCTGTGCAGAGAAAAAGAAACCTAGATTTCTAATACTACACATGAAATTGGATTCCAGCTGTATTAAAGACCACTGAAAGATAATATTATAAAATTAATAGAAAAAATCATGGTGAATATATATTTATTTTATTTATTTTTTTATTTTTTTGAAGACTCTATCGTCCAAGCTGGAGTGCAGTGGCATGATCTGGGCTCACTACAACCTCTGCCTCCCCGGCTCAAGCGATTCTCATGCCTCAGCCTCCCAAGTAGCTGTAACTACAGGCACATGCCACTACGTCCAGCTGCTTTTTCTATTTTTGGGTAGAGATGGGGGTTTTGCCATGTTGGCCAGGCTGGTCTCAAACTACTGACCTTAAGTGATCCTCCTGCCTTGGCATCCCTGTGCTGGGAATACAGGCATGAGCCACAACACCCGGCCTATTTTTGAATCTCTGTGATAGGGGATGACTTCTTAAGACCTAAAAAAAACACACATCATATGACAAAACATTGATTAGTTTGATTATTTTAAAATTAAACACTTTGGTTTAAGAGAAGGTAAGGACGATTCATAGGCATTTATCAGAATGGGAGAAGTTATTTGTAACATCCAAAATGGACAAAGAACTAGAACCTGTAATATGCAAGAAGCACCTGTGAATTAATGAGAAAAAATATGGATATCCTTATAGGTAAATGGATAAAAGCTACAAAGAGGTGATTTGCAGAAGCAGAATTCCAAAAGCTAACATGCACATAGAGATGTTCAAGGCCAGGCGCGGTGGCTCGTGCCTGTAATCCCGGCACTTCGGGAGGCCGAGGCAGGCGGATCACTTGAGCTCAGGAGTTCAAGAACACCCTGGGCAACATGGCGAAACACGGCCTCTATAAAAAAATATTAAAAATGAGCCAGGCATGCAGGCGTGGTGGCGGGCGCCTGTAGTCCCAGCTACTCGGGAGGCTGAGGCAGGAGAATGGCGTGAACACGGGAGGCGGAGCTTGCAGTGAGCCGAGATCACGCCACTGCAATCCAGCCTGGGCAACAGAGCGAGACTCCGTCTCAAAAAAAAATAAAAAATAAAAAATAAAATAAAATTAGCCAGGCATGGTGGTGTCAGCCTGTGGTCCCAGCTACTCTTGAGGCTGAGGTGGGAGGATCACTTGAGCCTGGGAGGCTGCCATGAGCTGTGATCGCAGACTGACACCTGGTCTCTAAAAAGAGAGAGAGATGTTCAAACTTTTTAGATACTGTAACTTGAGATGTGACTTTACATCAAGTAGTCTTCTCATTTTGAGAAGGGCAGACAAGGTCAAGGGCTGTCAGGGATGTGTAGACATTCGAATGTTCAAGTGCAACTGGGTTGAGTGTGGTGTCTCCAATTATGAAGACGGAGCTGATGCTATTTCATCAAACAAGTATACACACACCCAATGACTCAGCGATTTCTCTCCTGGCTACACATCCCAAAGAAATTCTTACACACCCACAAGGGGACACGTACAAGCTTGTGCTTTGCAGTGTTCTTTGCAGTGGCCAGAAACTGGAAGCCACCAAGTGCCCATCAGTAGGGGAATTGTGTAAATGTGGTGGACGTCCCGCCATGAAGTTCCTATGCAGAAGTCAGATGCAACGAACACATGTATGAACACGTAACAACACGGGTGGGCCTTAAAAACATAGTGCTATTTGCAAAGTGGCTTAGGATAGAGTAAGAATATCACCTAATGCCAGTTAAGTAAATTAAAGTCACACATTCACTCATACATAAGAACCACACTGCACATTTTGTAGGACTGAGGGAGAGTGGGAGGGAGGAAAAGAAGGCACAGAAAGAGAGAGAGAAAATGAAGAAAGGGGCCGGGCATGGTGGCTCATGCCTGTAATTCCAGCACTTTGGGAGGCTGAGGTGGGCAGATCACCTGAGGTCAGGAGTTCGAGACCAGCCTGATCAATATGGAGAAACCCCACCTCTACTAAAAATACAAAAAATTAGCCAGGCATGGTGGCGCATGCCTGTAATCTCAGCTACTTGGGAGGCTGAGGTAGGAGAATCGCTTGAATCCATGAGGCAGAGGTTGCGGTGAGCCAAGATCGCACCATTGTACTCCAGCATGGGCACGAAGAGCAAAACTCCATCTTAAAAAAAAAAAAAAAAGAAAAAAGAAAAGAAAAGAAAAGAAAATGAAGAAAGGAATCTGTTTGAACCAGTGATGATAATAATGCATTTAATATTCAACCTCTTCACCTAAGCTATAAATGGAGTAAAAAGTAGCTTGTCAAATTGTCAAGCCATAGCTTGAATGGATGTTGACCTGGGGCTGAGCCACCCGTGAGACTAGTGTGTGTGTGTGTTTGTGTGTTGTGGTTCCTGCTCACTGTGGCCACCTTCTGATGCTGTTTTATATCCCTGACTTGCTAAACCAGACACTTAATGTAACCCAGCGGTGGCTGATTCTCACTTGAATACATACCTCTCTGAAATGTACAAAATTGTGGCTCACACCTGTAATCCCAGCATTTTGGGAAGCCAAGGCAGCAGGATCGTTTGAGCCCAGGAGTTCAAGACCAACCCGGGCAACATAGTAAGACCTGTCTCTAAAATAAAAAGGGAAATAGATAAACCACTTTTTATAAAAGAAAAAAAAATGAAATGCACAGAATTGGCTGAAGATCTCAGATAGGCTTTGACTGAGGGCGAAAAGTGTCAGCAGGTGTGGCTCAGAAAGCTGGCACATCCTCCACCCGGTCCTCGCTCTTGGGGTGGTTGATCCTGGCGAGAAACCGAGGTCAGGGAGTGGCCCCAATTTTATTGGTGGGAGGGCCCTCCCCCCCTGCATTCCACACACCAGATAAGCATCTAATTGTTGGCTACAGAGAGGCTGGCTGTGGGTTACCTTTTATTAGTAATAATAATAATGATGATGATGACAACATCTACCATTCATCCAGTGCCAGACACCTCACTGCATTCATTGCATGCTTATTCCTCCTGGTCCTGACAGAAACCTTAGGAGGGAGGCCCTCAGCCAGCCAGGAGGCTGAGGAGCAGGGAGGTTTGGTGCATTTGGCTCAATTTCTGCAGCCGGTACTTGGCAGAGCCGGAATTTGAGTCAAGGGCGTAGGAGTCCTAAGCCCGTGCCGGTAACCACAACACTAGATTGAGCCAGCGAAAGCAAACATAGGTACATAGGGCCAAAGCCATAAGGATGTGAGGTGAAGGGGTAGGAATGGGGGAAGTAGGGAGACTCTGAGAACTTTAAAGAAAGAAAGACTTGGCCAGGTGCGGTGACTCACACACCTGTAATCCTAGCACTTTGGGAGGCCGAGGCGGGCTGATCACCTGAGGTCAGGAGTTCAAGACCAGCCTGGCCAACATGGTGAAACCCTGTCTCTACTAAAAATACAAAAATTAGCCAAGCATGTAGGTGGGTGCCTGTAATCCCAGCTGCTCAGAAGGCTGAGGCCAGAGAATCACTTGAATCCAGGAGGCAGAGGTTGCAGTGAGCTGAGATTGCACCATTGCACTCCAGCCTAGGCAACAGAGCGAGACTCCATCTCAAAAAAAAAAAAGAAAAGAAAAAAGAAGAAAGAAAAGAAAAGAAAGAGACTCAAACAGATGTAAAGACAGAGAGAGATGGAGAGAGACAGATTTGGAGGGGAGAGGAAGGAGGGAGAGAGGAAGGGAGGAAAAGGAAGAAAGAGAGGAACAGAGAGATATACTGGAATAGATTTAAGGCAGATGGACTCAGAGAGACTTAAAGAGAGAAACTTGGGGAGAGTGAGACAAACAGACTCAGATTTTTTTTTTTTTTTTTGGAGACAGAATCTTGCTATGTTGCCCAGGCTGGACTCAAACTCCTGGGCTCAAGGGATCCTCCCACCCCAGCCTCTGGAGTAGCTGGGACTGTAGGCTCATACCACCTCAACAGAAAGACTCAAGTTTAAAGAGACTGGGGGTGGGGAGGGTAGAGAAAGATTCAGAAAGAGGGGAAGAGCTAGCTTTGGTGACATTCAAAGAGAGAGAGAGAAACAGAGAGAGAGAAGAGACTGAAACACTGATCATAGAGAAAGTGATGGAAGAAGGACATAGGGAGAGCAAGAGGATTGAGGAAGGAAAGGAGGGAGGGAGGAGGAGAGATGAAGAGAAAGAGACCCAGAGAGAGATCTGGAAAGAGAAGGGCAAACAGAGAGGGAGAAATGAAAGGGAGAGAGAGAGAAAGAGAGAGAGAGAGAAAGGATTCCTTTGGTGAGAGTTGTAAGGGAGGTAGTGCAGGATCTGGGGTTACTTTGCAGATCTTTCTATTTTATTATATTATTATTATTATTATTATTATTATTATTATTATTATTATTATTTGAGAGGAGTCTGGCTCTGTTGCCCAGGCTGGAGGGCAGCGGCACGATCCCAGCTCACTGCAACCTGTGCCTCCCGAGTTCAAGTGATTCTCCTGCCTCAGCAACACCCCCAACCCCAGTAGCTGGGATTACAGGTGCTCACCACCACACCCGGCTAATTTTTTTGTATTTTAGTAGAGACGGGGTTTCACCATGTTGGCCAGGCTGGTCTCGAACTCCTGACCTCAAGCAATCTGCCCACCTCGGCCTCCCAAAGTGCTGGGATTACAGGCGTGAGCCACCGTGCCCGGCCCTTTGCATATTATTGATCTCACTCTTCCTCCTAATCCCCACAATCCCGCTGCCTAAGCGGCCTCGTCCCACCGCTTGGCCTTGCAGCCAATCCCCCAGAGCCCGGGCCTCTCTTCCCCCATGCCTTGGGCTGAGTCCCCCAGGGATGGCATCTATCCTGTAGGAAAAAGGGAAGGGGTGCAATAGACACAGACTGGTTCAATCCTACCTGTTTCCTATTCTGTAAAATGATGCTACTTCATGAGACTGCCTTGAGCATTAAAGGAGAGAATGCGCATAAAGGCAAAGACAAGAACACAGAGGCCGGCACAGAATAAACATGTGGAAATCGTTGTTTCTGTGATTGTCATGAACGTCATTAGTTACTGTTCTGGAGTTGGCTGCCTGCACAGGTGTGGCGAGGGCTGTTTATCCCACTGAATGAAGCTCTTGCTGCTCAAAGCTGAAGCGACATGCCCTGGAAGCATATTAAAAAACACAGTCCCACTCCAGACCAACTGAACCAGAAGCGGCATTTCCATAAGATCCCCTGGTGTTTCGTGTGCACGTTCAAGTAAGTGCCCCACCCTGCAAGCCTCCCAGGAAGAAATTGTAAACCCAAGTTAGCGGAATCCACCATTTGCTCTATCGCGCCACCTGGAGGCCTTTGCAAGAACTGAACTGGGACCTGGGAAAGTTGTGGGAGGGGCATGAAATTTGGAATCCAGGGCCGGGCGCGGTGGCTCACGCCGGTAATCCCAGCAGTTTGGGAGGCCGAGGCCGGTGGATCACTTGAGGTCAGGAGTTCAAGACCAGCCTGGCCAACATGGCAAAACGCCGTCTCTATTAAAAACACAAAAAATTAGCCGGGCGTGGTGGCGGGCGCCTGTAATCCCAGTTACTTGTGAGGCTGAGGCAGGAGAATCGCTTGAACCTGGCAGACGGAGGTTGCAGTGAGCCAGGATCGTGCTGCTGCACTCCAGCCTGGGTGACAGAGCGAGACTCCGTCTCAAAAAAGAAGAAAAGAAAGAAAAAGAAATTTGGAGTCCTACAATCCTGCGAGCCATTCCCAGCTGTCTAGTTTTGGGCAAGTTCCTTGACCTCTCTGAGCCATGGTGTATAGGTCACACTCTTCACCTGTAACACCAAGATGACAATTCCACCTCATGCACAGTGCCTGCCCCAGAGTTGGCACAGACCAATCTGGTTTCACTTTTTTTTTTTTTTTTTTTTTCAGACAGAGTCTCACTTTTGTCGCCCAGGCTGGAGTGCAGTGGCACGATCTCGGCTCACTGCCACCTCCACCTCCCGGGTTCAAGCAATTCTTCTGCCTCAGCCTCCTGAGTAACTGGGATTACAGGTGCGTGCTACCATGCCCAGCGATGTTTTTTTGTATTTTTGGCAGAGACGGGGTTTCACCGTGTTGGCCAGGCTAATCTCAAACTCCTGACCTCAGGTGATCCGGACCTCAGGTGATCCAACTGCCTCGGCCTCCCAAAATGCTGGGATTACAGGTGTGAGCCACTGTGCCCAGCCTGGTTCCACTTTTATGTAACAAAGTTGTGAGATGTTTTTCAGTTGCCATGGTATTTCAGGTCATATAACCTGAGTACACCCAGATGAACCATGCGTGCAACCACAGGGGGAACCAAAGTGCTTGGATGGAGGAGCAGGGACTGAATTAAGAAGCTGACACTGCATGGCAGGATCCAGGATCCGATCAGATTTGAGCCTTGGTGTCACCCCATGGCAGGATCCAGTCAGATCATGCTTCTCCAGCATCACCTTATTGCCAGATCCAATCAGATCACGCCTCCTTACTCCATGCTTATAAAACCTGCTCCAGCCCCCAGCTCAGGGAGACAGAGTCAGGTATTTCCTCCTATGTCCTTTTGCTGATCAACGTGCAATTAAGTTTTTCTTTTCTCAAAAGCCGGTGCTATGGTATTGGCCTCTATGCACATGGGGCTGTGAGCCCACTGGTTGCATGGTAACACTACCACTTTTGGAATGCATCACTGACGCATCTGAGATGTAGCCTAGAGCCTGGACATTATTTAAAGGGCAGGCTACTGAATCCATAATGTTATAGGTTGAAGTGTTCCCCCACAAAAAGATATGTTGAAGTTTTTTTGTTTTGTTTTGTTTTGTTTTTTTTGTTTTTTTTTTTTTTTGAGATGGAGTTTTGCTCTTGTCACCCAGGCTAGAGTGGATGGTGCAATCTTGGCTCACTGCAACCTCCGCCTCCCACGTTCAAGCAATTCTCCTGCCTCAGCCTCCCAAGTAGGTGGGATTACAGGCATCCACCACCACGCCTGGCTAGTTTTTGTATTTTTTTTTTAGTAGACATGGGGTTTCACCATGTTGGCCAGACTGGTCTTGAACTCCTGACCTCAGGTGATCCACCTGTCTCGGCCTCCCAAAGTGCTGGGATTACAGACGTGAGCCACCGCGCCCAGCCGATATGTTGAGGTTCTAATCGCCAGGACCTCAGAATGTGATCTTAGTTTGAAATACAGTCATTTCAGGTATAAGTAGTTGAAGTCTTACTAGAGTATGGTGGACTCTTAATCCAGTATGACTGGTGTCCTTATAAAAACAGGGAAGAAAATATGAAGACAGACACAAAGGGAGAGGGCCATGTGAAGAGAGAGGCAGAGATTGGAGTATTGCAGCTGCCAGCCAGGGAAGGCCAGTGGTCAGCAGCCGTCAACAGAAGCCAGGAAAGACTCTACGCAGAGCCTGAGGGCGTGTGGCCTTGCCGACACCATGGGGACCTTGATTTCAGACTTACAGTCTCCAGAGCTCTGAGAGAATACATTTCTTTTGTTTAAAGCCACCCAGTTTGTGCTAGTTCGTTACAGCAGCCCCACAGAACTGATACACGAGTGGGTCAGCTCTCGGTGTACACAGGTCCACTTGACAACAGCAGACATACAAAGGGCCATAAAGCACACGAAACAATGCTCAACTTCTTTCGTCATGAGAGGAAATCCAATTCAAGCCACAATTAGACGCTACCACCCACCCATCAGATCGGTTTTAAAAAATTAAAATAGGCTTTGCAGACACTGCCGCTGCGAGTCCTGTACTATCAGCCACGGTCAACCCCACCGTGTTCTTTGACATCGCCGTTGATGGAGAGCCCTTAGGCCACGTGTCCTTCGAGCTGTTTGCAGATAAGTTTCCAAAGTCAGCAGAAAAGGTTCATGCTCTGAGCACTGGAGAGAAAGGATTTGGTTATAAGGGTTCCTGCTTTCACAGAATTATTCCAGGGTTTATGTGTCAGGGTGGTGACTTCACACGCCATAAAGACACCGGTGGCAAGTCCCTCTACAGGGAGAAATTTGATGATGAGAACTTCATCCTAAAGCATACAGGGCCTGGCATCTTGTCCATGGCAAATGCTGGACCCAATACAAATTGTTCCCAGTGTTTCATCTGCACTGCCAAGACTGAGGGGTTGGATGGCAAGCACGTGGTCTTTGGCACGGTGAAAGAAGGCATGAAGATTGTGGAGGCCATGGAGTACTTTGGGCCCAGGAATGGCAAGACCAGCAAGGAGATCACCATTGCTGACTGTGAACAACTCTAAGTTTGACTTGTATTTTATCTTAACGACCAGACCATTCCTTCTGTAGCTTGGGAGAGAACCCCTTCACCCCACTTGCTTGCAGTATCCTAGAATCTTTGTGCTCTCACTGCAGTTCCCTTTGGGTTCCATGTTTTCCTTGTTCCCTTCCATGCCTAGCTGGATTGCAGAGTTAAGTTTATGATTATGAAATAAAAACTAAATAACAAAAAACTACAATAAATTCAATAAAAATAAATAAGATGAAAACGCCAAGATGTTGCACACTTCGTGGGGCACCTCGAACTCTCATACCTGGTTGAAGGGAGTGTCAAATGGTTCAACCGCTTCGGGAAAAAGTCTAGCAGTTTCTGATAATAAAAACCCCAGCCTGGGCCAGGTGCAGTGGCTCACGCCTGTAATCCCAGCACTTTGGGAGGCCAAGGTGGGCAGATCACTTGAGGCCAGGAGTTCGAGACCAGCCTGGCCAACATGGTGAAACCCTGTCTCTAACAAAAATGCAAAAATTAGCCAGGTATGGTGGTGGGAGACTGTAATTCCAGCTACTGGGGAGGCTGAGGCAGAACAATCACTTGAACCCCGGAGGTGAAGGTTGCAGTGAGCCGAGATCACAAAACTGCACTCCAGCCTGAGCGAAGGAGCAAGACTCTGTCTCAAAAAACAAAAATGAAAAAACACCCCATGATCTCACCAACCAGAGGAAACCAATGTTGACATTTGTGTGCGTGCGCGCGTGCGTGTGTGTGTATGTGTGTGCTGGACAGAGACAGGATAGCAGAGCAGCTAGGCACACAGTCTTCCGAGCCAAAATACAAGAATAATAGTACAAATGCAAGAATAATAGTACAACTTCACGGGGTTGTTTCAAGGATAATGGATTACTCAGCAAAGCTTTGGATTTGGATTTGGGTTTCAAGAAAAACTGTCGAGAAACCACTCTACCAAAACACCCCTGCAAGGCAGTAGACCAAGATGAGTGAAATTGTTCATCTTCACAATTAGGAGCTTGTCCTGAGTTTTTGTAGCTTTTTGAAACAGTGCACCTTAAGAAATAAGCCAGGTCTGCATCATCTATCTCCACTGATAACAATGAAGGGAGTCATCACTAGTTCTCACACTTAGTCACTGTTGTATAACTTACGCAACTGACTCAATGATGTTTCACAAAGTTTGTGACCAACTCAAAGGTGGTCTTTTGTTTTGTTTTGTTTTGCTTTTGTAGATAAAGTTTTATTGGAACACAGCCATGCTTATTCATGTATGTATTGAGTATGAGTTGTTCGATGAAGCAGAGTTGACTGGTTGATAACAGAAACCATATAGTCCACAGAACTTAAAATATCTTTAAAATTGCAATTTAAAAATATTTCCCTTATTTTATTTTATTTTTTATTTTATTTTATTTTATTTTTTGAGATGGAGCCTTGCTCTGTTGCCCAGGCTGGAGTACAGTGGCATGATCTCGGCTCACTGCAAACTCCACCTCCCGGGTTCAAGCGATTCTCCTGCCTCAGCCTCCTGAGTAGCTGGGATGACAGGTGTGCGCCACCACGCCCGGCTAATTTTTGTATTTTTAGTAGAGACGGGGTTTCACCATGTTGGCCAGGCTGGTCTCGAACTCCTGACCTCAGATGATCTGCCCACCTCGGCCTCCCAAAGTGCTGGGATTACAGGCATGAGCCACCACGCCCAGCCTGAAAATTTCTTTATGGTGATGAAGTAGTTCTGTATCCCAACTGTGGTGATGGTTACCTTTATCTATAGAGCTATAAGAACTAGATACATGAAAAGAGAGACAGAGAGAAACAGAGACAAACAGATGGTGGGGATGGGGTGGAGAGAGAGACAGAGAGAGAGATGTAAAAAATGATGAAATCCAAATAAGGTCTCTATGTGAGTTAACAGCATGGTATCAACGATGTTTTCCTAGTTTTGACAGTGTACTATCCTTATAAAAAATGTTACCATTGGGAGAATCTGGATGAAGGGTACATGGGCATTATTGCACTAGTTTGCAATTTTTGTGAGTTTTGAACTGTTTCAAAATAAAATGTCATAATAAAAATGTGTCTGGCATATCGGAAGTGCTCAGTAAAAAATATTGTCGTCCTCCTAGATCTCTCTGATTGCATTTTCCCTTCGACTTTATTTGCTGTATTGCCAGTGTCTATTTTCTGGCCAGCTCTAATCATTGCAGAATGAGCAATGAGATCCCTTTAGGAAAAAAAAAAAAGTTCCTCCCACTGAGTTCTCGCAGGCTGAAAGACTCTCTAGCAGAAAGCTTGACAGCCATATGTGTAATTATGAATCATCTGTAATTTTCACACCAGCTATTGTTTTATAACTTGTGTAATTATCCAAACAGTGTTTCACAAACCTTGACACTAACCAGGCATTACAGGTCTTCAATTCTGATAACAAGAAAGAGAATTCACCAAGTGGTCTAAGCTCCGGGAGACACGTTTCTTGGTGCGAAACCCAGCCTGGTGGCTAAAGGCAAGAGAAAAAAAAATAAAAACACATCTTTGTATGCATCTGTCCCTGTGCCACAAAATCCTGGAAGATGATCCAAAAAAACATATTCTAGTTTTTGTGTTTTGAAGAGGGATGAAGACAGGACAGGTTGGGGAACAAAGTTAGGTGGAGGTTTATCACTCTGTATTTTTTATAAACATATTTTTTTACCATGTAAAAATATTTTCTTCTTTTTTTTTTTTTTTCTGAGATGGAGTCTCACTTTGTCACCCAGGCTGGAGTCCAGTGGCGCGATCTCAGCTCACTGCAACCTCCGCCTCGTAGGTTCAAGCGATTCTCCTGCCTCAGCCTCCCAAGTAGCTGGGATTACAGGCACGCATCACTATGTCTAGCTAACTTTTGCATTTTTAGTAGAGACAGGGTTTCGCCATGTTGGCCAGGCTGGTTTTGAACTCCTGGCCTCAAGTGATCCACCCACCTTGGCCTCCCAAAATGCTGGGATTACAGGCATGAGCCATAGTGCCTGGCCGAAAATATTTTCTATTCAAAAAATTAAATAGAAATGATGTTACACACACACACTTGTGCCAGAGTCCCTGTGTCCAAACCTGGCTGCTCCTTACTGTGTGACCTTGGAAAATGACTTAAAAAATTTTTTTAATAGAGAAAGGGTCTCACTATATTGCCCAGGCTGGCCTCGAACTCCTGGACTAAAGCAATCCTCCCTCCTCGCCTCCCAGGATTAAAGGTGGGATTAAAGGTGTGAACCATGGCACCTTGACTTAGAAAATAACTTTAATCTCCCTTTGCCTCAGTTTCTTCCTATTTATAGTGGCGATAGAAACAGTAGCAACTTCCTAGGGTGGCTGGGAATATAAACAAGTTCATTCCTGCAAATCCCTTAAGACTATGGTACAGCACACACACTTAGCATGTGTTACCAATTAGCGGCAGTGTTCTCCCACTTCAGTAAGTGTGGAACCAAACAAAGATTTGCTTTCTTCTCACCTTTCCCCAATCTAACAAATCTAGCCAGTGAGAATTTTGCGGAGAAAAGCTGATTTCCTTTTCAAATGGGGAAAGAAATCAATTCAGAAATTGATTGTTTGCAGACAACAGAGTGGCAGGTGAGAGCGCTGGGGATCTGCACTTTTTTTTTTTTTTTTTTTTTTTGAGATGGAGTTTTACTCTTGTTGCCCAGGCTGGAGTGCAGTGGCACCATCTCAGCTCACCGCAACCTCTGCCTCCCGGGTTCAAGCAATTCTCCTGCCTCAGCCTCCGGAGTAGCTGGGATTACAGGCATGCAGCACGACGCCTGGATAATTTTGTATTTTTAGTAGAGACAGGGTTTCTCCATGTTGGTCAGGCTGGTCTCAAACTCCCAACCTCAGGTGATCCGCCCACCTCTGCCTCCCAAAGTGCTGGGATTACAGGTATGAGCCACCATGCCCGGCCCTGCACCATTTTTTTTTTAAGACAGGCTTATGATTTTATCCTATAATATTAAGTACAACAACTCAAGTTAAAGAATCTGCTGGGTGCAGTGACTCACCTGTAATCCCAGCACTTGGGAGGCCGAGGTGGGAGGACGGTTTGAGGCCTGGAGTTGAAGACCAGCCTGGGCAACGTAGTGAGACCCTGTCTCTATTTTTAAAAAATGACTATAGCCACTCAATTATGTGAGAAGTTAATTATTATTATTATCTGCATGGTTGTTATTTGACTATATGGGTGCACAGCGGAGCGGGAGATGGCGAAGGGCAACCAAGGTCACCATGTGACTTCATTGTATTCATAGCAATAATTGGAGATACCATTTGCCGGGCTCTTGTGTGTCCAACGTGTTGTGTGGACGTCCCCATTGAAACTTCACATAAACCCATGCGATGTCGCTATCCTCAGCTGAGGAAAGCCGACCATGAGGCCAGACACTCAGCCCTCGCCTGATGTCACGCTTGAACCCCTCCCTTTACATCTGAGAGACCCAAAGTCAGGACCATGACTTGGTGTCCCCAGGTGGAAAGCTCTGGTGGCGGCCAGCCCTGCTTCCTGCCACCTCTGCTCCCGTTTCTGGATCCTGAGCCGGATGCTGCGGCCCAGGGTGACTGGCGCAAGAGAACCCTGGGCCCACAACCTTTAGTCCTCCCCGAGTATGTCTCTCCGGCTCCACTAGGTGGCAGTATTGCACAGTTGTAGGCGCACTTGCTCCGAGCTTGGGGAGTGCCCAGCCCAGCGCTCTCACCTGCCCGCTGTTTTCTGCAAACAACCCGGGAGCTTCTCTGTGACTCTTTGTTTAAATCTATAAAGTGAGGGTGATAATAGTTCCCACCTCATGGAGATTAAATGAGTTCACATTTACAAAGAGCCTAGAATAATGCCTGGCACAAGATAAAGTACGTTACAAGAGTAGCTATGATGATGATGTTCATGGTCAGGGTGATGGATGACTCCTTTTGTGGTGTTGTTTCGTTATTTGTGACTTTCTTTCCCTCTGATCTCTTTATATCCATGTCTCTGTGTGTCCATGCTTTTTTCTCCACCGAGGTCACAAACTCAGCCACCTCCTGGGGCCAGGCAGGAAGTATAAATGAGGGAAGCTGACTGTGTGTGGGCCAAGGAAAACCACAGGGTGCCCCCGGGGTGGCCACTCAGCACCTGCTGATGCTGGATTATGGCCACGTGGGAATGCAGGCGTGATATTGACTGATACCGTGGCCTTTTCAAGAGAAACTTGCAATCTCTTGACCTTTTAATGCTCGTGATCCATTCAAACAAACAAACAAGCAAACAAAAAAGTCCAGACTCTACGAGACAGGCCAGATGTGTCTGCAGCCTGCATGTTGTTCAAGAGCCCTCTGTGGGTGGCCCGGGTAGAGATCCTAAGAAATTGCAATGAATTTCACTCCATAACCAGAGGAGCCAGGAAGCAGTTCATGAAAGTTTCCTTTTATGAAACAGAAACGATAAGGCTTTCTCCTCTCCTTTCAGAAAAAAACCATGGCTTTCCCCTTTAAGAAGGAAATCTGCTTTTAATCAGCAATTTGGCAGCTGAATTTGTCAAGCTAGGAGAATGAAATCCAGACTCAGTTTTGAAATGAGTTCGTGAAAGAAAAATAAATCTTGGGGCCCCCAAAATTACTAAGCTAAAGGGAAAAGTCCAGCTGGGCACTGCTTAGAGCCCACCAGACTCCCATTCTATTCAAACCCACCCTCTACTCACTGAGATAAATGCATATCTGGCCGGGGTGCGGTGGCTCACGCCTGTAATCCCAGCACTTCGGGAGGCTGAGGCGGGCAGATCACAAGATCAGGAGATTGAGACCATCCTGGCTGACATGGTGAAACCCTGTCTCTATTAAAAATACAAAAAAATTAGCTAGGCTTAGTGGCGGGCACCTGTAGTCCCAGCTACTCGGGAGGCTGAGGCAGGAGAATCACTTGAACCTGGGAGGTGGAGGTTGCAGTGAGCCAAGATCACGCCACTGCAATCCAGGCTGGGCAACAGAGCAAGACTCCATCTCAAATAATAATAATAATAATAATAATAATAATAATAATAAATAAATAAATGCACAGCTGATTGCCTTCTTTGGAGAGGCTAATCAGAAACTCAGAAGAATGCAACCGTTTGTCTCTTATCTACCTTTGACCCGGAAGCCCCCTCCCCGCTCGAGTTGTCCCACCTTTCCAGACCAAACCAATGTTCATTTTATATATGTTGATTGATGTCTCATGCCTTCCTAAAATGTACGAAACCAAACTGTGCTCTGCTGACCTTGGGCACACATCGTCAGGACCTCCTGAGGCTGTGTCACGGGCACACGTCATCAACCTTGGCAAAATAAACTTTCTGAAAAATCTGAGACCTGTCTCAGATTTTCAGGATTCACAACTTGTACGGACTGTATTCTCTCGCTCCTTGAGTTCATGGTGAGCTCAAGGTGGAGACAATAAGAATCTTCCAAAGTGTTGCTGAGATGTTTAATCTATTTGGAACTACAAACGAATCCCCTATGCTTGGGTTTGCATCATGTTTTGTTAAATATCATTTCAGATATTTGCAGAATAATATTAACAATGACAATGAAAGCTAACGCTTATGAAGCACTTCCTTTGCGCCTGGCAGAGTTCTAACTGCCTTGTATGTACTAATTCATTTAATCCTTCTAACATTCTATGAGACAACTACTGTAACTATCCCCATTTCACGGATAAGGAATCGAGGCACAGAGAAAGTACGATTTGCCTAAGGTTGCCCGGCTAGTGAATGGCAGAGCAGAGATTTGAACTATGACAAGTGTGTATTCCAGAGTCCGTCTCTTAATCAGTGTAAAACGCAATGCCAATTTCAAAACGGTTTCTGTTACTGTAAATCACTTGTTCATAAGAGCATGAATTTTTCTGTCCTTGGAACATTTGTCCTCAGTGAATGGTTTTGTTTTGCTTTGTTTTGTTTTGTTGAGACAGTCTCGCTCTGTCGCCCAGGCTGGAGTGCAGTGGCACGATCTCGGCTCACTGCAAGCTCTGCCTCCCGGGTTTACGCCATTCTCCTGCCTCAGCCTCCTGAGTAGCTGGGACTACAGGTGCCCACCACCAAGCCTGGCTAATTTTTTGTATTTTTGATAGAGACGGGGTTTCACTGTGTCAGCCAGGCTGGTCTCGATCTCCTGACCTCATGATCTGCCCACTTTGGCCTCCCAAAGTGCTGGGATTACAGGCGTGAGCCACCGCACCAGGCCAGTCCTCAGTGAATGTTTACTGATCAACTACTATGTGCCAGGCATCGTCCCTGGCATTGGGGATACAATGGTGACCCTGACAGGGTCATGTTTTGTTCCTCATGGAGCTTATGGTCTAGCAGAGGCAGGCACAATAAACGAGCAAATCACTGAATATGCCGCGATTTTTGAGTACACAGAATAATACCCCCTCTCCAAAGATGTCCATGTCCCAATCCCCAGACCCCGTGCATATGTGACCTCACGTGGCAGAACAGACTTTGCAGATGGATTAAGTGGATGATCTGGAGATGAGGAGATTATCCTGGATTACCCGAGGGGGCTCCAGGTGATCACAAAGATCACCTTGATCACCCATAAGAGGGAGACAGAAGAGTCAGTCAGAGAAGGAGGGTGAGTACATGAAGCGGAGGTCAGGATGATGCAGGCGACTGTTGGCTTTGAAGATGGAGGATGCGGCCACCAGCCAAGGTAGGCAGGTGACATCTTAAAGCTGGAAACAAGGGTGAAACAGAGCCTCCTCTGAAGCCTCCAGAAGGAATCAGTTCTACTGACACTTTGACTTTAGCCCACTTTAGACACTTTGGACTTATGACCTCTGGAATTGTAAGAGAATGCATCTCTTTTGTTTTAAGCCACTAAGCGTGTGGTAGTTACTCCGGCAGCAATGGGAAATGAAATGAATACAGACTTACATACTTGATAACAATAAAATCAGGGTAAAGAGATGGAGCCATTCTAGACAGGTGGTCAGGAGGGAACATTTAAGAAGAAACCTGGACCAGGTGCAGTGCCTGACGCCTGTAATCCCAACATTTTGGGAGGCTGAGGCAGGCACATCACTTGAGCCCAGGAGTTCAAGACCAACCTAAGCAACTAGTGAGACCCTGTTTCTGCAAAAATAAATAAATAAATAAATTTAAAAAGGAAAAAGAAACAGGTAAAATTAATCTTAGTAACATATTAAACTTGATATATCCAAACTTGTCATTTCCACATGTAACCAATGTAAAAAAAAATCAGTAAGAGAATTTACATTCTTTATTCCACACCAGTTCTTCGAAATCCAGTGTATATACTTACACTCCCAGCACATTGCAATTTGGATGCTAAGTTTTTTCAGAAATATTTGATCTGCATTCAGAGCCCAGAAAGTTTAGAGTTGAAAAAGATGATTCACGCACCCACGTTGTTCCAAACATACTTAATTAAAACTCTCCCAATAACTGAATCAGGTGTGGGTGTTTACATTTAAATTAATTAAAACTAAATAAGGCCAGGCACGAGGGTTCACACCTGTAATCCCAGCACTTTGGGAGGCCAAGGTGGGCAGATCACTTGAGGTCAGGAGTTCGAGACCAGCCTGGCCAACATGGCGAAACCCCGTCTCTACTAAAAGTACAAAAAAATTAGCCAGGTGTGGTTGCGTGTGCCTGTATTTCCAGCTACTCGGGAGGCTGAGGCAGGAGAATCACTTGAATCCAGGAGGTGGAGGTTGCAGTGAGTCGAGATTATACCACCGCACTCCAACCTGGGCGACAGGGCAAGACTCCATCTAAAAAAAAAAAAAAAAAACCTAAATAAAATTTAAAAGCTAGTCCCTTGACCACACCTGCCCACTATGGCCTGCACAATTAGATCTTAATTGATTTCAGTCTGCTCCAGGCCCACTGCCCCTGTCCCCATCTGCCTGGCAAGAAATGTCACAGCTACTTTGGGGTCCCATCCATCCTCCTTCTTCTGTAGAGTGATGTCTGATGACTCAGCTTGGTTGCTGCTAGAAAAATGGGGGATGCCCAGGCCCTTGGTTAATGAGGCCACCATCATAACTTCTGCTCCTTTGGTTTTTGTGGGGTTTTGGGGTGATATTTTTTTTTTTTTTTGGTGAGTTTGTGTGTGAGACAGTCTCACTCTGTCGCTAGGCTGGAGTGCAGTGGCGTGATCTTGGCTTACTGCAATCTCCACCTCCTGGGTTCAAGTGATTCTCGTGCCTCAGCCTCCCAAGTAGCTGAGATTACAGGCACGCACCACCAAGCCCGGCTAATTTTTTGTACTTTTAATAAAGACGGGGTTTCAACATGTTGGCCAGGCTGGTCTCAAACTCCTGACCTCAGGTGATCTACCCGCCTTGGCCTCCCAAAGTGCTAGGATTACAGGCATGAGCCACCATGCCCAGCCTTGTTTGTTTTTGCTCTCACAGGCTGGAGTGCAGTGGTGTGATCTTGGCTCACGGCAGCCTTGAACTCCTGGGCTCAAGCGATCCTCCTCCTGCCTCAGCCTCCTGAGTAGCTGGGACGACAGGTGTGCACCACTATGCCTGGCTAATTTATTTTTAGTAGTGACGGGGTCTTGCTATGTTGCCTAGGCTGGCCTCGAACCCCTGAGCTCAAGTGATCCATCTGCCTCAGCCTCCCAAAGTGCTGGGATTACAGGCGTTAGCCACTGTGCCCAGCCCTCCTTTATTATTTACTGGGGTTCTTCTACTTGCTGCTGCAGAGTGGCTAGAAGATCCTCCCCAGAGTGGTCCCCCCAGCCCACAGCCATCCTCCCATCTTGCTGGCAAACAGGCTGTGTTCTCTCTGCCTCCCTGCACCTCCCTCATGCTGGAGTGAGCTCCATCTTTCCTTCTCCCAAAGTCCGTCTCTCCATCCTCCTCCCCACTTCTGGAGGAGATCCCAGGATTGCACCATTCAGTCCCAGCCTCTCTCCTCTTGAGACCGGAGCAGGAAAAGGAGCCACTCACACCAGGACTTTTGAGTTTTCTTCCTACTGAATATCCTATCGTCCATACTAAGGAAGGAAAAGACTTTTCTTGTGTAATACAATCTGCCCCAAGGTAGCCTTATGTTATTGAATAAAAGGCAAGGATGGGCCGGGTGTGGTGGTGTGTGCCTGTAATCCCCACTATTCGGGAGGCTGAGGCAGGGGAATTGCTTGAACCTGGGAGGAGTAGGTTGCAGTGAACCGAGATCCCACCACTGGACTCCAGCCTGGGCGACAGAGCGAGACTCCATCTCAAAAAAAAAAAAAAAAAAAAAAAAAGCAAGAGTGATGCCTTCTTCCACCCTTGAGGTTTGTTCAAATCCAGCCGACAGGAGTTCCCTGAGGTTACTGAGGAAAACTCAGGGGTCAGTTCCCTAAGGGCTGCTCTGGGCACCTCAGCAGAGATGGCTGGGGCTGCCTCGGGGCCTTAGTGCAGCGGCACCACTGCATCCAGAGATTCATGCCTCTTGTGGCTCAGCCAGCCCCCAGGGGGATGGGAGGTAGAAGGGGCTTGTTCTTCCAGTTATACAGTAAGAGCGGGCTCTCTCGGTGGGCGGGTGGCCCCGTCTGTGGCCGCATTCCCTCCCCTCCCCAGCAATACTCCCTGGCTTCTCTGGCTGAGGCTGCATCTCATCCGCAGGTGGGGGTGAACTCAGATGACTCAGATGATGGATAGTGGGCCAGGGTGGGCCCCCATGACCTGTGTATCTACAGGAAGGCCCACCTGTCCTTTGGCTTCAGCTTCTGTTTCCTGACTTATAGAGAGAGGTGGCATAACAGCTCAAGATATGGGCTCTGGGGTCAGGCAGCCCATGTGCATGGCTGCTTTGCTGTGTGATCTTCAATAAGTAGCTTGCCCTCTCTGTGCGTTCATTTCCTCTTTCATCACATTGGGAATAATGATGAGTACCTCAGGGAGTTATGAAAATTAAAACTAGTTAACTTGTATAAAATTGTTACCATGACAACTAGAAGAGAGGTGATAGATAAATGTTAGATATTTTATCATTATTATTATTACTTGTTTGTTTTCTGAGACAGAGTTTCACTCTTGTTACCTAGGCTGGAGTGCAATGGCGCGATCTCGACTCACTGCAACCTCTGCCTCCCGGGTTCAAGTAATTCTCCTGCCTCAGCCTCCCAAGTTGCTGGGATTACAGGGGCCCACCACCACGCCCAGGTAATTTTTGTATTTTTAGTAGAGATGGGGTTTTGCCATGTTGGCCAGGCTGGTCTCGAACTCCTGACCTCAGATGATCCACCCGCCTCAGCCTCCCAAAGTGCTGGGATTGCAGGCGTGAGCCACCGCGCCCAACCTGATATTTTATTATTTTTAAAGTGATGATTATTCCTAATTCCTGAGACGTGTCTCTCTTTCAGCGTCTTCCTATCTTTTTGGCCACATCTCTCAGTGTGTTCCCAGCTCTCTCCTACTCTCCATCTACCCACTTCTGTCTGTTCTTCTCTTTTGGCCTCAGTCTTTCTGTGACCTTGGTAAACTACTTACCCTCTCTGTGCCTCAGTTTCTCCATCTGTCAAACAAAGTTCATAGCAGCATCTACTTCTTAGATTTTTTTGAGGAATACATTTGTTATTGCATTTAAAATACTTAGAAGAGGGCCAGACATAAGGTAAGTTCTTGACCTCCTTACAATTAATTTAACATATTCTAAAGGTTAATTAATAGTAAGCTACCATTGTTGTCTGTTGTTATTTTCTCTCTCCGTCAGCCTTCATCTCTCCCTCTCCTGTCTGTCTCTCTCTATTTTTGTATCTCCCTTTATCCATCCACTCAACACATCTGCAGTGAATAGTTTTTATCAGTGAACATAACAGACACCAGCCCTGTCCCCAAGGGGCTCCCACACTAATGAAAGAAACAGCTACTAGAAAAATAAACACACAAGACGGGCGCGGTGGCTCTCGCCTGTAATCCCAGCACTTTGGGAGGCCAAGGTGGGCGGATCACCTGAAGTCAGGAGTTTGAGACCAGCCTAGCCAACATGGTGAAACCCCATCTCTACTAAAAATACAAAAATTAGCCAGAATTGGTGGCAGGCACCTATAATCCCAGTTACTGGGGAGGCTGAGGCAGGAGAATCGCTTGAACCCGGGGGGCGGAGGTTGCAGTGAGCAGAGATCGCACCACTCTACTCCAGCCTGGGTAACACAGTGAGACTCCATCTCAAAGAAACAAACAAACAAACAAAAAAGAAAAAAAAAGAAAAAGAAACACATAATAATACGTGTATACATTGTACCAAATTCTCTAAAGGAGCATGTAGGATGCTATAAGATGAAAAAACAAATAGGGGAGTGAAGACCCTGAATCAGACTAGGGGAGGGCTCAGGGAAGGGCTCTGAAGAAGTAACACTTGAGTTGAGACACAATGAAGAGAGCGAAGGGAGAAGTGTTGGAAGCGCATGGAAAACAAAGACAGAGCAACATGAGAGAAGACAGGAGGAAAGTGGAGACAGAGAAAGATAGACAGAGACAAAGGTGCAGAGCCACAGACAGAGAGACAGAGACAGAGATGGGAGGAGAGAGACACAGAGAAAGATGGACAGAGACAGGTGCGGAGACACAGACAGAGAGACAGAGACAGAGATGGGAGGAGAGAGACACAGAGAAAGATGGACAGACACACAGGTGCGGAGACACAGACAGAGAGACAGAGACAGAGATGGGAGGAGAGAGAGACACAGAGAAAGATGGACAGAGACATGTGCGAAGCCACAGACAGAGAGACAGAGACAGAGATGGGAGGAGAGAGAGAGACACAGAGAAAGATGGACAGAGACACAGGTGCGGAGACACAGACAGAGAGACAGAGACAGAGATGGGAGGAGAGAGACACAGAGAAAGATGGACAGACACACAGGTGCGGAGACACAGACAGAGAGACAGAGACAGAGATGGGAGGAGAGAGACACAGAGAAAGATGGACAGACACAGGTGCAGAGACAGACAGAGAGACAGAGACAGAGATGGGAGGAGAGAGACACAGAGAAAGATGGACAGACAGGTGCGGAGACAGACAGAGAGACAGAGACAGAGATGGGAGGAGAGAGAGACAGAGAAAGATGGACAGACACACAGGTGCGGAGACACAGACAGAGAGACAGAGACAGAGATGGGAGGAGAGAGAGACACAGAGAAAGATGGACAGAGACAGGTGCGAAGCCACAGACAGAGAGACAGAGACAGAGATGGGAGGAGAGAGAGACACAGAGAAAGATGGACAGAGACACAGGTGCGGAGACACAGACAGAGAGACAGAGACAGAGATGGGAGGAGAGAGAGACACAGAGAAAGATGGACAGACACACAGGTGCGGAGACACAGACAGAGAGACAGAGACAGAGATGGGAGGAGAGAGACACAGAGAAAGATGGACAGACACAGGTGCAGAGACAGACAGAGAGACAGAGACAGAGATGGGAGGAGAGAGACACAGAGAAAGATGGACAGACAGGTGCGGAGACAGACAGAGAGACAGAGACAGAGATGGGAGGAGAGAGACACAGAGAAAGATGGACAGAGACAGGTGCGGAGCCACAGACAGAGACAGAGATGGGAGGAGAGAGACACAGAGAAAGATGGACAGACACAGGTGCAGAGACACAGACAGAGAGAGAAGGCAAGGTGAGACAGAGACAGGAGGAAAGAGAGACACACAGGGGCAGACAGAGACAGACAGAGATCAGAGGGTCACAGACAGAGGTCAGAGGGAGAGCGAGAGAGAAGGGATCAGAGAGAGAAAGGGACAGGGACAGGGAAAAGAGAGACAGAGACAGAAACCTGCCAGGGCTTCCTGTTCTGTGGTCCCAGCCTATGTCCCGTCCTGCCCAGAGTTATCTGGGGGCGCACGGGCCCAGGACAGAGTTGGGGGAGGGTCTCACTTGGGATGCTTCCAGTCTGGCAGGTGAGAGAAACAGAGACAAGGGGGAGAGAGACAGAGATGGGACCAGAGAGGCAGAGGAAAAGAGAGCCAGAGAGAAAGAGAGACAGACACACGGGGTGGGCTGTGGGGGAAAGAAGTAAGGAAGGAGAAGGAAAGAGTGTTAGAGACCCAGGAGAGACAGAGAGACACAGAGACATTCCTGCCTCGTCGCGGTCACCTGCGGGCACTATCCCTCACCCGCGCCGGCTCCGCGGTCTACACCCACCCACTCCTTGGATGATCTCACCCGGCCTCGTGGCTGTAAACACCACCTCTCCCCTGATGAGTCCCCGCTGTTTCTCGGCAGTCCTGACCTCGGCCTGCCCCTCCGTGCACCCTCCGCGGTCTACGGCACCCTCTCACCCCCCACCCCCCTTCCCGCACCTATGCGTCTCCACAAGATCCGTAGAGCGCAAGCCAGCAGACCAAGCCTCCACGCCATCCTTGGCCCCTCTGCTCCTGGCCCCCCACTTTCCATCCATCGGGCAGTAACTTGGCTCCACATGCAGAGGGGACCCCGTGTCCATTCACCTCTCTTCTCCCTTGACCCCGTCACCTCCCACCTGGGCTGTTGCCACTGCCCCCCGCCCCGCCCCCACCATCACTCTCCAAGCTGGAAGTTTTTAAAAAGTAAATAAGATTATGTCACTCCATCCTCGTGCTTAAAATCCATTGCACTTAAGTAAAACCCAAGCTCCTTAATCCTGGTACGTAAACTCCTGCAGGCCCGCCCGGTTCCCGGTCTGCGCTCCTACCCGCCCTGCCCTCCTACCCGCCCTGCCCTCCTCTGGCTGGAGCCAAGTTCTCCCCTGCACCCCGCAACCGCCCCTGCTGCGGCGACCCTCCTCCTCCTCTTCCCTGGGATCTCAGCTTAAATGTTCCCCTTCTCTGAGTCTCCCCGACCACCACCTTATATGCTGGTCCCTGCAGTTTTCCTTTATGGTCTGTGCCCCCGGGTAGGACGCGATCCCCAGTGACGAGGACTTTGCTGGTTCCTCCTGTGGCCCCAGCACCTGCCGCAGAGCTCGGAGTGTGGTAGGCACTCAGCTGCTTTTCACTGAGCGAAGACTTTTTAGTTCTCCCGCTCACCGAGAGCCTACAATGTGCCTGGCACTGTGTGCCTTTCCCTGAATTACCTCTTTGAATCCACTTGGGAAATGGGGCATAATGGTCACTCCAGTTTTACAGTTGGAAAAACAGGCTCACAGGGGTGCAGTCACTTGCCCAAGGTTCCAAAAATAGTTCGTGATGTAGGCTGGATACGAACCTGGGGAAATTTGCTGGAGAAGCACAGAAAGAGAGGGATGAAGGAGGAGGGGAGAGAGAGAGAGAGATTTAATTTAAAAAGAGAAAGAACATGAGAGAGAACAGGAGAGAATGAGAGGAAATGAAAGAAAACACGAGAAAAATAATGAGAGAGAGAATGAGAGAAAGAAAGAAGAAGAGAAAGAGAAAATGAGAGATACAGGCAAGAGAGAGGTATCTCATGAGAGAGAATAAGAACATGAAAAGAGAAAGAATGAGAGAGAGAGAGAGAAAGAAAAAGGAGAGTGGAGTCTAGGATCTGGGCAGGGGTCTCCTCCCTGGGTCCCTAGACCCTGCTGCCAGCCCCTTCTGGGCCCCCAACCACTGCCTGGTCAGAGTTGAGGCAGCCTGAGAGAGTTGAGCTGGAAGTTTGCAGCACCTGACCCCTGGAACACATCCCCTGGGGGCAGGCCAGCCCAGGCTGAGGATGCTTATAAGCCCCAAGGAGGCCCCTGCGGGAGGCAGCAGGCTGGAGCTCAGCCCAGCAGTGGAATCCAGGAGCCCAGAGGTGGCCGGGTAAGAGGCCTGGTGGTCCCCCACTAAAAGCCTGCAGTGTTCATGATCCAACTCTCCCTACAGCTCCATGTCGCTGGATTCTCAGCCTCTGTGCCTTCTGTCTCCACATCTCTCTAGACAGATCTCTCACTGTCTCTAGTTAGGAGTCACTGTCTCTAGTTAGGGGTCTCTCTGTCTCTCTGAATCTATATCTCCATGTCTAACTCTCAGACTGTCTCTGAGGATATCTCTCAAGCACTCTGTCTCTCCGGCTCTGATTCTCTGTGTGTCTTCCCTCCATGCTTGTTTGTGGGTGGCTAGACACCATCTCTCCCCATTCACAGATGGCTAGATGCTTTCTCTAAACTTTCCTTTCTACCTAGTTCTCTCTCTCTCTCTCTTTTCCCATCTCTCTCTCTCTTTTTCTCTCTCAGTCTCTAAATCTGTCTCTCTAGGTTCTGGGTCCATGGATGGGAGAGGGGGTAGATGGTCTAGGCTCTTGCCTACCTAATAACGTCCCAGAGGGAAGAAAGGGAGGGACAAAGAGAGGGATGGAGAGACTTGGGCTGAAGATCCCCAGACACGGCTAAGTCTCAGTCCTCATCCCCAGGTGCTGACGTGATGGCCACAGCAGGAAATCCCTGGGGCTGGTTCCTGGGGTACCTCATCCTTGGTGTCGCAGGTATCTGAGTATGCGTGTGTGTGTCTGTCCGTGCTTGGGGGCACAGTGTTTGTTAATGTTCAGGTGTGACTCAGTGTCCTCTTGCTTGTGACTGCAAAGCTGCCTGTGAGACGGTACCGTGTTATCCGTCCCCCATGGCTGTGCCCCTGCAACTCCTTGTATCGTGGTAAATTTGTGTGTGGCAGTGTGCCTGGGTGTGTGGTTGTACCTGTGAGACTCTGACAGTTTGTGCCTCTGAATATCTGGTGGAGTGACAACAGTGTAATGATGATATGGGGACAGGGGAAGCCGAGGGTGCAGGAGATTGTGCTTCCTGGGGCGTGATCCATTGCTGGGAATCTGTGCCTGCTTCCTGGGTCTTCAGTCCTGAGATCCCCCTCTCCCATCCCCAAGGAACTCACCTCACAGGACTATAAAACGGTGTTTTGGTGTGCATGGGCTTGTGGCTTGGTGTGACTGTGGGCAAGGCTGGGAGAGGATAGGAGTGACTCGGCGCAGGACCGACTCTTTGAGCATCAGTCTGCGCAGACAAGTGACCCGATCCTTGCTCCCAGCAACAACTCCACCCCCTGAGCTTTAATTCACCCCGAAGGACCCGATCCTACTGCTATGAGCCTAGACTCCTCTGTTGAACCCCTCCTGACCGTGGCTTTGCACCGCGATGGCACCAGTCTCACCTCCAGAGCTCACCCCAGAGCCCTGACTCCGCCCCAGAAGCCCTGGTCCCACCTTCTGAGACTGCCTCTAGCCATAACCCAGCTCTTGAAGCCTTGATGGCGCCCCTGCGCTGTAACCCCAACCCTAGGAGCACTGATCCCGCCTTCTCAGCCCACCCCCATGCCCTGACTCTCCTCCCAGGAGCCCTGACTACCCTGAATCCCTGACCAGGCTCCTGCACCGTGATCACCGCCCCTGGGAGCCCTAGGCCTATATCCTGGACCAGCCCCTGAAGCTCCGATCATGACCCCTGCACCATAACCCCACCCCCAGGAGCCCTGGGTCCGCCCCCTGGGCCCGCCCCCAGCCCTGACTCGGCCCCCCAAGAGTCCTGACTGCTCCTGAAGCCCTGACCACGCCCCTGCTCGGTAACCCCTCCCCCAAGAGCCCTGGGCCCGCCTCCTGAGCCCGTTCCCAGCCCTGACTCCGCCCCGAGGAGCCCTGACTGCTCCTGAACCTCTGACCACGCCCCTGCTCGGTAAGCCCACCCCCAGGAACCCTGGGCCCGCCTCCTGGTCCCGATCCCATCCCTGACTCCGCCCTCAGGATCGCTCGTCTCTGGTAGCTGCAGCCAAATCATAAACGGCGAGGACTGCAGCCCGCACTCGCAGCCCTGGCAGGCGGCACTGGTCATGGAAAACGAATTGTTCTGCTCGGGCGTCCTGGTGCATCCGCAGTGGGTGCTGTCAGCCGCACACTGTTTCCAGAAGTGAGTGCAGAGGTAGGGGGAGTGGGCAGGGCCTGGGTCCGGGGGCGGGGCCTAATATCAGGCTCATCTTGGGGTGCTCAGGGGGAAACAGCGGTGAAGGCTCTGGGAGGAGGACGGAATGAGCCTGGATCCGGGGAGCCCCAGAGGGAAGGGCTGGGAGGCGGGAATCTTGCTTCGGAAGGACTCAGAGAGTCCTGACTTGAAATCTCAGCCCAGTGCTGAGTCTCTAGTGAACTAAGGCAAGTTCTTGTCCCTGAATTTTTGTGAATGAGGATTTGAGACCATGGTTAAGTAGCTCTTAGGGTGTTTAGCGAAGAGGGTGGGGTTGGGGTTAGGAGATGGGGATGGGAATGGGGTTGAAGATGAGAATGGAGGTAAGGATGTAGTTGCCACAAAACTGACCTGCCCTCCGTGGCCCACAGCTCCTACACCATCGGGCTGGGCCTGCACAGTCTTGAGGCCGACCAAGAGCCAGGGAGCCAGATGGTGGAGGCCAGCCTCTCCGTACGGCACCCAGAGTACAACAGACCCTTGCTCGCTAACGACCTCATGCTCATCAAGTTGGACGAATCCGTGTCCGAGTCTGACACCATCCGGAGCATCAGCATTGCTTCGCAGTGCCCTACCGCGGGGAACTCTTGCCTCGTTTCTGGCTGGGGTCTGCTGGCGAACGGTGAGCTCACGGGTGTGTGTCTGCCCTCTTCAAGGAGGTCCTCTGCCCAGTCGCGGGGGCTGACCCAGAGCTCTGCGTCCCAGGCAGAATGCCTACCGTGCTGCAGTGCGTGAACGTGTCGGTGGTGTCTGAGGAGGTCTGCAGTAAGCTCTATGACCCGCTGTACCACCCCAGCATGTTCTGCGCCGGCGGAGGGCAAGACCAGAAGGACTCCTGCAACGTGAGAGAGGGGAAAGGGGAGGGCAGGCGACTCAGGGAAGGGTGGAGAAGGGGGAGACAGAGACACACAGGGCCGCATGGCGAGATGCAGAGATGGAGAGACACACAGGGAGACAGTGACAACTAGAGAGAGAAACTGAGAGAAACAGAGAAATAAACACAGGAATAAAGAGAAGCAAAGGAAGAGAGAAACAGAAACAGACATGGGGAGGCAGAAACACACACACATAGAAATGCAGTTGACCTTCCAACAGCATGGGGCCTGAGGGCGGTGACCTCCACCCAACAGAAAATCCTCTTATAACTTTTGACTCCCCAAAAACCTGACTAGAAATAGCCTACTGTTGACGGGGAGCCTTACCAATAACATAAATAGTCGATTTATGCATACGTTTTATGCATTCATGATATACCTTTGTTGGAATTTTTTGATATTTCTAAGCTACACAGTTCGTCTGTGAATTTTTTTAAATTGTTGCAACTCTCCTAAAATTTTTCTAATGTGTTTATTGAAAAAATCCAAGTATAAGTGGACTTGTGCAGTTCAAACCAGGGTTGTTCAAGGGTCAACTGTGTACCCAGAGGGAAACAGTGACACAGATTCATAGAGGTGAAACACGAAGAGAAACAGGAAAAATCAAGACTCTACAAAGAGGCTGGGCAGGGTGGCTCATGCCTGTAATCCCAGCACTTTGGGAGGCGAGGCAGGCAGATCACTTGAGGTAAGGAGTTCAAGACCAGCCTGGCCAAAATGGTGAAATCCTGTCTGTACTAAAAATACAAAAGTTAGCTGGATATGGTGGCAGGCGCCTGTAATCCCAGCTACTTGGGAGGCTGAGGCAGAAGAATTGCTTGAATATGGGAGGCAGAGGTTGAAGTGAGTTGAGATCACACCACTATACTCCAGCTGGGGCAACAGAGTAAGACTCTGTCTCAAAAAAAAAAAAAAAAAAAAGACTTTACAAAGAGATGCAGAGACACTGAGACAGATAAACAAGCCACAAAGGAGACAAAGGAGAGACAGACAAACAGAAACAGACAGACCACAAGCCCAAGAGAAGCAGCCAGCATTCAGGACATAGGACATCGGGAAGCAGGATTAGATGAAGTCAGGGATCTGGAATGGGACTTCCAACAGATATGTTGCTGGGCTATGTTGTTATTGATGATGGTTCTGTCTTTGTTTCTCAGTCTCATTTAGTTCCTTTCTGAGCCCACATCCATTTCCACCTCTCTGTGTTTTGAATTCTGACTCTCCCTCTCTTCACAACAGGGTGACTCTGGGGGGCCCCTGATCTGCAACGGGTACTTGCAGGGCCTTGTGTCTTTCGGAAAAGCCCCGTGTGGCCAAGTTGGCGTGCCAGGTGTCTACACCAACCTCTGCAAATTCACTGAGTGGATAGAGAAAACCGTCCAGGCCAGTTAACTCTGGGGACTGGGAACCCATGAAATTGACCCCCAAATACATCCTGCGGAAGGAATTCAGGAATATCTGTTCCCAGCCCCTCCTCCCTCAGGCCCAGGAGTCCAGGCCCCCAGCCCCTCCTCCCTCAAACCAAGGGTACAGATCCCCAGCCCCTCCTCCCTCAGACCCAGGAGTCCAGACCCCCCAGCCCCTCCTCCCTCAGACCCAGGAGTCCAGCCCCTCCTCCCTCAGACCCAGGAGTCCAGACCCCCCAGCCCCTCCTCCCTCAGACCCAGGAGTCCAGCCCCTCCTCCCTCAGACCCAGGAGTCCAGACCCCCCAGCCCCTCCTCCCTCAGACCCAGGGGTCCAGGCCCCCAACCCCTCCTCCCTCAGACTCAGAGGTCCAGGCCCCCAACCCCTCCTTCCCCAGACCCAGAGGTCCAGGTCCCAGCCCCTCCTCCCTCAGACCCAGCGGTCCAATGCCACCTAGACTCTCCCTGTACACAGTGCCCCCTTGTGGCACGTTGACCCAACCTTACCAGTTGGTTTTTCATTTTTTGTCCCTTTCCCCTAGATCCAGAAATAAAGTCTAAGAGAAGCGCAGGTTCTGTTTGTAGTGTCCTCCTTGCTTCCCCTTCCATTCAAGAGATTCCAGCAAATGGCTTTCCCTCCATGGGTCGCATTTCCCTATCTGGGAAATGCGAGCTTTGACCAGGAGGGCCACAGAGTTTCAGAGGGAGGGGCCATTCCCTGGATAGTTAAGAGAAACCAGTGCCATGGATGTTGTCCAGTTTCTGAAAAGTCAGGTCAGCAAATGGTAACCGTAGAGATTTTCTTGCTTAGTTTAACTATTCAGCTTTAGTTGATCTATATTCATTTTTGTCTTCTTAACTGCATTTCAAGAATTTTTAATTTGCATGTGTCTCAGAAGTTGGCTGCTGCAGCTAGAGTCTAGTGGGGAGAATTGTGGCGAGGGCTACTGTGAGTGACAGCAACAGAGACCAAGGAGTAGAAAGAGGGAAGTTTGAGGGGCACAATGGGGCAACTGAGGGGCAAGGAGATGGGAGACTGAATAAGTATATAGATAATTTGAACAGTATGATTAACATACTCTATTTAATGGTCATATATGGAATGTTGCACCCAGTATCTGAAAAATATAGAATCATTTCAAAAGACATACAGCTACCAGAATGGCTAAAATTGAAAAGAATAACAGCATCAAGTCTTGGTTATATCTACAGCAGCTGTAACTCTCCTACATTGCTGGGGGTAGGGGGTAAAATGCTACAACCATTTTGGAAAACAGCTTGGCAGATTCTTAGAAAGACAGGCATACATCCACATGACGGCTAGCAATTCTACTCCTAGGTATTTAGGTAATAGCCATAGAAAACACTTCCCTAAGAATGTTTATAGTAGCTTCATGCATAATAATGAAATTGGAAATGCAGCAAATGTCTATCAGTAAGTGAGTGGATAAGCGAACTGTGATATATCCATACAATGGATTGCTACTCTGCACCAGAAAGAAATAAACTATTGATATAAGCAACAACATACATGCATCTCAAAATCATTATTCTGAGTGAAAGAAGCCAGACACAAAATATGATACACTATATGATTATATTTATATGAAATTCTAGAACAGGCAAAATTATTCAATGTGGCCTGGTTGCTGGGATGGGAGAGGGGAATAGGTATAGAAACAGATTGGGGTCAGGTGCGGTGGCTCACCTGTAATCCCAGCACTTTGGGAGGACAAGGTGGGCAGGAGTTCAAGACCAGCCTGGCCAACATGGTGAAACCCCGTCTCTACTAAAAATACCAAAATTAGCCAGGCATAGTGGCAGGTGCCTGTAATCCCAGCTACTCAGGAGGCTGAATCAGGAGAATCACTTGAACCCAGGAGGTGGAGGTTGCAGTGAGCCAAGATCGCGCCACTGCACTCGAGCCAGGGTGACAGAGCAAGACTCCATCTCAAAAAAAAAAAAAAAAATTAGATGGGTGTGTTGGTGGGGGCCTGTAATTCCAGCTACTCTGGAGGCTGAGGTGGGAGACTTGCTTGAACCCAGGAGGCAGAGGCTGCAGTGAGCCGAGATCACACCACTGCACAGCAGTCTGGGCAAAAGAGTGAGACTCCATCTCAAAAATAAAAGTAAAAAAAAAAAAAACAGACTGGGAATAAGGGTAAAAGAACGTTCTCGGGTGATGGGAATTTTCCATAACTTTACAGGAGTGAGGATTACATGAGTATGCATTTGCCAAAACTCATTGAACTCTAACGCCACACTGTGCATACCTCAATAAAAACTTTACCTCAATTTAAAAACCACACATAGCATTTACAAAAGTGAACCTGTTACTGAGGTACGAAGCAAGTCTCAACAAATTTCCAAGTTGGAATATATAGAGTATGTTGTCTGACCACAATGTAATTAAGCTAGAAATCATGATAACCAGAAAATCCTCATGTGTTTTCAAAATGGTCTTAGGGAGTGCAAGTGCACTTTTTTGTTTTTTGTTTTTGAGGCGGAGTCGCGCTCTGGCTCTGTCGCCCAGGCTGGAGTGCAGTGGCACGATCTCCGCTCACTGCAGGCTCCGCCCCCCGGGTTTACGCCATTCTCCTGCCTCAGCCTCGCGAGTAGCTGGGACTACAGGCGCCCGCCACCTCGCCCGGCTAATTTTTTGTATTTTTGGTAGAGACGGGGTTTCACCGTGTTAGCCAGGATGGTCTCGATCTCCTGACCTCAGGCGATCCTCCCACCTCAGCCTCCCAAAGTGCTGGGATTACAGGCGTGAGCCACCGCGCCCCGCCCGCAAGTGCAGGTTTCTTACAGGGATATGTTGTGTGGTGGTGAACTCTGGGCTTTTTACTGTACCCATCACCCAAGTAGTGTGCACTGTGCCCAACAGGTCATTTTCCTCCTTCGCCTCACCCCCTCTCATGCTTCCACCTTTCGGAGTCTCCAGTGTCTATTATTTCACTCTATGCCTGTCTGTACCCACTGTTTAGCTCCCATTTATAAGACAGAACATGTGGTATTTGACTGGCTGTTTCTGAGTTATCTCATCTAGGACTGTGCGTTTTGATTTTAAAAGAACACCTCTAAAGAACCCAGAGTTCAAACAAGAGATATAATGGAAATTAGAAAATATTTGGAATTAAATGCTAAGGAAAATACCAGATGTATACACATGTATTGCGTATGCCTACTACAGTGCTCGGAGAGAAACATGCAGCCATAAGCACATAATTATAGAAGAAAAAGAGCTGGCCGGGCGTGGTGGCTCACACCTGTAATCCCAGCACTTTGGTAGGCCGAGGTGGGCAGATCACCTGAGGTCAGGAGTTTGAGACCAGCCTGACCAACATGGTGAAACCCCGTCTCTACTAAAAATACAAAAATTAGCTGGGCATGGTGGCATGTGCCTGTAATCCCAGCTACTCTGGAGGCTGAGGCAGGAGAATCACATGAACCTGGGAGGCGGAGGTTGCAGTGAGCCAAGATCACGCCATTGCACTCCAGCCTGGGCAACAGAGCAAGACTCTGTCTCAAAAAAATAATAATAAAACATTTTAGTTGATATGATTGTGAATGCAGAAAGTCCCAAATAATCAATAAATAATTATAGAAATAATCATATCATTTAGCAAGATTGTTGGAAGCAAATGAATAAAAAATCAACTGCATTTCTATGTAACTGCCACAAAATTTTAAAAAATCAAAAAATGTAAAATCCATGAAGACCCTAAAAATAAGTCTTCAAAGATATCCAATACCATAGAGAGATATTAAAGAAGACCAAAGGCCAGGCGCAGCAGTTCACGCCTGTAATCCCAGCTGCTCAGGAGGCTGAGACAGGAGAATCCCTTGAACCCGGGAGGCGACAATTGTAGTGAGCTGAGATCGCACCACTGCACTCCAGCCTGGGCAACAGAGCAAGACTCCATCTCGAAAGAAGAGAAGGGAAGGGGAGGGGAAGGGAGGGTAGGGGAGGGGAAGGGAGGGGAGGGGAGGGGAGGGGAGGGGAGGGGAGAAAGAAAAGAAAGACCAAAATAAATGGAGAGATATATTGTTCCATGTGCACGGAGGGGAAAACTCAATGTTGTAAAGAGGAGAAATATCTCCAAATTTATTTTAAAATTCAATGTATTCCAAACCAAAATCTCAGCAGGATTTTTCTGGAGCCTGACAGACTGTTTCTAAAATTTATGAAGAAGAAAGGGCAAGGGCAAAGGTCAGCCAGCACACTTCCAAAGAAAAGCAAGGAGGGTAGCCTTTTCTACTTGTAACTTATCACGAGAAGTGTGATATTAGCACAGACATAGACAAACATACCAATAGAATAGAACCCAGAGCCAGAAGCAGACCTATGCATTTATAGGCACTTTATGTGAAACAGAAATCACACTGCAAAGCAGTGGAGAAAATGTCTTTTCAGTAGGTATTGCTGGGAAAATTGGGTATCAGTATGGAAAAAAAATGGCATTGAACTCCTACCTTACACCACACACGGAAATCAGTTCCAAGTAGATTAGACCTGATTAAGGCAAGACAATGTAACTTTTAGGACATAATTTAGGAGGATATTTCCATGACCTCAAGTAGAAATGGTAAAGATATGCATATCTTTTTTTTTTTTTTTTTTTTGAAACGGAATTTCGCTCTTGTTGCCCAGGCTGGATTGCAGTTGCACGATCTCGGCTCACTGCAACCTCTGCCTCCCTGGTTCAAGCGATTCTCATACCTCAGCCTCCTGAGTAGCTGGGATTACAGGCATCTGCCACCACACCTGGCTAATTTTTTGTATTTTTAATAGAGACAGGGTTTCACCATGTTGGCCAGGCTGGCCTTGAACTCCTGACCTCAGGTGATCTGCTTGCCTCGGCCTCCCAAAGTGCTAGGATTACAGGCATGAACCACCACACCTGGCCAAGATATGCATATCTAATGCCCAGAAATTTCACTCCTGAGTATACGCACTAAAGAAACTTATGCATATCTGCAATATATAGGATATATATAATGATTTAGACTCTATATATGTGCGCCTATATATATGTTCATGGAAGCTTTTTTTTTTATAACAGCATCTAACTGGAAACAATCAATCCAACAGGTAAAACTAGTAAATTGGATAAGTAATTTCTGGCATATTCATACAATGAATATTCAGTCACAAAAAGGAATGAAATACTAAACATGGATGAACTTTGAAAACATGATGCTAAGTGAAATAATTCAGCCACAAAAGGCTGAATTATTCCATTCCATCTCTTGTGGCTGAATTATGCTTCTATTTATATGAAATACAGAATAGGCAAATCCATAGAGACAGAAAGCAGATTAGCAATTGCCAGGAGCTGGGGCTCGGGGGGAGTGGGGAGTGATTGCTAATGTGTACAAGGCTTCCTTTTGGGGTAATAAAAATGTTCTGGATTAATACTGGTAGGGTTGTACATCGTGAGTGTCCTAAATGCCACTAATTGTAAATTTTATATTTTGTGTACTTTACCACAATAAAAAAGAATGAGGACATAAATTTCCATAACACTATTAACCTATCTATACAATTTCTACATATAGAAATCTAAACCTAGCCCACTTTGGGAGGCCGAGGCAGGCGGTTCACCTGAGGTCAGGAGTTCAAGACCAGTCTGGCCAACATGGCGAAACCCTGTCTCTATTAAAAAAACAAAAATTAGCCAGACCTGGTGGTACGTGCCTGTAATCCCAGCTACTAGAGAGGCTGAGGCAGGAGAATCACTTGAACCCAGGAAGTGGAGGTTGCAGTGAGCCAAGATGGCACCACTGCACTCCAGCCTGGGCAACAGAGTAAGACTTTGTCTCAAAAAAAAAAAAAAATTCACAGGCACCAGGCATTGCAGCACTTTGGAGGCTGAGGCAAGAGGATTGCTTGAGGCCAGGAGTTTGAGACCAGCCTGGGCAATATAGCAAGACTCCATGTCTACAATTTTTTTTAAATTAGCTGGGTGTGGTGGTGTGCACCTATAGCCTCAGCTACTCAGGAGGCTGAGGCAGGAGAACTGCTTGAGCCTAGGAGTTCTTGGCTCCAGTGAGCTATGCTCACACCAGCCTGGGTGACAGAGCAAGACCCTGTCTCTAAAAGAAAAAAACATTCATAGGACCTCAGGGGATGAGTGGACAGTTCATAAGACCTTAGTGAATGGATGGACAGGTCATTTTACTCATCTCAGGTTTACCTGGATAGACATGAACTTGATCAGTAATTTTGCCTTAGATGGTTCTACAAGCAGCCTGGAGGGGTTGCCTATAATAACAAAATGGTGACACCTGGGCCCCTGCGGCACTCCTTGCTCTGAAGAAAAGACAGACAGTTCAGGTCAACTCCATAGGACGATGCCAGACCTCAGTTAGTTGGGTAGAAACATGTTGAGTCACAGGGAGCAGGCAGGAGTCCCCAGTGGTAGGAAGGGAAGACCTCTCTCTCTGTGTTATACTGACAACTAGACCAAACGACTTTTCATGATTATCCAGACAATGTTTTATAAAGGTCAGGTAGGAGACTGGCAGGACTTGTTTTCTGGTCACAACCCTGCTGACCAAAACAAGTCCAGGCAGGATAAAATTCAAAAAAAACAAAAAAACAAAAAAAAAGGCTGGGTGTGGTGGCTCACGCCTGTAATCCCAGCACTTTGGGAAGCCGAGGCAGGTAGATCACGAGGTCAGGAGATCGAGACCATCCTAGCTAACACGGTGAAACTCCATCTCTACTAAAAAACAAAAAATTAGCCAGGCGTGGTGGCAGGCGCCTGTAGTCCCAGCTACTCGGGAGGCTGAGGCAGGAGAATGGTGTAAACCCGGGAGGTGGAGCTCGCAGTGAGCCGAGATTGTGCCACTGCACTCCAGCCTGGGCGACAGAGCAAGACTCCATCTTAAAAAAAAAAAAAAAAAAAAAAAAAAAAAAAAAACCAGCAGGAATGACCAGATGAAGACAAAAGTGATCCCTATCTGCTCTCATTGCTCATTGGTATAGAACACCCTCACCAGTGTCATGGCATTTATAAACTGTCATGGCAATGACCTGAAAGTTACTTCCCCTTTCCATGGCAATGACCCAGAAGTTACCTCCCCTTTCCATGGCAGTGACCCGGAAGTTACTGCTCCTTTCCATGCCAATGACCTGGAAGTTACTGCTCTTTTCCTAGAAAGTTCTAAATAAATGACCCCTCAATTTACATTGACCCATTACTTAATTTGCATGTAATTGAAAGTGGATTTACATGAGTATAAATATAGTTGCCAAGAGCCCATAGGTGGCTGACTCTGGGCACATTGCCTATGAGTTAGCCCTGCTTCGCAAGGAGCAGCACCATTCAACGAAAATTGCTGTCTCACACTACCAGCACCCTTGAATCCTTTCCTAAGTGAAGCCAAGAACCCTCCTTGGCTAAACCCCAATTTCAGGGCTAAACTGTACTGCAATGAAGTGACAGTCTCTTGTGATCTACATAAAAAAATCTTAACTCCAAAATGAGGACCTCAGTCACCAAATTCAGATTCTAGACTTTGAGCTTCATCTTCCTGGAGATCAGACTTGTGGTCCAAGCTCTAGATATCAGACCAGTCTTTGGACTCTAGAACCAAGACTTCCATTTCTGGATTCCATTTTCCAGGTTCCAGTTTAATCAGAAGTAAACAAATCACCCCTGCAGGCCAAATCCAGCTGCTGTGTGTTTTTGTAAATAACATTTTGTTGGAACATACATTAATTCCTTCTTGTGTTGTCTATGACTGCTTTTATGCTGGGACAGCAGAAATGAGCAATTACAGCACAGACTGTCTGGCCCACAAAGCCTAACATAATTACTTTCTGGACTTCTACAGAAATAGTTTGCTGATGTCTCGTCTAGATTCCAGATGCTTCACTCCAAACCCCAAAATCCCAGAATTCAGATTCCAAGCTCTAGATTCCACAGCACAAACTGGAGATTCTGGAGGTTGACTCCAGACCTCAGACCCAGCCTCCAAACTCCATTCCTCTGCTCTAGATTCCCAACCCCAGACCCCTGACAAGACCCCAACCACCCTCTAGAGACTAAGAGATCTCTCCAGTGAGAGATCTACTGAAAGAGACAGGAAAAAGTGATGGAGAGAGTGTCAGCCACAGAGAGACAGATATAAACAGAGAGAGAGAGTGTGTGTGTGTTAGTTGTCTGTCTCAAAGACAGAAACAGCCAGAGAGGCAGTACCCTGACCGAGAAGCTCAACTGAGAAATACAGTGATAGAAAGAGTTTGTGGCCATCCATTCATTCTCATTTATTCAGTAAGTACTTATCAGGTACCTACTATGTGCTAGGCAGGGTTTTAGGGGCTTTGGATAAACCAGTGAACAAAACTGGCAAAGATCCTTGTTCTTGTTGTAGCTGAAAGATACAAACAATAGAAAATACATCCAATAAAATAAATAACAAATTAGATATACATTTATATGTGTTAACATAATATTGTAAATTAGTACAAATCATATATAATAAGTTAAATAATAAGGAAGATTGGGGAGAGGGAAGTTTGCAGTGTTAAAGCAGTGACAGACGTTCCATAAACTGGCGAGTGGACAGATAAACCATGGTGCATCCATACAATGGAATCCTATTCAGCAGTAAAAATGGAATAAACTGCTGATAGCTGTGTGACCTTCGGCAAGTTACTTAACCTCTCTGATACTTAACTCTGTGAAATGGGGCTAATAATCAAATCTTCCAGGTAAGGTTCCTATGAAAGTGAATTACTGCATGTCAAGTGCTTAGAACAATGCCTGGGCACAGAGGCTGTAGGCTGTGTCTGCTGTCAACACCTGTATTTCCGTCTCCATACCTTTCAGACTCACTGACCCTGAGAACTCTTTGTGCCTGTGTTTCCATCTTCCCCATCCTAGCTTTCTGACTCTGTCTCCCCCAGCCTCCATCTTGGTGTCTCTGTATCAGTGTCTCTGTGTCTCTATCCCTATCTAACTTTCTCTGTTTCTGTCACTGACTTTCTTTGCCTTTCTTGCACTCTGAGTTTCCATCTCTCCAGCTCCCCATCACTCCCTCTCATTCCAGATGTTGCTAACACTGACTTCTCCCAGAGACCACTGGACAGTGGGACATTTTTGGTTGCTATGACTTGGCAAGGAGGGTGCTACTGGCATCTAGTGGGCAGAGGGCAGGGATGCTGCGTAATATCCTACAGCACACAGGGCAGTGCCCACAACAAAGAATGATTCAATCAGAAGTGTCAGTAGCGGCCAGGTTGAGAAATTCTGCCCTAGGTTATGGTTTCAGGGTCTCACCGCCTAAGGTGGAGAGGATCCCTTATGGCTGTTGCTGCCCAGAGATTCTGTGGGAGGGTGGAGAAGGGAGACGGCTAAAGAATCCCAGAATCCCCTCCCCACCAGGTGCCAACCTGATGACCACAGCAGAAACCCCCTGCACCAGGCTCCTGGGATATGTCGTCCACAATGTCACAGGTGTGTGTGTTGTGTGTGTGTGGTGGGAGAGTGGTGTAAGTGTGTGTGTCTTAGTCTTCTCTGGCTCCCATAACAACATAACACAGACAGGTGGCTTCCACAACAGAAATTTATTTCTCACCATTCTGGAGACCGGAAAGTCCAAGTCTGAGGTTTAGCAGGTTTCAATTCTCTCTCCCTCTTTTCCTCTTCATATTAGGGCACTTAATTTCATCATGAAGGCCCCACCCTCACAACCTCAGCTAACCCTCCTCACCTCCCAAGGGTCCCAGCCCCAAATGCCACTATCTTGGGGCTTAGCACTTTGACATATAAGTCTGGAGAGGGGGGGACACAATTTGGTCCATGGCTTTGCGTGTGTGATGTGTATGTCCCAAAGTGTCACCGTCTTCAAGCAGACAGGGTTGCTTCTAAGTTTACATGCCCGTATGACGTGTGTATGGGGGTGCTTGTGTGGCTGTACTTGTGTGATTTTTGTGTATTGGGGTGAATAGGCATTTCCATTCATCCGAGGCTGTTTCTGGATTATGATATCACTGTAATTTACCATGTGACTGGATCTTTGTGGTTGTACCTATCTGGTTCAGTGTCATGTGCTGTGTGTATCATGGTGTGACCACATTGTATGAGTCACCCTGCAGCTTTGCAAGAGTGTGTGTAGCCAAGCGTGATGTCACATGGGAGGTTGTGTCCTGTGCCTGTCACCTGGTCCTGTGTCCCTGAGCCTGACTCCAGGGTTCTGACATGTAGCTGCATGTTTAGTCATGCCCTGCTCACTGGGGCCTTGGGAGGCCTTATGGGACAGTGGTTAAGGAAATAGGCTGTGGAGTTGCCCTGCCTGGGTTCAAAGCCCTGCCCTGCCATTTATTAGCTGGGAGACCCTGTAATCCCAGCACTTAGGGAGGCTGAGGTGGGTGGATCATGAGGTCAGGAGAGCGAGACAATCCTGGCTAACACAGTGAAGCCCTGTCTCTACTAAAAATACAAAAAATTAGCTGGGTGCGATGGCAGGCACCTGTAGTCCCAGCTACTCAGGAGGCTGAAGCAGGAGAATCGCTTGAACCCAGGAGGTAGAGGTTGCAGTGAGCCAGGACTGCGCCACCACACTCCAGCCTGGGCGACAGAGTGAGACTCCATCTCAAAGAAAAGAAAAGAAAAGAAAAGAAAAGAAAAGAAACTGTGTGTCTGAGGATGGTGTAAGAGGAGGTATCGGAGGGACAGACCAGGGGCCTGGAGTTTAGAACGGACATGTCCTGGCTGGGCACGGTGGCTCAAGCCTGTAATCCCAGCACTTTGGGAGGCCAAGGCGGGTGGATCATAAGGTCAGGAGATGGAGACCATCCTGGCTAACATGGTGAAATCCCATCTCTATTAAAAATACAAAAACTTAGCCAGGCATCAGGCATGGTGGCAGGCGCCTGTAGTCCCAGCTACTCAGGAGGCTGAGGCAGGAGAATGGCGTGAACCCGGGAGGCGGAGCTTGCAGTGAGCCGAGATCACGCCACTGCACTCCAGCCTGGGTGACAGAGCAAGACTCTGTCTCCAAAAAAAAAAAAAAAAAAAAAAAAGAACTGACATGTCCTTTAGCCTCATCATGCCCCAGCCCAAAAAGCAGACCTGGATACCCTGCCCATGTTTTCCCCCCTGTATTAGTCAGGATTCTCTAGAGGGGCAGAACTCATAGGATTGATGTATATAAAAAGGGGAGTTTATTAAGGATAAGCGACTCACATGATCACAAGGTGAGGTCTCACAATAGGCTGTCGGCAAGCTGAGGAGCAAAGATGCCAGTCCAAGTCCCAAAGCTGAAGAACTTGGATTCCAATGTCGAGGTCAGGAAGCATCCAGCAGGGGAAAACGTGTAAGTTGGGAGGCTAAACCAGTCTAGTCTTTCCACGTTCTTCTGCCTGCTTTTATTCTGGCCACGCTGGCAGCTGATTAGATGGTGCCCACCCAGATTGAGGGTGGGTCTGCCTTTCCCAGTCCACTAAGTAAAATCTTAATCTCCTTTGGCAACACCCTCACAGACACCCCCAGGGAACAGTACTTTCCATCCTTCAATCCAATCAAGTTGATGCTTGATATTAACCATCACACCCCTCAATACAACCCACACCTTCCTAATCCTAACCCTGACCCTCGACTCTGAACCCCTCCACTTTGTGTCCTGATTCCATCCCCAGGAGCTGTGATTCCCCCTGAAGGATCCCAGACTCCATTCCCAAGCACTTTCTCCAGTGCCAGCAAAGTCCTCATTGGTGGCAACAGGAATACAGTCTGCACTTGCAGCCCTGGCAGGCAGCCAGCACCGTCAGTGGAAAACTTTAAGACGCTGGGGCATCTTAGAGCATCCACAGTGGGTGCTGTCGGCTGCACACTGCCTCCAGAAGTGAGTGCTGGGTGGGTCTGGGGCAGAGCGCCAGCTAAGAGGCAAGCGCTGGCTGGAGGAGAGTTTGAGTGAAGGAGAGTCCCAGGCCAGGGGTGGCAGGCTAGCAGGGATGGGGCCTTATGCATGATGGGGCTTAAGAAGAGGGCAGAGCCTTGGTCAGAGATGATGCTCTCGGTTCACTGCAACTTTCACATCCTGGGTTCAAGCGATTCTCCTGCCTCAGCCACCAGAGTAGCTGTGATTACAGGTGTGCACCATCATGCCCAGCTAATTTTTGTGCAAAGGGCCTGGGGCACAGGTGGAGTTGAGCAGGGGTGGGGTTGAGCAGGATTACGGCTTTGGGATGGGTGGAGCCTGATAAGGGGTGGGGCTTGAGCAGAGGGCAGCGCCTTGGTCAGAAGCTTGCACAGAGGAAAGGGCTTGGGCTAGGGGCAGGGCTTGAGCAGGGATAAGACTTTAGGAGGGGTGGGGCTTGAGCATGGGCCAGGGCTTACCTTGGTGTAAGGTCTGGCTAGGAGCTCAATATTGGTGGAGTGAGCTTTAGATGATTTTGCTAGGTCTGAATGAGAAGCAGAGCCTCCATGGAGTCAGGGAGACTAGGTTATCTCAGAACCCTGGGTTTGAGCCAACTGTGGAAGCTTCGGAAGGAAAGGATAACCTGAGAGACGTAGGTGTTCCAAGAAAAGGGGAGGAGATGCAGGAGAAAGACCTAGTCAGCCCTGGGTGTGAATCCCAGCTCAGCCTCTGGGTAACTAGGTAATGTTGGCAGGTGACTTCCATTTTCTTTTTTGTTGTTGTTGGCGGGGGCCCTTTTTGACCTTTTGTTTTGACCTTTTTTCTGATGCTTCTTGACTCTATATCTCCTGGTTTTCTGCACACATCCCCTGTTTTCTTTCCTTTTTTTTTTTTTTTTTTTTTTTTTTTTTTTTTTTTTTTGACAGAGTCTCCCTCTGTTGCCCAGGCTGGAGTGCAGTGACGTGATCTCAGCTCACTGCAACCTCCGCCTCCTGGGTTCAAGTGATTCTCCAGCCTCAGCCTCCCCAGGAAGCTGGGAGTACAGGCGCGCACCACCATGCCCAGCTAATTTTTGTATTTTTAGTAGATACGGGGTTTCACTATGTTGGCCAGGCTGGTCTTGAACTCCTGACCTCAGGTGATCCACCCGCCTTGGCCTCCCAAAGTTCTGGAATTACAGGCGTGAGCCACCGCGCCTGGCCGTAAGTTCCATTTTCTGGGCGTTCCTTTTCATCAGCTCTCAAGGGCAGGAGATGGTGACAAAGTTAGGGATGAGGATGGTGTTGGGATGGATTGTGGTGGAGACAGGGGTGTAGCTGAGGGCAGGGTCTAGGATGCAACAAATCAACATTTGCCCTGGATGTGCAGTTTAGGGGAACAGCCAACAACATTAGTAACCAAGATCAAGATTTTAGGATCATTTGCGCCTCCGCCCTCCAAACATGCACACACTAAGGTGTCCATCAGGTGCCCTGGGTAGTCCATGTTACCAGATGTGTCTGAAATTATGCTGATGTTGGCACAATACAATTATCAAGGAGACCCACCAGGGAAGACCGTGAACTTGAGAAGGACCCATACATTCAGGACCCTGCCCCTCTTCCCAAAAGCCATGTATTTCAGGTTTCATAGACTGGACACATCTGGCTTTTCTCAAGCATCTTGTGACCCAAGCCTCCCTGTGGTCCTAGGCTCCTCCCTATGGACACAAAGCCTAAGTCAGCCACCATGTTGGACACACCCACAAGGGGGCAGACGTGGGCAGTGCCATGTGATACATGTGACTGGAGAGGCGCACGGGTGATGGTGGGCTAGTTGCGCCGAAGTGACGCCATAGTGGTGCGCCGGGATCCTCATAGTGCTGATGATGTCAGAAGATGCGCCAAACGCCCTTCAGCTGTTTAGAACCAGCGCGCTTGCGCAGTTCCTGCTCGTCGGGCTCCTGCTGGCCCAGCAACTATAGGGAGCTAGCAGGCCAGTGGTTACCCACAAGCTGAGTGTGGAGTAGACAGAAAGACCCAAATGTTAGCAATCTGGGATCCCCAAGCCCTGTGATAATCTGAAATTCCACTTACCACCTCCTGAGGCCCTGGTACCAATGGCCCCTACTCCTGCCTCTCAGATAGCTAAGAGTTCCAATGTGTGGGCACACACCCATTGGGCTGTAGTCCCCAAGCTCCAGTACTTTTGTCCTCAGAGGAGTCAAGGACTCTCTCCCCAACCCATTAAAATACAGGAGTCCAGAATCCCAACATTTTCCTTCTCCAAGACCTTGGACTCCCGGCTTTCAGCCTTCTCCAACTCCAGGTACAGAACCCATGGGTTCCTACTCCCAGCCACGTTTTTCAGGACCCTGACCCCTGCCTTCTTACCAGGTTTGGTAGTGGGCCTCAGAGAGCTCACAGCGGGGGACAGTGCATGAAGGACCACAGTTAAAATGTCCACATTCAAAGAAAATCACTTGCCAAGATTGGGAGCAGAGCATACACTCCTCAGTTCCCAGGACCTAGTCACCGTCCTAGGCCTCTGGGATGGGAGTAGAGGATCCATGAGGACAGGGTCCTTCTCACCTCCTATTCCCTGACTGTGCCCTTATCTACCTACATATTCTTCACTTATGCCTTCCCCTCAGTTTCTCCAGGAGCCTCTGATATGTTTTTAAAATACTGTTTTCTCTCTAGCTTTAAAAAACTTTTGCCTCTTTTCCCTGGAACTGTATCCTTTTTTGTTCCCACCACCCATCTCATGTGTTATAGGTTCCCAAAAGAGAGAGAAAGGGGAAAAGACCAGAGGGCAAGAAGTTCTCTGTGGTTGGGGATGAAGATAAGGTCACTGGATACAGTGAGTTCAGACAAGTGGTCACTTGGAGCCAGTCATTCAGGCTCATTCATCTGTCACAGATATTAAATGGATGTGACACTCAGTATGTATGACACACAAATTTGGTCCCAGAGTTTGGGTATCTCGGCCAAACTCAGGGTCATACAAGGGCACAGATGTGGCCATACTAGATTGTGGACCTACATATATGCACAACCAGACTTTCAAACTTAGGTATTGGTAGGTACAGCATTTACAGCTTACCTTCACGTAACATATAAATAGATCTCAGCTTCGAGGGTCACTATATGGACATTGATATTTGTATGTAAGTGTGGACAGTTAAGACATGGGTGTGGCTAGGCACAGTGGCTCACGCCTGTAATGCCAGTACTTTGGGAGGCCAACGTGGGTGGATGACCTCAGATTGGGAGTTCAAGACCAGCCTGACCAACATGGAGAAACCCCTTCTCTACTAAAAATACAAAATTAGCCAGGCATGGTGGCACATGCCTGTAATCCCAGCTACTCGGGAGGCTGACACAGGAGAATAGCTTGAACCAGGGAGGCAGAGGTTGACTTGAGCCAAGATCATGCCATTGCACTTCAGCCTGGGCAACAAGAGCAAAACTCTGTCTCAAAAAAAAAAGACATAGGTGTATGTGTGCATACACACGCGCACACACGCGCACACACACACACACACAGAGCTTTGGACATAGAAGCTTGGACCAAAATCTACACTCCACTGTAGGTCTGGATACCCAGTGTTCCAGTTGCACACACTTGCACACAAGGTCTGAACGTACAAGGTGGGGGCCTTAGTAAAGGTACACAGGAGAGAGACACTGATATGCAGTGTTGGGTTTGACTTTGAGGGGACATATCCTGAGTAGCCCCTCCAAAAGCAATTCACAGACATGGGTCTATAGTATGGTGGTTGTATCCAAAAGTATGACCACCTGGGATCAAACATATTATTTCTGAATCTTTGAGAAAATTATTTGACCTCAATGTCTTTCCATTTCCTCATTTGTTCATGGGGGTTTCCTTAAGACTTAAATAGAAAAATGTGTCTTTGTGTGTATGCCTGTGTGTGGGTGTGCATGATAATGCCTGGCACACAGTAACTGTAATGCATAGTAATAAATATCAGTTATTTTAATCAAGGACACATGACTTAGTTATGGTACATACGTGTGCACGTTCAGATTTTGAAAACAAATATAGCCAAAATCAGACATATGTGCAGACCCAGATAAAGTTAGTCAAAGCTAATACTGTGATTCATCCATAAAACCACTTAGTGGTGATTCAGAGTTGCAGACACCAACCCCAAGGGCCAGACATTCAAATACAGCTTCATAGGTTAGATTCCTGGCTACTCCCAGACACAGAGTTGGGCATTTATGGGGAAAGACATATTCTGGAGACACAGGCAGCTGGGACAGGAAAGATTTATCTGTCTCTAGATCACCCCCCAAGTCAGACACTTGGTGTTGAAGGTTACTCATCAGTTTTCCCATATGGGGACATGGCTCACATGTGTGGGCAGGTAGTGGACAGCAGGGCCTTGCACACCCACCACATACACATGTGCATGCACATACACACACACACAACACACACACACGCACACAGAACTGCACTACGCACAAGTACCAAACAAGGACTTTTCACAGTCAGAAGACCCTGAGCCTCTACACTGGGAAACGTGGATATGTCCCCTCAAAGTCAAATCCACACATAAACAGACAGCAACAATAGGGCACATCCAGATCAGATCCCCATATTTTTCCTGCCATCTTTGGGAACTGGGCCTGGCACACTGGTGAGGCTAGGGTAACAGATGTGGCAGACAAGGGGTATAAGGAAGAAAGTATAAGTTTGTTTTGCAGGGAAGGTTAGAGAATTTAAATTATGATTCTGAGAGAAAATTCTCCATGGGCCTCTCATGTTTCTACATGGCTTCAAAGTGAAAAAAAAATTGCTTTGGACTATCAAGGATGTTTGGCTAGCAAGCCATCTTGCAAATGGTATTTTCAACAAAACAGCTTTGCTTACCGACCAGTGTAATAATGTGTCCCTTAAAGCAGATTTGTTTAGTGTTCAGTACAATAAATATAGTATGTTCCTCCAGAGCAGGTCTGTTTGTGGTCGGGATAACGAAGAATGTGTCTCCCTCTCGGACAAATATTAATAGTCCCTTCATACGATTCAGGATTCCTAAGCTCAGGTTTCTCAGCTGTGGGTCAAAGCATCGTGTCACAGGATCCTCCTAAACTTCTCTGATCATTCCTGTGGGACTTAGGGTCAAGGCGAACTGATGTGAACACAAAGCTCATGCTGTCTTCTGTGCTGTGAGTAATAAAGTCCTTTGCCTTTGATCCAGAATCCAGTGTGTTCTGCCAGTATCCATAAAACTGTGGCAGGCTAACTTATTTGTTTGCCAGTTGGCAAAATATCAGCCCCTTCAGAGTTTTTGACAAACAGTTGGGCACTAAGGCTGCACCTGTCCAGCTGGAGATGGAAGGGTGGGAGGTAGGAGGGGCCCCAGCTGGGCACAGCCACATGACAGAAGAGGGACCAAGGCTAGGTTGAACTTTTTTGAGGGCAGTGTAAGCCAAGCTGAAGTTGAACTTTCTTGGCCCTTGGAGTTAGGAGGGGCCCCAGCTGGGCACAGCAAAATAACAGAAGAGGGAACAAGGCTGAGTTGAACTTTTCTGGGGATAGTGTAAGCCAAGCTGAAGCTGAACCTTCTTGGCTCTAGCTGGATCCTTCCAGATACAAATTCATCCCACCTTTGGCATAATAAATTTCCTTTCGCCATTTGTCTCTCCTCCTCCCCAACATGCTCTTCCTCTTGGGTTCTCCCTCTTGGGAGAGTTCACTGCTTCCTCAGGCACCAGGATAGATGCCAAGTGCCCCACATCCTGCCAGACACTGGCCACATTCTATCTGTCCCCTGGATCTTCATTTTTAAAGCCTCAGGCCACATCCTCTAACTAGACCCTTTCCCCAGTCTCCTGACCATAATCAGAGTCTTCCCACATGTCTTCATTCCAACTTTTGGGATCCCTACCCTTTCAATTATGCCTTCACTTTAATGGCAGACAGCATGCATGCTGAGGATTTAATTAGCACTGTAATTCAGCCACTCACACAATAAGATTCTAGGTTTGATTTTCAGAAATCTCAGCTCTGTGGCTACAGGAGATAAAGGTTTCTTTCAACATCATAGACATAGCAACTTTAGATTATTTCTTCAGTCTGAGATCTGGAAATTTAAAGTCCTGTGCTCATTCTTTTCTTTTTCCACTTTTGCCAACACAACTAGAAGCAATCATCCAATTTCATTATGCTTGTTACTTTAAAAAATATTCTAAAGTGTCATATACATGATCACCCTGGTCATTTCTCCTTTATTTGATTCGGAATATCCAGTGGTGTTATTTTGCATATCTCTATTGCCACATTACACCACGGACTTTTATTTCTGTTTGTATTACTGAAAATAGAGTTGTGGTGCCTTTAATTTATTCGCATTACAGAACCAATTCCAAACACTAGAAATGCCAGAACTAATTCAGAAAGCTCATCCTTAAGACTTCCTTCCTCTAGAACAACTAGTAAAGTTTCTCTCAGACAGGATTTTTAGAGAAACAGAAAAAAAATAAGATACACACACACAAATATACACATGCAAAGAGACAGACAGAGATGGAGACGGAAAGACAAGGACAAGAAGATGGAATCTGAGCTAATGGCAGAGACATGGAACCAGTAGAGAAGAGACCCACTGTCTTCAGAGAGTGCTGACCAGGAAGAGGAGAAGCCTTGGGGACTGGATCAGGTGTCTGTCCCTAGGTCCCCATTCCTGACTCTTCTCCTGCCACCCTGATCTGGGTGTAGCATCATATTAGGTAATTTGGCTGAAAAAACTGCTAACTTGGGAAAATGTCCCCTGTCCATAGGAGCAGGACATCCCAGACTCAAGAAGCTCATAAACCCACAAGCACTCTGTCCTTCATCTCCCCACCACAGCCTCCTAGACAAGACCCCAAATCACCCCACATACTTTGCTCCCAACCCAATGCCTGCTCCAGGCAATCTCATGTCTCCTACCCTAATCCCTGGGGTTTGCCCTGCTCTCAGAGCAAAGTCTCCCCACCAGGAACAGCCACCAACCCAAACCCCAAGGAATGGTCCAGAATCTCAGGCCCTCCTGTGTCCCTGGATCCCCAGCCCTGGTCCTCTGCCCCCTTCAAACCCACAGCCCAGCTCCCTCTCTTAGCCCAGTCCCTGGGCCCTCCTGCCAAGCCTGCCCTCCCTGACCCAGCACTCCCTCTGCAGATGCTGTGATTGCCATCCAGTCCCAGACTGTGGGAGGCTGGGAGTGTGAGAAGCTTTCCCAACCCTGGCAGGGTTGTACCATTTCGGCAACTTCCAGTGCAAGGACGTCCTGCTGCATCCTCACTGGGTGCTCACTACTGCTCACTGCATCACCCGGTGAGTGGGGACCTGGGGTCTGGGGAGGGGTGTCTGTGCCCCACAGGAATAACAGTTGGGCATTTCCCCTCAGATGAGGCTGGGGACAGAGGGAGAGAGACAGGGAAGGTTCTGGTTCAGGTTGCATGAACAGGCATTGGGGACCACCTTCCTGGGGGCTGCCTTGGTCTCTCACCGTATATCTGTCCATCTAGTCTCTCTGTGTCTCTTGGTATATGGCTCTGCTGTGTCTGTGTGGCTGTGTTTCGGCCTTGATCTCCCTCTCTCTTCTCTGTCTCTTGTCTCTGTGTCTCCCCGTCTCTGTTTTTCTCTGCATCTCTCTTGGCCATCTCTGTCATTGTGTATCTCAGCCCCCATCTCTCTGCCCATCTCTCTCTCTCGGCCATCTCTGTCATTGTGTATCTCAGTCCCCATCTCTCTGCCCATCTCTCTCTCTCTCTCGAGTCTCTCTCACCCCTCCCCACACCTCCCCATTGCCATCCTGAGCCTCTGCGGAAAGGAATAGAGGATCCCTGAGAACAGAGACTTCTTCCTATGTGGCCACCCTTCCCAGTGCCCTACAGTACCTACATATGTGAAAACCATTCACATATGCTTTTCCCACAATTTATCCGGAAGTCTTTGGTTTTTGGGGGAGTTAGTTTTGTTTGCTTTTTTGTTTTGTTTTGTTTTGTTTTTGAGACAGTCTTGCTCTGTTGCCCAGGCTGGAGTGCAGTGGTGCAATCTCGGCTCACTACAACCTCTGCCTCCCAGGTTCAAGCGATTCTCCTGCCTCAGCCTCCCGAGTAGCTGGGAGTACAGGCGCATGCCACCACGCCCAGCTAATGTTTTTCGTTTTTTGTTTTTTGTTTTTTGTTTTTTTAGTACAGACCGGGTTTCACCATGTTAGCCAGGATGGTCTCGATCTCCTGACCTCGTGATCCGCCTGCCTTGGCCTCCCAGAATGCTGGGATTACAGGAGTGAGCCACTGTGCCCAGCCTCTGTTATTTTTGAAGCACTCTCCTCTCTTTAGGTTTTACAGCTGCAGCCTGTTTTTCCAGAACTTCTCCTTTCATCTCCTATCCTACATGTGATAGGTTCCTGAGAGCCAGAGAGAGACAGACAGAAGGGAAATGAAGGACCAGAGGGCAAAATTCCCTCTGTGATTGGAGATGGAGACAGGTTCACTGGATACAGGTTTAGACAGACGGTTGCTTTCATATGTCAGAGACCTCAAACAGACGTGTCCATTCAATTTGTACGGTAGCATTCTTGGCCTCAGAATCTGGAGATCTAAGCCAAACTCAGCATGCCAGGGAAGGACACATATGTGACCACACAAGGTCATGGACATACATACAGGCACAAGATGGTTTCCAGGCTTGGATACATATATAGACTGTGTGCCTTAAGCAGAAATTCATATGCATGTACGTGTGGCTTATATAATAAGAGCCCAAGTGATCACATGTGCATATAAATATGGACAGGCATGGGTGTAAGCACACACATACACATTCATAGACACAGATTTGGACATAAGAGCTCAAACCTAAATTCATAACCTCCAGTGTGGCTCTGGGTGTGCAAGGTCACGTGGGTACACACTTGCACACAGGGTCTGGATGTACAAGGTTGGGTCTTTAATAAGATTACAAAGGGAAGAGACAGGGATATGCACTCAGAGTCCCAGACACTGATTCACAGACATGAGTATGGTGGTTATATCCAGAGTCTGACCACCTGCATTCAAAAATATCAGCTTTGAGACTTTGAGAAAATTCTTTGATCTCACTGTGCCTCCATTTCGTCTGTAAATTGGAGGTTGCTGTAAAGGTTAGATGGGTGGGAGATACATAGCATCTGTGGATATTCAGATTTGAGAAACAAATATGGCCGAAGTAATTCAGACATAATCACAGGACCGGATATGACAGTCAAGGTCAACACTGCGATTCATGCAGAAGCCAGTGTGCGGTGATTCAAAGTTGCAGGCGCAGTCCCAGAGGCCAGGCATTCGGATATGGACCCACTAGAGCAGATGCCAGGGTAGTACCCAGACACACGGTTGGCCATTCAAGGTCAAAGGTGTAGCTAGAGACACAGGCAGCCAGGAAAGGAAATAATCTACGTCTGGATCAGTGCCCACATCAGAGATACTTGGTATTGAAGGTGACTCATCAGGTTTTGCATTTGAGGACAAATGCACACATATGGGCAGGTAGTGGACAGACAGAGCCTCACACTCCCACCACCCATGTACATGCACACACAGAGCTTCACTATGCACAGATACCAAACAGAGACATTTCAAAGTCAAAGGACCTTCAAAGTCAAAGTCACACACACATATGCACCGAAGAGTAGGGCAGGGTTTGCTCATCCCGATTGAATTACTGTTGTTATATCTACCATGGGCATAAACAGGGCCCAGAACACTGGGAGAACTGGAGGAACGTGCAGTGAGTGAGAGGTGGAAGGGAAGAAAGGGGGGGCTCTCCAGCAGAGAAGGGTGGAGGCCAGGAGCTGAGTAGTGAGTGACAAATTTCCACGAGTCTCTTACATTTCTATATGTATTTTGAGCAAAGGTACTAACATTATCTTACTCGATAATATCTATCAAGGATGTCTGGCTAACAAGCAGTCTTTCAAGTTGGTATCTCCATCAGAGCAGGTTTGCTGACTGTCCAGGATAATAAAAATAATGTCTTCCCAGAATGGACTAGTTTACTGTCCAGGACAATAAATATAATATGCCCCTGTGCAGCAATTCTGTTTGTGGTTCAGGGTAATAAAAATAATATCACCACCAAAGACAAAGATTCAAGGCTGAGGTGGGAGGATCGGTGGAAGTCAGGAGTTCAAGACCAGCCTAGGCATCAATGCAAGACTCCCTCTCTACAAAATAAGTATATACATACCTACATACATTAGCCAGGTGTGGTGGTGCAAGCCTGTAGTCCCAGCTACTCATAAGGCTGAGGTGGGAGAACTGCTTGAGTCTAGGAGTTTGAGGCTGCAGTGGACTATGATCCCACCACTCCCTTCCAACCTGGGAGAGAGTGAGACATTGTCTCTTTAAAAAGCAAAAGGCAAATGCTGGGCAGGTTTGCTAGTGCCCACTTATAAGACTGAGGATTCTGAAACTCAGGACCCTCTGCAGTGGCATAAACCACTTTGAGTGCAAAATCCACCTGGACTGCTCTGGTCACCCTATAGGACTCGGGCAAGATGAACCCATATGAACATGAACCTCACGCTGCCTGCTGTGTCAAGTAATCAAGTCCTTTGTCTCTGGCCAGGTTCTGGTGTGTTCTGCCAATACCCGTGAAGGTGTGGCAGGCCAACTTTTTTGTCTCTAAGTTGGTAAAATGTCAGCCCCTCAGAGTTCTTGACAAACACGTGGGCACTGAGGTTGCACCTGCACAACTGGAGATGGAGATAGGACGGGATTCAGCTGGGTGCAGCCACATGATAAAGGAAGGACCGGGGCTTGGTGTAACCCCTGATCCCTCCTTTGTGGGGAGTGTAAACCAGGACAAAGCTGAACCTTCCTGGCCCCACCTGAATCTCTCCAGATACAAATTCATCCCAACAGCTATGTAAAAAAACTTCCTTTTACCACCCTTGTGTTTTCTCCTGCCCAACATGTTCTTCCTCTTCGTTTTCATATCTCACATCTCCGATGATCTATTGTTCCCTCAGACACCAGGTCAGACCCCTGGGTGCCCCACAGCCCATCAGACGCTAGCCACATCCCACCTAGCCCCTAGATCTTCTCCAGTCCCAAAGAACTCACCTCCAGCCACACCCTCTATCTGGACCCACTCCCAGACTCCCACTCTGAATCCCAGCTTCCAGTCCAACCTCCCATGGACTCAGAGAGCAATTTAAGCCTAATGCAAACCTAAGAAAATAAATAATAAAAATTATGGCAGAAATTGGCGAAATTAAAAACAACCTATAGAGAAAATCAACTAAAACAACTGTTTCTTTTAAAAGATCAATAAAATTGATAATTCTGTAGCCAGGATAACAAAGACAAAAAAAAAAACAGAAGATACATGTTAGTAAGATCAGAAATGACAGTGGATGCATCATCACTGAGACACCAAGAGGATATTCATGGATAATAAAGCCTTGTCAGTAGAGAACGAACTGCTGCTGGTTGCCTTTATTAAGATATTGAGGTGAAACAAAACATTAACCAGGTCAATAGCTGCATATGAGGTACCAGGAGATGTGTTATTTGCTCAAACAATGAAGCCACATGAAGAGCTGTAATGAAATTCACTGCCTGGTTATACTTAGGATAACTCACTATCATCCCCGAAGATCTGTCTGTTTTCAGCATGGGCCAAATAGGTGAACTGGATGTGGATGTAGTGGGAACCACCACTCCTGCGTCCTTCAATCATTGACAGTGTCACCAACCTCTGTAATCCCTGCAGGAACGCAGACTTGCTTTTGGTTTATGATTTCCCTAGGTGTGGAGATACGACGGGATTCAGCTGGGTGCAGCCACATGATAAAGGAAGGACCGGAGCTTGGTGTAACCCCTGATCCCTCCTAGATGGGGCTAGGTGGGGCTAGCCTAGATGGGGCTAAGTCCTAGCGACTTCCACCTGGACTTGTCTGGTGTAACATCCCTCATCCACAGGTCTGGAAGCCCATGTGGAAATTCTGTCACTTTCTCAGCATGCCTGTCCCAGTTATGCATTATTCTGTAATTGGTGAAATACCGGAAGGGTAGGTTCAGAGACCCACGGGACCCATTGTGAGATGGGCCTTGGCCACAACTCCTGACCTCCACCAGGCGCCACACTGATTGTTGGACTACAGTGGTGTTTTGGGTCTCTTGTAATTAGTGTCAGTTAAGAATCAGTGTCCAATAATCTCCAAAACATCTGGTAACTGACTCAAGTTTATGAATTGAACGATGGGCCAGGATTCTTTGCTTTTATGATTCAAATTATACTTCTGTTCACTGGACCCAAGAAGTCTTCTGATTACATAGAAATAATTTAGTCTTTTCCAATCTATTTCTCTTCCAGGAACACTGTGATCAACTAGCCAGCACCATAGTTCTCCGAAGTCAGACTATCATGATTACTGTGTTGACTGTGCTGTCTATTGTACTAACCATGCCGATGTTTAGGTGAAATTAGCGTCACTTGGCCTCAACCATCTTGGTATCCAGTTATCCTCACTGAATTGAGATTTCCTGCTTCAGTGTCAGCCATTCCCACATAATTTCTGACCTACAGAGGTGAGGGATCATATAGCTCTTCAAGGATGCTGGTACTCCCCTCACAAATTCATTTCTCCTGTTGTAGTGAAAGGTGCGCCCTCTGGAGCCTCCCAGGGTGGGTGTGCAGGTCACAATGATGAATGTATGATCGTGTTCCCATTACCCAAAGCCTTTAAATCCCTCATGCTCAGTACACCAGGGCAGGTCTAGCATTTCTTCATTTAGTGTATGCTGTCCATTCATGCAACCACCTCAGGACTCCTGGATTCTCTGCCTAGTTGAGCTCCTGCATGCTGCCTCCTTGGGGAGGTGAGGGAGAGGGCCCATGGTTCAATGGGATCTGTGCAGTTGTAACACATTAGGTGCTTAATAAACAGAAGCTGTGATGTTAACCACGAGGGGATACTGTCTTCCTGTTTGTCTGTGTCTCTCTGTGTGTCTCCAGCTACCTTGTTTTTTCTCTTCCCATTTTGTCATTGTCTATCTCAGATTCTGTTTCCCCTGCTGTCTCTCCGTCTCTGGTTTTCTCTTTGTGTTCCTGTGGCAGTCTCTTTAAAGCCCCATCTCTGTCTTGGATGAAACATAATCCTTGTTCATTACACACACTATTCATTGGTATGAATATGCCATTTATTTCTCCATTCTCCTATAGATAAACATTTTGGGCAGTTTCTGGTTTGAGGATGCTATGAACTTTCTGGTACGAGGATTTTTATGAAAATATGAAGTATTTCTAGGGTTTCTAGGGGGTATATTTCTAAGATTGATACTGATAGGTCATGCATATGTTCAGCTGCAACATATACTTCTAAATCATTTTCTAAAATGAGTATACCAATTTATACTCCCTTAAGCAATGTATGAGAATGTTGCATTGTCTAAAAAAGGCTATTGATACACACTGCCAAACTGTTGGAATGAATTTATATTCTAGTTCTACATTCTTTTCCTTCAATATTTCCGCCATCCTTTCTCTCCAGGGCTTTGTCAATGACATTTTTTGTCAATGACAATACTAGTTTTCTTTTTTGTTTCATAGCCTTTCCTTCTTTCTACTCAATCACACTCTATGGATTCTATTGATCTGAGGTCGTTCAGATATTTTAAATTCTATAAAACTTACCTTCAGGCTGGGTGCGGTGGCTCACGCCTGTAATCAATCCCAGCACTTTGGGAGGCCAAGGCAGGCGGATCACCTGAGGTCAGGAGCTCGTGACCAGCCTGACCAACATGGAGAAGCCCCGTCTCTATTAAAAATGCAAAATTAGCCAGGTGTGGTGGTGTGCACCTGTAATCCCAGCTACTGGGGAGGCTGAAGCAGGAGAATCACTTGAACTGGGAGGCAGGGGTTGCAGTGAGCCGAGACTGAGCCATTGCACTCCAGCCTGGGCGATAAGAGTGAAACTCTGCGAAAAAAAAAAAAAAAAAAAAAACCTGCCTTCAGTGTTTAGTCATGTGTTTCCTCCTTTCCTATTTTTCTCTCTTCCTGAGTCTTTAGTGTTCAGTATCTGCACTGCCAGCACTCACATCATTCAGTATTTCTTTGACATTTTTCTTCAATCTAGTCTAAAATGTCACTATTGCGTTCTTCACCTCTACTCAATTCTATTAATCCATTTTTTTTACTTTTTCCAATTATCATATTTTTCCCACCTAATATTTCCTACCTTTTTCTCATATTTTATGTATGTTAGTCTTGCTCAATATTCCTAATATGTTCTCTTATTTTTCAGCATGCTTATTAACTTCTAATTCAGTATAAAATCAATCAGGTTTCTTTCAAACAATTCATCATTGCAGAGATAACTCCATGGGTTACTCAATCACAAAACCAAACCAGTCCCACAGGTGCATTCACTATCCCCCGTCTTTCCCTGACCCCCTGTACATTACTAAATGTCCACTTACAATTACACAGTATAAGGTCTGAAAACAAGATTCAGTTTTATTTGCTGCCCCAGTATCTGTAACCAGGAGTGCCACAAAATCTTGCCAGATATGTCCCACACCCACTGGGAAAGGCTCCCACCTGGCTACTTCCTCTATCAGCTGGGTCAGCTGCATTCCACAAGGTTCTCAGCCTAATGAGTTTCACTACCTGCCAGTCTCAAAACTTAGTAAAGCAAGACCATGACATTCCCCCACGGAAATCAGAGTTTGCCCCACCGTCTTGTTACTATAAAGCCTGCCTCTAACAGTCCTTGCTTCTTCACACCAATCCCGAGCGCATCCCCCATGTCATCCTGCATGGTGTGCAGCGTCCTCCTGCTCTGGGCTGTGAATCTCTATGGCTAAGAAACTGTTGATCTCATATCTCCGGTGCTATGTGTGGGGTGTTCAACCATCTTCATAACCCCAGGGTGGTAATCCCTCCCTCACCAATGGTGTGAAAAGAAGGCAAATAAAACAATGATTGAATGCTCTTTGGGCTCAGTATCATTCCTCAATGTGCCCCTATTTCTGGATTCTTCTTTGTAGGGATAGCCCCATAGACCACCTGATCACAAGACCAAACCAAATCCCCAGGGGGGCTTCCTCATCCTCTCCCTTTCCCTCATCCCCTGTACAATAAAAGGTTGACTCAGCAGCCCTGCACTGCTCAAAGCCTGTACATCCCAAGTAAAGGGCTCACCCTTGAATAACTCCTGGGAGATGACATTTGATTCCTTGGCATGTTCTGCCCAAGTGCCTTGATATACTTGGGGCCTTGGGCCATGCCAGACCCTTCATGCTAAAGATGGGATTTGTGATGAATCCCTGTTTTTGTACATCTGGGACTCTGGACCATGCTGTATCTGTTTGAACTCTAGGGAACCTCAGGTCTGAGGACTTCAGGTCAATTATTCAAGTACTCCATACTCGTCCTACAGACCCCCAGTAAAAACCCTGGACACTAAGGATCAGGTGAGCTTCCTCAGTTGGAATTACTTTGTACATATTATCATACATCCTTGCAGGGAGAATTATATGCTGTCCGTAAGTCTCCACTTGGAGAGAATAACTGTCAGATATGCCCCCCATCCAAAGGGAAAGGCCCCCACCTGGCTAGTTCCTCTATCAGCTGGATCAGCTACACTCCACAAGGTCCTCAGCCTAATAGGTTTGACTTCCTGCCAGTCTGAAAACTTAGTAAAGCCAAGTTGCCAGTCTTCGTAACTGCAAGTTTTCCTCTGTTTTCTCCACACTCTAATCTATACATCTGTTTTGTTTGCTGATTTCAGTATGTATCCTATCAATGTAACAAACCATAATAAACCACAGCATGATAGCTCTTTATTTCTGTAAGTCCTGCTAGGAAATCATCAAATCTGACGGTGGTTTGGGGGACCTGAACAAACCTCCTGTAATTAATCAGCTTTCAGTTTCTCCCCCTAGTCCCTCCTTCAACAACATAGGAGGATCCTCCCCTTCTTTCTGCTCACGGCCTTATCTAGGCTTCCCAGTGCCCCCAGGACAGCGTGGGCTATGTTTACAGCGTCATCCTTGCTGTGTGTGTGCCTCATGCATTGTGGCTCCAGCTTATCCTCAGTGATCTGTAGAGAGTGTCCACCTTGTGTCACTGTCCACTCTTCCAGGGTGGGCCCCACCCCTCCCATCTCTGCACCCCACAAACAACATGGTCACCCACGTCTTTGTGTGTGTCCTCACTGAAACTGAGCGAGAAGTCTTCAGAGACAGCCAGTGTTCCGAAGGAGAGGACGAAATTATACCCATTTCAGAAACATTGGCATACACCTGTGTCTGCCCATTCCTTTTCCTAGCAGCCCTGGACTCCACACCAGAAAGCACAGGTCAGTAGGACTCAGGAGGCTCGAGCTTCGGCCAGGTGAGTTCCAAGCTTCAGGTGTCCAGCATCCAGAAAGGCCAAGTGATGCCAGAACGTGAGGTGGACTTAAATTTACTAGAGGTAGGGGTGGGACAGGGGCACTCAGGGGTTGGCTGCGATGGTGTCCTTGATCCACTTCCGGTAATGCACCACCTTGGTGTACACAGCAGGCTTTTCAGGCAGGGCACATGGCTCAGGGCCCCATGATGTGATACCTTGAAGCACACCATTACAGACAAGTGGACCCCCAGAATCACCCTAAGGGTAAAGGAGGAGAGACACAGTGAGAAAGATTGGCCCCAATAACTGCCTAGGCAACTCCATCTCTCAGAACCGCGCAGGCAGATGACTGAGAGCAATTCCCAGCTCTCAGGAACAGACAGAAATGTCTCCAGAACCCACTCCCACAAGAATATGGGCAGGGAGTCCAACAGAGGGAACAAGGCTCCAGTCTTGGCCTATGGGGAGGGGACTTCAGGGTCCAGCTCCTGCACAAGGGGCAAGGTCCAGGAGGACAGTCCCTGCAGACAGGTCAGCAGGATGAGGGCCGGGACCATCTGCAGGATGCTGCCCCCACAGGCACATCGCAGAGGCCACCTCTTCAGGACTACTCTCTGACTAGATGTCCCCTCTCCAGGGCATTGGGGAGCCATGGAGGGCCGTGGGCAGGGCTGGGTATGGTCAGTTCAGTGATCAGAATGACCCACTGAGGCCAGATGGAGGATGGAGTGGAGGGGAGAGACTGAGGGCCAGGAGACTGTGAGGGAGGCTGGGTGAGGGCCCAGGCAGGGGCAAGGCCTGGAGCCACCCCCAGGTCATCCTCATCGTCACTCCCCCCACAACCCTGCCGCCCTCCCTCCCTGCAGTCTGATCCCAAAGGGAAGCCAGCGACAGCCTCTGGACACCTGAGCCAGGCCCTGTCCTTCTTCTGTCCAGCACCATCCACAGCTCCTGACTCCTCAGAGGAAAAGCAGTGTCCTCCTGTGGCCCAGGTGAGGCCCTGCAGGAGGGGCCCTCTCTTCCCTGTGTGAGGCCATCTCGCGCCCTGCCCCTGATCCCTCACTCCAGCCATGCAGCCCCCTCGCTCCTCCTCACGCCCTCCCGGCCCCTCCTCCCAGGCCTGGGCAGGTGCTGCTCCCTCTGCTCCCCCAGGTGCCGCAGGGCTCTCCCCTCCCCTGCAGCGGGTGTTTGCTCACTCCTACCTTCTGCAGGATGTCCCCTCCCAGTGACACTCCCCACCCCTCCTCCCTGCCCCAGAGCCCGATCACTTCCTGACACCCTCCAGCATTTCCATGTTGGGTCCACTGTTCCTGCCAGTGCCCCTCACCAGCATGGGGGCTGCAGGAGGGAGAGGCTGCTCTCTACCTGTTCACTGCTGCTTCCCAGGGTCTACGGCAATGCTGGTCACGTAGCAGGTGCCCAGTAAGCATGTGCTCAACACAGGAATGGGTGAATTATGCTGTGAGAATCACCTCTTGTGTTGAGGGAGTCAGGGAAGGGGGAAGGAGGGCGGCAGATGAGGCATGGGGAGGGGGCGTGGCTATAGCTGGGGAGCAGGGGAGGCAGATGTCTGGTTAGCTTTCAGATTGCAGCCCAGAATTAGGGTCTTCACTCACCTTTCCCCTCCAGATGTTGGGAGTAGGGATGACTCACCCCACAAGTGTCTTTACCACCTGTCCAGAGCCCAGCACACAACATGAACTCTGTCACCTTCTCAGAGTAAGCTCTAGCACACATGTCATTGGACAGGAGATGGAGGCTCACACACTGAAGACTCCTGGGGCGCAAGACTATGGGTCAGAGAAAAACTGGGCTGTGGCCGGACCCCACCTGGTTCTTTGGCCCCACTTCCCTCAGACCCAGGCATCTGGGCTCCCAGCTACACCATCTGGCCCAGGCGTACACTCCTCTGGTTCGATGCTGCCCCAGCCTGAGGCGTAGCAGGTGGTCCCCAGTGCTGGCTCCTGGGTGGGCAGGCCCAGGACCTTCACAACATCTGTGATCTTGGCAGGCTCTGACAGGCGGAGCAGCATGAGGTCATGGCTGGAGTCTTCATCTGGTCTAAGGCTTTGATGCTTCAGAAGGCTCATATTGTAGAGCGGGTGTGGGAAGCTGTGGCTGACAGGGACCCTCTGGCCTGTGTCTTCAGGCTCAAACAGGTTGTGCCGACCCAGCCAGACCTGGCTATTCCTGGGGAGGAAGGGGGTGGATGCATGAGGAGAGAGAAAATGGGGAAAGGTAGATGGGGCAGGGGAGGATAAGGGAGACTCCAAAGGGAAGAAAAAGAAACAGTGAGAAAAGCACAGGGGTCGGGGAGATATAGTCGTGGTGAAATACAGACAGTGAGTTAGAAAACAGGAGTGTGATCATGTGAGAGGCAGAGACAGAAACTGAAAGAAACGAAGTGGAAAAGAGAGAGCATAAAATGGCAGAGGAATGACAAAAACAGAAGGGAGAACAGTGAGAATTAGGATGAGCAAAGAAGAGACAGAGACAGCAAGAAATAGACATGGGGAAGAGGAAGGGAGAAAGAACAGAACCAGGAAGGGAGTGAGAAATAGACAAATGAGAAAAGGATGCGGGAAGTCAGAGAGAGAAGGAGAAACAGCAGAGAGGAAGCCAGGGGTGATACAGTGTGGGAGAGAAAAAGGAGGGAGGCCACGGGGGCATCTGAGGAGTGTGGAGTAGCAGGGGGAGGAGGAGAGGCATGAGGGTGGCTCACCTGCAGCTGGGGCTGGAGTGAGGGCTCTGTAGTGGCGGGTGGCCCGGCCCACAGCTCAGGGCCACGTCCCCCTTTCTCTCTCCAGCTCCCTTCCCCTCCTTTCGATTTTTTTTGTTGTTTGTTTGTTTGTTTGTTTTTTCTGAGATGGAGTCTTGCTCTGTCACCCAGGCTGGAGTGCAGTGGCACGATCTCGGCTCACTGCAACCTCTCCCTCCCGGGTTCAAGCGATTCTCCTGCCTCAGCCTCCCTAGTAATTGGGATTACAGGCGCGCAGCACCACGCCTGGCTACTTTTTGTATTTTTAGTAGAGACGGGGTTTTGCCATGTTGGCCAGGCTGGTTTCAAACTCCTGACCTCAGATGATCCACCCACCTCGGCCTCCCAAAGTGCTGGGATTACAGGCGTGGGCCACCGTGCCCGGCCACCTTCCCCTCCTTTCTTGTTTCCCCTTCTCCTTCCTCCCTCCTCAATTGTGCACCCAGCTACAGCTGAAACCAGCCCTCCCTGTGTCTCCCCAGGGTGGAGGGATGTCCTGCAGAGAGTGCTGTGCAATGACAGGCACCCCCTCACATGCACACACATTGAGCTTAAAGTCCTTCCTTTTTCTGGGTGCTCCCCACCCACCCTCACGGGGTGTGTTCAGTAGTGATGAGGAAGGGCTGAGGCAGAGACCCAGAGAGAAAGACAGGCAAAGAGATGCAGGGTGAGACACACGGTGACAGAGATGGCCACAGAGAGACCCAGAGACAGAGACGGGGGAGACACAGACACAGGGAGACAGAAAAGAGAGAGGGACATAGAGACCAAAACACAGTCATACAGACACAACCAGAGCCAGATACCAAGAGACACAGCGAGATCAGACACAGAGAGAAACCCAGGCAGCCATGGGGAGAGTGGTCCAGCCCCAGCTCTGCCTCCGGGTGCGACCTGGGCCAGGACCTTCCCTCTCTCCTTTAGTCTGAAGCCTCACCTGAGAAGTGACCCTGGGGGAAGCATCCCGCTGTTATTCCTGTGGGACACAGCCATTCCCTCCCCAGATCCCAGGGTCCTACTTACTTCTTTAGGCAATGGGCAGCTGTGAGCACCCACTGGGGGTGCACCAGGACACCCCCACAGTGTGCCCATCCATGACTGTACACAGCCACCTGCCAGGGTTGGGAATGCTTCTCACACTCCCAGCCTCCCACAATCCGAGACTGGATGAGGGGCACGGCACCTGCGGAGGGGGTGCTGGGTCAGGGGGATCAGACCCAAAAGAATTGGATAGGGGAGGGAGCTGAGCTGTGGGTTTGAAGAGACATGGGGGCAGAGGACCAGGACTGGGAGTCCAGGACACAAGCAAGGGGTCCTGGGAGGGCTGGCAATTCTGTAGCTATTCCCTGCGTTAGCGGGTTGGTGGCTGGACCAGGTCGGGAGGCTTCATGCTCTGAGAACGGAGCTGACCCCAGAGATCAGAGTAGGGGACATGGGAAACATCTGAAGCAGGCATCGGGTTGGGGGTTGGGTCATTTGGAGTGATTTGGGGTCTTACACTGGGAGAAGGGACACTGTGGTGGCAGCTGTGGGTTCTAAGAGAATAAGAGGTTCCAGAAACCAAGGATAAGTGCCCAGTGGAGAGGTTTAGTTGCTGGGAGAGGAAGGTTTTGGATGGTTTACCATGTCCAAGGTTAAGCAAACAGTTCTGCCTGAGTTGTTTCTTGCTTTGTTTTGTTTTGTTTTGTTTTTGAGGTTTTGAAAAGGGTGCGGATTTAGGGAATCAGAGAACTGGCCGTTGTGGTTGGGGGTGCTCGTGTTTTTCCCATGGAAAAAGCTAGCCATTGAATGACGGGTCTGGGGCAAAGAGTCAGGGAAGGAGGAGTTCTGAAAGTCCCAGTGCCAGACTCAGGGTGGGAGGCAGCATTTGTTGTCTCAGGCCAGATAGCCTCGGGGGGAAGAAGGAAGTGTCTGGTGGAATCTGGGTTTCCTGGGACAGGGTTGGGGAGCCAGGTGTCAAGGTCCAGGGGACAGGGTTGAATGCTCACAGCTGAATAGGAAAAGTCAGTAGACTGTGGTAGGACTGAGGGGCTCAGGAGGCAGCCCAGTGATAGGGTCCAAGGAACCAGTGGCATGGAGAGAGGTCCTTGAAAGGTTTTGAACCCCATAAAGAGAAACACAGAGATGCCCAGGAACTTGCTCTTTAGTAAAGCAGCTGGGAGCAGGGATTTGGCTGGGCAATGGAGAGAAAGGTCTGAGGTAAGTGGGAGGGAGCGGGGACCTAGTGTGGGCATGAGGACTATTGCAATGTGGAAGAGTCAGGGGCACATTGTCTGGGCTGAACTGTGGGCTGAAGGGACGAGGCTGGGGCACTGGGTGGGAGGAAAAGGGCTTCAGCATAAGAGTCAGAACCCGCCCCCCTTCCTTTATCCCCCCAATCTCACCAGTGCACCCCACAGACAAGGCGATGGAGAGAACCAGGTCCCACATGCTGACACAGGTGTCCACGGCCAGGTGGTGAGTTTGGGGCTGGGGGGCCTCCCTGAGGAGCCCTATAAAGCCTTCATTCTCCAGGACCCCGCCCTTGCCCTGTTGGCACCTAGATGCTGACCAAGGCCCTCCCCATGCTGCTGGAGGCTGGACAACCCCCTCCCACACCCAGAGCTGTGGAAGGGGAGGGAGAGCCAGCACTTGCTGTTCCACACATACTAGATCAGTCTGGAGGCATTCCCACGGTGTGAGGTCAGATTGGGCAGGGCCTATGGATCATGGAGATGTGATCTAGGGAACAAAGCCAGAGAAGGCAGGCTCAGGATGAACAGCAACAGGGGTTGGGATGATCACTGATTCTTTTTTAAAAAAATTCTGAGACAGTCTCACTCTGTTTCCCAGGCTGGAGTGCAGCGGCGTGATCGCAGCTCCCTGTAGCCTTGAACTCCCAGACTCAACCGATTCTCCTGTCTCAGCCTCCAGGATAGCTGAGACCACAAGCATGCACCACCACATCCAGCTAATTTTTAATTTTTTTGTAGAGAGAGGGTCTGGCTATGTTGCCTAGGCTGGTCTCCAACTCCTGGGCTCAAGCCATCCTCCCACTTCGGTCTCCCAAAGTGATGAGATTACAGGCGTGAGCCACCACGGCCAGCCCCAATCATTGATTTTCAATACAAAGTCTCATGTGCCTAAGTCCCAAGTACTTCCTTTGCACCCCAAACCTAATATGCCCTGAAATATCAGAATGATCGGATTGTGAGACTTCCTGGTCCCTATACCCGTCTGAGCCCAGAAGCTGGACCTCCAACTTACCATGTTCCTGAAATAGAAGCGTTGGCATTCAGTACTCTCTGATTCTTGCACTTCCACACTCAGAAAATGGTTCCCCACATACATTTCTCCCTCATCATAAAACCTTGTGATACCACATATTGTCCAATCCAGAAATATGACTCTCCCAGACCAAGTTCCCTATTATTTCAAAATCCAATGTCCACTAAACAATATGGGGTTCCGGTGGCTCCTCACTCCTCATTCTCCATGCCTGTACAACGTACAGGTACAGCGGGGATTCCTGTTGACCTGCCCTCCTAGGTCAGAATTGTCCTCATGCAAAATCCAATGCCTCCTTCTCACTGAAATGTCTAGCTATCAGGAGCCAGGTTTATACACTCCAAGATTAAGCTGCAAGCCAGGCACGGTGAGTGGCTCATGCCAGCAATCCCAGTGCTTTGGGAGTCCAAGGCTGAAGAATCACTTGAAGTCAGAAGTTCAAGATCAGCCAGGGCAACAAAGTGAGACCCTTTCTCTACAAAAAAAAAAAAAAAATTTAATTAGCCAGGTGTGGTGGCAAGCACCTGTAGCCCCATCTACTCAGGAGGCTGAAGCAGGAGGATCCCTTAAGTCCAGGAGGTCAAGGGTTCAGTGAGCTATGATCACACCACTGCGCTCCAGCCTGAGTGACAGAGCAAAAGACCCAGACTGTGTCTCAAAAAAAAAAAAAAAAAAAAAAAGAATTAGGGTGGCATTGAGAAATCTCATTTTGGTGTCTCAGAAAAGAATCAAGAATAAGAGTCCTGGTGTTAACTCTTATTATAAGAGTCCACTGTTAACTCTATAAGATTTCTTTGATTTTGAAAAAAAAAATGTGATTTCATCTGTTCAATAAAACCAGAGCAGCTTACGCTGATCCAGACCCAGCTGTGTCTCAAGAATTTGACAAAATCTTCCCCCATTTCCAGCTGAATGACCAGATCAATTCCAAGTACAGTGAAGGAGACAGAAGTGGACATAGATAATCACAATTCAAGACCAGGATAGAGGGATATTCACAGCCAGTGGCCTGATTTCCCCCACACAACCACTCGTTCCCTGGAATGACCGTCTGAAAGGAAATTTGCCTCAGCTTGAATGAGAACCACCTGAATCCAGTGTCCCAAGCATATCCTCATCCCCATGATAACCTCAACCAAAACCTGACCCAAACCAATTTAACACAGCCCAATCCAACCACATCACCCACAAGCCCAACCCATCAACCCAACACAACTTAATCTAATTCAAGACAACCCTAATAGCCTCCTTCATTTAAAGATCAAACCAAACTAATGCACATCCTCGCATGCAATAGCCAGCTCCATGTATTCTATCTCCAAAACTAAACCTACTTCATCCCCAATTCAATCCCCACACCCTTCCCAGCCAACATAAAAACAAACCTATTTCCATCCCAAAGCCATGCCATCCCAAACCACCTTTAAATTGCCAATCCCCAAACTCATCCGAAGCAGAATTTTACCCCATCTGTAACTCAACTCCAACCTGACCCTCCATTCTAACTGGTCTTCATACTCCGTTTTCAATGCTATATCCAGCACTTTATCTGGCCAAAGGAGATCAAACACAACCACATCCCACTTCTCGAGCCAGTCCACAGCCTCCTCCCCACCCGTCATGGCCCCCTCTGGGCTCTGACCACACAGGAGTCCGTGCCTTCACCCGCTCTTCCTGCACACACCATGGTGTTCATCAGGGCCCTGGGTAGTCCCTGTTACAAGATGTGGTACAGATGAAGCTGATGCTGGCACAGTGCCTCGTATCTGGGAGACTCACTTGGGAGGACAGTGGAGTGGGGCAAACCCGTAAGTTCAGGCTCCTGTGCCCTCCACCCAGAAGTCCTTGAGATTTCATGGACAGCGACATATGGCCATTCTCTAGCACCTTTCAGTCCTGGTTTCCTGTGGTTCTAGGATCTTTATCGGACACCAGGCCCCGGCCTGGCACCACGCAGGCCACATCCACCAGGGGACGCACGTCCACAGCTCCATGGTTGGGACGTGACGGGAGAGGCGCGCTGCAGGGATAGTCGCAGCTACATGACGTCATGGCGCCGGCCTCGCCCGCATAGTGCAGATGCTGAATGATGAGTGGATGATGCCCCAGGCCTCGGGACATGGCACATGTGCAGATTATACTCGCGCAGGCGCACTCTTGTGGAACTAGAAGAGTAGGTGATTACCCTCAAGTGGAGTAAGGAGTAGATGGAAAGATCAAAGCATGGGCAACTCTCAGTCCTCTGACCCTTTGAGAATCAGGAGATTCCATTACCTTCACACCAAACCCTGGAGCCAATGGTTCCAGTCCTTGCTTCCCAGGGACCCACCAAGGAGTCTCAAGCTAACAAACCCCTGCAACTCAACCCCTCACAATTTCAGCCCCTTCTTCCCGAGGATACGGGATTCTTAGACCTCTCAGGCCATTCCCACGTCAGTACCTCGGAAGCTGGGACCTTACCAGTCTCCTCCCTTGGGGATTTAAGAGTTCAGAACCCACATTCCTCCTCTCCAAGGACATTCACCTCCAGCCTCTTCCTCCTTCGGAACCAAGGAGTATGGGCCCCCTCTGCACTCAAGCCCAGAAGTTCTGATCCCCACCCATGTCCCCTCGAAATTCTGAGCACTCCCTTATTCTGGGGTTGGCAGTGGGGCACTGCCAAACATGGTGGGGAACTGGACCTAGAAATCTTGGTTAGGCACAGTGAAGCCAGATGTGGTAGACACACTAATGATGGGATGTTAAGACTGTCCTGCAGACAAGAGTGGAAGGCTCTGGGTGAACAGTGTTGGGAGACAATTTTCCATGGTTCTCTTATGTTTCTGTGTGTCTTCTGAGCAAAGGCAATAATACCGTTTTCTTTTCTGGACCATCTTTTCAAGCATATTTGTACAGCAGATAGCCTTGCAAGATGGTATCGCCTTCAGATCTAGGTTTGCTTACTGCCTTAGATAATAAAGTTAACGTCTATTTTACAGCAGATTTGTTTACTGTTCAGGACAATAAATACAATATGTTCCTCCAGAGTAGGTCTGCTTTCAACCCAATTATAAAGATAATATCTCCGTCAGATACAAAGACTGGACAAGTTTGCTGGTACCTTCTTATAAGATTGAGGATTTCTAAGCCTAGGTTGCTCACCTTTGCCACAAACCCCTGTGTCCATCCACCTGAACTGCTCTGATCATCCCATATGAATTGGGGGGCAAAGTGAACAAATGTGAACACAAAGTTCATGCTGCCTCCTTAGCTGTGGGTAATAAAATCTTTTGCCTCTGACCCAGGAGTCTCATGAGTTCTACCAGCACAAAACTGGCAGGTTAGCTTATGTGTTTGCAAGTCGGTAAAATGTCAGCTCTTTCAGAGTTCTTTTTTTTTTCTCCCCTGTAGGATACACATTTATAGTTCTCTGCAAAGAGTTAGGTACTGTGGCTACACCTGGCCAGCTGGAGATGGAGCTGGGAAGAGTGGGCAGTAAGACTGAGGAAGGGGAGAGGGCACAGAGAGATTATGATGGGCTCCTGGTATCATAGAGGAAGTCTGAGATAACCTCAAAGTCAAGATCTGAGATAGGGGGTCAAGGAAAGTGCATCCCCCTTTCCGGGGCAGAGACATCCAGCCATAATTTCTCTGCAGACAATGTCTAATCATGGTCCTCTGGAGCCCCTTGCATCCAGAATGACTCTGACCTATTGGTCACCCCCTTCTTATCCACAGTCCTTTCCTCTGTCAAATGAGGCTAGTAGTGCCCACCCTGTAGCCATGTTGTGAGGATTAGATGAGCATCTGTGAGTGCTGAAAGCCATGCCTAATACTTTCTTAGCACTCAGCAATGTTAGCACACATAGAAGTCACTCTCCACAGCCAGACATGTGCTGGTGTCTCACACACATGACCACATTTGATCCTCACAATAACCCTGTGAAGGAGAGTGTGCAGTAAAGGATTCTCCTTGCCCAAAGAGGCCAGGTCTTTGCATTCAGCTCCTGAGAGGTCATCTCTAAGCTTTTGAAATATCCTGCCTGTTTAGAGTGCCTGTGTTTACACGGGAGCTTGGGCCACACTGGATAGTCTAACAATGTGATTTATGGTGACAATGTTGGGTTACAGCCTATCAGCTGTAGACGTCTGGAGGGGCTAAGTACTAAAGTTCAGCCATGAAGGTGGTCGACATGTCTGTGCAACCAAGCTCCAATATAATCAAGGCTCAGTTGAGTTCCCTGATTGGCAATACACTGAATATTATCACACATCATTGTATGGAGAAGATACTGCTTTCCATGACACCACTGGGAGAAAACAACAGGAATCTCTGCACTTGGAGCTCTCCTTGTCTTTGCCCCATGCAACTCTTCCCTTGCTAGATTTTCATCTCTATTCTTTTGCTGTAATAAACCATAGCCATGAGCATAACAGCTTTCATTGAGTTATATGAGGGCTACCAGCAATCACTGAACCTGAGGATGATCTTGGTGACTCCCTTGAAATCTCAATTGATGTCAGAAGTAAGGGCCATCTTGAGAACTCCTGAACTCTGCAGAGGGACTCTTATTTCCACTTTAAAGTAAAAGAATGTAAATCAGGTATGTTAATGCACTAGAAACTGGCAAAGCCAGGATTACCATATATAGGTAGAATCCAGGGAATATATTGGGAATGCATTTTTAAGGTGGGTGTAGAATAACGGTAGAAGGAATGTAAAGTTGGATCAGGCTGAAATTATTCATATGAACCTATTAAACAGAAATCCTAGGTTTAACATTGCAGCTAGGGAAGTGGGGAAAGGTTCTAATGGTTTATTCGGTTGTTTGGTTGAAACATGGACCAAAAGATAGCCCACTGTATATGAAGTTGAAATGCCAGACCGGGTCACTGACTACAGACTCCAGCCCTAGAAGGCAGAACCAGGACTGGAGATGTCCTACTCAAGATAATAGAATTCTGACCACAGATTTCAGATTCTAGATGCCTCAAGGACAGACATTAGGATTCAGAGCAAATACCAAACCCCAAACCACAGTCGCAACATGTCAAATATGTGCTCCGGAAGCCAACCCCAAACTGCTGAAGCCAAGCTTCAGACTTCAGCCCCATACTCCTGATTCTAGGCTGAAGAAGCCAAGCTCCAGGTTCTATATTCCCACACTCTAGAACTCAGGAAAATCTCTGGGACAGTAGTTCTCAAACATTTTCCATCTTTGGACACATTTACACTCTTAACAATTATTGAGGGCCCTCCAAGAGCTTTTATTTATGTGGATTATATCTATCCATATTTATCATATTAAACATTTGTTTCATGGTGGGCAGGGTTGTGCAACCTACCCCAAAGTCTGAGGAAGCTGAGAGTCCAAAGAAACAAGCTGACAAATCCAGTTTCTTAGAAAGAAACATTTAATAGAGACTTACCAACAGAAGCCATGTCTGTGTCTCAGGTGGCAGCCAGACAAGATGGTGGACCCCTCTGCCATTATCCCCCAAGACCCAGGGCTTATATGCCATAGGGGAGGAGTCATTCAGAAGGAATGTGTAAGACAATTGAAGTACGATGCCATCAAGGTTGTTTGACCTAAGGACAGGATTTATGGTAAATACCTGCTATTTGGCAAGAAAGAATACATAAACTTGGAATTTTGGAGATCCTTGTATTAGTCCGTTCTCACACTGCTGTAAAGAAATACTCAAGACTGGTAATTTATACAGAAAAGAGGTTTAATTGGCTGATGGTTCTGCAGGCTGTACAGGAAGCATGGTGGCATCTGCTTCTGGGGAGGCCTCAGGGGGCTTTTACTTATGGTAGAAGGCAAAGCAGGAGCAGGTATCTTACATGGCAGTAGGAGGACCAAGAGAGGGAGGGGAGGGGCCACACACTTTTAAATGACCAGATCTCACGAGAACTCACTCACTATCACTGTAACACCACAAAGAAGAAAATCTACTCCCATGACCGAATCACCTACCACCAAGTCCCACCTCCGAACACTGGGGATTACAATTTAACATGAGATTTGGGCAATGACACAGACCCAAACTGTCAGTCTTCCCAGAACAGGGGTTAATCAGAAGCCACCATGGCAGGTTAGCTTTCAGGATAGGTTGCTTTACCTTCTTATTCAAGGTGGAGTTGCTCTGACCTCCACACTCTACCCCCCGAATCTGGCTCTTACAATTTCATGTTTCCTCCTCTTCCATGATGGTCCCTGATCCTTTAGTGAGGGTTTTAAATGTATAGCTTTAGCAGCAGTGCATCAGCAATCTGAAGCAGATCAAGCCCAGTGGATTGCATATGAGGAGATTCACCAGCTGTGTTGAGTCATCTCTAGTCCTCAGAATACCATGGCTTCAGTTTTCTCAAAAGAAGGAAAACTATGAGATACACATAACAATAATTTGAAGAGTAGAACTGTAAGGCACACAAGCTAGAACACCAAAAACAAGAAAACTGTTCTAGTAAAGAGCCAGATAAATGTGTCACGAAGACAATGAAAACCAAGTTCTTCTTTAGAGAGTTTTTGCAACCAGAAAATAATTCAGGATTTAGCTCAAATTGTAGGCACATATAAAAATTCAGAAAAAAAGGTCAGATGCAATCTAAATTTTTCTCTATTTTCCCTGTTCTTACCAAGAGTAAATCATAGCAGGACCAATTTATTTGCAAAATAAATTTTGGCCTCATTATATTTGGCCTGTTTATTTGTGTAAAGTATAGCAAGAAGAGTGATCAGCCATACAGGCCCCTTTTAAGGTAGCTTAGCTGGAGCTTTTATAAAAAATTTTGGATTCGACTTTTAAGAGCCTAAAGTCTTGAAGCCAAGCCACGCCAAAGATTTGCCATTAGGCTGTGCTTGTAATACCTGTATGAATTCCTCTCTTCTCAAGGTCCCAAAATATCTTGAGGTTCTTGGACCTCTTAGAAAATGACATTCTTGGCTGGGCACAGTGGCTCACACCTGTAATCCCAGCACTTTGGGAGGCCAAGGCAGGCAGATCGTTTGAGGTCAGGAGTTTCAAACCAGCCTGGCCAACATGGCACAACCCCGTCTCTACTAAAAATACAAAAATTAGTCGGGCGTGGTGGCGGGCGCCTATAATCCCAGCTACTTGGAAGGCTGATGCAGGAGAATCAGTTGAACCCAGGAGGCAGAGGTTGCAGTGAGCCAAGATCGTGCCACTGCACTGCAGCCTGGGCAACAGAGCAATACTCCATCAAAAAAAAAAAAAAAGAAAGAGAGAAAGAAAGAGAAAGAAAGAAAGAAGGACAAAAAGAAAGAAAGAAAGAAAGAAAGAAAGAAAGAAAGAAAGAAAGAAAAGAAAGAAAGAAAGAGGGAAAGAAAAGAAAGAAAGAAAGAGGGAAAGAAAATGAGAGTAGACCTTTCACATATACAAAAGCTAACTCAAGATGCATTAAAAATGCAAATGTTTACATTCAGACTTTCAAAATTCTAGAAGAAAACCTAGGAAATACTCTTCTTGACCCAGACCTTGGCAAAGAGTTTATGACTAAGTCCCCAAAAGCAATTGCAACAAAAACAAAAATTGGCAGGTGGTTTCTAATTAAACTAAGATGCTTCGGCACAGCAAAAGAAGCCATCAATAGAGTAAACAGACAACCTACAGAATGGAAGAGAGTATTCACAAACTATGCATCCAATAAGAAGTCTAATATCCAGAATCTATAAGGAACTTAAACTAAAAAGCAAAAAATAATCCCATTAAAGTGGCCAAAAGGCATGAAGAGACACTTCTCAAAAGACGTACAAGCAGCCAACAAATATGAAAAAATGCTCATTGTCACTGATCATCAGAGAAATTCAAATGAAAACCACAATGAGATACCATTTCACGCCAGTCAGAGTGGCTATTATTAAAAAGTAAAAATTTGCTTAAGTTCCTTGTAGATTCTGGATATTCTTGACCTTTGTCAGATGAATAGATTGCAAAAATTTCCTCCCATTCTGTAGGTTGTCTGTTTGCCCTGTCAGGGTGAGGGTGGGGCAGTAGTGAGAGCATTAGGGAAAAGAGCTAATGCAGGCAGGGCTTCATACCCAGGTAATGGGTTGACAGGTGCAGCAAACCACCATGGCTCACGTTTACTACCTATGTAACAAACCTGCACATCCTGCACATGTACCCTGGGAAAACAACAACATATTCTTTTTTAAAATAAAGAAAAAAAAACCATGATGACAAAGCTGTGGAGAAAAGGGAATGCTTATATACTGTTCGTGGAAATGTAAATTAGTTTGTTCTCTATGGCAAACAGTTTGGAAAATTCTCAAAGAATTTTAAACAGAGCCACCGTTCAACCCAGCACTCCTATTAATGACTGTATACCCAAAGGAATGCAAATCATTATACCAAAAAGACACATTCATTCATATGTCTACTGCCACACTGCACACAATAGCAAAACTGTGGAATCCATGGAATCTACCTAGTTGCCCATCAATGGTGGATTGGTTAAAGAAAATGTGGTATATATGGGCCGGGCGCAGTGGCTCACCCCTGTAATCCCAGCACTTTGGGAGACCGAGGCAGGTGGACCACAAGGTCAGGAGATCAAGACCATCCTGGCTAACACAGTGAAACCCCCATCTCTACTAAAAACACACAAAAAAATTAGCCGGACGTGGTGGCGGGCGCCTGTAGTCCCAGCTACTTGGGAAGCTGAGACAGAAGAATGACGTGAACCCCGGAGGTGAAGCTTGCAGTGAGCCGAGATCGTGCTACTGCACTCCAGCCTAGGCAGCAAAGCAAGACTCCGTCTCAAAAAAAAAAAAGAAAGAAAATGTGATCTATACGCAATATGGAATACTGCATGGCCATGAAAAATGAATCATATCCTTTACAGCAATATGAATGGAGCTGGAAGCCATAATCCTAAGTGAATTAACACAGGGACAGAAAATCAAATACCACACGTTCTCACTTACAGGTGGGAGCTAAACCTGGAGCACACATAGACATAAACATGAGAACAATAGACACTGCACACTACTAGAATGGGGAGGAAAAGAGGGGGAGTGGGTTGAAAACCTACCTGTTGGGTAGTATGATCACTACCTGAGTTCAATATACCCATGTAACAATCCTATATATGTGCCCCCTGTATTTCAAATAGAAGCTGAAATTTAAAAATAAAAATAAAAAATAAATAAAGTGATTGGGCACGGTGGCTCATGCCTGTAATCCCAGCACTTTAGGAGGCCAAGGCAGGTGGATCACCTGATGTCAGGAGTTCAAGACCAGCCTGGCCAACATGGCAAAACCCCGTCTCTACAAAAAATACAAAAATTAGCCGGGTGTGGTGGCACGCACCTGTAATCCCAGCTACTCGGGAGGCTGAGGTAAGAAAATCACTTGAACAGAGGAGGCAGAGGTTGCAGTGAGTGGTATCGCACTATTGCACTCCAGCCTAGGAGACAGAGCGAGGCTCCATCTCAAAACTAAATAAATATATAAATAAATAAAGTGAGGAGACCATTTTACACTCGCTTAAGCGATGTATGACAATAGTGTATTATCTAGAAAAGGCTACAGCTGCACACTACCAAACTGTTGGGATGAATTTATATTCTAGGTTCTGCATTCTTTCCCGCCAATATTTCTGCCATCCTTTCTCTCTAGGACTTTTAACATTTAAGCTTTGCCAATAATATTTCTAACTTTCATCTGGCTTCTTGGCTTTTCCATCTTCCTCTTCAATGGCACGGTATGAATCCTTTGATGTGAGGTCTTTCAAATATTTTAAAATCCATCAAACATGTCTCTACTATTTATTCACATATTTCCTCCTTTCCTATTCTTTTCTCCTCCTGAGGCTTTAATGTTATTGACTGTACTTCTAACACTCACATGGTTTAGCAATTCCTTAAAATTTTTCTGTCTCTGTCCTTCAATCTGGTCTAAAAAGTCACTATTACGTTCTTCACCTCTTTTACATTCTGCTACTCATGCATATTTTTTTTTACTTCTTTCAACTATTATACTTTTCCTACCTAATATTTCACCTTCGTCCTATTTTATATATTTTCTCATTCAATGTACCTAATATCTTCTGTAATCTCTTCTAGTATGCTAATTAGATTAACTTGTAATTAAATACAATATCAATTGGATTTGTAAAAACAATTTCTATGCAACCATAAAAAAGAATAAGATCACGTCCTTTGCAGGAACATGGATGGAGGTGGAAGCCATTATCCTCAGCAAACTAACACAGAAACAGAAAACCAAACACCACATGTTCTCACTTATAAGTGGGAGCTGAACAATGAGAACACATGGACACAGGGAGGGGAACAACACACACTGGGGCCTGTTGTGGGAGTCAGGGAGAGGGAGAGCGTCAGGAAAAACAGCTAATGCATGCTGGGCTTAATACCTAGGTGATGGGTTGATAGGTACAGCAAACCACCATGGCACATGTTTACCTATGTAACAAAGCTGCACGTCCTGCACATGTAGCCCAGAACTTAAGATAAAATAAAGTAAAATTTAATTTAATTTAATTTAATTTAATTTAATTTAATTTAAAACAGTCGCTTGTTTTAATTTAATTTAATTTAAATAGTTCCAAGACCCCCTGGATCACAAGACCAAACCAGACCTCCAGGAACTTTCCTCCTCCCCTCCTTTCCCTCACCCCCTGTACAGAAACAAATATATCTTCACACCCATGCAGTATAAAGTTGAAAAATAAGATTTCATTTTATTTGCTGCCTCAGTACTTGTACCCTAAAGGGTCTCAAAGGCTTCTATTGCCAGATATGTCCCCCCTACAATGGGAAAGGCCCCCACCTGGCTATTTCCTTTATCAGTTGGGGCAGCCGCCCTCCACAGGTCCTCACCGTAATGGGTTTTATTCCCTGCCAGCTTGAAAAATTTGTAACAGGACCATCACATTCCCCCATGGGAATCAGAGTTCACCCTGCCCTCTTGTTACTACAAAGCCCACCTCCCACAGTCCTTGCTTCTTCAAGCCAATCGTGAGCGCAATTCCCATGTCATTCTGCCTGGTGTACAGTGTCCTCCTGCCCTAGGCTGTGAATCTCTGTGGCTGAGAAACTCTTGTCGAGCTCATATCTCCAGTGCTATGTGTTGGGTGTTCAGACATCTTCATAACCTCAGGGTGGGAATTCCTCCAGCACCAATGTTGTGAAGAGAAGACAAATAAACCAATCACTGTATCCCCTTTGAGTTCAGTGTCCTTCCTCAACCTTCCCCTATTTCTGAATTCCTCCTTCTTGGGATAGCCCCATGGTCCACTTGGCCACAAGACAGAACCAGATCCCTAGGCGGTTTCCTCATCTTCTCCCTTTCCCTCACCCCCCTGTACAGTAAAAGGTTGACTCAGCAGCCCTGCACTGCTCAAAGCCTGAACGTTCCAAGTACAGGGCTCACCCTTGAATAACTCCTGGGAGATGACATTTAATCCCTTGGAACATTCGGCCCAAGTGCCTTGGTATACCTGGGGCCTTGGGCCGTGCCAGATGATTCATGCTAACAGTGCGATTCATGATGAATGCCTGTTTTTGTACATCTGAGGCTCTAGGCCATGCTGTATCTGCTTGAACTCTTGGGAACCTCAGGTCTGAGAAGTTAAGGTCAGCTATTCCAGTACTCCATGCCTATCCTACAGACCCCCAATAAAAACTCTGGACACTAAGGCTCAGGTGAGCTTCCTTAGTTGGAAATACTTCATACACAAGGTCACACATCACTTCTGTGTGATTTAAGTGCTGTCCACAACACCCCACTGGGAGAAAACAACTGAAAGATTTTCCCTGTTTTCTTCACATCCCCACTTAGATGCCTGTTTCCTTTGCTGATTTCAGTGTGTCTCCTGTCAATGTAACAAACCAGAATAAACCACAGTATAACAGCTCTTTATTTCTGTGAGTTCTACTAGGAAATCATCAAATCTGAGGGTTGTCTGGAGGACTTCAATACACCTCCCCCCATAGTGAATCAGCTTCCAGGGGGTCCAGTCCCTCTCCTTACTTCATCCCCATCCCATGCCAAAGGAAGACCCTCCCTCCTTGGCTCACAGCCTTCTCTAGGCTTCCCAGTGCCTCCAGGACAGAGTGGGTTATGTTTTCAGCTCCATCCTTGCTGTGAGTGTCTGGTGCGTTGTGCCTCCAGCTTCTGCTCAGTGCTTCATGGACAGTGTCCAGCACATGTCACTCTCCACTCTCTCAGTGTGGATCCCACCCCTCTTTCATCTCTGTACCCCACAAATAACACAGACACCCCATCCTATCTGTGTCCTCAGAGAAATTGAGTGATATGTCTCCAGGCATGGCCAGTATTCCCCAGGACACAGAGAGGACAAAATTACACCATTTAAGAAACACTCTGGTCTACACCTGTGTCTGCTGATTTCTTTTCCTAGCAACCCTGGACCTCACACCTAAGGACAAAGGTCAGTAGAACTGGGGAGGCTTGAGTCTTGGCCTGGTCATTTCCAAGGTTCCAAGTTTACTACAATAGGGGGTTGATAGGGGTGCTCAGGGGTTGGCCACGATGGTGTCCTTGATCCACTTCCGGTAATGCACCACCTTGGTGTACAGGGAAGGCCTTTCGGGCAGGGCACATGGTTCACTGCCCCATGACGTGATACCTTGAAGCACACCATTACAGACAAGTGGGCCCCCAGAATCACCCTAAGGGTAAAAGCAGGGAGAGAGTGAGATAGGTCAGTCCCAGTTTCTGCCTGGGCAATCCTATCTTTCAGACCTGGACAGGCAGATAACAGATAGCAGTTCCCAGCTTTGGAAGAAGAGAGAAATGTCTCCAGAGCCGACTTCCAGAAGAAGGTGGGCAGGGATTCCAACAGAGGGGTAGGGGCTCCAGTCCTGGCCGGTGGGGAAGGGACTTCAGGGTCCAGCTCCTGTGCAGAGGGGAGGGTCCACGAGGACAGTCCTTGTAGACAGGTCGGTGGGACAAGGGCCAGGACCATCTGCAGGATGCTGTCCCCGTGGCTCCTCACAGAGGCCACCTTCCAGGACTACTCTCTGACTAGACACCTCCTCTCCAGGGCACTAGGGAGCCATGGAGGACCATCGGCAGGGCTGGCATGGTCAGTTCGGTGATCAGAATGACCCACTGTGGGTAGGTGGAGAATGGAGTGGAGGGGAGAGACTGAGGGCCAGGAGCCTGTGAGGGAGGCTGGGTAAGGGCCCAGGTGGGGACAATGCCTGGAGCCACCCCCAGGTCAGCCCCATCATCACTCCCTCCACATCCCTGCTGCCCTCCCTCCCTGCAGTCTGATCCCATAGGGAGGCCAGCGGCAGCCTCTGGACACCTGAGCCAGGCCCTGTCCTGCTTCTGTCCAGCACCATCCACAGTTCCTGACTCCTCAGAGGAAAAGCAGTGTCCTCCTGTGGCCCAGGTGAGGCCCTGCAGGAGGGGTCCTTTCTTCCCTCTCGCACCCTGCCCCGATCCTTCACTCCAGCCAGGCAACCTCCTCTCTGCTCCTGACGCCCTCTAGGCCCCTCCTCCCAGGCCTGGCCAGATGCTGTTCCCTCTGCTCCCCCAGGTGCCGCAGGGCCCTCCCCTCCCCTGCGGCAGGTGTTTGCTCACTCCCGCCTTCTGCAGGATGTCTCCTCCCAGTCACACTCCCCACCCCTTCTCCCTCCCCGAGAGCCTGATCACCTCCTGACACCCTCCAGCTTTTCTGTGTTGTGGTCCCTGTTCCTGCCTGTGCCCCTCACTGGCTTGGGGGCTACAGAAGGGAGGGGCTGCTCTCTGTCTGTTCACTGCTATGTCCCAGGCTCTAGGGCAGTGCTGGGTGCATAGCAGGTGCCTAGTAACCGTGTGCTGAACGCAGGAACAGATGAGTTGTGCTGTAAGAATAACCTATTGCCTTGAGGGAGTCAAAGAAGAGGGAAGGAGGGAATGAGATGAGACACGGGGAGGTGGCATGGCTACAGCTGGGGAGCAGGGGAGGCAGACGCCTTGTTGGCTTCTAGACCCCAGCCCAGAATTAAGGTCCCCACTCACCTTTCCCCTCAAGATCTTGGGAGTAGGGATGACTCACCGAGCAGGTGCTTTTGCCCCCTGTCCAGCGTCCAGCACACAGCATGAACTTGGTCACCTTCTGAGGGTGAACTTGCGCACACACGTCATTGGAAATAACATGGAGGTCCACACACTGAAGTTTCTTTGGGGTCAAGACTACGGGCCAGGCAAAAACACTGTTGTGGGCTGGACCCCACCTGGTTCCTTGGCCCTCCTCCCTCAGACCTAGGAGTCCTGTCCCCTCCTCCCTCAGACCCAGGCATCTGGGCTCCCGGCTGCACCATCTGGCCCAGGCGTACACTCCTCTGGTTCAATGCTGCCCCAGCCTGAGGCGTAGCAGGTGGTCCCCAGTGCTGGCTCCTGGGTGGGCAGGTCCATGACCTTCACAGCATCCGTGAGCTCGGCAGGCTCTGACAGGCGGAGCAGCATGAGGTCGTGGCTGGAGTCATCACCTGGCCTGAGGAATCGATTCTTCAGGAGGCTCATATCGTAGAGCGGGTGTGGGAAGCTGTGGCTGACCTGAAATACCTGGCCTGTGTCTTCAGGATGAAACAGGCTGTGCCGACCCAGCAAGATCACGCTTTTGCTGGGGAGGAAGCAGACGCAGGAATGAGGAGCGAGGATGATAAGGAAAGAGAGAAGGGACAGAGGAGCAAGGAGGAGGCTCCAAAAGAGAAAAAGAAACAGTGAGAAAAACACAGGGTTGGGGAAGACACAGTTCAGGCCAAAAATACAGACAACGAGTTGGGAAACAGCAGTGTGAGAGGGTGAAGGGCAGATACAGAAACTGAGAGAAACCAAGGGAAAAAGGAAGAGGGTAAAAGGACAGAGAGAATGAAAGGGCAGAGGGGAGAACAGTGACAAACAAGGTGAGCCGAAAATACACAGGATGAGAAAGAAAAGACAGAAACATAGAGAAACAGACATGGGCCAGAGAAAGAGAGAGAGAAGAACAAAACCAGGCAGAAAGTGAGAAACAGATGAATGAGAAAGGGAAGCAGGAAGTCAAAGGAAGAATGAGAACCAAGTAGAGAGGAATCCGGGGGATGATAGAGTGTGGGAGAGAAAAGGGAGAGAGACTTTGGAGCTGAGTGGGGACCGCTGGGGAGGGGAGGCCTCAGAGTGGCTCAGCTGTAGATGCGGCTTTGGCGTGGGTTTCCAAGTGGGTAGGTAGCCTGGCCTGCAGGCCCAAGGTTGTATCCTCCACTTCGCTCCCCAGGGTCCTTTCCCCCATACCCTGTTTTCCTTCCCCCTTCTCCTTCCTCCTCCCTCAATTGCCCCTCCCAGCTCCAGCTGGAACCAGCCCTTCTCTGTGTCTCCCAAGAGTGGAGGGATGTCCTGGAGAAGGAATGGAGTGAGAGGGGCCCTCTCATACCCTCATACCCACACACATCAGGGATAAAACACTTCCTTTTCTTTTCTTTTCTTTTCTTTTTTTTTTTTTTTTTTTTTGAGGCGGAGTCTCACTCTGTCACCCAGGCTGGAGTGCAGTGGCACGGTCTCGGCTCACTGCAACCTCCACCTCCCAGGTTCAAGCAATTCTCCTCCCTCAGCCTCCTGAGTAGCTGGGACTACAGGCATGCGCCACCACGCCTGGCTAATTTTTTGTATTTTTAGTAGAGATGGGGTTTCACCAGTTGGCCAGGCTGGTCTCGAACTCCTGACCTCAGGTGATCTACCTGCCTTGGCCTCCCAAAGTGCTGGGATTACAGGTGTGAGCCACCGCGCCCAGCCAAAGCCCTTCCTTTTCTCAGGGTCCCCCCAGGCCCATCCCATGCGTGTGCTCAGTAGGGAGAAGGCACAGGTGAGACAGAGACCGAGAGACAGAGCCTGGCAGAGAGATACAGGGTGAGACACACTGGCTAGAGAGGGACCAGAGAAGGACAGAGAGAGGGGGAGATATGGAGACTGAAGACAGAGAAGAGAGGGAGAGAGAGAACAAAATAGTCACACGGAGAGACACAACCGAAGCCAGTTACCAAGAGACATAATGAAAGCGACACAAAGAGACATAGAGGAACACAGATGGAGACCCAGGCAGCCATGGGGAGGGTGGTCCAGCCCCAACCCTGCCTCCCCATGTGACCTGAACCAGAACTTTCCCTCTCTCCCCCAGTCCCAAGGCTGGCCTTAGAGGTTATCCTGGGGAAAATGCCCAGCTGTTATTCCTCTGGGACACAGACACCTGCTCCCCAGACCCCAGGCCCCTACTCACTTCCTGATGCAGTGGGCAGCTGTGAGGACCCACTGGGGGTGCACCAGAACACCGCCGCAGACTGCCCTGCCACGAGAGGCCACAAGCACCTGCCAGGGTTGGGAATGCTTCTCGCACTCCCAGCCTCCCACAATCCGAGACAGGATGAGGGGTGCAGCACCTGCAGAGGGGGTGCTAGATCAGGGGAATCAGGGTTGACAGGAGGAACTGGGGGACTCGGATAGGAGATGGATTTAGGATGTGGGTTTGAAAAGACACGGGGGCAGAGAACCAAGGCTGGGAGTCCTGGGACATGGGCAGGGGGAGCTGGGAAAGGCTGGGAATTCTGTCAATCTTCCCTAGGTTTGCAGGTTGGTGGCTGGTGCTGGTGGAGAGGCTTCATGCTCTGGGAGCAGAGTTGAACCCAGGGATCAGGGTAGGAGACACAAGACAGCGCCCAGACCATATCTTGAGTCTGGGGATTGGGTCCTTTGTGGTGATTTGGGGTCTTGGACTGGGAGAAGGGAAACTTGGTACAAGTTGTGGATTCTGAGGGGATAAGCGGTGCTAGGAACCAGGGATAAGTGCCTTATGGCGAGGTTCAGTTGCTGGAAGAGGAAGGTTTTGGAAAGTTTAGGAAGTCCCAGGTTGAGAAAACAGTTCTGGTCTGAGTTGGTTTTGTTTTATTTGTTTTTCTTTTTGTTTTTAGGTTTTGAAAAGGATGCAGATTTGGGGAATCAGAGAGCTGGCAGTTGTGGCTGGGGATGCTCATGTTTTTCCTAAGGAAAATGTGGGCCACTGAATGAAGAGTCTGGGGCTAAGAGTCAGGGAATGAGGAGTTCTCAGAGTCCCATTGCCAGACTGAGGGACCCATTTGTTGTCTCAGGCCAGATAGCCTGGCTAGGAAGAAGGAGGTGTCTGGTTGGCATCTGGGTATCCTAGGGCAAGATTGGGAGGCCAAGCATCAAGGTCTCTGGGATAGGGTTGGGCACTCACAGCTGAATGGGAAAAGTCAGTAGACTGTGATAGGATTGAGGGGCTCAGGAGGTGGACCAGTGATACGGTCCAAGGAACCAATGGCATTGAGAGAGGTCCTTGGAGGTTTTGAGCCCCACAAAGAGAAACACGGAGATGCCCAGGAACTTCCCCTTTAGTAAAGCAGCTGGGAGCAGGGAGCTGGCTGGGCAATGGGGAGAAAGTTCTGGGGTAAGTGGGAGGGAGCGGGGACCTGGTGTGGGAGTGAGGACTGTTGCAATATGGAGGGGCTGGGGGTATGGGCTTGGAGTGGGGCTGGGAGAGACAGAAAAGAGCCCAGCTCCCTGTCTGGGCTGGGGTGCTGGGTTGGGGGGGAAAGAGCCTCAGCTTGACAGTCAGGGCTGGCTCCCTCTCCTGCATCCCCCCAACCATGGCCCCTCTCACCAATCCACGTCACGGACAGGGTGAGGAAGACAACCGGGACCCACATGGTGACACAGCTCTCCGGGTGCAGGTGGTAAGCTTGGGGCTGGGGAGCCTCCCCCAGGAGCCCTATAAAACCTTCATTCCCCAGGACTCCGCCCCTGCCCTGCTGGCACCCAGAGGCTGACCAAGGCCCTCCCCATGCTGCTGGAGGCTGGACAACCCCCTCCCACACCCAGAGCTGTGGAAGGGGAGGGAGAGCTAGCACTTGCTGTTCTGCAATTACTAGATCACCCTGGATGCACCAGGCCCTGTAGCTCATGGAGACTTCATCTAGGGGACAAAGGCAGAGGAGACACGCCCAGGATGAAACAGAAACAGGGGGTGGGTACGATCCCCGATTCTTCATACAAAGCCTCACGTGCCTAGATCCTTTGCACTCCAAGACCCAGTGTGCCCTAAGACACCAGCACTCAGGAGATTGTGAGACTCCCTGATCCCTGCACCACTCTGAGACCAGAAACTAGAACTTTTATTCCTCATGCTCCTGAAATAGATGTCTTGGCATTTAGTACATTCTTTTCCTTGCACTCCCAACCCAGAATCCAGCTCCACAGATACATTGCTACTGTCATCATAAAAAGATCTTGTGGTCCACAGATCCTCTAGCCCAGAAATATGAGTCTCCCAAAGTTCCCTAGCATTTCAAAATCCAACGTGCAGCAAACAATGTGGAATTCCAATAACCCCCCACTCCTTGTTCTCCAGACCTGTGCACTCTATCTGTGCAACAGAGATGCCTGCTGACCTGCCCTCCCAGGTCAGAATCATCCTCATGCAAAATCCAATGCCCCTTCTCCAACAAAATATTTAGCCTTTAGGAGCCAGGTTTATGTACCTCAAGATTAAACGACAGGTCAGTCATGGTGGCTCACGCCTGTAATCCCAACACTTTCCGAGGCCAAGGTAGGAGGATCACTTGAAGCCAGGAGTTCAAGGCCAACCAGAGAAACAAAGCAAGATCCATCTCTACAAAAAAAAAAAAAAAATTTTTTTTTTTTGAGACAGAGTCTCACTCTGTCACCCAGGCTGGAGTGCAGTGGCGCAATCTCGGCTCATTGCAACCTCTGCCTTCTGGGTTCAAGTGATTCTCCTGCCTCAGCCTCCTCAGTAGCTGGGATTACAGGTGCCGTGTGCCACCACGCCCGGCTAATTTTTCTATTTTTTTTTTTTTTAGTAGAGACAGAGTTTCACCATGTTGGTCAGGCTGGTCTCAAACTCCTGACCTCGTGATCCACCCATCTCAGCCTCCCATGGTGTTGGGATTACAGGCGTGAGCCACTGTGCCCGGCCCCCCAAAAAATTTAAAAATTATCTGGATATGGTGGTGGACTACTGTAGTCTTAGCTATTGGGAGACCGAAGCAGGAGAATCTCTTAAGGCCAGGAGTTCAAGGCTACAGTGAGCTGTGATCACGCCATTGAACTCCAGCCTGGGAAATAGAATGAGACTGAAACCTCGATTTAAAAAAAAAAAAAAAAAGATTAAGGTGGCATGCAAAATCACAATTTGTAGTCTCAGAAGAGAATCGGGAACTCTTAAGAGCCCTGGTACCTCCACTGTTAACTCCGTAAGATTTCATCAATTTCCAAAAAGTTGGTTATTTCAGCTGTTCAATAAAACCAGAGTAGCTCACTTGATCCAGCCCGAGCTGTGTCTCAAGAATTTGACAAAAGTGGCTGGGCGCGGTGGCTGACGCCTGTAATCCCAGCACTTTGGGAGGCTGAGGCAGGTGGATCACCAGGTCAGGAGTTCGAGGCCAGCCTGGCAAACATTGGTGAAACCCCATCTCTACTAAAAATACAAAAATTAGCTGGGCATGGTGCTGCATGCCTGTAATCCCAGCAACTCAGGAGGCTGAGGCAGGAGAATCACTTGAACCTGGGAGGCAGAGGTTGCAGTGAGCCGAGACTGCGCCACTGCACTCCAGCCTGGGCAACAGAGTGAGACTCTGTCTCAAAAAAAAAAAAAAAAAAAAAAAGAATTTGATAAAATCTTCCCCTGTTTCTAGTTGAGTGATCAGGTAAACTCCAAGCACAGTGAGGGAGACAGAGGTGGATATAGATAATCACAATTTAAGACCATCTTAGAGCTGGAGTGGAAGGATATACTTAGCCAGTGGCCTGACCTCCCCTACACGTGAATTAAGGCTTCCCCGGATTCATCCTGGAAAGGAAGTTTGTCTCCACTCCAGTGAGAACCTCATGGATCCGGTGTCCCCAAGCATATCCTCAACTCATCCTCAACCAAAACCTGACCCAACCCAATTTAATACAAACCAATCCAACTGCATTATACACAGCCCCGACCCCATCAACCCAACGCAACTTAACCTAACAAGCCAACCCTTATGTCTTCCCCCATTGTTTGATTCCCCATCAAACAAAACTCATGGCCACTGTCAAATCTGACAGCTACTTCCACGTCTTCTACCTCCAAAATCAAACCCAGCTTCATCCCCAGTTCAATCCCCAAGGATGTCTGAGCCAACATCAAAACAAATCTATTTCCATCCCAAAGCCATGCCATCCCAAACCACCTCCACAGTGTCAATCCCAAACTCATCCGAAGCACAATTTTACCCCATCTCTAACCCAACTCCAATCTGATCCTCCATCCTAACTGGTCTTCATACTCCACTCTCAATCCTATACCCAGCACTTTATCTAACCAAAGAAAACCAAATACAACCACATCCCCGTTCTCAAGCCTGTCCATTGCCTCCTCCCCACCCATGATGATGCTCCCTTGGCTGTGACCTCACAGGAGTCCGTGCCTCCACCCCCTACTCCTGTACACACCATGGTGTTCATCAGGGCCCTGGGTAGTCCCTTTTACAAGATGTGGTGGAGATAAGGCTGATGCTGGCACAGTGCCTCGTATCTGGGAGACTCACTTGGGAGAGCAATAGACTTGGGGAAAACCCATAAGTTCAGGTCCCTGTGCCCTCCACCCAGAAGCCCTTGAGATTTCATGGATGGTGACATATGGCCATTCTCTAGCACTTTTGAGTCCTGGATCCCTATGATTCCAGGCTCCCTGTCTGACACTAGGCCTCAGCCTGGCACCATGCAGGCCACTCCCACCAGAGGAGGATGTCGGCAGCTCTACGGTTGGCAGGTGGCTGGAGAGGCACGCTGCAGGGATAGTCACAGCAACATGACGTCATGGTGCTGGCCACACCCTCAGAGTGTGGATGCTGGATGATGAGTGGATGACACCCAAGGCCTCTGGGGCATCTTTCATGCTCAGATTGTGCTTGCCCAGGGGCACCTTCATGGAGCTAGAAGGGCTGGTGATACCCTCAAGTGGAGTAAGGATTAGGTGGCAAGATGGAAGAATGGGCAACCCTCGATCCTCAGACTCTTGAGGAATCAAGAGATCCCATTACTATCACCCCAAACCCTGGACCTAATGGTTCCAGCCTCTGCCCTTCAGGGGCCAAAGAGCCTTAAGCCACAAATATACCCAGAACTCTACCCCTCAGGATTCCAGCACCTTCTTCCTGAGGATATGAGATTCTTAGGCCATTCCCACATCAGTACCTCGGGAGCTGGGACCTTACCAGTCTCCTCCCTCATTGACCTAAGAGTTCGGAACTGACACTTTCCCTCCCCCAGTTCCTTCACATCCAGCCTCTTCCTCCTTTGAAATTCAAGAGGGTGGACCCACTCCTCACTCAAACCCAGAAGTTCTGATCCCCAGCCATGCCCCTTCGGGATCCTGAGCGCTGCCTTATTCTGGGTTTGGCAGTGGAGTGCTGCCAGACACAGTCGATCGGGACCTAGAACCTTGGTTAGGCATAAATAAGCAGGATGTGACAGAAGAAGTATTTAATGGTGGAACGTTGAGACTGTCCTGCAGACAAGGGTGGAAGGCTCTGGCTGAACAGTGTTGGGAGGCAATTCTCCATGGTTCTGTCACGTATCTGTGTGTCTTCTGAGCAAAGACAGCAACACCTTTTTTTTTCTGGATTGTTGTTTCAAGGATGTTTGTAAAGCAGGCATCCTTGCAAGATGATATCTCTCTCAGATCCAGGCTTGCTTACTGTCCTAGATAATAAAGATAATGTCTCTTACAACAGATTTGTTTACTGTCAAGGACAATCGATACAATATGTTCCTCCAGAGTAGGTCTGTTTTCAATCCAAGATCATGAAGATAATATCTTCATCAGAGACAAAGGCTGAGCAGGTTTGCAAGTTGTCCCAGTATAAGATTGAGGATTCCTAATCTCAGGTTTCTCACCAGTGGCACAAACCCCGTGTGCACAGCATCCACCTAGACTGCTCTGGTCACCCTACAAGATTTGGGGGGGGCAAGGTGTACTAATGTGAACATGAACCTCATGCTGTCTGCTAAGCTGTGAGCAGTAAAAGCCTTTGCCTCTGACTCAGGAGTCTCATGGACTCTGCCAGCATTCACAAAACTCTGGAAAGTTAGCTTATTTGTTTGCAAGTCAGTAAAATGTCAGCCCCTTCAGAGTTACTGACAAACAGGTGGGCACTGAGACTGCACTGGCCAGCTGGGAATAGAGATAGGAGGGGACCCAGCTGGATGCAGTGGGCAGTGGGGGTCATAGAGTCAAGAGGGTACAGAATACAATGGGGTCCTAGTATCATGGTGGAGGTCAGAAAGAGCCCTAAAAGAGAGGGTCAAGGTAGGAGGTTAGTGAAGGTCCACCTCCACCCTCTCCAGGACAGGGACATCAGGCCACAATTAATTTCTCTGCAGTTGGTGAGTGGTCATGGTCTCTGGAGTCCCCAGCATCCAGAGTGTCCCTGGTCTAGTGGTCCCCCCTTTCTGAGCCACAGCCAGTTTCTCCATCAAATGAGGCCAGTAATACCCATCCCATAGTGATGCTGTGAGGATGAGATGAGCATCTGTAAGTGCTGAAGATAATCCCTGACACATCCCAGCCATTCAGCAGTGCAAGCATACACTTACACGGCACTCCCCAGAGCCAGGCATGTGCTGGTGCCTCATACACGTGACCACATTTGATCGTCACAATGACCCTGTGAGGGAGACTGTGCAACAGAGGACTGACCTTGCTCAAAGACCTCAGGCGTTTCCCCTCAGAGCCTGAGAGGTCATCTCTTTTTTTTTTTTTTTTTCCTTTCTTTCTTTTTCTTTTCCATTTCTTTTTCTTTGCAAGAGGTCATCTCTAATGCTTTGGAATATCCTGCCAGTTTAGAGTGCCTTTGTTCACCTGAAGGTTTGGGCCACACCAGATAGTCTAACGGTGTGATTTGTGCTGAAGGTTTTGAGCCACACTATATCAGCTAGATTTCTAGAGGGGCTGGATACTAAAAGTCAACCATGAAGACAGTCAACATGTCTGTGTGATGGAGCCCCCCAAAAAATCTCTGGATATCGGCCAGGCGCAGTGGCTCACGCCTGTAATCCCAGCACTTTGGGAGGCCAAGGTGGGCAGATCACGAGGTCAGGAGACTGAGACCATCCTGGCTAACACAGTGAAACCCCATCTCTACTAAAAATACAAAAAAATTAGCCAGGCGTGGTGGCGGGTGCCTGTAGTCCCAGCTACTCAGGAGGCTGAGGCAGGAGAATGGCGTGAACCCAGGAGGCGGAGCTTGCAGTGAGCCAAGGTTGCACCACTGCACTCCAGCCTGGGCACAGAGCGAGACTCAGTCTCAGAAAAAAACACAAAAATCTCTGGACATCAAGGCTCAGTTGAGTTCCCTGGATGGCAATACACTGTGAATATTGTCACAGATCATTGCTTAGAGATGCTAGTGCTTTCCACGATGTCACCGGGAAAAGAAAACTAGAAGCTTCGCACTTTGAGTTCTCCTTGTCTTTGCCTCATTCACCTCTCCCTTGCCAGATTTTCATCTGTATCCTTTTGCTGTAATAAACCACAACCATGAGCATCCTAGCAAACGACTGAACCTTAAGGATGATCTTTTGGACTCTCCTGGAATCTCAACTGATGTCAATGGAGGGTCATCTTGGGAAGCCCTAAACTGTACAGGAACTGTTATTATTTCCACTTTAAAGTACAATAACATGAGTCACAGAGATGTTAGGTCACTAGAAACTGGCAAAGCCGGGATTGCCCATTATATAGACAGAAATCCAGGAAATATATGTGGGAATGCATATTAAGGGTTGGTATGGAATAATGGTGGAAGGAATATAAGGTTAGATCAGGCTGAATTTATTAATATGGACCCACTACACAGAAATATTGGGTTTAACATTGCAACTAGAGGAATTAGAAAGGGCTCTAACGATTAATTTGCTTGATTGGTTGAAAACAGTACCATGAAGTGGCCTATTCTGTGTGAAGTTGAAATGCCAGAACGGATCACGGGTAAAGAATCCAGCTCTGCAAAGCAGAACGCAGACTGCAGGTGTTCAACTAAAGATAATAGATTCCAGATTCCAGACTCCTCAGGGGCAGACTTTAGGATTCAAGGCAGATAGTAAACCCCACGCAGCAGATGAGCATGTCAGATCTGTGTTCCGGAAGCCAGCCCCACACTGCTGCAGCCAAGCCTCAGATCCCAGCTCCAAATTCCAGAATCTAGGCTCCAGAAGCCAAGCTCCAGGTTCTACACTCCCACACTCTAGAATTCAGGAAAATGTCTAGAACGGTGGTTCTCAAACATTTGCCATCTCAGGACATGTTTACACTCTTAAGAATTATTGGGCTGGGGCCAGGCGCTGTGGCTCACGCCTGTAATCCCAGTACTTTGGGAGGCCGAGGAGGGCAGATCACGAGGTCAGGAGATCGAGACCATCCTGGCCAACATGGTGAAATCCTGTTTCTACTAAAAATACAAAAAAATTAGCTGGGTGTGGTGGCACACACCAGTAATCCCAGCTACTCGGGAGGATGAGGCAGGATAATCACTTGAACCTGGGAGGCAGAGAGTGCAGTGAGCCGAGATCGTGCCACTGCACTCCTGCCTGGTGACAGAGCAAGACTCCGTCTCAAAAAAAAAAAAAAAAAAGGGAATTATTGGGCCGGGCATGGTGGCTCACGCCTGCAATCCCAGCACTTTGGGAGGCTAAAGCAGGTAGATCACCTGAGGTCAGGAGTTTGAGACCAGCCTGGCCAACACGGTGAAACCCCATCTCTACTAAAAATACAAAAATTAGCCGGGCGTGATGGCAGGCACCTGTAATCCCAGCTACTCAGGAGGCTGAGGCTGGAGAATCACCTTAACCGGGAAGGCAAAGGTTGCAGTGAGCCAACATTGTGCCACTGCACTCTACCCTGGGTAACAAGAGCAAAACTCCATCGAAAAAAAAAAACAAAACAAAAGAATTACTGAAGGCCTTTCATGGGTTTTTGTTTATATTAACTATATCTATTGATACCACAGTAGATATTAAAACTGAGAAATCTTTAAAATATTCAGTTATTAATTTATTTTTAAATAACAATAATAAATATGTTAACATAATGTATTTTAATGAAAAATAGCTATATTTTAAGAAAAAAACTAGTGAGAAAAAATGTTATGCACTTTTGCAAGTCTCTTTAATGTCTGGCTTAATAGAAGGCAGCTGGACTCTCATATCTGCTTCAGGGTTTAATTTGCTACAATATCACAGCATGTAGGCTCTGGAAAATTCCACCTTGTGCTTGTGAGAGAATAAGAGTGAGAAAGGTGCCAGGCGTGGTGGCTCACACCTGTAATCCCAGCACTTTATCAGGCCAAGGCGGGCGGATCATCTGAGGTCAGGAGTTCAAGACCAGCCTGGACAACATGGTGAAACTCCGTCTCTACTAAAAATACAAAAATTAGCCAGGCGTGGTGGCGGGCGCCTGTAATCCCAGCTACTTGGGAGGCTGAGGCAGGAGAATCACTTGAACCCGGGAGGCAGAGGTTGCAGTGAGCTGAGATTGTGCCACTGCACTCCAGCCTGGGCAACAAGAGTGAAACTCCATCTCAGAAAAAAAAAAAAAAAAAAAAAAAAAAGAGTGAGAAAGGTAAATAATGTGTACAGATTATTATGAAACTAGTGTTTGACCTCGCATACCCCCAGAAAGGTCTCAGGAATCCTTCCACTCCAGAGTTCCAGAATCTCCACTATAACAGCCTGAGATGGTCAGAGAGGCCCTCCCCCAGGGACAGAGAGGGACACAGAAGGACATACAGAGATGAATATGGTGCTTTTCTTCAAGATTACCATCATGTTTTCTCTTTATTGAGTACTACTTCATACCATATTTCATGTTGATCAGGTTTTCTGAGGTCTTCAGCTTCTTAAAAACAAAAAAAGAATAAAAGATTCTTAATATAAACTTAGGTATAACCCAGATTAATCTAATGGGAAAAGAAATAACAAATGTAAATAGCGAATCTAAATGATAAAAGGAATAATACGGGAACTATTCAAAAGAGTATACAGTACCAAAATCAATGCAAAATTTAGAAGATGTGGAATTTTTTAATTTAGCAATTGTCTTAAATGCCTTATAAAGTTCTTCTCCTACATTCTTTTGTCCTCATACTCTTCAGTTATCTCTGCTTATCATCAAATGATTTTGTAATCTGATTTTCTTTTTCTTTTCTTTTTTTTTTTTTTAGACAGAGTCTCGCTCTGTCGCCCAGGCTGGAGTGCAGTGGTGCGATCTTGGCTTACTGCAACCTCTGCCTCCCGGGTTCAAGCAATTCTTCTGCCTCAGTCTCCCGAGCAGCTGGGACTACAGGCGCATGCCACCACACCTGGCTAATTTTTGTATTTTTTTTTTTAGCAGAAACGGGGTTTCACCATGTTGGCCAGGCTGATCTTGAACTACTGACCTCATGATCCGCTCACCTTGGCCTCCCAAAGTGCTAGGATTACAAGTGTAAGCCACCACACCCGGCCTGTAATCTCATTTTCTAGGGGAAGAAAAATAATTTCATTTTTATCATATTTGATCAAAATCTGTTTTTCATTATTAATCCTTTAGAAACATTTCTTTCAGCTTCAAAGCTTTTATTTATTTAAATTTCATATGATTTGTCTAGGATTCTTGCCCAATTTGGGGAGAAATAATAGTAAGTTTCTTTCAAATGTCAGCTGAAAGATTTCAGGACATTTCAAGTGTTCTGATCCACCAATTAATCTAACACGGTTTATAAGCTAATGACACTAGTTTATCGTTCCTTTTCTTATTGAGGGATATTATTATGAGTTTATGTTATCTTCATCAAGTCACAGTTGTGACAACTAGCAAATATCAGTTAAATGAGAAATTAATGAATAGCTATATAGATGGGATGAGATACAGAAACAGATGGACAAACAGAGAGGGTTAGAGAGGCTAGAAAATATGAGAGATAACCTTTGTTATCTAACACAAAGAAAAGGCTTCTTGACACAACTTCAGAAGCACAAATCATAGACCAAAATTTGGATGTACTTCATTATAGGAAAATTTAGAATTTTTGCTTAGAGGGCACTGTCATCCAGAAACTTGTATAAGAATTCAGAATTTCTATTTATAAAAGATGACTTATACAATGTTCAAAACCAAAAAGAGATCACCATTTAGAAGGCACAAGAAACTTCTGACATGAACAAGAGAGCAACCCCTAAAAAAATGGACAAAGCATATGAACAGGCAATTAATAAAAAAGAAAAGTCAAGTGGGGGGAGGGATAGCATTAGGAGATATAACTAATGTAAATGACGAGTTAATGGGTGCAGCACACCAACATGGCACATGTATACATATGTAACAAACCTGCACGTTGTGCACATGTACCCTAGAACTTAAAGTATAATTAAAAAAAACAAACATATATATATATATATATATATATATATATATATATATATATATATATATAAAGAAAAGTCAAAAAGCTAATGTGGGGAGAAAATGGTGGCTAGGAAGCAGGACTAACTTGCAGCTCCCACTCAGATGGACAGAGCAGCATGTGGAGACTCACGTCTTGAATTTTTGCTCCAAGAACTACTGCAGGAACATACCAGGAAAGCCAAGAGAACCCACAGACCCTTTGAAGGAAGCACATTGCTGCTGCAGGCTCCAGGAGACAGCTGAAAAACTGTGAGTGCTCAAAGTGTGAAAAGTGTGAAGGGGGGATCATCCGCCCCTGCACACACATCCTCACTGGGGAATCTGAAGGTCCAGATCATGGGAGAAGGATTTGACCTTACCTGGAGCCGAGATGAACTTAGAGAGCTGAATGAAATACGGGGGGTAGAGAAAGCAGCAGGAAGAGCCCTGAGGGTACTGTTGGTCCCCAGGGAAGCCATTTCTGACTTCATCTCACAGGGGTCCTTGGGGAGGGCTGCCAACGGAATTGGGGAAAGACTACAGGGAGAAGGAAGCTTCCAGCTGAACTTTGCAACAATTTCAACTGAACACGAAGTTTCCTGGACAGAACTCAGGGGAGGGGGTGAACTGTGAGTGCAGACATGAGCACAGAAGCTGCAGCAGGTGGGGAGGCACGAAACCTGAAAGCCCTGCTTGCTTTCTCAGCAGGGAGGCTTGTAGCCTGGGGCGAGTTCCCAGCCCTGCGCACCTGCTGCCTGCAAACAAACTGTGCATTGATTGGGGATGCACACAGTGGGAATGAGACCAGCTTTTTGGGCTGCATGGGAGCTGGGTGAGCCCTGAAACTGCTGGCTTTCTCCCACTTCCCTGGTGACCCACATGATGCAGTAGAGGCAGCCATAATTCCCCTGGGAACATAACCTCATTGGCCTGAGAACCACACCCCACCCCCACACAGCAGCCACAGCGACCCTTACCCAAGGAGAGTCTGAACTCAGACACCCCTAACCCTGCCCCCACCTGATGGTGTTCCTCTACCTGCCCTAGTAGCCAAAGACGAAGGACATACTCTCTTGGAAGCTATCTGGCCCCATCCTCCACCTGAGAAACCTGAATACTTATCCAGGTAACCCTAGGGCAAGCTGTTTTCCTCCCTGTACTACTGCAGCTGATGCTGTCTTGAAAGTGCCGTCTCCTGGCTGGAGGCCAACCAACACAAAACCAGCGCACTAAAAAATAATACAACCAAGGAACCCCAGCGAGTCTACTTTACTCCTCTGTTACCTCCAACGGAGCAGGTGCTGATATCCACAGCTAAGAGACCTGAAGATGAATCACATCACAGGACTCTTTGCAGACACCCCCCAGTACCAGCCCAGAGCGCAGACGCTCCACTGGGTAGCTAAATCCAGAATCTGAGCAGCCCTTGAGACCCAGATCTTCCTTCTGACATAGTCTACAAAGGAGAAGGAACCAGAAAACCAATTCTGGTAATACGACAAAACAAGGTTATTTAACACGCCAAAAAGATCACACCAGCTCACCAACAATGGATCCAAACCAAAAAGAAATCTCTGAAATTGCCAGAAAAAAAAAAAATCAGAAGATCAATTACTAAGCTACTCAAGAAGGCACCAGAGAAAGGTGAATACCAACTTAAAGAAATTTTAAAAAGTGTTACCGGATATGGACAGAAAAATCTCCAGAGAAATAGCGTAAATCAAAAACAATTACAATTTCTGGAAATGAAGGACACACTTAGAGAAATGCAAAATACACTGGAAAGTCTCAGCAATAGAATCAAACAAGTAGAAGAAAGAACTTAAGAGCCCAAAGACAAGACTTTTGGATTAACCCAATCCAACAAAGACAAAGAAAAAAGTATTTTTAAAAAATGAACAAGACCTCCAAGAAGTTTGGGATTATGTTAAACAACCAACCTAAGAATAATTCATGTTCCCAAGGAAGAAGATAAATCTAAAAGTTTGGAAAACATATTTGAGGGGAATAATCTTCCTTGGCCTTGCTAGAGATCTAGATATCCAAACATGAGAAGCTCAAAGAACGCCTGGGAAATTCATTGCAAAAAGATGACCACTGGTCGGGCGTAGTCGTTCACGCCTGTAATCCCAGAACTTTAAGAGACTTAGGCAGGCCAATCACAAGGTCAGGAGATCGAGGCCATCCTGGCTAACACAGTGAAACCCCTTCTCTACTAAAAATATAAAAAAGTAGCCGGGTGTGGTGGCACGCACCTGTAATCCCAGCTACTCGGGAGGCTGAGGCGGAAGAGTCTCTTGAACCCGGGAGGCGGACGTTGCAGTGAGCCGAAATCGCACCACTGCACTCCAGCCTGGGCAACAGAGTGAGACTCCATCTCAAAACAAAACAAAACAAAAAAAAGATGACCCCCCTAGGCACATAGTCATCAGGTTATCTAAAGTCAAGATGAAGGAGCATCAGGTAACCTATAAAGGAAAACCTATTAGATTGACAGCAGATTTCTCAGCAAAAACCCTACAACCTAGAAGGGATTGTGGTCCTGTCTTTAGCCTCCTTATACAAAACAATTATCAGCCAAGAATTTTGTATCCAGTGAAACTATTGGCAGAACACACAACAACTCCGGGTCAGAGACAAAGGACTTTATTACTCATGGCACAGCCGGCAGCATGAGATTCATGTTCACATGGGCTCACCTTGCCCCCCAGGTCCTACAGGGATGATCAGAGTGGCTCAGGCAGATGCTGCGCACACAGTGGTTTGCGTCAATGCTGGGGAACCTCTGTTTACATGTATTTACAAATCTTCAATCTTATAAGGGAGATGCAAGGAAATCTGCTTGACTTTGAAACTCGGAGAGATATTATCTTTGTTATGTCGGACTGCTGATCCACCTGCCCCGGAAGGACATGTTGTATTTACTATCCTAGCCAATAAATAAATCATTATGGAAGGACATTATCTTTATTATCTAAGACAGTGAACAAACATGCTCTGATGCTCTAGAGAAACATCCATAAAAAGACAATCTGGAACTCAAAAGTGGCTAATACCTTTTTCAGGAGACAGGCAGAAAGGTAAGAGAGCCATGGATAATTGTCTCCTAACACCATTCAGTTCATGCTCTCGATGCTTCCCTACAGGATAATCTCAGGCTTCCCAACCAGGCATTCAAAGTGCAGGCATTTGGTCTGGGATACAAAACCCAGCCTCAGTTTACCTGGTTTTTTTGTTTGCTTGTTTGTTTGTTTTTGAGACAGAGTCTCACTCTGTCACCCAGGCTGGAGTACAGTGGTGCGATCTCGGCTCACTGCAACCTCCACCCCACCATGGGTTCAAGCGATTCTCCTGCCTCAGCCTCTTGAGTAGCTGGGATTACAGACACACACCACCACACCTGGCTAATTTTTGTATTTTTAGTAGAGACAATGTTGGCTAGGCTGGTCTCAAACTCCTGACCTCAAATGATCCGCCCGCCTCAGCCTCCCAAAGTGCTGGGATTACCGGCGTGAGCCACCACGCCTGACTTGATCCTGTCTTTCTCATGCTATCTTCTCACTCCCCGTTTCTCACGGTTTTCTGCCTTCACCATTCCCTCCCTCTTTTGATGCCTCTTCCTCACTCCAGTCCTTACTTTATCTCTTCTACACTCCCCGACTCCACCCTCCTTTGTTTTTGCCCGGTCCCTATTTCTGCAGGCTTCTCTTTCCAGCTCCCCGTGTCTCCTTCTCTAGACAGGAAGCACCCATCTAAAAAGGTGAATGCTCCTGCAGTGAACAATCATCTCCAGGCCCACCTGGCCAAGGCTAGAGCATCCCCCAGCCCTCCTGACCTGCGTCCTGAGGTGTGGAGTCAGGTGCAGGGGAGAAAGGAAGCTTCAGTGACAGGTATAGCCCAGTGGTTCCCCAATGGGGCAAAGTTGTCCCCTCCACCCGCCCCACCCTCCTCCACCCATCCAGGGGCACACTGGCATTTTCTGGCAATCTCATCACATTCAGGTTCTGCAAAGACACACATCGGGGGGGTTGCCACTTTATTTGTGGGGTGCAGAGATGGAGGAAGAGAGAGGAGAGAGGGTCTGCCCTGAGATAGTAGACAGTGACAGGTGGTAATGCTCTCCACGGACCACTGAGAGGGACCTGGGGACGCAACGCGCCACACACACAGCAAGGGTGGAGCTGAAACCTGGCAAGAGCCACATTATTCTTTTTTTGCTAATTTGTAATTGTTGTGGGTACATAGCAGGTGGATATATTTATGGGGTACATGAGATATTTTAATATAGGCATATAATGTGTAATAATCACATGAGGGTAAATGGGGTATCCATTACCTCAAGCATTCACCCTTTGTGTTACAAACAATCTAATTATATTCTTTTTGTTGTTTTTAAATGTACAATTAAATTATTATTGACCACAGTCACCCTGTTGTGCTATCGAATACTAGATCTTATTCTATTTCCTCGTACCCATTAACCATCCGCACTTCCCCACTACCCACATACCCTCACCCTCCCCAGCCTCTGATAACTATGCTTCTACTGTCTATCTCCATTAACTCAGTTGGTTTTGTTTTTGTTTTTTGTCCCTATTTCTCCAGGCTTCTGGAGATGGAGTCTCGCTCTGTCTCCCAGGTCGCTGGAGTGCACTGGAGAGGTCTTGGCTCACCACAACCCCCTCCTCCCAGGTTCAAGCACTTCTGTGTCTCAGCCTTCCAAGTAGCTGGGAATACAGGCACGCGCCACTGCGCCTGGCTAATTCTTGTATTTTTAGTGGAGACAGGGTTTCACCATGTTGGCCAGGCTGGTCTTGAACTCCTTACCTCAGGTGATCCACCTGCTTCAGCCTCCCAAAGTGCTGGGATTACAGGTGTGAGTGCCCGGCTAATTGTTTCAATTTTTAGCTCCCAAAAATAAATGAGAACCTGTGAAGTTTATCTTCTGTGCCTGACTTATTGCACTTAACATCATAACCTCCAGTTCCATCCATGTTGCAAATGACAGGCTCTCATTCTTTCTGATGGCTGAATAGTGTTCCACTGTGTATATGTACCACATTTTCTGTATCCATTCATTTGTTGATGGACACTTAGGTTGTCTCTAAATCTTAGCTATTGGGAATAGTGCTGCAATAAACATCATTCTTGGCAATACCACAGCCAGCTTTCCTGCACTGGGAGGTGGGGTGTTCCATGATGACTTTTTACAATCTCAGCCTGGGCAACATATCAAGACCCCATCTCCACAAAAAAAAAAACAAAACGTAAAAATTAGCCAGGTATGGTGGCACACACTTGTAGTCCCAGCTACTCGGGAGGCTGATACCAGAGGATCGCTTAAACCCAGGAGTTTGAGGTAGCAGTGAGCTATGATTGCACCATTGCACTCCAGCCTGGGCAACAGAGCAAGACCCCAACTCTAAAAAATAAAAACTAAAAGAAGCTGACAGGATCACGGGGAGAGGGGAGCAGAAACACAGACATGGGGAAAGTGAGCAGGAGTCACGGGAGGGAGAAGACACACGTCTCCCCAGCTCCCTCCTCCCTCAGACCCCCCAGCCCCTCCTCCTTCAGACCCAGGAGTCCAGGACCCCAGCCCCTCCTCCCTCAGACCCAGGAGTCCCAGATCCCAGCCTCTCCTCTCTCAGACCCAGGAGTCCAGGCACCAGCTTCTCCTCCCTCAGACCCAGGAGTCTGGGCCTCCACCTCCCTCCTCCCTCAGACTCCCCAGCCCCTCCTCCTTTAGACCCAGGAGCTCAGGACCCCAGCCCCTCCTCCCTCAGACCCAAGAGCAAACCTCCTATGAACAAACGCAGAAGGGAAGCTTCCAGAAAGGGAAGAGGAGGGAGCTGGAAAGTGGGCTGGGGGCTCAGGACTCTAGCGAAGAGGTCTATGGGTGGGGGTGGAACACAGAGAGGGAGACGCAGGCAGGGCAGGCCTTTCTCTCCCAGCCCCAGAGTGCAGGACCCAGGAGTCCAGGCCCCAGCCCCACCTCCCTAAGATGCCCCAGCCCCTCCTCCCACCGACCCAGGAGTCCGGGTCCCTAGCCTCCTCCTCCCTCAGACCCAGGAGTCCAGACTCCAGCCCCACCTCCCTTAAACCCCCCAGCCCCACCTCTCTCAGACCTCCCCAGCCCCAGCTCCCTCAGACCCAGGAGTGCGGGCCCCCAGCCCCTCCTCCCTCAGACCCAGGAGTCCAGACTCCAGCCCTACCTCCCTCAAACCCCCCAGCCTCCTCCTCCCTCAGACCCCCCAGCCCCTCCTCTCTCAGACCCAGGAGTGCAGGCCCTCAGCCCCACCTCCCTCAGACTCAGGAGTTCAGACCCTAGCCCCTCCTCCCTCAGATCCCCCAGGCCTTTCTCCCTCAAACCCAGGAGTCCGGGCCCTCAGTCCCACCTCCCTCAGACCCAGGAGTCCAGACCCCAGCCGCTCCTCCCTTGGACCCAAGAGTCTGAGTCCCCAGCCCCCTCCTCCCTCAGACCCCCCAGCCCTTCTTCCTTGAGACCCAGGAGTCCTGGACACCAGCCACCCGTCCCTCAGTCCCAGGAGTCCCGGCCCCCAGCCTCTCCTTTCTCAGACCCAGGAGTCCAGGCACCAGCCTCTCCCTCCTCAGACCCAGGAGTCCAGGCCCCCAGCCCCTCCTCCCTCAGACCCAGGAGTAAAACTGCTATGAACAAACGCACAATTGATGCCACCTATCGGTAAGGCCCTCCCAGGACAAAAGAAGAGAAGATGTGGGTTTTTCTGCCTCCTCCCCTCCAGCTTCCCCCAGCACAGCCCAGGAAATAAAGTCTCAGAGAAGAACTCGTCTGCGTGTGACATTCTCTTTGCTTGACGTCACACTCTCATACCAGGGTCTCACACCTCCATTTCCTCTCCCTGGGCCTCAGTTCCCCCATCTGTAAAACAGGGGTCTTGATAAAGGGGTCACAGGGATTCAGAAAAAGATACCACATCTGGGAGATCAAAACAGTGGCTTCTGGCTGGGCGCGGTGGCTCACGCCTGTAATCCTAACACTTTGGGAGGCCAAGGCAGGTGGATCACTTGAGGTCAGGAGTTCAAGACCAGCCTGGCCAACACTGTGAAACCCCAACTCTACTAAAAATACAAAAATTAGCCGGCTGTGCTGGTGGGTGCCTGTAATCCCAGCTACTCAGGAGGCTGAGGCAGGAGAATCGCTTGAACCCAGGAGGCGGAGGTTGCAGTGAGCCAAGATCATGCCATTGCACTCCAGCCTGGACAACAAGAGCGAGACTCCGTCTCAAAAAAAAAAAAAAACAAAAAACAGAAAACAAAACAAAACAAAAAGCACAGTGGCTTCTTCCAGTGCCAAATCTGCTGCTACCCAACTGTGTCATCTGAGAAAGACCCCACATAACCATCCCTCCCCAGCTTTCAGTTCCCAAGGGTAATAGGACAGACTGATAATGGCCCAGCACTCACTCAGTGCCGGGCACAGATTTCAAGAATGAACACCTCAAAACACTCCCACAGAAGAGGGAGGAGCAATTATTACCCCCACTTTATAGTTGAGGCAGCTGAGGCACAGAGAGGCTAAGTGACTTGCCTGAGGGTGCACAGTATTATGGGACAGAGGCAGAACTCAAACCCGGGCCACCTGGCTCCAGCGGCTACATCTGAATCACGTGCCGTGTTAACCGGTCTTGCAAGCCTCAGCCTGATTTTATGATTCGCACACCTGCTCCATGGGTATGACCTCATCCAACCCCTGTGAGGTCCCTCCCATTTCCACCCCACCGCAACGGAAGACCCCTTCGCAGATGAGCACCTGACACCCAGAGAGCTGATGCTTCTCACAAGGGGCACCAGGACCCCGAGAACCATTCTCTTGATTCCACTTCTGCAGCCTGGGTGACCTTCACCAGTGACCCCCGCACTCCCGTCTGCTCATGTGTTAAATGAATGAATCGTCATAATTTACTATATGCTCTGAGCTCCTAACACAAACTAAGTCGTTACTCCTCGAAAAACTCTACGAGGGGATCCTCTGATTTTAAGGATAAGAAACTGAGACACAGAGAAGAAAAAACTCTTACCAGGGTCTCCCAAAATAGTAAGTAGTGGAACAGAGATCTGCACCCATGCTGTCTGGATCCAGACCCAGCGCCCTGAAACAGCAGCTTGTCTGGTTCCAGAAGGAACGGAGGCCGTGGTGAGACTAAGTTAGAAGAGGGCCAGCACCTCATGGGGAGGCCCTTCGGGCACCACGAGTCCAGTCCCGCTCCGGAGGTGGGCAGTCTGCAGGCCCCCTGAGAAGGGGGTTTGAGGGGAGGCTTTTTCCTGCTGGGGAATCTCAAAGGGCTTAAAACTGCAGACCGAGAAGCCGGGACCTTGCCCAGGGGTGATGGGGAGCTGCAAGGGAAGGCTGTGAGCAGGGGAGGGGCGGGGTGATCTCCAAGTGCAGAGAGACCCTCTAGGGCCACGTGGTGACCGACAGGAGGCTGTCCTCCCGGACAGGAGGAGCGAGGGTCCAGAGAGAGAGGAGGACGTCTGAGCTGGAGCCAGGCCAAGGGGACAGAGAGGAGGGGACGGGGCAGAGAGAGGCAGGGGCCGAAGGGACAAGGCTGGGGACCGATGGGCTGTAGGGGATAAGGGGAGAGATGGGGCAAGGTCAGTGCCAAGGGCGTCTGGCCGAATAACTGGGTGGTCGGTGACGCTGCCCCTGAGATGAAGAACGTGGAAGAACAGGGAAGGAGGGTTTGGGGAAATAGAGCAATGAGTTGGGACTCGGTAAGTGAGAGGGGCCTAGGGACAGTGGTGCAGGGGGCGCCCAGGAGCAGGTGGCTGCCCAAGCCGGAGTTCAGGGTCAGATGGAGGAGACCTGCGTGGTTGGTGGATGAACCACGGGAGTTGATGAAAAACTCCCAGGGAACGTTCTCAGGAGGAGGAGCCGGGCAAAAGTGAGACTCAGGCCGCGGTGGGCGGGACCCAGGCCGCGGTGGAGGTGAAGGACGTCCGCGGACACGTCCAGGAGGACATCGATCGCGCGAGCCTGAGCCAGACACAGTGGGCGGGGACGGGGCGCCGACGTCACCGCGTGGGGGCGGGGCTGCGGGAGCCGCTGGCTGCGCGCCCTCCAGGGAGCCGAGCGCAGACCGGGTGCGCGCCTGGGTTCGGCGCGGCGGGAGCGCCCTCAGTGTCCCCGTCTGTATCAGGGGTGCTTCATCAGTACCTGCCTAGGCTGGTTAGGAGGAGGAGCACGTGCGATCGTGACGGGAAGCGCTCAGCACAGACCTGGCACCGAGGAAGTCCCAGGGGCTCGGCTCCTTTCCCTCGTCACCACCGCGCCCCAACAGAGGGAGGCGGCTGCAGGGGTGGCGGCGAAAGGGCCCACCGGGCGTTCCGGAGTCGGAACACTGATTCCTCTCCCGCGTGGCCTCTCGCTTCTGCAGGAACCTTGCTTGTGCTGCCTCCTGTCTGGGCCTCAGTTTCCTCCGTATTCAGCAGGAAGCCATAAGGTTATTAATATAAACACCTCACAGGGCTGCCGGGAGCCGGAGTGAGATCCTACAAAGAGAGCACTTGGCACGGAGGAGTGGCCTGCAGCCGCATTCCATAAACAGGGCTGCTCAGCTGAAGCGGTGGCCCAGGGTGAGGCCCGCAGACTTTGAGCATCAATTTGTGGGGAGGGAGGCAAAGGGACATAGGAGTTCTAGAATAGCTTCCAACCTGGGGATCTATTATGTCTGCCGGTCTGGGCTTGTAGAATGTCTGGAGACCCGACGTTCTAGAATGCATGAGGTTTCTGGGGACTCCAGAGTGCCCGATGTTCGAAGGTTCTAGAGTGTTTGGAGCTCTGTGGTTCTAGGCTATTCTAAAATCTTACCTTCCAGAGTGTCCTCCACTGCCAGAATGTCTTAGGGCCTGTGCTTTTAGAATCTGAAAGTCTGATATTCTAGAAATTCCAGGGGCCTGTAGTTCTAGAATGGCTGAATCCTTCCCATAAAGATGATGACTTTCCACACATGGGGAGAGACCACGCTTACAACAGGTCCCATCCTTCACTGGGTGACCTGAGTGAGGTCAGTCCCTCCTGTCTTGGGACCTCCTCATTAATTAAGCCAAAATAGACTCTAGATAATTGCTTGGGGCCCTCTGGGGTTCTGAGACATTGGAAGCCAGCCTCAAATACCCAAAGCCTTGGGTCATCTCAGTGATCATCTCCAGCCTCTGGGATGCAGAATCCAGATTTCAAGCTCTAGAACCCAGAAATAAGACTACAGGACCAGAATAGAGACCCTGGGTTCCCAGACTCTAAATTCAGACTCTAGAGTCAAGATTCTAGCAATCTCAGAATCGTGAAAGCCAGGTCCCTGTCTCTCAATTCAGCCTTTTAAAAATTTATTTACTTATTTATTTATTTATTTAGATTTTTCATAGAGATGAGGTATTGCTGTGTTGCCCAGGCTGGTCTCAAACCCTTCAGTTCCAGCAATCCTCCTACCTCAGCCTCCCAAAGGCATGAGTCACTGGGCCCAGCCACAGTCCAGGTTTTCAATGCAAAAACAGATTTGAAACTCCAGACTGTATGTTCCAAAGTCTACTCCTGAAAGCTCAGAGGCTAGATCCACCCTGTAGAATCCAGACCCCAAGCCTGGCATGGTGTCTCACGCCTGTAATCCCAGCACTTTAGGAGGCTGAGTCAGGTGGATCACTTGAGATGAGGAGTTCGACACCAGCCTGGCCAACATGGTGAAACCCTGTCTCTACTAAAAATATAAAAATTAGCTGGGCGTGGTGGTGGTCGCCTGTAATCCCAGCTACTCAGGAGGCTGAGGCAGGAGAATCTATTGAGCCCAGGAAGTGGAGGTTGCAGTGATCTGAGATCACGCTATTGCACTCCAGCCTGGGTGACAAGAGCGAAACTTCATCTCAGAAAAAAAAAAAAAAAGAATCCAGACCCCACAATTCAAAATCCCAAATCTACCATTTGTAGTCTAGGCCCCAGGCTTCTCATAGCAGGTGCAAAGGTTTCCAGCCTCGATTGCCAGATTCCAAACACCAGATTCCAGGCTCCTATTGTGGGTTCTAGATTCGAATGCCCCGGGATCCAGAATCAAGGTTCACGATCTGTCACTCAAAGGCCCGACTCCAGGATCCAGATTCCAGACCCCCAGCCCAAGAACTCAGACTTTGAAATCCATATTCCAGACTGCAGGTCATTAATCTCCAACTCAAGATCCTCAAATCCAGAATCCAAGACCCAGATCCAGAACCAGATCCGGATCCAGAACCCGGGATCCAGAACTCTGCCCCAAGCCCAAGAACAGGGACTTTAGGATCCAGTTTCCACACTCCAGACCCCAAATTCCAGACTCTGTCTTTTGATCTCCTCCTAATTTCTGTTTTTGTCCTCCTGTCCCCTCCCCCTTGAGGAACTGCTCCTGGTGGAGAATTCCTCTTTGTGGACTCAGACAACAGCTTCAACCTAATAAATGCTCATTAGGCCAAGTCTCCCACCCCACCAGCAACCAAGGCGTCTCTGCCTGTAAACCTGACTCTCAGCCACCTCCCACCCCACCCTACACCACCACACCCCCAGACCCAGCTGGGACTGGGAGCTTATAAATTCAGGCATCCTGGTACCTGCTCCCTTCTGGCACCCAAGCTGCCCTAGATGCTGCTGGAGGATCTGGAGGAGGTGAGAGCTTTGAGACAAGACTGAGGGAGGGGCAAAGGGGAGATTCACTGTGCCCTGGTTTCAAGGGGAAACGTTGACCACGCTTGGAGAACTGAGTGTCAAGGGCATGGGTAGATCCACGTGTCCTTTACCAATGCCCCAAATTGAACCTGAACCAAGAAAATGTCCTGGAATGGCCAGAAGGAGCTGCAGTGGTGGGGAGGGAGGGGGATGGAGTGGATCAGGAGGACGTCCCTGAAGTACTTGTATCAGAGCCAAGAACGTGGTCAGGAGTGATCACGGGTTCAAGTCAGTTCAGCACAACCTCCCGGAGGCCTCCTGTGTACCAGGCCCCAGGTGGGGCAGTGCTGAGGTCACAGAAAGAACCTGACCTGAGCCCCATCTTCAAGACCCCCAGATGGAGAAAAGAACAGGCCAGACCTCAGCAAGTATGGGGCATCTGCGCTGTAATGGAGACAGAATGGGTGCTGTGGGATTCAGGGGAGACACCTGTTAGGTGTTGGGGCCTCCCAGAAGAGGTGGGGGCAGAGTGTCAGAGGACAAAGATGAATTTGGAAGATATGGGGAAGAAGGATTTCAATTCACCCTCAAAGCTTCCTGAGGCCTCCCGTGGGTCGGGCCCTGCAGTACTGGAGACCCAGAGTGGAGTCAGACCAGCTCCTCGGGGAGCTGCCAGTCTCGTAGGGGAGGCAGACACCACTGAGGGTCAGGGGAGGTCAGAGAAGGCCTCAAGGAGGAAGCGGGGCTGGAAGGGAATGGCGTTGGATATGCGGTGGGAGGAATAGCCTAAGCATGAAATGGCAGGAGGGAAAATGGCAGCACTGGCTGCGTCTAGGACAAGGTCATGGGAGACCCAGGGAGAGGGGCTGGAAGGGAAGAAGCCACTTTTGTCCTTGAAAGTGAGGCTGGAGCCAGGCAACTCATGCCTGTAATCCCAGCACTTTGGGAGGCTGAGGCGGGTGGATCACTAGAGGTCAGGAGTTCAAGACCAGCCTGGCCAACATGGTGAAACTCCGTCTCTACTAAAATTACAAAAATTAGCTGGGCGTGGTGGCACACACCTGTAATCCCAATTGCTTGGGAGGCTGAGGCAGGAGAATCTCTTGAACCCAGAAGGCAGAGGTTACAGTGAGCGGAGATCACGCCACTCCACTCCAACCTGGGCTACAGAGCCAGACTCCGTCTCAAAAAAAAAAAAAAAAAAGAAAAAAAAAGAAAGAAAGTGAATTTGAAGAGCTGGACTTTATCCTGGTGGTGCCAAGGATCCATGGAGGGTGGTGAGCAGGGGAGGGGCACAGCCAGCTCCAGATGTAGAAAGACCCTTTGGGGTCATGGCTGGAGGGCAAGCTGGTGGAGGGGACTGGACTGGAGGGGGACCCAAAAGGCCAGATAAGAGGGTTGAGATAGACCAGGCGCGGTGGCTCATGCCTGTAATCCCAGCACTTTGGGAGGCCGAGGTGGGTGGATCATGAAGTCAAGAGATTGAGGCCATCCTGGCTAACACGGTGAAACCCTGTCTCTACTTAAAAAAAAAAAATTTCCAAAAAATTAGCCGGGCACGGTGGTGGGCGCCTGTAGTCCCAGCTACTCGGGAGGCTGAGGCGGGAGAATGGTGTGAACCTGGGAGGTGGAGCTTGCAGTGAGCCGACATTGTGCCACTGCACTCCAGCCTGGGTGACAGAGTGAGACTCCGTCTCAAAAAAAAAAAAAAGTTGGGACAGGGGTCCTTGGTGATGATGGAGAGAGATCCAGGGGCTGGTAGCATGGTGCTGGAGGCTGACAGGTGGAGGAGGTGGGGCAGGGTCTGTCCGAGTGCCTAGAGGAAGAGTAAACCTTCCAGAGATGGGGGACCCAGAAGGAAGCGCAGAGTGGGGTTGGGGGAAGGGGATACCGGTGGTCAGAAGAAATTTATTAACAGTGGATGGGATAAGTCTGTGTCTGGAGGGATCCTGGTGGAGGCAGAAGGGTCCTGCCTCACCTGGATTCTCTCACTCCCTCCCCAGACTGCAGCCGAACCCTGGTCCCTCCTCCACAATGTGGCTTCTCCTCACTCTCTCCTTCCTGCTGGCATCCACAGGTGAGGTGGCCCCAGGAGGGGGCCAGGTCTGTGGGAGCAGGTGCCCCCTTCCCAAGCATGTCTGGGCCCAGTGATCTGCCAGCCCCTACCTCACCCAGAGACCACTAAAGATCCTTCCTTCACCCTCCACCTGTGCCAATGTCCCTAAGCCCTTACCGTCAGGTGCTGGTGCTGCTGCTCTGGAGTCGCTATGTTGCCTGGGGCCTCTCGCTGCCCACGACAAGGAACACGGTCCTGGGGTTACACAAACCTGAGCTGAGTCCTGGGGCAACCGCTTCCTTGCTGTGTGTCCTTGAGGGAACTGCTTCACCTCTCTGGGCTTCGAATGCCTTCTCTATAAGACAGCACCCACTTGAGACAATAACAGTGAGGTCTCAATAGCATAACAGAGGTAATATACATAGCAAGCATTAGACAAGTGCTGAGAGGCCAACAGCACAGACAGACTCCAGCTTGAGTCCCACACCTGCCACTCCCTGTCTCTTACAGGGTCTTTGAGGGGATTAAATGTGGTTGTGTGTGAGGCAGAAGCATAAGCCTGGCCCAGGTAGTGCCCCTTCAGGTGTGCAAGCCAGGCACGGTGCTTAGAGCTTACATACAACGTCTATGTGTGGTGGGCACCACCGACCTCATTTGACAAGGGAAGGGGCTGTGGCTCAGAGGGACGGCCACAACATCAAGGTCACCTTGGGTGTCAGGCAAACTCCAGATTGAACTCAGCTGCCACACACCAAGAAATTAATTGTAACCTGATGCCTCTCTTCTGGAGAAATTGGGGGGTGGACTTTCATTAACGTTCTGCCACAAATGACCCTCACTCCTGGGGGCCCCTGAGACCCCCACGCCTCCAGCCTCCCCTCCGGCTCTCTCTGTGCACTCACCTACCTGCCTCGCGCCTGCCTGCTGCGCCCAGCTGGGGCCTCCACCTTCCTCTGGCTTGGACTGGCCAGGTGCAGCCTCGGTGCCCAGCTGTTCAGCCCGTACCCTCCGCCCTTCGGAGGACGACCTCACCCTTCCTTTGTTAAGCCCCTTGTCCACCACATCCGCATTCCCCTGGTCTCACGGGGGCCTTTGGCCCAGTTCCTGACTGTGATGGGGAGAGTGTGGGCATTTGGTCTGGCTGTGCAAATCCTGCCCCTGTGTGGGTGGGAGTGTGCATGGCTTCAACCTTCAGGGGATGCATCCACATTGCCCAGTGGAGAGGGGTCCTGGTCCTGTGACCTTGAATGTCTCTAATCATGTCCTTAAGCATAATGCCATTCTGTGTGTGTGTGTGTGTGTGTGTGTGTACATGCACGTGTGCAGTGGGTATACAAGGCCCTGTATGTTCACATCCTCTCCACATGCATGAGCCAGATCCCCATATGTGAAACCCAATCAGTGACTCCACAGATCTGGCTTGGGGGCTGATCTAGAGATGGATAAATATGTCCTGCCCTGGCTGCCTCTGGCTTCAGCTGCATGTCTTTGACCTTGAATGCCCAGCCCCGTGTCTGGGTGCTGCCCCAGACAGCAAGTCCACATCTGAGTGTTGGCCTTCTGGGTTGGTGTCTGCAGCTCTAACTCTACAAAATGTCTTGTGGGTGAATCACGGTTTTAACCTTGACTTTTTTTTGTTTGTTTGGTTTTTTTTGAGACGGAGTCTCGCTCTGCCGCCCAAGCTGGAGTTCAGTGGTGCAACCTCAGCTCACTGCAACCTCCGCCTCCCAGGTTCAAGCAATTCTGTCTCTGCCTCCCGAGTAGCTAGAATTACAGGCACGCACCACCACGCCCAGCTGATTTTTGTATTTTTATTTATTTATTTATTTATTTTTTAGTAGAGACGGGATTTCACGATGTTGGCCAGGCTGGTCTCAAACTCCTGACCTCAGGTGATCCACCCACCTCGGCCTTGGCCTCCCAAAGTGCTGGGATTACAGGCGTGAGCCACCACACCTGGCCAACCTTGACTATTTATTATAGGTAATTCTGTGCAGATGTCTGACTTATGTTGGCCATCTCCAGGATGGACCTGAACTTTCACACGTATGTCCCTGTGACTAAATCCAGGTGTCATTTGCAAAAAACAACTAATATTATTAAGTAGCTACCAGGGCTAGGTATCACTCACCATACATACACACATGCACACACACACATACACATTCCTACCTCATCCTTACAACAATCTTCATTTTACAGATGAGGAAACAGAGGCACAGACAGGTCGAATAACTTACTCAAAGTTTCACAGCTAGTACATTCGAACCCAGGCTTAAGGACCCATCTTTGTCCAGACCCTGTATGCAAGTGTCTGTGACACTGGATGCCAAGACTCACACTAGAGATGTTGAATTTAGGTCTGAACAATATCCAATTCTGTGTGTGTGTTTGTGTGTGCATGTGTGTGTGTGTATGTATTCATGTCTTAACCATCCATATTCATATACACATATGAACATCTGTGCTGTGATTCTTTTTTTTTTTTTTTTTTTTTTTTTGAGATGGAGTTTCACTCTTGTCACCCAGGCTGGAGTGCAATGGAGCAACCTCCGCTCACTGCAATCTCCGCCTCCCGGGTTCAAGCGATTTTCCTGCCTCAGCCTCCAGAGTAGCTGGGATTACAGGCACCCGCCACCATGCCCAGCTAATTTTTTGTATTTTTGTTAGAGACAGGGTTTCCCCATATTGGCCAGGCTGGTCTCGAACTCCTGACCTCAGGTGATCCACCCGCCTCGGCCTCCCAAAGTGCTGGGATTACAGGCATGAGCCACCGTGCCCAGCCTGTGCTGTGATTCTTGAAGCTGCAACCCATGTGCATGCAAGTGAATTTCAGCTTCCAGTCCTGTCCATAGCTGTACCTAAGTGTGGAAGCTGGATGTGCATGTATGCATGTCCATGACCTTGTATAGCCACATCTGGGACTCATACTGCACACTGAATTTGGCTGACATGTCCAGACTCTGGGGCCAAGGCTGGGTCACACATACTGAGTGGCCACATGCGTTTGACGTCTGTGACAATTTGGTGACCGTGAATGACTGGTTTCAAGTGACCACCTGTCTGAACCTGTATCCAGTGCCCCTGTCTCCACCCCCAACCACAGAGGACTTCTTGCCCTCTGGTCTGTTCCCCTTCCTCTCTCTCCCAGAGTCTTATAGCAAATGGGGTGGGGGCTAGAGTTCTGGAGAAAACAGGCAGCGGTTGTAAATAAACAACAGGGCAGGCGGAGCATGGTGGCTCACACCTGTAATCCCAGCACTTTGGGAGGCTGAGGCGGGCAGAGCATTTGAAGTCAGAAGTTTGAGACTACCCTGGCTAACATGGTGAGACCTCGTCTCTACTAAAAATACAAAAATTAGCCAGGTGTGGTGGCGGGCACCTCAGCTACTCGGGAGGCTGAGGCAGGAGGATCACTTGAACCCAGGAGGCGGAAGTTGCAGTGAGCTGAGATCATGCCACTGCACTCCAGCCTGGGCAAAAGAGTGAGACTCCGTCTCAAAAACAACAACAACAACAAACAAAAACAGGGCAGGGTGTCTTGAGAAGTTAGGGGAAAGGCATAGGCATATAGTAGTTAGGGCAGGGTGCAAGGAAGGTGTAGGAGGCAATGTAAACGTCCCTGTCCTCAGGCATCCTCTACCCCTTCTCTTAGCAGCCCAGGATGGTGACAAGTTGCTGGAAGGTGACGAGTGTGCACCCCACTCCCAGCCATGGCAAGTGGCTCTCTACGAGCGTGGACGCTTTAACTGTGGCGCTTCCCTCATCTCCCCACACTGGGTGCTGTCTGCGGCCCACTGCCAAAGCCGGTATGAAGGCAGGGGCTCAGGGTCCTGAGGGAGCCTGGTTCGGGGGGAAGAGCTCCTAGATTTGGGGGAAGACGGAGGCAGACGCCAGAACTCCTGGGTTCTGAAAGACGAGGAGGCCGGATGTCAAGCCCCTGGGTTAGGAAGGAGTGTGTGTTTCAAAGCCTTCGATCTCTGAAGGAGGAAGGAGAAGACTAGTTCCAGCTTTTGAGCCTCAGTTCTAGGGATGTGAGAATCCTGGATTCGGGGACAGACCAGGAGGGGGCTGGGAGTAGTTGGAGGGGATCGAGTTCTAGGAGTGTGCCTGACTTCAGACTCGTTGGTCCTTGAGGAGCAGGGGCTGGAACCATTGGCTTCAGGGTCTTGGGAAAAGGTAATGGGATGTCGAGATTTCTAAAGGGTCGGGAGACCTCGGGTTGCCCACTCTTTGATCTTTCTGTCCTCTACTTGCGGGTAACCACTGGCCCGCACTCCACTGGCGGGAAAACCACTCGCCCGCACAGCTTCATGAGAGTGCGCCTGGGAGAGCACAACCTGCGCAAGCGCGATGGCCCAGAGCAACTACGGACCACGTCTCGGGTCATTCCACACCCGCGCTACGAAGCGCGCAGCCACCGCAACGACATCATGTTGCTGCGCCTAGTCCAGCCCGCACGCCTGAACCCCCAGGTGCGCCCCGCGGTGCTACCCACGCGTTGCCCCCACCCGGGGGAGGCCTGTGTGGTGTCTGGCTGGGGCCTGGTGTCCCACAACGAGCCTGGGACCGCTGGGAGCCCCCGGTCACAAGGTGCGTGAAAGGATGGAGCTGGATGCGAGGCCTCAAGGAATCCTATGCTCCAGGGCTCTTGGGCGGAGGGGACAAGGGCCGGAATTTATGGATCTGCTCCAAGTCCACTGTCTTCCCCAGTGAGTCTCCCAGATACGTTGCATTGTGCCAACATCAGCATTATCTCGGACACATCTTGTGACAAGAGCTACCCAGGGCGCCTGACAAACACCATGGTGTGTGCAGGCGCGGAGGGCAGAGGCGCAGAATCCTGTGAGGTCAGAGCCTAGAGGGGCCATCAGGCGGAAGAAGAGGGATGGGGACAGGTGTGGGAGTCCGGATGGGGTTGGATTTTCTTTGCTTTGGGCCAGAGAAGATGCTAGGGTTAGGCTTGGAGATGGAGTAGGAAGAGAAGTTAGAATAGGGGTGAGGTTGGAGTTGGGGTTATAGGTGGGGATTGCGTTGTTTGAGGTGGATAATGTGATAGTTAGTTTGAGATGGCATGGGTTGGGGTTGAGAATGGGAATGGTTTGGTTTGATTCTGGGTGGGAAATACGTCAGGGTTGAATTGGGATGAGGTAGATTTTGTTTGGAATGCAGAAGACATGAAGATTGAGATTGGATTTTGAGATGGGCATGGGTTTGATTTGATTTTGAATGGTGAGGATGTGGGCTGAGTTGGATTTAACTTAGTACAGTTGCACTGGAGTTGCATGGGGGTGAGATTGGATATAGGTTGGGTGAGTTGTATTGAGCTGTGTTGAATTGGGGTTGGGGTTGGGGTTGGGTTGGCTCTGTTTGGGATAAACTGGGCTGTATTGAGTTGAGTTGGGTTGGGGTTCCCTGGGATGGGGATGGATTGGGTTTGGGGTGAGATTGCAAATGGTGATTAGGATGAGGATGAATCCAGGAGGTTTCACTCAACCTGAGACCCCCTCTTTTCCCCACAGGGTGACTCTGGGGGACCCCTGGTCTGTGGGGGCATCCTGCAGGGCATTGTGTCCTGGGGTGACGTCCCTTGTGACAACACCACCAAGCCTGGTGTCTATACCAAAGTCTGCCACTACTTGGAGTGGATCAGGGAAACCATGAAGAGGAACTGACTATTCTAGCCTATCTCCTGTGCCCCTGACTGAGCAGAAGCCCCCACAGCTGGCCAGCAGCCCCGCCTGACATGGAACAGAACGGAGCCATCCCCCAAGACCCTGTCCAAGGCCCAGATGTTAGCCAAGGACTTGTCCCACCTGAGGACAAAGCTGGCGCTCAAGGTCACCTGTTTAATGCCAAGATAACAAAGCGCTGATCCAAGTTGCTCTGTAGGAATTTCTGTGACTTTTTTCTGGGGTCAAAGAGAAACCCCGAGACACTGTACACTGTTCCTTTTCACCCACCACCCCGATCCCTAGGTGAGGAGAAGCGGCTTGAAGCAGGGCTCCATTCATTCAACACACATGACCACCCGTGTGATCTTGAACAAGAGGCCCAATCTCACTTCGCCTTGGTTTCCTTATCTGTAAAATGAGACCATCTTATTGCTGACTTCAAAGGGCTGTTGTGAGGATTAAATGAGATGATTCGTCTGAACTGATTAAAATCGTGTCTGGCACTGAGTAAATACCCTCTATCTCTGGATCCCAGTTAAAGGACCTAACAGACACTAGATTACCAAGAATGGCTTTTTCTTTAAGGTTTAGTTCTGGGCCGGGCATGGTGGCTCACACCTGTAATCCCAGCACTTTGGGAGGCCAAGGCGGGCGGCTCACTTGAGGTCAGGAGTGCAAGACCAGCCTGGCCAACATGGTGAAACCCCATCTCTACTAAAAATACTAAAAAAATTTAGCCGGGCGTGGTGGCACACGACTGTAATCCTAGCTACTTGGGAGGGTGATGTGGGAGGATCGCTTGAACTTAGGAGGCAGGAGTTGCAGTGAGCCGAGATCGCGCCACTGCACTCCAGCCTGGTGACAGAGCAAGACTCCATCTCAGAAAAAAAAAAAAAAAAAAAAAGATTTAGTTCTGGGCTTCCTGGTAGCCATGGCAAAAAGGCAAATACTGTCCTTTCCTTAGCCAGGTCCCTGATATACAGCAGAGGCTGGAACTCTGAGCTGCTTTGATTTTACCAAAAAGCCAAGACAACCTGTTGGAAGCCTATGGGTTTACCATTGAGGCTGCAGGAATCTAGTTCCTAATTATCTTCAGAGACCACAAAATGTGATGTTCAAGGTCGCTGAATGTTGAAGTACATGAACCTGGCTCGTGAGACCTAAATATTGTACTGGTGGTGGGGGGGAAGGGTCATTGGAATCTGTGGTTAGCCTGATCTTGACCTGGGAGGGAAGGTTGTCCAGATCTCTGGGACTTTGGAGGACAGGACGTTGAGCACCCATAACTGGGAGCAAGAAGTGGGAGGCTCATTGAGACCCCAGCATTGTTTGGGAGGGACACTGGATTTTGTAATGCTAAAGAACTTACCCTGGGAGACCCCTGAAACTTCACATTCCTGGATCTGGAGGCACTAGGAATGTGGTGATGTGTACCCCAAAATTTTATTATGAAAGGAACAGTAGCTTTGGGGACCTAGGTCCTGGGTCTGGGAGTGCAAGAACCAGGGCATTCTGAAGGCCAAGGCTTATATTTCAGGGGGAACTGGCAGCTGAGATGCTAGTATCTTGGCTCCGAGTGGTGCAGGGAATCAGAGCCCTAACTGCTGGTGTTTGAGGGCACCAGGTCTGGGGGTGCAGGGCCTTAATTGAGACTGAGGTATATGGGGCTTTGTACCAGGGGTCACTGATTCCTCCGTCTTCCTGTTTCTGCTTCCCCTCAGTCCCCCCTTGCCTCACTGGCTGCTCCCCAGAGCAAAGCCCCAGAGCCACAGGCCCTGCCCCACCTGGCTTCAACCCCAGGAATGCGTCCAGCGTGATCCAGGGCCTGCAGAACAGGTGCTGGTTCTCCCTCCCCGTCTACAGCTCTGGGGATCGGAGGGGGGGGGGGCAATTGTCCAGCCCCCAGGCAACAGGGGAAGGGCCTTGGCCAACATCTGGGTGCCAGCAGGGCAGGGGTGGGGCTCTGAGGGGATAAGGGCTTTTAAAAGCCTCCCCAGGGAGGTTCCCCAGTTCCTCCACCTGCTGGCCCCTGGACACCTCTGTCACCATGTGGTTCCTGGTTCTGTGCCTCGCCCTGTCCCTGGGGGGGACTGGTGAGACAGTGGGGGGATGTGGGAGGGGGAACGGGCCCTGATTCTCTTGCTGGCCTCACATCCCCCCCCGATAAGACCTTCCCCTCCAACACCCCACCCTCATCCCTCTGGCCCACAGTCTATCCTAGTCCGGGGTGCCCCGGCTCTTATCTATCTTGCGCGGCCCCACCCTAAACTTCCACCCCCGCTCCTCCATGTTGTCATAGTGCTCACTCCCACACCAGATTCCTGCTCCTCCCAGGAAGCCTCAGTACTTTCTCCTCTTCCCTAGCCAACGCCCTGTCCCACCGCTTTACCAAAGGGGCAGATTCTGGGCCATCTCTGTCTCTCTCTGGAGGACCCCAACCCTCCCATGGGCTTCCCCCACCCCACAGGACTCTGATCATCCCCTCCTGCCCCCTAGTTCCCTGCGGCCACCTATTTGGCTCCTGAGTCTACAAATCCCACCACACTCCAGTGACTTTTTCCATCCAGCTGTCCGCTCTCAACTGTGTCCTCCAGACCCTGACATCTGGTCTCCCCAGTCCTTCCAGGGTCCCCCAAATTTCACCAGAAAACCCTGCTTCCCAAACTGGCATGTGGGATCCCCCATCTGGTATGGGGGGGGGTCTGCAAATGTCCCTTCCCACCCAGCACCCCCAGCTCTCCCAGGAAAAACACCACACCCTCCCACCACATGCTCCTTTCCTTGGGGAAGTTCCATCCCGCCCCAGGCCCCAGCCCTTCTCTGCCTGAATTGTTCCTACACAGCTCTGGTTTTCTGGAACCCCACCCCAAGGATCCTGAATGCCTTCTCAGCCAGCGCTTCTGCCCTGGCCTCCCCCAAGTCAGTATGTGATTCTACAACCTCACGTCAAGTGGGTCCTGCATTGCATTCCCACAGCTGCTTGGCGCCTGTTCTCACCACTTCTCCAATCCTCTTCCTAGGATTGCCTCCAAGAGGACCCCATATCCTTCCAGTACCCTCAGACCATGAACCCCATCCCCATGAGAAACGAAGATCCCATCCTTCACCCTGTCCGAGAAGGACTGCCACTCACGCCTCCCTCCTCCTGAGCCCCGTCCCAGTCCTGACCGCAACTGTGTTCTCAGGGCCCCAACCTCCCCTCAGATTGCCATTCCTGGTTCACAGGAAGGACCCCAAAACCTCTCGGAAGCCCACCTCTAGCCTTAACCATAGCCCTTTCTTTTACCCTTTAACCAGGAAGCCCTGAAATCTAACTGTCCCAGCCAAGCTGGCCCCTTCCAACCCCAATGTAGGGACCCCAAGTCACCCCCAAACTCTTCAGTCCAGATGCTCTTCTTTACCTCTCAGACCTGGTTCCCTAAAGCTGCATCCTTTCCTGAACCTCAAAAGCCCAACCCAGGTCCTGTTTCCCTAGCCTAGGAGCCCCTTAGCCCTCCAGATTCTTCCTCAGTGAGCCTCTGATCCTGTCCCACCCTTGGCGCCTTGATCCCTGGTTTCCAGAATCCCTTTCCACTCCCCTAACCCACCACCTCCCATCCCCCAGCCCCAGACCCCAAATGACCTGACGCCCAGATGCAGTGTCTGCTCCAGACACTGTCTCCTGTCTCCTACCCTGATCCCTGGAGGCTGCTCTACTGTCAGAGCACAAAATCTCCCCACCAGGTCCAGCCACCACTCCAAAAGCCCAGGGAACAGTCCAGAGTCCCACCCCTTCCCAACACCCCTTGCCCATGTCCCCAACCTCCAGCCCTGGTCCTCTACCCGCAATGTCCCTTCAGACCCACAGCCCAGCTCCCTCTCCTAGCCTTGTCCCTGGCCTCTCCTGCCAACCCTGCCCTTCCTGACCCAGCACCGCCTCTGCAGGTGCTGCGCCCCCGATTCAGTCCCGGATTGTGGGAGGCTGGGAGTGTGAGCAGCATTCCCAGCCCTGGCAGGCGGCTCTGTACCATTTCAGCACTTTCCAGTGTGGGGGCATCCTGGTGCACCGCCAGTGGGTGCTCACAGCTGCTCATTGCATCAGCGAGTGAGTAGGGGCCTGGGGTCTGGGAGGAGGGCATCTATGCTGCCACAGGATTGACAGGCCAGTGGCATTCCCCTTGGATAACCTCAGGCAAGACTGGGGGGCTGAGGCAGAGAGGAAGGCTCTGGCGCAGGTCGCCTGGCAGGGCAGAGCTGGGCTGGACACCCCTCTCCAAGGCTGCCTGGGTCTCTTGGGATCTGGTTCTGCTTGTGTCTCTGTGTGACTGTGTTCTGGTCTCTGTCTTCCTCTCTCTCCTCTGTCTCCTTGTCTCTGCATCTCCCCTGTCTCTGTCTGTCTCTGAGTCTCTCTGCGGCATCTCTGTCACTGTGTCTCACCCTCCATCTCTCTACCCATCTCTCTCTCTCTGGGTCTCTACCTCACCGCTCCCTCATCCCTACTAAACACACACCCAGATGGACCTAAGGGAGGCCCCAGAGTAAAGGAAGGGCTTTATCCCCAACTTGTGTGCCTGGGAGGGGGCGCCTCTCCCTCTGTCCAGCTCCCCGCCCCACAGGATATCCCTCCACTCTGGAGAGACACAGGGAAGGGCTGGTTTCAGCGGGAGCTGGGTGGGGCAACTGAGGGAGGAGGAAGGAGGAGGCGGGGCGAGAAACGCGCGGGAGGGTGCTGGGAAGGGAAGGGGGCCTCGACCTTGGACTTCAGGCCAGGCCACCTGCCCCTGGGGAGCCCGCACCACAGCCCCAGCTGCAGCTGAGCCGCTCTCAGGCCTCCCCTCCTCCCTACCTGCCCCCACCCTCCCCACCTGCCCCCACCCTCCCCCAGGGCCTCCCTCCCTTTTCTCTCCCACACTCGGTCACTCCTGCTTCCTCTCTGCCTCTGTTTCTAGTTCTCACTCTGACGTCCCGCGTCCTTTTTCATTTGTCTGCTTCTCGCTCCCTTCCGTGTTCTGTTCCCTCTTCCTCCCTCTTCCCTGGGCCTGTTTCTCGCTGTCCCTGTCTTTTATCCTTCTCATCTGCCTCTTTTTTGCTCACCCTGTTTCTCACTGCCCTCCCCTCCGCCTTTTTCACCCCTCTGTCCTTTTGAGCTCTTTTTTGCTCTGTCTCTTCATTTGCCTTTTGCACTCTCAAAATCTTTCATCTTCCCATTCGCTGTCTGTATTTCTCCATAACTATATCTTTCTTCCTCTGTCTCCGCCCACCCACATTTTTCTCTTTCCCTTTCTCTCTTTGGGGACCCTCCCCCATGCTCCCCTGCCCCATCCCCTTTTCCCCTTCCCGTCTTCTCATCCCTCCATTCCCATCTTTCCCCAGCAATTACCAGCTCTGGCTGGGTCGCCACAACTTGTTTGACGACGAAAACACAGCCCAGTTTGTTCATGTCAGTGAGAGCTTCCCACACCCTGGCTTCAACATGAGCCTCCTGGAGAACCACACCCGCCAAGCAGACGAGGACTACAGCCACGACCTCATGCTGCTCCGCCTGACAGAGCCTGCTGATACCATCACAGATGCTGTGAAGGTCGTGGAGTTGCCCACCGAGGAACCCGAAGTGGGGAGCACCTGTTTGGCTTCCGGCTGGGGCAGCATCGAACCAGAGAATTGTATGTGGGGGCAGACTGTGTAGCCCAAGGCGGGGATGGGGACTCCTGCGTCCAAGGGAGAAAGGGCCAGGGAAGCAGGTGAGGTCGGGCTGCAGCCCTTTTTCTCCCGGGTTCGTAGTCTCATTTCCAGATGATCTCCAGTGTGTGGACCTCAAAATCCTGCCTAATGATGAGTGCAAAAAAGCCCACGTCCAGAAGGTGACAGACTTCATGCTGTGTGTCGGACACCTGGAAGGTGGCAAAGACACCTGTGTGGTGAGGCAGCCCTGCCCCCAGGGTCTGGAAGGGCTGAGGGAGGGGACTCAGCCTCTGAACTGGCTTCTGAGAGCTAACCAGGCATCTGCTTCACTGCTTCCCAGCTAGCTGTAGCCACTCGCCCCATCAGTGCCCCAGCTCCCCCTCCTTCCCCCGCCCATCCAGGGACAACTGCATCTCACCCCCCACACCAGAGTTCACCGTTCCTCGTGGTAATGTGTTGTTACCGTCGAGTCAGAGAGTAGTCCTGGAGAGGTGGCCTCTGCGATGTGCCCGCAGGGGCAGCGTCCTGCAGATGGTCCTGCCCCTCCTCCCCCTAACCTGTCTGCAGGCACTGTCCACCTGGACCCTGCCCCATGTGCAGGAGCTGGACCCTGAGGTCCCTTCCCCCTTGGCCAGGACTGGAGACCCTGTCCCCTCTGTGGGAATCCCTGCCCACCTTCCTCTGGGAGTGGGCACTGGAGGCCCTGTCTGCGAGCTGGGGCTCCCCAGGCAGAACTTGGGCCCCGTAGACCTTTCTCACTCTCCCCTCCCACCTTGTGCTCCCAGGGTGATTCAGGGGGCCCGCTGATGTGTGATGGTGTGCTCCAAGGTGTCACATCATGGGGCTACGTCCCTTGTGGCACCCCCAATAAGCCTTCTGTCGCCGTCAGAGTGCTGTCTTATGTGAAGTGGATCGAGGACACCATAGCGGAGAACTCCTGAACGCCCAGCCCTGTCCCCTACCCCCAGTAAAATCAAATGTGCATCCAATGTGTGTCACGTTCTGCCATCACCTATCTTTCCAGATGTGGTGCACCTGGACCCACTCGGCTGAGGCTGGGGCCACCCCAGCTGTGTCAATCTCATGCCTGGAAGTCTGAGGTCACCAGCAGGTGGGGAAAGGAAGGGGCTGTGACAGGTGCAGACAAACAGGCAGGGAAAGGCTCAGATCCCAAAGGGCAAGTCAGGGACGCCAGAACAGTTCACTCACACTAGGATGGACCCTGCCCTGGTGGGGAGGTGGGGGGCAATGGAAGGTCTGAGGCTGAGAGGTTTTATTGTGGCGGGGAAGCCAGAAAAGGTACAGAGGGATGTTATTGCAAGCCATGCCTTCCCAGGGAGGGGCCCGTTCTGCAGAAGGGTGGAGTTGCACCAAATGCTGGGCGGTGCTGTGTCCACCTGGGGACAAGGGTGGACATCGGAGCTGAGGCCGGAACTCCGGGAAAGAAGTTCCATGCAGACCACCCTGGCTGGGCACCAGGGGCAGGGCCACACAAACTAGCCACACTGCCGAGCTCAGCGGGACGCTGGACAAGTGTCTGCAGAACGGGAGGGGATGCTGGGCCTCTGGGGTGGAGGTACTGTGAGGACCCAGTGGGCAGGGACAAAGCCGCAAAGGGCGGGCCCTAGAGCGAGGGCTGGAGTTTGCCACCGGTCCCCTCGGAGGGCGTGGCCTGATATCAGGGGGTGGGGCCTCAGGGGAGGTCGAATATCCAGGGCGTGGCCACGCTGAAGGGGTTGGCCGGGCATCTGGCCATGGCTACCGGTCGGTGTCCTGAAGACCTCGGGTGCTATTCCTTGGAGGTGCTTGGGTCTCATCCTCGAGGGTGTATGAAATGGGAAGGCCCGGGGTGCGCTCGGAGTCAGCGTCTGAGTTCCGCTGTTTGGATGTCCGCCTCGCTGCGCCCTGCTGCACGGCCCACCCGCGGTAGCTCAGCCGCCGCGCATTCAAGGGCTGCCCTCTGCTTCACATGCCCACTGGGCTTAGGTAGGACACGGCTCCTGGGAGATGGCTAGGTGGGCCGCTGTACTCCGAGTCCCACCCTAGGCCCCACCCGCTTCCCGAGGCCCCGCCCTCCTCCCGAGGCCCCGCCCTCACCGGAGTGCAGCATCAAGTCGCTGGCGTCCCAGCACAGGTAGGAGGTCACCAGGTAGGACACCACCGGACTTGGGTGCACCGCCTTGCCGTTAACTGAAAAGAGCGTCAGGCTGAAGAGAAATCAGGAGCCCTGCAATGGGGTGGGGCCAGAGACAGAAGGCTGGACAGTGAGCCCTATGACCCCCAGTAAGAAAAGAGGGACTGAGACATCCTCTCCCACCCTCCGTGACAAGCAGACACACACACACACACACACACACACACACACACGCCCTCACAACAGACAGAAAGATACCTGGAGAGAGGGGACAAAAAAAGAAAGGGAAACAGAGAGTGGGGGAGAGAGAGACATCCCACAGATAGAGTAGAACTGAGTCAGAGCTCCCCAGAGACATGCTAAGACAGAGGCCCCGAGGGGAGCAGCACGGAAGTCTAGATACACCTCCAGAAAGCCAGAGAGCAGGGCTGGGGTTAGGGAGGGCCCCCGCCCCCCAAGCCAACACCTACCAATGCCGAGGCAGAGGAAACTGAAGACAAAGTCGGCCATGTTCAGGCGGAGGACCACTGGCCAGGAGGAGAGGGCCATGGGCGGGAGGAGGACTCAGCACAGGGCCACGGCCAGTAACATGAAGCCCTTGCTCATATGGATGAGAACTGGGGAGAGGGGGACAGGGGCCCCAGAGTCAACCCCAGATACCCCTCTTGGTCACCCTCCAAAGTCATCTCTGCTGATACCCACAAGCAGCCCAACAGACAACCCCAAAGTCTGGCACATCCTCAAAATCACCCCTACTCACCTCCCCAAAGTCACCTCCTAGAAACCCCAAAGAAACTCCAATCTCACTCACAAGGTCACCCCCAGGGACCCCTAAAGTCATCCCCCAGTCACACCCTTAGAGTTGTCCCAAATCACCCCTACTTAACCTAAAACTCAATTCTCAGACACTCTCATAATCCCACACACCCCCCAAGGTCACCCCACAGAGGACCCCCCAAAGGTCATCCCACTCATCCTCAAGGTTACCCCACAGAATCACCTCAATCATTTCTTTCTTTCTTCTTCTTTTTTTTTTTTTTTTTTTAAGATGGAGTCTTGCTCTGTTGCCCAGGCTGGAGTGCAGTGGTGTGATCTCGGCTCACTCCAACCTCTGCCTTTGGGCTCAAGCAATTCTCCTGCCTCAGCCTCCCGATTAGCTGATACTACACGCAGCTGCTGCCACGCCAGCCTAATTTTTGTATTTTTAGTAGAGACATGGTTTCACCATGTTGGCCAGGCTGGTCTCAAACTCCTGACCTCAGGTGATCGGCTTCCCAAAGTGCTGGGATTACAAGCGTGAGCCACTGAGCCCAGCCTCGATCATTTCTAGAACCACCCCCACAGACACCCCTGGTCACCCTACTTGAACTCCTAAAAGGTGTCTCATAACAACTCATGTTAGTATCCTCAGTTTCACTCCCAGACACCCTCAACAGCACCCTCAAAGTTATCCAAGACACCACGGTCACCCCAGTCCTCTCCAAAGTCACCCTACTTCTGCTCTAGTCTCTGCTAGTCACCCCCCAAGGTCCCCTAGTGGCCCCATTCACATGCCGAGAATCTCCTCAGACATCCTAATGTCATCTCTTGTTCACACCTGAGAGCCCCCACAAAACACATACAGATTTGCACACAAGAAAAACTTTCAAGTCAAATACTCTAAAACCAATGTGCCCAAAAGCTTAGTTCCAGTTTACAGTGGATATTTATCCAACTTAGACTTCCAGCAGAAGAGAGGTTTACCTGTTTCCGAGATGCTACATCTCCTCCTTTTAGCCCTTTTTCTACTTTGTCTACTTTTCAACAGTGCAAAATTGTTTTAGCCAAATAGGCCAAGACCTCATCTGCTTTGTTTCTGGCAAACTGCACATCTCTAATACCCAACAAGAAAGATAAAGGATCATCATATATACAGAAGAGCAACAGCACTCTGGGAAGTGGGGGAAATATCAGACCCCTTGGTTTTTTGTTTTTGTTTTGTTTTGTTCATAGAGATGGGGTCTCACTGTTACCCAGGCTGGTCTCAGATTACTGAGCTCAAGCAATCCTCCCTCCTTGGCCTCTCAAAGTGCTGGGATTACACGTGTGAGCCACCATGCCCAGCCAGTTCCCTTAGTTCTTTCTGCTCATTGAAGAGTCAAGAAGCAGAGGTCAGGGAGAAGGCACCAAGCCAGAAACCAAGACCTTGAATGGTGAATTTGGTCTGCCCAGAACAGCAGCCTGACATCTCTTGGGGACACCCTCCACCCAACTCACATAACCCTGGATGAGGGATTCTCCTGGCATATGCTGGCCTCTGGGCCACAGAGGTAATCATGTGATTCTGGCTGAGCCAATCACAGTACCCCAGCTGCAGACCCTGCAATTGGCCCAAAGATGGACACATGACCAAAGCCCAACCAATCAAGCTCTGCCCCAAGACTTTTTATTAGGAAGCTGTCAAGGAAAAGCAGTCTCTCCTCAAGGATTACAAGCCTGAAGCTGCCTAAGCCTTGGACCTAGCTTCATGGGGAGAGTAAAACTAAGAAGGAAAACAGACAAGCGAAAGAGCATTGAGCTGACACTGAAGTCCCTGGCTCTCGTCATCCCAGAGAGCAGCCCACTCTGTGATTTGGTCAGAATGAGTGGATATTTGCAGCTTACCTCCCCACCATGCATTTCACCTCCTGCCCATTCCCCATTCTCAGCCCCAGTCTTAAGCCAATCAGCCAACTGTACTCCACTGGCCATATAATTGGCTCGGGGTGCTCATGTGCCCCAAGCCACACAGGATTCTTGCAAGAACTGTTGATAACTTTTTTCTACCGGACTCGGCAGTTATTACCAACTCTGCCAAGTTGCTAACAACTCTGCCAGTTTTTTGTCTGTCTGCTCTCAGATCCATTTCCCGCCCTGTCCTGTTCTGCACTGCAAGGACCACATTTCCCAGCCTCCTTTGCTCACCATCTTATCACTGTGTTTGACTAATGGGAGGCACTGGCAGAAGACTGGTTCTGGGAGGAGAGGGCAAGCCAGGGTATTTATTAGCCTCTCTATCTCTGCATGTGGTGGGTCTTCCGTAGTAGTTGTATCTATTCTCTGATTCTAGCCACTTCTGAGCAATCCAACCATGAACCTATGCGTTCCAGAGGGCTGCAGTTTCTGGACTGTAGTAATACCACCTCCTCCCTTTGTCCTTCTGGCCAAGTAGCAGCATCCTGTAGTTCCTAACTCCTGGTTTGCCTCACTATTTCCTATTGGCTTCTCAGCTCCTCTGTTACTCACGAACAAATTCCCTGTATTTACTTCCTTCTGAAGAATCTGGAATGATTTATTTTCCTTACTGGATTCTGACTTGCCACTACACAGAGCCTTGAGAATGAAGCCAATCCCATAGCCAAAAAACAGTAATATCTGATACTATCACTTGGGCCCCTGGATCCACCCATGCCTGAAGGCATTCCTACCATTACCATTTTTCACTCAGGTGATCCCATAAAGGATCCCCTAGCTAGTTCAAGTTAGTTCACTCAAGCTAATACAACTAGTTCACTCAAGCTAGTTCAAGTTAGAGTTTGTGTCACTTGTGGCTGGGCACGATGGCTCACACCTGTAATCCCAGCACTTTGGGAGGCCGAGGCAGGTGGATCACCTGAGGTCAGGAGTTTGAGACCAGCCTGGCCAACATGGTGAAACTCCGTCTCTACTAAAAAGATAAAAGTTAGCCGGGCATGGCAGCGGGCGCCTGTAATCCCAGCTACTCCGGAGGCTGAGGCAGGAGAATCGCTCAAACCCGGGGGGTGAAGGTTGCAGTGAACCAAGATCACGCCACTGCACTCCAGCCTGGGTGAAAGAGTGAAACTCCATCTCAAATTTAAAAAAGTAAAAAATAAAAAAAATTTAAAAAAAAAGAGTTTGTGTCACTTGTGACCCAAAAACTCCTGACTAATTCAAGTCCCTTCCTTAGGACAGCAGGGAGCACAGAATTCAATGTTCCCTGCATACCAACTCCAAAATCACAATCAAAACCTAAAAATAAGTAATGAGAATTTAAAAAAACAGAACTGAATGTTCATCAAAAATCTGGAGGGAGAACCTCCCGAAGCCAAGAAGCAATTAATAAAGTCACAGAGACAAAGGTGAAGAAATTAAACTACCTAAAAATTCTAAGGCTGGGCACAGTGGCTCATGCCTGTAATCCCAGCTCTTTGGGAGGCTGGGGTGGGCAGATTGCTTGAGCTTACAAGTTCGAGACCAGCCTGGGAAACATGGCAAAACTCTACCTCTACCAAAAAATACAAAATTATAGCTAGGAATAGTAGCACTCCCCTGTAGTCCCAACTACGTGGGAGGCAGAGGTGAGAGGATGGCTTGAACCTGGGAGGCGGAGGTTGCAGTGAGCCGAGATCTCATGCCACTGCACTCCAGCCTGGGTGATAGAGCCAGACTTTGTCTCAGAAAAAAAAAAAAAAATTCTAGATTTCTATACCTTAAAAAATAATAATAAGGGCCAGGCGCAGTGGCTTATGCCTGTAATCCCAGAACTTTGGGAGGCTGAGGCAGGTGGATCACCTGAGGTTAAGAGTTCGAGACCCGCCTGACCAACATGGTGAAACCCCATCTGTGCTAAAATTACAAAAAAATTAGCCAGGCACGGTGGTGCCAATTACCTACAATTCCCGGGTCAGTATCCAAGACCCTCCACCAGCCAGGAACAGTCACGGGGTCAGTATCCAACAGCCTCCACCAGCCAGCAGCAATCGCCTGGTCAGTATCCAAGACCCCTTGCCAATTATTCACAATCACCAGGTCAGTATCCAAGACCCTACACCAGCTATCAGCAGTCAACAGATCAGTATCCCAGAAACACCAGCCATTACCTACAGCCACGATTTCAGTATGCGAGGTGCTTCACCAATTTTCCAAACTCGCTGCTTCAGTATCCAAGGCTCTCACCCCCTGACTAATCATCAATTATCCCCAGCAACAAAGATCATGACCAAAACTACCTGTCAACAACCGAGACTGCCCATTTAAGTGTTCCAACCCCCAACTTCCAAGCCTGGGCCATTGTCAATGTGCTCCCATCACTTACCTACGGCCCCGAGCCCAGTATCAAAAGCATTGAATCAGTTACCTGGGAGTCCCAGGAGAGTCTGAAGGCAAGTGTGCTCAGCTCTGAACTCAACCAAAGTCCTCTAGACAACATGCAAAACCTCTCATTGTGCAGCTCCATTGAGATCAATTCTGGCAGGTATGAGGCAGTGCCCAGGCCGGAGGCCAAGTTCTGAGCTAGACTTCTGGGGGAGGAGAAGCAGTGCTGTGACATCTCCTGCCTGCATGAGCACAGCCAGGATGCTTGGAAGGCCTGCCCTGCCCTCACCACTCCTGGGACCCATCGCTCCACTTTATCCCAGGGACCCCTCCACCTGTCACAGAATGGTTTCTTCCTTTCCTGCAATGATCTTCACAGGTATTTTATGAGTCTCACGGCCCCAGGGTGGTCCTCCCAGCCACAGGATGATCCTCACTGACTGAAATGATCCTCACTGACTGAGATGGTCCTTACTGCCCCAGGATGGTCCTCACAGCACTGGGATGGTCCTCATTGTCATAGGATAGTCCCTACTGCCCCAGGATAATCCTCACTGCCCTGGGATAGTCCTCACAGCTCTAGAATGGTCCTCACTGCTCCGGGATAGTCCTCACTGCCCTGGGATACTCCTCACTGCTCTCGAATGATTCTCACTGCCCTGGGATAGTACTCACTGGTCCAGGATGGTCCTCACTGCCCTGGAATAATCCTCACTGCCCCAGAATTATCCTCACCACCCTGGGATGGTCCTCATTGCCTGAGATGGCCCTTACTTCCATGGGATGGTCCTCCCTGCCTGGGATGGTCCTCACTCCCTGGGATGGTCCTCCCTGCCTGGGATGGTCCTCCCTGCCTGAGATGGTCCTCACTGCCTGGGACGGCCCTCCCTGCCTGGGACGGCCCTCCCTGCCTGAGATGGTCCTCCCTGCCTGGGATGGTCCTCCCTGCCTGGGATGGTCCTCCCTGCCTGAGATGATCCTCCCTGCCTGGGATGGTCCTCCCTGCCTGAGATGATCCTCCCTGCCTGGGATGATCCTCCCTGCCTGAGATGATCCTCCCTGCCTGAGATGGTCCTCCCTGCCTGAGATGGTCCTCCCTGCCTGGGATGGTCCTCCCTGCCTGAGATGGTCCTCACTGCCTGGGATGGTCGTCACTCCCTGGGATGGTCCTCACTGCCTGGGATGGTCCTCACTCCCTGGGATGGTCCTCACTGACTGGGATGGTCCTCACTCCCTGGGATGGTCCTCCCTGCCTGAGATGGTCCTCCCTGCCTGAGATGGTCCTCACTGCCTGGGATGGTCCTCACTGCCTGGGATGGTCTTCCCTGCCTGAGATGGTCCTCACTGCCTGGGATGATCCTCCCTGCCTGGGATGGTCCTCCCTGCCTGAGATGGTCCTCACTGCCTGGGATGGTCGTCACTCCCTGGGATAGTCCTCACTCTCTCGGATGGTCCTCAATGACTGGGACGGTCCTCACTGCCTCAGAGGGTTCTCACTGCCCTAGGATTGTCCTCACAGCCCTAGAGTGGTCCTCACTTCTGGGAATGCTCCTCACTGCCCACCCCACTTCTCACTGCCCAAGAAGCTGCCCTCACCAACCTAGAGGTAGATCCTCAGTGCTGGAAGTATCAGTCTCAATGTCTCTTCTCTGGAGCCCAATTTAAATTTTCCTAAAATGAGAATAAATAATTTGCAAGGGAGGAGCTTTGAGAATACTCCCACACCAACTGGTGACCCTTGTCCCCATACTCAGAGCCTGGGCCAATCATGGTGTTCCTGATTATCTTCCTTCCCCAGACTTGCTGGACCTTTCCTGGGCCTTCCTCCTCTTCTCCAGCATCACCAGCTTCTGCCTTTGCATAGCCCTAATAAGCACCATCCTCTTTACCGGCTCCAACCCGTCCATGCTGGATTTCTTCACCTTCATCACCAGCATCCTGACAGGCATGGCACTTCCCTCAGGAACCAAGGCGAGGAGTACCTCCTCCAGTGCCAATCATGAAACCCAATCCCATCCCCACCACACTCCAATCCCATCCCCATCCTGACCATCATCCGCAATCCCAACCCCATCTCCTTCCAAATCTCTAACCCATTCCCATAAAAAACATCAACCACCAGCCCAACCCTATCTCCAGCCCCAATACCAGCCTCCACTTCAAGTCCCATCTCCATCACCAACAAATCTCAAACTCATTCACATCCCTTTCCCTCATGCCCCTACTCCATCCCAATTCTACATTCTTTCCAATCACCAAACCATCCTCATTACCATCCGCAACCTCTTCAAACATCTCAACAACCAACTTTGCAGCATCCCAACCATCCTCAACATATGTTTCAAATGCAACCCAATTCTATCACCTGTGAACTTCAATGCCAAACTCAATCTAGTCCATTCCCCACTCCATCCTCTTACCCATATCCAATCCATTTTCATCCCCAACCATGACCTATCCTCATCCACAACCCACTCCCATCACAACTTACCCCCAACCACCACCCATCCCCACCACAACCCTTCCCCACCACAATTCACTCCAACCACAACCAACCCAAACCACAACCATCCCATCCACAACCCACCCCCAACCATAACCTATCCCCACAACAATCCACTTCCAACCATAACCCATCCCCATCCTCATCCCCAACCACAACCCATCCCCATCCCAACCCACCCCCAACCAGACCATCCCTGTTCCAACCCATCCTCAACCACAAACTACCCCATTTCAACCCATCCTTACCCCTAACCATAACCCACCCCCAACCACAACCCACCCCAACTACGACCCACCTTCAACCACAACCCATCCCAACTGCAACCTATTCCTGACACCACTCTCAACCTCGTCCTCTAACACTCAAACTTCAACCTCTACCCAATACCCAATCCTATTTCCCATTCTAACCTCATCCCAAATCCTGTCCCATCAGCAGCAGCAGCTCTGTGATTTTGTTCAAGCTACTTCATCTCTCCAAGCCACAGTTTTCTCATCTGTAGGATCAGGACAAAATTTGCTACCACATGGAAACGTACTGAGGATTGAATTAGAAATGTCAGTACTTGGCCGAGTGCAGTGGCTCACACCAGCACTTTGGGAGGCCAAGGTGGGTGGGTCATGAGGTCAGGAGTTCGAGACCAGCCTGGCCAACATAGTGAAACCCCATCTCTACTAAAAATACAAAAATTAGCCAGGCGTGGTGACGCACGCTTGTAGTCCCAGCTACTTGGGAGACTGAGGCAGGAGAATTGCTTGAACCTGGGAGGCGGAGGTTGTGGTGAGCCAAGATCACGCCACTGCACTCCAGCCTGGGCAACAGATTGAGACTCTGTCTCAAAAAAAAAAAAAAAAAAAAGCATTTATGCAGTTTATCTAGTAGCTCTTCCTAATTGTTTAAATATAAAGTACAAGGTATAGAATATTGCGCAAAAAAAGCATGAGTTTTCTAAAAACTATAAAAAACACCTTCGTTTTAAACCATCTATAACAGAACATTTTTCTATAAGAAAACCATTTCTGTCTATTCCTCCTTTTAATTAAACAAAAAATACCTTCTATATTATTTTCAATAACATCAGACAAAACTACCCAGTACTCCACTGTCCAGGGGAAAAAGTCTTTTCCTATTCACAAATTATCTTTAATTCATGTCATTCCAATATATCCAGAATGACCAAGTTCCTTGTCTATTGCTTCTGAAGCCCTAAATTAAAGACCCAATAGAATGAAAATAATCAATCCCAATCCCTAAGGGCTTGCTGTGTATCAGGAAATGTGCCAACCTCAGTAACTCCTCATGACGGCCCAAGGAGATGGGTCCTATGATTGTGCCCACTCTACAGATGAGGAAACTGAGGCTCAGAGATATGGCATGGCTGCCCTAAGTCCAGAGGTGGAGGCAGGGAAGATCCCTGCTGTTGGCCTCAAAACCTGTGGTTACAGACTTACCATTGCCTGGTTAAAGCCCAAGGCTTGCCCTTTCAGTGTCCTCTAGCAGGACTTGGTCAGAAGCCCATCTTCATGCTTAGGAGCAAAGGTACAGGGTCTGGGAGGTTAAAGAAAGTGGGGAAATAATGAGCCAGAGCCAGGCAGCCACATGACTATGGGAAGGAGTCCTTACATATCTGATTCTCAGCCTCCTAACACCTGTGCTCATGCAGGAACCAGCATCGTACTGGGTATCCTGTTCTACCTGCTGCAGGCCCACAGGTACCTGCAGGAAGGCATGACCTACCAGCTGGCACTCAGCTTCTACCTGACCTGGGCCAGTGTCTTCCTCTTCCTGATGACTGGTATGGGAGAGGATGAGGTTGGCTTTGGGTATGGGTTCAGGGATGCAGACAGGAATAGCATTTGGGATAGCATTTGGGACGGGGTGGGGTTGTGGACAGGGCTAGATAGGAAGTGACTGAAGTGGGAGGCGGGATTGGGGATGCACATGGGGCTGGATAATGGGGATGGGACTGGGTTGGAGTTTGCGTATGGGTTAGGGACAGTGTAGGGGATGAAGGTGAGTTTCGGTTTGGAGATGGGTTTGGGAATAGGTTAGGGTATGGAATGGAATTGGTGATGGGTTTAAGAATAGGTTTGGGGATGGGGTTTGATGCAGAGCAGGGCATGCAATTGGGCCTGGGGACAGGACTGTGATTGGGATTGGGTGGGTGAACTCTGTGTCTCATCTCCTGTGCCCTCTTCCTCTCCACAAGGCTTCTTGTCCTATCTGAATTACATGTACTTCTGGTCTATCCTGGCGCTCCAGCCCATCCGGACCTAAGACACGCGAATGATCTCACCGCTGGCCTGCTCCAACAGCTCTCTGCCAAGTGTCTGACAACCCTGCTCTCTGGCCCCTAACCCCACGCTGACAACCCTGCTCTCTGGCCCCTAACCCCATGAAGACTCATCTTTTTTCAGTCTCTTCTGACCCGCCTCAATCCAGATTAATAATCTTTCTTTTAAAATAATCTGTATTTTCTGCCCAGAATATTCTTTAATTTAGCTCTGAGCCTTGGAAGCATTGGTGGAACTGAAACCCCTCTCTGGGGCCATCTTTGGGCCCTCTGGGGTAGAGGGATAGGGAAGGGAAGGGACTCATAAGTAAGGGACTCAAGGCACAAGGTCAACAAAGAGGCCGAGCCAATGGTCCCTGGCATACAGATAGTGCTTAATCAGTGTTTGCCGAATATCTCATTCTCCCCAAGCCCTTTTAGCTTCATCCTTTATTTTTGCAGTCCTTAATAATTTACCCTTCCGGAAGCAAATTCCCCCTGCACCCACACTTCACCTCCTACGCTTAACAGTAGCTCTTACCACCACCCCGTCTTTCTTTTCCCCAGAGTCCCCCAGCACAAGGCTGTGTAATGGCCCTTTGAAGATGGTTTGGGGCTAACAGAGAGCCATTTCCTGGACAGGGCAGAGTTGAAAGCCAAGTACAAAGTCATATCATTGTCCTACAGGGCCTTGGCCTGGGGCTGCCATCTATCTCCCTCTCATACAGTGGCTAAGCTGCCTGGTTTTGAGTCCAGGCTCTGTCACTAGTAGCTCTGTGACCACAGGCAAGGTGTAGAACCCATCTGTAAAATGAGGATAATAATAGTACTTTAATCTAGATAGGATTTAGCACAATGCCTGGTCCATAGTGTGTGCTCTTTCTGTACTATTGCAATAATCCTCCCCCTTGTCTCCTGCAAAAGGCTCCCAAATTTATTCATTTACTTACTTAATTTTGAGATAGGGTCTCTCTCTGTCACGCAGGCTGGAGTACAGTGGTGCAACAGCTCATTGCAGCCTCAACCTCCTGTGCTCAAGCAATCCTCCCACCTCAGCCTCCTGAGTAGCTGGCTCCACAGGCATGTGACACCATGCCTGGCTAACTTTAAATTTTTTTTCTAGAGATGGGGTCTATGTTGCTCAGTCTGGTCTCAAACTTCTGGGCTCAAGTCAGTCTCCTGCCTCAGCCTCCCAAAGTGCTGGGATTATAGGGTTAAACCACCACTCCTCGCTGCAAATTTCATCTTTAAACACAGATGGAGCTGCAACCATATGCTAGACACTGGATGTATAGCACTGATCAAACTAGACACGAATCCTTATCTTTATGGAATTGACATTCAGCAAGGCAGCAAAATATGTCCATAAACAAGTAGTTAGAGCCGGGCATGGTGGCTCACACCTGTAATCCCAGCACTTTGTGAGGCTGAGGTGGGTAGATGGCTTGAGCCCAGGAGTTCAAGACCAGCCTAGGTAACAAGGCGAAACCTTGTCTCTACAAAAAATACAGAAATTATCTGGGCGTGGTGGTGTCCTCTTGTAGTCTTAGCTACATGAAGGCTGAGGCAGGTGGATTGATTGAGCCTGAGAAGTCAAGGCTGCAGTGAGCCATGACTATGCCACTGCATTCCAGCCTGGGTGACAGAGCGAGATGCTGTCTCAAAAAATAAAATAAAATAAAGCAGACAATAGGTTAGAGGTAAATGTTATGACGAAAAATATAGGAGGGTAGGTGAGATGGGATTCGGAACAAGAGAGCCTCACAGTCATATAAAGTGGAGGCAAGGAGGTCAGGAGACTCCATTCCAGGATGACATCTGAGCAGAGATAGGACCAAGGGAGGCAGAAAGCCATGTAGATGGGGGAAAAGAGTTCCAGGCAGAGAGGACAGTACATGCAAAGTCCCTGAAGTAGAAACGTCCTTGGCAGGTTCCAGGAGCACCAGGGAGGCCAAAGGAGAGGAAAGAGATGCAGGCTGAGAGGGGACAGGGGCCAGATCACTAAGGGCTGTGTGGGTCACAGCGAGGACTTTGCTTTTATGCTAAAGTGAGGCAGCAGCCAGTGACATAAACGTCTCTCATTGCCTTAAGAGAGGAATGTAGGTCTCTTCTTTTACTCCAGACCACAAGGTTCATGAAAGGAATCTCCTCACTAGAAAGAAGAAAACAACCCAAATGACCAGGGACCCGCTAAACAAAGCGTGTTCAATTCACACAAAGGAGCCCGTTGCCATTGTTCAGTGAATGAGATAATTCTGTACGTACTCATGTGGGGAAACAACTTATGGGACAGATTAGAGTGGAAAAAAGTATCTTTATCCATAATATGTGTGTGTGTGTGTGTGTGTGTGTGTGTGTATATATATATAAAGTCCATACCAGGCCAGGCGTGGTGGCTCACACCTGTAATCCCAGTGCTTTGGGAGGTTTGAGGCAGGCAGATCACTTGAGGTCAGGAGTTCGAGACCAGCCTGGCCAATATGGTGAAACCCTGTCTCTACTAAACATGCAAAAAAATTAGCTGGGCGTGGTGATAGGCACCTGTAATCCCAGCTACTCGGGAGGCTGAGGCACGAGAATTGCTTGAACTCGGGAAGCGGAGGATGAAGTGAGCTGAGATCACACCACTGGACTCCAGCCTGGGCGACAGAGCAAGACTCCATCTGAAAAAAGAAAACATAAAGTCCACACCAAATTGTTGACAGTGAAACTCCTAGAAAGTGAGTTTGGAGTAGAGAAGTTTCATTTTTTAATTTTCAAAATAATCATATAAGTGGAAAGAATGTATAATCCTATCAGTGGAAAGACACTCCTGAGATCTCCAACCCTACCAAGAATCCAGGCCCCCAGGCCTTAGACCGTCAAAACTGAGTGGGAGCCCCAAAGGCCTCCCTCGGCCCCAGGAGTCCCAGCTCCCAACCCCCTTTTCTCCCAAACACGGGAATCACGACCCCAGCCCCTCCTCCCTCAGACCCAGGGGTCCAGGCCCCCATCTCCCGCTTCTCCAGACACAGGGTCCCTCCTTCCGGCCCTTGCGTCACCGTGTAGGCTCCGCCTCTAATTCTGCGCCACGTGGGCGCTTTCCCAGGACGGCCCCCTGTCAATCTCCACACTGGCCCCGCCTCCAGCCCAGTGGCTGGGACTTAATTTGGGTCCGGCCCTTCGGCTTGGGCCCCGCCTCTGCAGCCTCACTCAGCTCAAGCCCCTGCCGCGCAAATAGTCCCAGCGGATTCTCTCTCGTGTCGGGCCGCCCTCGGGGTCCTTTCTCTTCACGGCCCATCTTTGATGCTGTCTTCAGAATTGCCGGACGCAGGGGACAAGACAATCGTTTCCATCATATCCTTGCCCCTTTTTGTCAGCCCCAGAGACAGCGTCTCCTCGCTTGTTCAGGAAGATTCTAGCGGAAGCAGGCAGTATTCCTTTCCCTAAGCATGAAATGGGGTTTCCCAAACAGGCGTGTGTATTGGACGCCTCGGGCGGAGCGCGGGCTGGCGCCGAGGACCGGCCTTGCGAGCGGCGCGCACTATAAAATGGCGCGTGCTGCAACCCGCGCCCGCTTCGGAGAGAGAAATGCTGGGGTGAGGTTCTTAAGTTTATTACTTTTTCCGGCTGTGTGGAAAGACGCACGTGTCCTGAAGGGTTCGAGGCTGCGACGGGAGCGGCCATGTAGTCGCGTGGAAAGGGTCAGGGCGTTTGCAAGGACCCAGAGAGCGCCCTCCGGGGCGAGCCTGGGAGTTTTCTGCGGGGATGGTGGTGGCTGTTTGGGCCGCCTGGGAGTTTGCGACTCCTATAGCTGGCGCGAGCGGGGATGCTGGGGCGGACCCCCCTCCGTCTGCCCCGCGGCGGAGCTCGCCCCTTGTGCTGCCCGCACGCCGCGGGCCTCCGCCATCTTGTCGATTTGGTTGGGGGAGAGGGGTGGGCGGGCTGGGAGGCGACATTGAGTTCTTTCCGAGTGTTTCCATTTTCGTGCTACCTACAGGTGCTTCCTTAGGAATTCTCTCTTGCTTTTAAAATTCTGGATGGCTGGCATTTTTGTGCAACCTAGAACAAAGACTGGGGGACGGGAGAGGGTTTTGGGGGGTTCCATGGGGGCACAGATAGGGTATCGAGTTACCAAAGAAGTGAGAGTGAAGTTTCTAGGTGAATTGCCGGGTTTGAGAGTCGTGTAGGAATGGATATAGAAGGAAGCAAACGAGGCCTTTGCTTACCTGCGGGAGTCGTTCTGACCGTTCATGCCACGTGAGAGGGTTTTGTTAACGTTAGTTTTTGGCTTAGGTCCTTTAAGGTCTTGAACATCGGTTTCCTGACTTGAGCGGGGCCCATGCCCCTGCCGAGGAGGCTCAGCCTGGAAGCAGCTAGCCCATTTCCTATCTCCCCCACCACGACCCCAGCAAGGATCTCTACTTGACTTACCTCCTTCAGGCAACCACCTAGAAAATCGTTGAGTTTGTTCATGTCACAAGTGAAAGTATTTTTTCATGCATTCATCGTTGGCACGTCGTCCTTTGGCAATATTAAAATCTACCAACAAATGGGAAAAGTTAACATTTGCACCATCTTGCCATATTCAAAAACCTTGTGCTTAAGTGTTTTGAAAGTAAGTTTCATGGCCGAACGCGGTGGCTCATGCCTGTTATCCCAGCACTTTGGGAGGCCGAGGTGGGTGGGTCGCTTGACCCTAGGAGTTCAAGACCAGCCTGAGCAACATGGCAAAACCCCATTTCTACAAAAAAATAGTAAAGTGAGCCAAGCGTGGTGGTGCGGGCCTGTAGTCCCAGCTACTTATGAAGGAAGTGGGAGAATGCCTTTAGCCAAGATCGCGCCACTGCACTCCAGCCTGGGCAACAGAGCAGACTCTTACTTGAAAGAAAGGTTCATATTTCACTCAAAATAGTGTACTTGTGTACCTACAGTAACATTTTTCTACTTAATGTTATTAGCATTGTCACCCTTAATACTGCAATTTAACAATCTGCTTTGTGCCTGTTGTTCCTCAGTCATCTTCGAAATGTCTTTTACAGCTGATATGTTCAAACCTGACTCAGTCGAGGGTCTCTCCTCATTATTATTTACAAGTTGGCTTTGTTTCTTCTTCCTTCTCTCAATAAGTTCTTCCAGGGGATTTGTGTCTTGGCAGCTTTCTCTGTTTATGGGTTATGTGCAGATGTAGGCAGTGCTAAAGAAACCTGCAAACAGTGGGGGATGAACACCGGGGACATCTTCATGTAGTGCATTTGGGGTCCTACCCATCCCATGAGGACAGTCCCCCGAGGACCTGTGACACTGGGGAGGTTGGGGCATCTTGGTGTCTCCATGAGCAAAACTGGTCATTCCTACCTTCTGGATGAGTTTTGCATTTCCTACTCTTTTTGAGACAAGTCTTGCTCTGTCGCCCAGGTTGGAGTGCAGTGGCACGACTTGGCTCACTGCAACCTCCGCCTCCTGGGTTCAAGCAATTCTCCTGCCTCAGCCTCCCGAGTAGCTGAGATTACAGGCATTCTCCACCACGCCTGGCTAATTTTGTATTTTCAATAGAGACAGGGTTTCACCATATTGGCCAGGCTGGTCTCGAACTCCTGACTTCGTGATCTGCCCACCTCGGCTTCCCAAAGTGCTGAGGTTGCAGGCGTGAGCCACCGTGCCCGGCCGCGTTTCCTACTCTTTAAGCTCTGTTAGCTTGGCCTCTGTCCCTGAAGGTAAGTGGCCTCAGGACCTGGTTGCAGAGGGGCTGGGGCTCCCATGATGTCCAGCACTGGGCTCTGATCACCCCTGAGGACACAGTGCACCCCAGGACCTTTGACACCTGGGGGTCTGAGGGGCCCCAGTTTTAATGGCTTGTGGACTTGCAGACTGTTTCCTCCCCCACTCTCACTGTGTCTTTCTGTGTTACAGGTGCAGCTTCAAGCTTAGGACCACCCACCATGCCTATCCAGGTAAGAACCCTTGCTCCTGCTCCTTCACTCACCTGGGTTTAAAATATCTCACTGTCTAGGTTGACTTCATACCGTACCTCTAGAAACTGATTGATGTGCCAATGATTGTACTCAGTGTTTACATACAAAAACCATCTCAGGCTGGGCGCAGTGGCTTACACCTGTAATTCCAGCACTTTGGGAGGCTGAGGTAGGTGGATTACCTGAGGTCAGGAGTTCGAGACCAGCCCAGCCAACATGGTGAAACCCCGTCTCTACTAAAAATACAAAAAATTAGGCCGGGCACAGTGGCTCACGCCTGTAATCCCAGCACTTTGGGAAGCCGAGGCAGGTGGATCATGAGGTCAGGGGTTCAAGACCAGCCTGACCAACATGGTGAAAACCCCCATCTCTACTAAAAATACAAAAAATAGCTGGGCGTGGTGGCGGGTGCCTGTAATCCCAGCTACTCAGGAGGCTGAGGCAGGAGAATTGCTTGAACCCGTGAGGCAGAGGTTGCAGTGAGCCGAGATTGTGCCACTGCACTCCAGCCTGGGCAACAGAGCAAGACTGTGTCTCAAAAAAAAAAAAAAATTTAGCCAGGCGTGGTGGCACATGCCTGTAATCCCAGCTATTCAGGAAGCTAAGGCAGGAGAATCACTTGAACCCGGGAAGCAGAGGTTGCAGTGAGCCAAGATTGTACCATTGCACTTCAGCCTGGACAACAAGAGTGAAACTCCCATCTCAAAAAAAAAAACACCCATCTCACAACTATGGAAAACTTGGCAGGCAGGCCTGGGTCCAAACCCCAGCTCTGCTGTTTACAGGCTTGGAGACATTCACCAGGCCATCACTCTTTTGCGCCTCACTGCTGTGTCTGTGGAACAGGCACCGAGCAAATGGCCCGGGGCACTAGCGCTTCCCGCCTTCTGAAGGTGGGGCTTGAATAAGAAGAGGAATGCGTGGACTGGAGGGAACAAGCATTTGCGTTTCAGGGGAAAGAACTAATCAAACATGTCAAAACTCAGCAGTGGAAAAGAGACAGTAACTACCAGGTGATTCTGTCACGTTACTTCATGGGTTTTGTAGGCTGAATGCAATGTGTCTTTAAGCACAGCTTAGCCTGCAGTGAACCGTTTATATATAAACTGATAGAATTCAGGGAACTCCTATTTTCACAATAAAAATAACAGGCTTTATCAGGAGAATTGTTTCAAAGAGCAAAATCAGACAAGCATGAGTGTGTGTTATCAGAAAAGAGACAGGTGTTCTCAGCTCTGGGAAGATTTTCATTTGTTCCTTAGGTGTCAGGAGCTGGAACCGTGGCTGCAGCGAAATAGAACTGAAAGTGTGTTCTCCGGGTTCTTGGAGGTTTCAGCTATTTCTGGCAGGGAAGCTGGCTTTTGGGCAGGGTTGGCTGGGATTGCAGTTCCCCTGAGTATCTTTCTGAGGGTCCTGTGCTTTTTTTTTTTTTTTTTTTTTTGAGAGGGAGTCTTGCTCTGTCGCCTGGACTGGAGTATAGTGATGCGATCTCGGCTCACTGCAAGCTCCACCTCCCAGGTTCACGCCATTCTCCTGCCTCAGCCTCCCGAGTAGCTGGGACTACAGGCGCCTGCCACCACGCCCGGCTAATTTTTTTTTTTTTTTTTTTGTATTTTTAGTAGAAGTGGGGTTTCACTGTGTTAGCCAGGGTGTTCTTGATCTCCTGTCCTCGTGATCCACCCGCCTCAGCCTCCCAAAGTGCTGGGATTACACGCGTGAGCCACCATGCCCGGCCGGGTCCTGTGCTCTTAATCCGAGATCCTCTGTGGGGTAGTGAATGGAGCTGAGCGTTTGTCATGGCTGGCTTAGAGGGGATTCTTGGGGACATGAGTGGTGTCGGTGCCAGTTGGGTAGGGATGTGTGAGAGGTGAGACGACAGAGCTGATGCGGGATAGGGAGACAGAAGGGACACGTAGCATTTGTGGATTCTGGGCCGGCGCCTTCCTTACGACTGTCCAGATAGAAATGTTCCTCGCCTTGTCCAGTCTGGCAGCCACTGGCCACGGGTGGCTCTTGGACACCTGGAATGTGGCTAGTTTGTGGCTGGGGGCTGGGTTTTTAATTTTCCTTGATTAGTTTAAACAAGGACCCCCCTCTTCCTACAAAGCATATTTCTATGCAAAATGGGGCTTTTGGTGTTTCTGAGGTTGTTAAACAGCAGCACCCACTGAGCGAGCACCCACAGTGTTAGTGCTTTTGCGGAGAATAAACTGAACTTATCCTGCCAGGGTCCCAGTGAGAGGCAGCTGCCCCTTCCCCATGTCACAGAAGGTTCTGGTGAAGTCAGAGCAGCTTAGAAGAGCTGGGCCGGGGGCAGCAGAGGCGATTGAGGGGTATCCCGTTAGGCATGGGAGGCCCAAGCAGAAGGGTTTGGCCCCGTCCTCTCACTGAACCCCACAGATGTGCCTGTCTGCAGGCATCTCTAGTCCCGTTTTCCAGAGAAACACTGCTGCTGGGGGGCGGGGAGGGGTGAGGTCAGTGGGCCTAGATCATACAAGGAGCCATACCCAGGCTGAGCTGGATGGGGAGGGGAGGTAGCCTGGCACCCCCAGGGACCAAGTGTCATTCAGTTTGTTGCCTGATCTCTCAGCACTCTTCTGTGATGTCCCCCTTAGGACAGTAGGTGGTCCTGGGACCCACATCAGGAGGGGGTGAGGGCACCGGGGCCTCCATGATGTCCAGCACTGGGCTCCGACTGCCACTGAGGACACGGTGCCCCCCGGGACCTTTGACACCCGGGGGTCTGAGGGGCCCTGGCTCTGGGGAGGGCTGGTGGGTATCTTGGCTGCCCTGCACCCCACTGACCTTCTCCCCTCCCCTGTGCCCTCCTGCCTCCAGGTGCTGAAGGGCCTGACCATCACTCATTAAGAACAGAGGAGGCTGCCTGTTACTCCTGGTGTTGGTGAGAAGGCAGATGTAGACAGGTGCCCAGCAAGTGCTGAGCCAGGCGCTGCCCTAAGCACTGGGCTCATTAACCTTAGTAACCCTGTTGGGGGGCGGAGGTGGGATGGGGGCTGGGGCTGGGTTGCAGTGAGATGTCCAGTGTCCAGGGTTCTTGAAAGGGCTGCACTTGGGGACCCCGTGATGTCCAGCACTGGGCTCTGACTGCCCCTGAGGACACGGTGCACCCCGGGACCTTTGACATCCGGGGTTCTGAGGGGCCCCACTCCGGGAGGTGATGGTGGGGGTGTGGCTGTTTCCCCCATTCGTGCCTTTTCTGTGTCCTTCCCCTGACAGCATCCCTCCAGACACTCTGCTGTTTCCTGCCTAGGCGTGGCTGCAGCCATGGCTAGGAAAGCGCTGCCACCCACCCACCTGGGCCAGAGCTGGTTCTGCTCCTGCTGCAGGGACACTGAGCTGGCTATCTCGGCGCTTCGGGCAAGAACTGCAACAGGCTCTCCTGGGTCCTGCAGGTGTACAGCCGGGCCCCTGCCTTGTGCCTCAGCTCTCGAGAGCTGCTGCTGCCGGGTGACCTGATCCAACCTGATAAGGTGCCATCTTCAGCTACCACTGCAAGGCCCTGAGGGCAACAGCAGCACGGCACTGCCCACCCGGCTGCTGATGGCCTGGTGCCAGCTGGGAGTCCTCCCGGCACTTCGAGGCCACTGAGCCACCCTTCCAGCCCCAGCCCACCATGGACAGGGGTATCCAGCTTCCTCCTCAACCTCGTCCTCTGCCCCTGAGCCAGTGACGCCCAAGGACATGCCTGTTACCCAGGTCCTGTACCAGCACTAGCTGGTCAAGGGCATGACAGTGCTGGAGGCCGTCTTGGAGATCCAGGCCATCACTGGCAGCAGGCTGCTCTCCATGGTGCCAGGGCCCGCCAGGCCACCAGGCTCATGCTGGGACCCAACCCAGTGCACAAGGACTTGGCTGCTGAGCCACACACCCAGGAGAAGGTGGATAAGTGGGCTACCAAGGGCTTCCTGCAGGCTAGGGGAGGAGCCACCCCCGCTTCCCTATTGTGACCAGGCCTATGGGGAGGAGCTGTCCATACGCCACCGTGAGACCTGGGCCTGGCTCTCAAGGACAGACACCGCCTGGCCTGGTGCTCCAGGGGTGAAGCAGGCCAGAATCCTGGGGGAGCTGCTCCTGGTTTGAGCTGCATTCAGGAAGTGCGGGACATGGTAGGGGAGGCAAAAAGCCTTGGGCACTACCCTCCCTGTGGAGCTGTTCGGTGTCCGTCGAGCTAGCCACACCCTGACACCATGTTCAAGGGTACCGGAAGAGAAGGGTGTCTGCCCCCAACCTCCCCTGTGGGTGTCACTGGCCAGATGTCATGAGGGAAGCAGGCCTTGTGAGTGGACACTGACCATGAGTCCCTGGGGGGAGTGATCCCCCAGGCATCGTGTGCCATGTTGCACTTCTGCCCAGGCAGCAGGGTGGGTGGGTACCATGGGTGCCCACCCCTCCACCACATGGGGCCCCAAAGCACTGCAGGCCAAGCAGGGCAACCCCACACCCTTGACATAAAAGCATCTTGAAGCTTTTACTCCGTTTTTATAAGGATTGGTTTGTTTTGTGTTTTTGAGACTGTTTTGCTCTTGATGCCCAGGCTGGAGTGCAATGGCGCAATCTCAGCTCACTGTAACCGCCACCTCCTGGGTCCAGGTGATTCTCCTGCCTCAGCCTCCGGAGTAGCTGGGATTACAGGCACCTGCCACCACGCCTGGCTAGTTTTGTATTTTCAGTAGAGATGAGGTTTCACCATTGTTGGCCATGGTGGTCTCAAACTTATGACCTCAGGTGATCCGCCCACCTCGGCCTCCCAAAGTGCTGGGATTACAGGTGTGAGCCACCATGCCTGGCCTGTCACGGGTTTTCTCTTAAGGTCTCTGTTGCTATGCCTTCTCTGAAAGCGTGCATTGGCTGTGTGCTGTGGGCAGCCAGTCCCTTCTGATGGGTCTGCTTTTGCTGTGTGTGGCTTCTGTGTTGGTCTGGGTTTAGGGTGTGCTGGGGCCGGAATCTCAGGTGACAGCTCTGTGAGGACTCACTGAGCCCTAGCAGTTCTGACCTCACAGCTGAGGCCTTGGGCACAGGGGCCCCTGTTAAACAGCGGACAGAACACTCCAAACTCTGGTGCTTCATCCTCTGTGGGTTCAGCTGCTGAGCTGCGTCCAGGGGGAGCCACCCAGGCCTCTGCCCACTAGCAGGCCCCCAGCTCTGAACAGGTCCTTCCAGCAGGCTGCTGGGAAAGGGTGGGCTCTTGCCACCAGGTGGGAGTTGGTCACAGCCACAGGTAACCCCACCTGGCACTTGGGGTCTCCATGAACCTGCAAGGAAGCCAGGCTCCCTCCCAGGGCCAGAAAGTGTGAGGGGTGTTCATTCCTCAGCCTTCCCAGGGTCGTGGCTCCTGGCATCCATCTGGGGTGGCCCATGACCACCCAGCTCCTCTAGGGAATGCCGGGTAGGGCAGTGAGGCAGGTCTGGGGACTCCCCAGGGATGAGTCTGCATGAGAGGCTGCCCTCAGCACCCTGGGAAGAAATGGGCTAGGGCAGTATGCAGGTGGCCCTTGTGTGGAGGAAGGGTTGTCCCAGCTTCCACTCCCTGGCGTTTCTGGATCCTGTGCCTTTTTTAGGTCCTGGGTCACTGGGAATGGCTTTGAACCTTTCTCCGACTGCCCCATCTAATGGGGGCCAAGTGGCTGTTATTAAGCATCCACTGTACCAGGGCTCCCTACGGGTTCCCTGGTTAGACAGTGCCACACAGCCATGGGTGTGGGGCAAGGCCTGGGAGGGGCGGGCGCTCTGCTCTAGGCCACACTATGGGAGCCTCCCCTTGGGGGGCCAGGGGCTCAAAGGGCACCCGTGCAGGTGCTCCACAGCGCCTGCTGCTGCATGAGTGTGGGAGGAGTAGCTCTCATCAGCATCTGAGAAATGATTGCAGTGGTGGATGTGTGGCCCATGTGATGGTTGGGAGCTGAACACTCCATTTTATTTAACCTAAATTTAAATAGCCATACATGGTCATGGCTACTGTATTGGCCAGCGCCTCCACATTACTTGTAGCAGTTACAGTGCACAGCCGAGAGTGTCATCGGTTTTCCCTGCTCTCTACCTGTCCCTAGGAAGTTAATTTTTGGAGTTGTGGAGTCCACTGGGTTAGAGTCGTGGTTCTGCCAAGTGAGACACATCAGGGCCTATCACTTGCCCAGAGGCGCACAGCCTCGGAAACCAGGCTTTGAATCGTGCACCTTTCTCAGGTCTGCTGCCAGATCCCTCTGACTCTACCCAAGTTCATGGTTGCATTGAGAGCTATGGAGGTCACCAAATAACCAGACTTGAGGGTCCAACTCCTGTGAGCCTGGTCTCCACAGAGCACATGGTCCACATTGAGGCTCACTGAGTAAGGCCTTGTCACAAGCTGCAAGTGGAGGTACGTACAGGGTCCACCATGTCCTCAGCCAGCCTACCTGCTTCCAGTGCTCATATGGAAAGGTGCATAAACATACCACCTGGGTGTGGTGGCTCACACCTGTAATCCCAGTGCTTTGGGAGGCCATGGCAGGAGGATTGCTTGAGGCCAGGAATTTGAGACCAACCTGGCCAACATACCAAGAAAACAAAATTAACCAGGCATTGTGCACGCCTGTAGAAGCTGAAACAGGAGGGTCACTTGAGACAGGAGTTCAAAGCTGCAGTGAGCTATGCTCATGCCAGTACTCCAGCCTGGGCCACAAAGACCTTGTCTCTACAAGAAAAGTGCCATGCAGGCATGCCTGCTTGTTCAGACATGGGTACATTTGTGCTTGAATGTGTGTCACAGACATGTTTTTTACCAGCATGTACGTACAGACCACCTGTGCACGCGTCTAAGTGCAGAAACTGTTCACACATGTGACACGTATGCATGCACACTCATGCCACCGTCACACAGACACATGCACACACAAACTAGTTTCCAGGCCGGAGACTCCACACAGCCCTCGCTCCCCATGCACACAGGCGCACAGTAAGTCACAGAAGCCAGAGCAGCTACTGAGCATACATGTTGGGGTCCAGTGTCAGCTGGGGGTAGGGAAGCCCTGGTTTCTGGCTCACACGGGGCCCCCCAAGGCCCGCAGGCACCCTGGTCTCCAGGCCAGCAGGCCCAGCCCCAAGCTGAGTGCCACCAGCACAGCTACAGCTCCGGCCAGCAGGGGCACCACTGGAGCTGCAGGGAGAACACGCGGGGGGTGAGTGCCAGGACTTGGCAACCCTCCACTCCCACCCCAACACAGAGGACTGTCACCTGGGGGGATGGCAGCCTCATAGGGGCCATGGCAGGAGACCCCATGGGCGGGAGGCCGGGCCGGGGCAGTCAGCTGGTAGAAGCGGCCTAGTGGACAGGGGGCCGGGCACCCGGGGAGGCTGAGAGGCAGGGGCAGGTGGGCGGAGTCATTGCGGTAGAAGAGGGAGACGGTGACATTCCTGGAGAGAGAGGACATGGTGGCACCTCCTCCCTCCTGTCATTGATCTTAAAGCCTGGAGAAAAGGGCTTCTGACTCCCACCTGTCATCCTCCCAGCATCATCCCATGCAGCTCCCCACCTGGCCATGCCCTCTGCCTGACACATCACCCCTTGCTTTGAGAGTTCTGTCCCACCCATGTCCCTGGGCACCAAACCATTCTCACCCTCCATCTTTGGCGGGATTCCCCAGGTGCTTCCGGAACTCAAAGCCGAGGCAGGCAGCATATGGCGGGGTGTGTCCATCATAGAGGCCCAGGGCCCCCTGGAGGGCCAGCAGGGTGCTGTCATGCTGCAGGTGGACCCGAGGGCTGAGACGGCACTTCTCTCTGGAGGCCTTTCTCCTGAGCACTACACTTGCGCATCCAGATGTCCCCCAGGCTTCTTAGAACCAACCCCCCAAAGCTACTCCTTCCTCCCATCCTGAAGGCAGTACCAACATTTGCAGGCGGCCACTTAATAAAGATTGCTCAAGTAGGTGCAAAATATGATTGGACTAAGCAGCCTTTCTCCTCCGGAAGGACAGACTGCTTAGTCCAATCATAGTTTCTTAAAGAAAACAAGGAATTATATTTATTCATAAATTCTTCCTCCCATAACACCGTCACCTCCCTCTTTCCAGACTAATGGTAGAGCCTGAGAGTAGGGTTTGGAGATACGGGTTACCCCAGGCAGTGGGCTGAGATCCACTGGGACCACAGGCTCTTCCTCACCTAAATCGCTGTCACCCTCATCCCTGTGCCTCAGTGCCATGTGGCACTGCTTCCCAAGGACTCACAGCTGAGTACATGACCATCTTGAGGGGCAGCCCCAGGCGCTGGACCCGGGAGAAGTTTGCAAGGATAGCATTCAGCAGGATCCCTGAGGATGGGAAAAAAGAGCTTAGACTCTCCCAGAGGAAGGCACCCCAGCCTCCCAGACCCACACCTCACCCCCTGTCAGCTGGGCCTTCTCTGCTGCCCGGGGTGGGCCCACGTGGGCTCCAATATCCAAAGCCGAGATCTGGGCAAGAGTCCGCAGGACATCTGGGGAGGCCCAGGCTGGTAGTGGAAGACCGTGGGCTTGCTGTGGGGAGACAGGACAGATGGACCATCCTGAGCCCTCGAGTTTGCCTCTGGCCCCGCAGGCCTGTGCTGCCCCCTGCTCTTCTGAGTCCCCCCATGGGCCGGATCTGGATCTGGCTGGGAAATCATGATGTGGATAACAGTGTTTTTTTGTTGTTGTTTTTTGTTTTGAAACGGAGCCTTGCTCCATCACCTAGGCTGGAGTGCAGTAGCGCAATCTTGGCTGTCTGCAACCCTTGCCTCTCGGGTTCAGGTGATTCTCCTGCCTCAGCCTCCCAAGTAGCTGTGATTACAAGTGTGTGCCACCATTCCTGGCTAATTTTTTTTTTTTATTTTTAGTAGAGACGGGGTTTTACCGTGTTGGTCAGACTGGTCTGAAACTCCTGACCTCAGGTGATCTGCCCACCTCAGCCTCTCAAAGTGGTGGGATTACAGGTGTGAGCCACCACACCCAGCCAACAGCGATTATTAGTTAATAATAGACATCGTCATTACACAGCCCAGAAGGCTTTATCTGAAACCCCTGGGGCCAGAGGTATTTCACAGCTCAGACATTCTGGACTTTAGAAAGGTCTGATGGTGCTGACACCACACAGCATGGAACACACACAGCAAGGGCCGGGGCAGCCCCCTTAGTCACACACATCACTGCTCCCACCCTGCGATTCAGAACATTCCCGTGAGCTGGAGTGAGCAAAGACTAGCAAGAGTACTAGCTGGGTATGGTGGCTCACGCCTGTAATCCCAGCTCTTGGGGAGGCGAAAGGATTGTTTGAGCCCAGGAGTTCCTGGGCAACATAGACCCCATCTCTGCAAAAAATTAATTTTTTTTTAATTAGCCAGGCATGATGGTGTGCCCCTGCCTGCCTCAGCTACTTGGGAGGCTGAGGCAGGAGAATTCCTATAGCCAGGGAGATGGAGGCTGCAGTGAGCTATGATAATGCCATTGCACTCCAGCCTGGGTGACAGAGTGAGATCCTGTCTCCAAAAAAAAAAAAAAAAAAAAAAGCATTGCATCATTTCAGGTCAGCTCCCGCTGCCCAGGTTTTGGGTTTTCTGATTATAGGACTGTGGGGAGGAGTTGCCAAATGTGTAGCCTCAAACCCTGGCAAGGCCCTCACTGTACACCAGGCACTATTGTAAGCACAGTGCGTGGATTAACCCATTTGAATCCTCACAGCGTCCTGGGGAGGTGTTGATACCGGTGTTGCCATCCCCACTGTGCAGATGGGAAAACTGAGGCACAGAGGATTAACTACATGCCTGAGGGAACACAGCTAGTGAGTAGCAAGCTGGGATTGGAAACAGGTGTCCTTAAACCCTTGGCTGGGAAGGGGCAGGGCTCACCTGGCACATGAGGGTGTCCAGAACCTTCCATGCCCTGCGCAGTGGCTCTCCAACCAGCGACAGTCCCGTGAAGTTCTCCAGGCGACTCAGGAAGCCCTGGATGCGCGGGGCTGGGTGAGCCCAGGCCCATCCCCTGCATCCCGCCCCCCACCGCCGCCCTGCTCACCGTCCAGCCCTCCAGGGCCTCCTGGTACTCGGCGGCCTCGGTGGCCTCCCGCAGCAGCTCGTGGTATCGGGGACAGCTGCGCATGGGGAACCTCAGCAGCTGGGGAAAACTGAGTCTCAGAGAGGACAGCCGTGTGCCTTGCCTTGGGTCTCACAGCGGGTCGGGGGAACCCGGGCTCTCGGCCCCTGCGTCTTTGTCGCAGTTTCTCCCAGATCCAGGAGAGCAGCGTGGGCCGGGGCTCACCCTGGTCTGGACAGACCAGCTCGAGGACAGTCTTGCTTCTCGGAGCCAGCTCAGGCGGCCAGACCCAGAGCTGCCTCTCTCTCCACCCGCTCCCTCCCTCGCCACACGTGGGTCCAGCCCCCTGACCTTATCCTCAGCCACGGGCACCGTGTGCACCGGGATCGGCCTCCAGCGGGCCTCGGGGCTCCCTGGAGCAGCCTCGGGAAACAGCCCGGCAAGGTTGGCCTGGGCACTCTCCAGCGTGCGGTCAAAGTCCGTGCTGCGGATGTACACCTGGAGCGGGGTGGAGAGAGGGCACGCGGGGGGTCGTGGTTGGGGACAGAGGTCAGCTGTCGTGGCAAATCAGAAGCCTCAGATTCACTTTGGAGTAGGGGTCAGACACTGAGAATCATGTGGCCTTCGAAGTTGGAAGTTGGGATCAAGGGTCCAGAGGCTAATGTCAGGAGCAGTTGGGCTGGACGTCCTAAGCTGGACAGCCATGTTGGATTTAGGGGGTCAATTGAGTCAATGAGGGTCAAAAAGGAAGATCAGAATCAGTAGAGGCTGGAGGTTAGAGGTCAAGTTTAGGAGGGCAGCTTGGAGGACTTGGAGTCAGAGTTCAATACATGTTCTTCAGAGGTTAGGAGGACTGTCTGTAGCTGGGGGATGTCAGAAGACATAGGAGGAGACAGAAAAGGTAGGTCAGAATTGATAAAGCGTAGAGGTTAAAGGTTAGAGGTCAAGAGGGCAAGTTACGTCAACAAGGGTCAAAGATCGAAATCAAGTTTGGGGTCAAATGTCAGAGGCCAGAGGTCTGACTGGAGTCAATGGGACTTAGAAAACAGAGATGGAGGCCAGAAAATAAAGTCAGAGTTGATGGAGGTCAGAGGTCGAGATGTGACAGGTTGAGATGGGGTCAGAAGTCAGTGTGGGTTAGTCAGTGTATCGGGGGTCAGAGATTAGAGGTAGAGGGCAAGTCAGGTTGATGGAGGTCAAAGGCCAGAGGTGGAGGCCCAAAGAGAGCGTTGTAGTCAGTGGAGGTCACAGGTGGGAGGTCAGGGGGCCAGGTGGGGGTCACTATGGCCCTACCTCCTCCCGCCGGTACTCCGGACTCAGGAAGGCCTCGTAGCGGCTCCTCAGGAAGCGGCCCAGCTCCAGCTGCTGGCGGACCCCCTCCTGGGGACAGAACAGCCTCAGCCTACCACTCCCCACCCCTCCCACCCTTGCCCTCACCGCCTACCCGCTTCTCACCGTGGTCAGCTGGCCCAGGCCTCGTGGCCACAGGGTGGAGGCCACCTCCTTGTGTGGGTCCATGGGGTAGGAGGCCAGCGGGGCCCGGTCGCCATGGCGGAATACCTGGGGACAGGACTGGTCAGGGCTAGCCCTGGGGGAGCTAAGGGCAGGCCGGGGTGGGGGCGCCTCACCAGAGCCACGAACACCAGGGGTCCTTCTGGCAGGGCCCGGGGTGGCAGCACCAGCAGCAGCAGCAGCAGGAGAGGTCCAGCAGGGTGGCCCCAAAACCCCAGGCCGGCCATTTCCACCCAGCCCAGACGCTGAGCTCAGCCCACTGTCTGGGCCGCAGCCCCGCCTGTCCCAGCCCTGCACTCAGCACCCCCATTATAGCAGGCCCTGGCACGCTCCCCCAGGGGCCACAGATCCCATTCCCCAGCGCCTCTGCCAGCCTTGGATTAACCCGTTTCATCTTCGTTTCATCTTCATCGCTGCCCCAGGAGACACTGATGTGCTTACCACCATCCCCATTGTACCGATGGGGAAACTGAGGCACAGAAGGGTTCCCTAACTGGCCTGAGAAAACACAGATTTCTCAGACAAAGCTGCGATTTGAACACAGGTGCCTTTAACCTGGTTGCAGACTTGGACAGAGACCCCCACCCCACATTGTTCGTCTCAGCAACAGTCTTGACCCCCTGAGTTGCAGAGGCTGACGATAGTAACTATGTGCTTGATTTTCTGTACTCTGATGCTTTGACATCAGGGGCCTTGCTGATCGTAGAAGGACCACCCCTCCCAGGGTTACCAGTTCCTGGAGATAGTCAGGGACTGGCCCAAGCGCATGCCTCTCCTGTACAAACCAGCCAACCCACCACCCAGGCCACCATCCACCTGCCCTGATCACCCGGGGCAGGGTATCGGACAACTCAGGACAGCCCCTGTGCCCCAGAGCCTGCTGAAATGGCGCAACCAGCCACTCTTTACCCTACCTTATCCCACAGAAAACACAAGGAAGCCGCTTGCTCGTGGTCTACCTCCTGGGCACCATTGGTGCGTCCCCATGTGGCCCCTGTGGCATGCCCCCTCCTCTGGGGAAGCTGTGAGTATAACAAGTCATCTTCCTTTCTTTCTTTTTTCTTTTCTTTCCTTTTTTTTTTTTTTTTTGAGATGTAGTCTTACTCTGTTTCCCAGGCTGGAGTGCAGTGACACAGTCTCAGCTTGCTGCAACCTCCACCTCCCAGGTTCAAGCGATCCTCCTGCCTCAGCCCCCCTAGTAGCTGGGATTACAGACACACGCGACCATGCCCGGCTAATTTTTGTATATATATATATATGGCCAGGCTGGTCTTCAACTCCTGACCTCAGGTGATCCACTCGCCTCGGCTTCCCAAAATGCTGGGATTACAGGCATGAGCCACCATGCCCAGCCAACAAGTCATCTTTCAATGGCAATCGTCTGCTGCTCAGGCGGCCTCACCATCCCACAATGCTAATAAAATCTACACTTCGCAGCACCACCTGGGGCTGGCTGGCTCTCCTGCCTCACTGCGCACAGTCAGCCTCCAGTCCTGTCCTAGGTTTTTGTTGTTTTTTGAGACAGGGTTTTGCTGTGTTGCCCAGACTGCTCTTAAACTCCTGGGCTCAAGCAATCCTCCCACCTTGGCCTCCCAAAGTGCTGGGATTACAGGTGTGAGCCCCTGCACCAGATACAAAAGTTTTGTGAATCTCTGTCTCTCCTCGTACTTGAAATAGGGTAGAGGCCCCTGGAATAAAGAAGTAGAAGGGCTGGAGGCTTAAGCCAGACCAGGAGCTGGCAGCTCACACCTGTAATCCCAGCACTTTGGGAGGCCAAGGTGGGAGGGTTGCTTGAGGCCAGGAGTTCAAGACCAGCCTGGCCAATATGGTGAGACCCACCCCCCGCACCCGACTCCATCTCTATAAAAGATAAACAAAAATTAGCCAGGCACGGTATGGTGGCATCTGCCTGTAGTCCCAGCTACTCAAGAGACTGAGATGGGAGGATCACGTGAGTCCAGGAATTTGAGGCTTCAGTGAGCTGTAATTGTGCCTTTGCACTACAGCCTGGACAACAAACCAAGAGCCTGTCTCTAAAAAAAACAGAAAAGAGAAAAAAATCCTGAAGCAAAATTAAGAAACTAGAAACCACGTTCTAGCCCCTGGAGATGTCAGCACTTTCCTATCTACTGATGTATTGGCTGCTGTGACAAGTTACCACTCAGTGGCTTAAAATGACACACATTTATTCCCTTACAGTTCTGGAGGTTGGAAGTCTAAAATCAATATAACTGGGCCAGGCATGGTGGCTGACACCTGTAATCCTGTCATTTTGGGAGGCCAAGGTGGGCAGATCACTTGAATCCAGGAGTTTGAGACCAGCTTGGGCAACATGGTGAAACCCCATCTCTACTAAAAATACCAAAAAACTGGCCAGGTGTAGTGGCATATGCCTGTAGTCCCAGCCACTCATCGCTTGAGCCTGAAGTCGAGGCTGCAGTGAGCCCTGATTCTGTCACTCCACTCCATCCTGGACGACAGAGTGAAACCTGATGTTTAAATGCAGTTTTTCATGTATGTACTTCTTACCAAAATGAGATCATACAGAACCTGCAATTTTGTAACCTGCGTCTTTCAGTTAACCTCCTCTTCTCCTTGGCAGTAGTGCTTTCGTCTTGTCTGATACCCATTCCCTATTCAAATGTCCCTCCGTTTCTCCCCAAAGAGACTTTGTCTTGTTTTGTTTTTTGAGACAGGATCTCACTCTGTCACACAGGCTGGTGTGCTGTGGTACGATCTCGGCTCACTGCAACCTCTGCCTCCTGGGTTCTGATGATTCTCGTGCCTGAGCCTCCTGAGTAGCTGGGACTATAGGTGCACACCACTGCACCTGGCTAATTTTTGTATTTTTAGTAGAGACAGGGTTTCACCATGTTGGCCAGGCTGGTCTCAAACTCCTGACCTCAGGTGATCCGCCCACCTCGGCCTCCACCCACAAAGAGCCTTTATAACTTGTTTTGTCCAAGCCAAAACCCGGTCCAGGATCACCCCTCAAAGCTGGTCTTGTGTCTCTTAACGGATTTTTTTCAAATATAGCAAGGCTACTTGCTTTTGTTTTGCACTGTGGCATGGATTTGTTGGAGAGACGGTGCCGTTTGCTCTGCAGAATGTGTTGCCTTCTGGAATGTTCTGGGTAGTGCCGTGAGGTACCGTGTTTACAATCAATTCTTGTTATTCATAGTAGCGATGTTGTATAACTGTGACCACTGAATCAGCAAATAAGGACCCATTGCTTCATTAATAAAAGTATATATTTTTCTATTTATTTTCTATTTATTTATTTATTTTTATTTATTATTATTATTTTGAGATGGAGTCTCGCTCTGTTGCCCAGGCTAGAGTGCAGTGGCACAATCTCGGCTCAATTTAACCTCCTCCGCCTGGGGTTCAAGTGTTGCTGGTGCCTCAGCCTCCCAAATAGCTGGGACTACAGGCGTGCACCACCATGCCCGGCTAATTTTTTTGTTTTTTTGTTTTTTAGTAGAGATGGAGTTTCGCCATGTTGGCCAGGCTGGTCTCAAACTCCTGACCTCAGGTGATCCTCCCGCCCCGGCCTCCCAAAGTGTTGGGAAAACAGGTGTGAGCCACCGGCACCTGGCCTATATTTATATATATTTAAAGAGATGGGGTCTTACAATGTTGCCCAGGCTGGCCTTGAACTCCTGGGCTCAAGCAATTCTACTGTCTCACTTAACCAAAGTGTTGGGATTACAAGCATGAGCCACTGCACCCAACCCTATATATATGTGTTTGTGTGTGTGTGTGTGTGTGTGTGTGTGTGTGTGTGTGTATACATATACACACACACACATATATTTCCCCAATAAGTGTTCACAGTTGTACAACATAACTACCAAAAATAGCGAGACTATATCTGCCACAAATAACGCAAATAGCTACCTGAGTAGCAGATTGTATAGTCCCCATTTTTGTGGTAGCGATAGATAGGTAAATAGGTATCTCACAAATGTATCATATGTATTTTATTTTATTTTTTCTTAGTTGTTAGTTGTGGAGACAGGATCTCACTCTTGCCCAGGCTGGAGTGCAGTGGCGTGATCTTGGCTCATGGCAGCCTCAACCCCCTGGGCTCAAGTGATCCTCCCATCTGGAGGAGGAAATTTTGCCTGGGCCTCCCTTACTGTTCTCCTGGCCTGCAGGCTCCTGTTTTGAGATATTTCTATACCCAGAACTGACCTGGTCCCTCCCCTGCTCTCAACCCTCTCATGGCTCCCCAGCACCCTCCGGGGCAAAACCCAAACACCTCAGTATGGTGTTCAGGGTTGAGACTCTCCAATCTCACACGTCCCGATGTCACATTCAGACACCACATGTGGCGGGCCACACCAGGGTCTGTATCTGCCCTATGCCCCTGCCTGTCCCCTCTACCAGAATGCCCTTTCCCCGTTGCCATGGCCACCATTCTGGTCTCTCCGACAACCCCCTCTCGGAGTTCCAGTGGCTTCTCCCCCCTCTGGCTCAGAGGCCCAGGAAAGAGAGAGAAGACCAACCAAGGGGTGGCTGGAGTCCCAAGGCCATGAACTTTCAGGAAGTGAGGAGGGGTCTGGCAGGGAAGGGAGGCCTGGGGCTGGGCAGAGGGCAGGGAGGGGAAGGGTCCTGACCTCTGATCTCCCCCCCAGAATGTGACCCTGGCCATGGCCTTGTTCACCATCCTGACCTCCATCTATTTCTTCAACAAGGTGAGCGGGAGAAGAGCGGAGGTGGGGGCTGAGTCTCTGTCTCCCTGGTCCAGTTCTGTCATCTTGGTCTCTCTTTCTCTCCCACATCTCTGTATATGTCCCTGTTTTCCTCTCTCAGGCTCAGCAGTGAGAAGACACAGGACCTCCCCGCACAAGAGCCCTGCCTCTCCCTCTGCCATCGCTCTGAGGCCAGATAAATGTAACTGAATCCGCACATCCTGCTCCGCCGACCCACTGCCCTTGCGCCCGGCCTCGGGCCTACACCACACCTGGGGCTCTGTGTTTCAGAAGGGAGTGGGGTGGGGGTCCGGACTCCAGGGTCTGAGGTAGGAGAGTGGTGAGGACCCACCCTCGCAGGTTTGAGGCTAGGAGCTGGGAATCTGCGCTGGGTTTTCAGGGATGAGTAGGAGTCTGTGGGGAAATTCCAAGAAGAGGAAGAACATTTCAACCTGGTGTAAGGGCACAGAGGGAAGAACAAGCAGGGCACATTGAGCACCCGGCACCAACACAGGCTGCTGTGTACTTCGGATTTGTTATTTCCCTTGATCCCGTGATTTCTTCTCCATCAGACAAAGGCGAAAATCTTTGTCCAATGGGCCCCAAAAAACCACAGCCAGGGCAGCCAGAGATCCAAAATGTGAATGCACTTTGTCAGCTGCAGTGGGTCTGTAGTTATCGTCATCATCTTCATCACTGTCATACTGTATCAACACATCTTCCTCTTTTTTCTTTTCTTTTTGAGATGAGATCTCACTCTATTGCCCAGGCTAGAGTGCAGTGGTATGATCATAGCTCACTGCAACCCTGAACTCCCAGGCTCAAGCAGTCCTCCTGCCTCAGCCTCCTGAGTAGCTGGGACTGTAGGTGTTCACCACCATGCCCAGCTAACTTTTTAATTTTTTTTAGAGACAGGGTCTCACTATGTCACCCAAGCTGGTCTCTAACTCCTGGCCTCAAGCAATCCTCCTACCTCAGCCTCCCAAAGTGTTGGAATTACAGGTGTGAGCCACTGTGCTCAGCCTCTTTTCTTAACAAACTCCTATTTAACCTTCAACACCCACCAGCAATGTCCCTTCCTATAAAAATGTGCAGACCCGCCCCCACAGGCAGTTCGCTAGCAGCCCCCTTGCTTAGCGCCCTTCCCCCACCCCCTGCCTCTACCTCCAGCATCCTCAGGTCAATGCCCTGGGGGACACTTCCACCTTCAATTGCATTTCACCTACCTTCTCATCTAGTCAAAAGCAATTTCATTTCAGCTCAATATCTGAAAAGCCAGCTTTGGAGTAGGGTTGACTGCACGTGCTAGGTTTTCCTGAAAAAGCCCAACAAATTTCCTTCCATCCCTCCCTTCCTTCCTTCCTTCCTTCCTTCCTTCCTTCCTTCCTTCTTCCCAGAGTTTTGCTCTTGTTGCCCAGGCTGGAGTGCAACAGTGCAATCTCAGCTCACTGCAACCTCCACCTCCTGGGTTCAAGCAATTTTCCTGCCTCAGCCTCCCGAGTAGCTGGGATTACAGGCATGCGCCACCACGCCTGGCTAATTTTGTATTTTTAGTAGAGATGGGGTTTCTCCATGTTGGTCAGGCTGGTCTCGAACTCCCAACGTCAGGTGATCCACCTGCCCCAGCCTCCCAAAGTACTGGGATTACAGGCATGAGCCACTGTGCCCGGCCTCACCAATTTCTTTTTATTTTATTGTATTTTATTTGAGATGGAGTCTCGCTCTGTTAAACTCAGGCTGGAGTGCACTAGCGCGATCTCGGCCCACTGCAACCTCCACCTCCCAGGTTCAAGCAATTATCCTACCTCAGCCTCCCAAGTAGCTGGGACTATAGGCACCCGCCACCACGCCTGGCTAAGTTTTGCATTTTTTGTAGAGACAGGGTTTCATTATGTTGGCCAGGCTGGTCTTGAACTCCTAACTTAGTGATCTGCCCGCCTCGGCCTCTCAAAGTGCTGGGATTACAGGTGTGAGCCACCGCGCTTGGCCCCAAATTTCAGTAATAAACATTCATAGTTGCACTATAATTTTATCTCGAATTAATAGAAGTTTTGTGGATCACCAACATTTTAGGCTAATGTTTTAGCGTCAGTGGCAATAGTGCCCTCCTGAAGTTCTCAAAAGCTTCCCGATTTGGAGGCTGGCTTTACTTTCAAATTCTTGGCTGCAAAACTCCAAATAACCACATAGTGGCGGTGTTGCACTATTTTCTCAGCCAGAAATTGGTTGCCTTAAGGGTTGAGCGCAAGAAATAACTTTGGTTTTGGCAAAACCACAACTGTTTGTTTGTTTGTCTGTCTGTCTGTCTGTTTTTGAGACAGAGTCTCACTCAAAACCACAATTTTTTGAGACCGGGGGGCGGGGGGTCCTGGCCACTTCCTCCCTCCTCCCTGCCTGGGCTTCCTCCCCCACTGGACCCTCACCCCAGCCTTCTCTCTCTCTCCTCCAGTCCTCAGAGGGGTCCTCCGGGACCCAGAGCTGACCCTGTCCCTTTCTCCTCACAGCCCTCCAGTGGCCCTGTGCCCCCACCCAAGATAAGAATCCCAGGCCCTCCACTGAGCATTGGAGGCTGCATGTAACCTGACCCCCTCCAGGCTTAAAAAAAAAAAAAAAATCTCACCCACCTCCCATGCCCACCCTGGTGTATTCTTGGCCACGGCGAACTCGAAGATAGTCCCAAATGCAGCACCACGCGTTTGCACTGCTGGGTCCCAGCCTGGAATGCCCTTTCCCATGTCTTTGTTTGTTTGAGACGGAGTTTCGCTCTTTCGCCCAGGCTGGAGTGCAGTGGCGCAATCTCGGCTCACTGCAACCTCCGTCTCCCAGGTTCAAGCGATTCTCCTGCCTCAGCCTCCCGAGTAGCTGGGATTACAGGTGCCCACCACCATGCCCAGCTGATTTTTGTATTTTTGGTAAAGACAGGGTTTCACCATGTTGACCAGGCTGGTCTCGAACTCCTGACCTCAGGTGATCCGCCCGCCTTGGCCTCCCAAAGTGCTGGGATTATAGGCAGGAGCCACTGCGCCCAGCCTCCCATGTCTGTTTTGTGTCACTTCCCTACCTCTCCCCTGAGGCTTCCTTGAACGCTAAGCAAAGTCAGACTCTCCTGTCTGCTGCCCCAACTTTGCCTCCCCTTATTCCCGGCTGTGACAGGGAGCTTCAGGGTGGGGTCGCTCTGAACAGCATCTGACCCCTGCTGAACCCACAGTTGGGGCTTGGCTGTCAACGTTTGGGAAACACTTTTTTTCATTGTCGTTAGCTACCATTTATTAAGCACCTCTTGTTTGCTAAGCCACCATGCAAGTTACCGTGCAGTGTGTTTTATGAGGTCATCTCTACACCCAGTCCTGTGTTGAGCGCAGGATGGGGGTGGGGGGTGCCATGGAGGGAGCAAAAAAAAAAGACACCATTCCCACCCTTAAGGAGTTGACAGTACATGGAAGAAGATAACATCAAACCTTACATTTGTGCAACAGTTCACAGTTTTCTTTTTTTTTTTTTTTTTTTTTGAGACAGGGTCTCACTCTGTCACACAGACTGGAGTGCAGTGGCGTGATCGTGGCTCACAGCAGCCTCTACCTCCTGGGTTCAAGGGATCCTCCCACCTCAGCCTTCCTAGCAGCTGGGACCACAGGTGCACGCCACTATGCCTGGCAATTTTTTTTTTTTTTTTTTTTTTAGTAGAGATGAGGTCTTTTTATGTTGCCCAGGCTGGTCTTGAACTCCTGGTCTCAAACAATCCTCCCACCATGGTCTCCCAAAGTGTTGGGATTACAGGCATGAGCCACAGCACCCCCACCACCACTAACGAATATTGACAACAAAGCTGGTCTTTGCATTTTCACCCCAGTTTCCCATCCGCACCCCAGGGTTTGAACCACTCAGTGCTGCCTTTCTCAGTCCTCTGGGAGCTATCAAGGTTGGATTTTCTTTTTCTTTTTCTTTTTTTTGTTTTTAAGACGAAATCTCGCTCTGTCGCCCAGGCTGGGGTGCAGTGGCGCGATCTCAGCTCACTGCAACCTCCACCTTCCGGGTTCAAGCGATTCTTCTGTCTCAGCCTCCTGAGTAGCTGGGATTACAGGTGCCATCACACCTGGGTAATTTTTTTGGTATTTCTTTTTCTCTTTTTTTTTTTTTTTTTTTTTTTGGAAATGGAATCTTGCTTTGTCACCCAGGCTGGAGTGCAGTTACAAGATCTTGGATCACTGCAACTTTCTTTCACCTCCTGGGTTCAAGCGATTCTCCTGCCTCAGCCTCCCAAGTAGCTGGGATTACAGGTGTGCACCACCACACTCGGCTAATTTTCGTATTTTTAGTAGAGACGGGGTTTCGCCATGTTGGCCAGACTGGTCTCGATCTCCTTAATTCAGGTGATCCACCTGCTTTGGCCTCCCGAAGTGCTGGGATTACAGGCTTGAGCCACCATGCTCGCATTTCTTTTTTCTTTTGTATTTCTAGTAGAGACGGGGTTTCACCATGTTGGCCAGGCTGGTCTCAAACTCCTGACCTCAAGTGATCTGCCTGCCTCAGCCTCCCAAAGTGCTGGGATTATAGGCGTGAGCAACCATGCCTGGCCCGAGGTTGTATTTTCACAACCACAGAGAGATGGGTCTCAGCCCAGCTGCCCGCAGAAATCCCTGGGGAGGTCTTGAAATTCCCAGAGCCGAGCTCCACCCTGGACCACTTAAACCACAAGGTCTGGGGATGGGGCCCGGGCATCGATTTTATTTTAAAAGCTCTCCCTAGAGATTCTGCTGTGCAGCCAGGGTCAAGAGCCCTCGCTGTAATGCGTTCCCAGAAGACAGAGGTCGATTTTCCTCCTCTTGGAGCTGAGTGCATTTCAGAGGGAGCTCCGTGGATACATCAAAGACTCAAAACATGGGGCCAAATTTACATTTTAGTTTGGAAACATTCAGGAGCTTGAAAATGAAGGAACGTGAAGCACATTGTTCCCCAGGGCAGAGGGCCTGGTGCGCATGGTCGGAAGGCACTTGCATATTTCACAACAGACTCCTTCAGAAACCAGAAAAGCCGGTGGCCTGCTCCTGTCCCTCATTCTGTCCCATGTGCGAGGACCAGCAAGCTCTGTTTGCACACAAGTAGAGATGGGGTTTCACCATGTTGGCCAGGCTGGTCTTGAACTCCTGACCTCAAGTGATCCACCCACCTCGGCCTCCCAAAGTGCTGGGATTACAGGCGTAAGCCACCGCACCTGGCCTCTGAGGCGTTTTTGAGATCAGGGTCTGGGCCTGTCCTCTGTGGGTCCCCAGAACCTACGATCACAATGGGAGTCACACATTGAAAATGGGGCTCCCATTTTCAAGGGAGTGAATCACTGACACTTAGTAAACCCAGATCAATCAGCGTGAGACTGTATATGTGCAAAGGGGCATCGTTCAGCACTGGGCGCATCCCAGGCACGGGGGACACGGCAGCAAAGGGAACAGACAAAAATCCCCCACCATGGTGGGGGGACATTAGGTGTGGCTGTCACTCCCCCACCTTTTCCTTTTATTCCACTTGAACAAGAACGGAAACCAGGAAACCCACACCACATCTGGTGGTTCGTGGGGAAGGACCTGGGCTCTGGACTCCCACGGTTCTACATTCCAGTCTCGGCCCTGACATCCACGTCCTGGCTGGGACCTTGGCCCCCAGGAGCTGCTGTGCCCCAGCAGAGCTGCCGTGAGCATTGGAGATTACGGGGTTGCCCGTCACCAGGAGCAGAACCTACAACTCTGCAGCCACGCGGGGAGGGTTTCGGGAGCACGGGGCTGGGAAGGTGTCAGGAGGTGAGGATTCCCATGACAGCTATTTTCCGACACTTGATGACAGTCTGTCTCCTACGGCTGGGAACATCTCAAACCAGGCCACGATGGGGGTGCCGCCTCCCCTCCCGTATTGCCTGAGAGAAACGGAGGTAGTGATTAAGAGCGCGTGATTACCTCTCCTGCCTGGGAGGTGAATGTCTTTCTGTGTAATCATTCCGTTCAGAACTGTCTGCCCCCAGGCTGCGAGCTCTATGAGGGCAGACTCCATTCTATTCAGGCATGTTCAAATCCCCAGGGTGGCAGAGATTTGCACCTACTATGAGCTCAGCCAATACTTGTAGGGACAGGGTATAGCAAGGAGGCAGAGGCTGTAGAATCTGAAGGATGGAGAGTGTCAGCCCTGCCCTGAAATGTCAGTTTCTCCCCTGCAATGTTAGCCTCTCCCACTGAATGTTAGCACCCTTATTTGAATGTTAGCCCCTCCTCCTGTATGTCAATTTCTCCCCTGCAATGTTAGCTCCTCCCCCTGAAATGTCAATTTCTTTCCTATGATGTTAGCTCCTCCCTTCTGAAATGTCAATTTCTCTCCTGCGATGTTAGCTTCTCCCCTCTTAAATGTCAATTTTTCTCCTGCGATGTTAGCCCCTCCTCGTTGTTAGCTCCTCCCCCTAGAATGTCCATTTCTTCCCATGGATTGTCAGTTCCTCCCCTTGGCATATTACCCCCTCCCTCATAAAGGTTGGCCCCTCCTTTATTGCCTGAGAGAATCAGAGGTAGTGATTAAGAGCATGCAATTACCCTAAAATGTTAGAAACAGAGGTAGTGATTAACAGTGTATAATTGTACTAAAAATATTAGCCCCTCCTCCTGAAATGTTAGCTCCTCCTCCCTGGAATATTAGCTCCTCCCCCTGGGATGTTAGTCCCTCCCCTCTGAATGTCAATTTCTTTCCCTGGAAGATCAGTTTCTCCCTTTGGAATTTTAGCCCCGCCTCCTAAAGTTATCCACTCCCCCTAAATGCTAGCCCCTCGCCCTTAAATGTTAGCCACTGCCCCCGGCATGTCAGTGCTACTCCCTAGAATGCTAGTCCTTCAAAGGTAGGTATCTTTGTCTTCTTTGCCTTTCTCCCACACCAAAAACAGTGACCTTCACCAGACAGGCGCTCGGTAAACATAACTGGATGGGTTAATGGAGTCAGACCGGTCAAATTCCCATCCTACACTTACTTGCTTTGTGACTTTCTTCTTTTTTTTTTTTAAGACGGAGTCTCACTCTGTCGCCCAGGCTGGAGTGCAGTGGCACGATCTCGACTCACTGCAGCCTCAGCCTCCCGGGTTCAAGCAATTCTCGTGCCTCAGCCTCCAGAGTAGCTGGCGTTACAGGCATGCACCACTACACCCGGCTAATGTTTGTATTTTTAGCAGAGACGGGGGTTTCATCTTTGGCCAGGCTGGTCTCGAACTCCTGACCTCAGGTGATCCGCCCCCCTCAGCCTTCCAAAGTGCTGGGATTACAGGCGTGAGCCACCGTACCCAGCCAGCTGTGTGACCTTCGGTAAATGACTTTACCTCTCTGAGCCTCGAGTTTCCTCCTCTGTACAACGGGAATAATCGCAGCACCGCCCTCAGGGTTGTGATGCTGACTTTGGGAGTTCACATGTTTAGAAAGCTCTGGACAGGGCCTGGTACTTAGGTCACGATCAATACCTGTGAGCTGTCATTATTTAAGGGATGAAGGCGTGAATCGCAGTCTTCAGCTGTCTTAGCAATTCTGTTGGATACGAATTTTTAGTCCCTGCTTGGCAGAGTATAATCCGGAGGCTTAACTCACCTTCCACGACTCTCTCTCGCCGAGGCTGCCCAGGAAAATGCCAGATCCTCTCAAGCACGGGGCCGTGCCCAGCTCCCGCGCGCTCCCCGAGACTCAAACCCACCTCCACCACCGCGCCTGGCTCTGCCCCAGCAAAGACCACGTCTCCCCAGGGAGGATCCTGCAGCCAGCTCTAAAAACCGCAGAGCCTCCTTGGAAGAATGCTGAACCGCATTCATTAGAAAATCAATGCAAATTAAAAACCTCCCCGGGATCCCACTTTTCTCCTCTGAGAAGGCAAAGATCAAAGAGGCTGACTTGGCGGTTGCTGCGTTGGCGAAGCCGTGGGAAACAGGCTTGCAGAGCGCTCGCGGCGGCGTCTGCGACATCGAACACTCCCTCTAACCCGGCAGTTCCCCAGGAGGAATTTATGCAACAGAGGATGATACTGATCACAGCAAACACATCGCACCTCCTCGGTGCCAGGCACGGAGCCAAGCGCCCCACCCACGGCAACGCAAGTCATCCTCACAGGGACCCTCTCAGGGAGCTACTGCCATTATCCCCATTTTACATTGGTGGAAACTGAGGCACAGAGAGTGGAAGCAACTTGTGTCCCATTGTGCTCTTCTGCCTTCTTGAAGCATTCACAAAAGTACACAAACACAAACGTAAAAGAATATTATTGTTGGTTTTGTGTGTGTGTACCTGTGTGCACACATGAGAGAGAGACAGAACATGGAAAAGAGTATTTCTCCTTCCAAAGAACCAGCTTCTTACTATTGTCCATAATTTTTTACTTAAAATTAACTCCCTCTAATCTCTATGAACGCTTTCTTTCAACTTTCAGTGCACTATTTTATAGCTTTTTTTTCTTCCTGAATTGTTTGCTTTGCTAATTTCCTCTCGGACTTTCTCTCTCTCTGTCTCTCTCTCTCTCTCTCTCTCTCTCTTCTAATTACAATTAAATTAAAGGCTGAGTGCAGTGGCTCACGCCTGTAATTTCAACACTTTGGGAGGCCAAGGCAGGACGATGGCTTGAGCTCAGGTATTTGAGATCAGCCTTGGTAACATAGCAAGACCCCATCTCTACCAATAAATTAATTAATTAATTAATTAATTAAACAAATAGCTGGGCATGGTGGAGATACTGGGGAGGCTGAGGTGGGAGGATCACTTGAGCCTGGGAGGTTGAGGCTACAGTGAGCAATGGTGCCACCATACTCCAGTCTGGGTGACAGAGTGAGACCCTGTCTCAAATAAACAACAACAACAACAACAAAACAAATAAATAAGCTATAGATTTTCCTCTGAGCACAGCTTTGGCCCCATCTCATAAGATTTTTTAAAAATATTTATTTATTTATTTATTTTTGAGACAGAGTCTTGCTCTGTCACCCAGGCTGGAGTGCAGTGGCACAATCTCAGCTCACTGCAACCTCTACCTCCAGGGTTCAAGTGATTGTCCTTCCTCAGCCTCCTGAGTAGCTGGGACTACAGGCATGCACCACCACACCTGGCTAATTTTTGTATTTTTAGTGGAGATGGGGTTTCACCATGTTGGCCAGGCTGGTCTCGAACTCCTGACCAGAGGTGATCTGCCTGCCTCAGCCTCCCAAAGTGCTGGGATTACAGGTATGAGCCACCGCGCCTGGCCGTAAGTTTTTATATGTAGTGTGCTTTAAATGAAGTAGAACTTAAGTTTTAATTAACAGTTGAACCAAGATGTTATTTAGAAGGGTGTTTTGCAATGTCCAAGGCAATTGAAGCATTTTTTTCATCTTTTGTTATTAATTTCTAAATTTGAATATGGCCTGTATTACCTCTGCTTTGGGGAATCAACCTATGTTTTATTTGTGACCTAATGCATAGTCTTTTTTTTTTTTTTTTTTTTCAAGGAGAGGCAGAGAATATCATTGCAGGATCCTGCTTTTTAAAAAATGCTCCATGCCAAGGGCAGCGGCTCACACATGTAATCTCAACACTTCGGGAGGCTGAAGCAGAAAGATTGCTTGAGGCCAGGAATTCAAGACCAGCCTGGGCAACATAGCAAGATTCTGTCTCTACAAAAAAAAATTTAATGAGGGCATGATGGCACATGCCTGTCGTCCCAGCTACTTGGGAGGCTGAGGCAGGAGGATTGCTCGAGGCTGCAGGGAGCTATGACCATGCCACTCTACTCCCGCCTGGTCAACAAAGCAAGAACCTGACTCAAAAAAAAAAATTGCTCTAAAGTTTATTATTGGAACAGTTAGGAAATTTGAATATGGCCTGTTTATTAGATAATACCAATGGTAAAGTTCTTGAGGGAGATAATAATATTATAATTTTACAGGGAAAATGCTCTTGTTCTTAGAAGATACAGGCTGAAGAATTAATAGGTAAAATATCGTGACGTCCTACCTGCGCCGACTTTAACACAGTTCAACATTTTTGGGAGGTACCTCTGAGCATTGTGCCCCTTGCAGCACAGTGGGTATGCTGAGGGCTCCCTCCCTGGGTTTCCCAGACCTCATGTCCCCGTCTTGTCTGCTCATCATACTGGAGGTACTACAGTGCGTGGACAGATGGAGAGAGAGACCGACAAAATGTGAGGATGGACAAATATCAGCATTGATATATTTAATTGAAATATATTGGCCAGGGTGGGGAGACTCACGCCTGTAATCCCAGCACTTTGGGAGGCCGAGGCGGGTGGATCACCTGAGGCCAAGAGTTTGAGACCAGCCTGGCCAGCATAGAGAAACCCCATCTCTACTAAAAATACAAAAAAAAAAAAAATTAGCCAGATGAGGTGGCACATGCCTGTAATCCCAGCTACTAGGGAGGCTGAGGCAGGAGAATCACTTGAACCCGGGAGGCGGAGGTTGCAGTGAGCTGAGATCGCACCACTACACTCCTGCCTGAATGACAGAGGGAGACTCCATCTCAGAAAACAAAACAAAACAAAACAAAACAAAAGTTATCTTTAAAGGAGATGGAGGACTGACTGAGAGGGCGAGGAGGTGGGAGGGGAGCCCTGGGGTGGCCACATTGTTTTATGGCTGGGTTGCCTGGTTGTTCACTTAGTGATAAATCAAACAAATTCCCCCCATTCTATTTTCTTTATGTATTGTTCAGAATGTGTGTTTTATTGAATAATTTTCAAAGTTTCAAAAATATCATTGCATCAAATTCAAAGCAACTCATCAGTAGGGGATTAGGGAACACTACTTCCGTGCACAGTATATACATATAAGGGAATACTTAGCCACCACCATTGAAAAGTCATGTGCTAGATATCTTATGTATTGCCGTCCCAAAGGTATACTCTTTGGAAAATACTCACGATGTAGAATCATAGCTATGGCATGCTCTATTTGTGTTGAAAGTGCTTATGCACTGGGAGCGGTGGCTCACGCCTATAATCCCAGGCACTTTGGGAAGCCAAGGCGGGCAGACCACCTGAGGTCAGGAGTTCAAGACCAGCCTGGTCAACATGGTGAAACCCTGTCTCTACAAAAATACAAAAGTTAGCTGGACATGATGGTGGGTGTCTGTAATCCCAGCTACTCGGGAGGCTGAGGCAGGAGAATCACTTGAACCCCGGGAGGCGGAGGCTGCGGTGAGCCGAGATCTCACTGCTGCACTCCAGCCTAGGCAACAGAGAAAGACTCTGTCTCAAAAAAAAAAAAAAAAAAAAAGAAAGAAAGAAAGTGCTTATGCATGGGTTGGATACACAAAAAACTGGTAACAGTTTTCTCGTGAGAAAAAGTAACAATGGAGGATTTGGAATGAAAGGGAGGACTATTTCTCATCACTTTCAAGTTTTTTTTTTTAAATAATACTTTCCCCAGTTTATTTATTTTTAATCAGATCCACTAGTCAACAGAATAGGTAGGTCTCTCTCTCTCTCTCTCTCTCTCTCTCTTTCTGTGTGTGTGTGTGTGTGTGACAGAGAGAGAGAGAGAGAGTTAGAGAGAGAGACTCACTGTGTCACCCAGGCTGGAGTGCAGTGGCACGATCTCAGCTCATTGCAACCTCCACAGCCCAGGCTTAAGTGATCCTCCTATCTCAGACTCCCACGTAGCCAGTACTACAGGCATGCGTCACCATGCCAATCTCTTGTACAGATGGGGTGTCATCATGTTGCCCAGGCTGGTCTCGAATTCCTGGGCTCAAGCAATCCTCCCCGCTCAGCCTCCCACAGGAGTTAATTTTTTTAAGGTGCGTCTGTGTTTCCTGGCACTCAGTCACTGTGTCATTTAATCTCCTCATCCAGAAGATGGAAACACTTGCTTCTATTTTATAGACTTGGGGCAACCGAGGCTCTGAGAGGTGGAGTTCTCAGGGCAAGTCAGAGCTGCTGCTTTTTTTTTTTTTCTTTTACATTTCTTTTATTTTCTTTTTCTTTCTTTCTTTTTTTTTTTTTTTTTGAGACAGAGTCTCAGTCACACAGCCTGGAGTGCAGTGATGAGATCTTGCCTCACTGCAACCTCTGTCTCCCAGGTTCAAGCGATTCTCCTGCCTCAGTCTCCCAAGTAGCTGGGATTACAGGTGTCTGCCACCATGCCCGGCTAATTTTTGTATGTTTACTAGAGACATAGCTCTTATCATCCTGCAGGCTGGCTTTTTCGTGTGATGGTTGGGGAGGGTTCCAAGAGTAAGGAAAGTATGAGGGGGAGGCTCAGAACTCTGCACAAGGTGACTAGCACTCAAGCTACTGGTCAAAAAGCAAGTCACGAGCCTGGCTTAGATTCAAGGTGTGAGGAAAGGACTCCACCCCTTGATGGGAAAATCTAAAGAGTGACATTGCTAAGGAGCACGCATGCAGGAAGGTATGCAGAACGGGGGCCATTTGTGTAATCTGCCACAGCAGCCCTGATGCAAAGCTACCGTGTCCCCCGGGAGTCCCTAGGCCAGCCCTGAGATGCTTACACCCAGGTTGTGAAAGGGGAGGTTTCAAATCCCAGCTCATTGAAGCCACTGTTATTTTGTGTCTCTCCTGCAACAGCTGAATCTACCCCTTAACTATTAATTATGCTGCCAACCTCTGGAACTTGTGTGAAGTGACTTGATAAATTTCCTTATTGTTGAAGCCAGTTGGAGTCAGGTTTTCTGTTACTTAAAACACCCCAAAACCAAACTGATGCATGTAAAGAATAGTCCTTTCTGGGGATTGAAGTCCCAGTGGTCCCTGGTCACAACAGGCCATTCCCTTGGCTCTAGGTCGAGGCAAAAGAAAAATGTCATGCAATCCAGAAGCTGTCACACCACTTGCTCATGATTCAAAGAAGTAGTTCTGCCCAGGTGTGGTGGCTCATGCCTGTAATTCCAGCACTTTGGGAGGCTGAAGCGGGCAGATCATTCAAGGTCAGGATTTTGAGACCGGCCTGGCCAACATGGAGAAACCCCATCTCTACTGAAAATACAAAATTAGCCTGGCATGGGGTGGCACATGCCAGCTACTCAGGAGGCTGAGGTGAGAGGACCACTTGAGCCTGGGAGATTGAGGTGGCAGTGAGTTGTGATCACACCACTGCACTCCAGCCTGAGCAACAGAGCAAGACCCTATCAGAAAAAAAAAAAAAACTTATATTTTTAAGCCTCTAAACATGGAAGGTTTTTGTTACACAGCAAAAGGTAACTGATACATCTGCATTCCGGACAATAGAAAGGGGGAAATGGGGAAATGGAGGGCAGACCCCTTCCATTTAAGGGGCCCTTGAAGGAAGTTACATTGATTGCTGCCTCTTACATCCTATTGGTCAGAAAGCAGTCACATGGTTGTACCTACATGCAAAGGATACTGGGAAATGTAGTCTTTCCTTTTTTCTAGTTAAGCACCGTGCCTCATTAGAACACAGGAGTTTTACTACCAAAAAAGGGGAGGCCAGGTGCTGTGGCTCACACCTGTAATCCCAGTAGTTTTGGGAGCCGAGGCTGGAGGATCACTTGAACTCAGGAGTTTGAGACCACTCTGGGCAACATGATGAAACCCCGTGTCTACAAATTACCCAGGTAGCACATGCCTATAGTCCCAGGTACTAGGCAGGGTGAGGGGAGGTGGGGGGTGGGGCGTGGGGAGTCCTGAGGCAGGAGAATGGCTTGAGCCCTGAAGGTCAAGGCTGCAGTGAGCCGAGATTTTGCCACTGCGCTCCAGCCTGGGTGACAAAATCAGACCCTGTCTTTAAAAAATTTTTAAAAAAAAGAAAAAGAGAGGGAAAGAATGGGCCAGGTGCAGTGGCTCACGCCTGTAATCCTAGCCCTTTGGGAGGCCGAGGCAGGCGGATCACAAGGTCAGGAGATTGAGACCATCCTGGCCAACGTGGTTAAACCCCGTCTCTACTAAAAAATATACAAAAATTATCTGGGCGTGGTGGCACGTGCCTGTAATCCCAGCTACTCGGGAGGCTGAGGCAGAATTGCTTGAACCAGAAAGTCAGAGGTTGCAGTGAGCCGAGATCGCGCCACTGCAGTCCAGCCTGGTGACAGAGCAAGACTCTATCTCAAAAAAAAAAGGGGGGGGGGGCGGGGAAGAATGGACACTGGGGAGTAAGTAGCTGTCTCTACCACAGAGCTTTAGATGAGGGGTTGCTGGAAGACTTCCTGAAAGAAGAGGCAGGATTTGGCAGGGTTTTAGAAGCCAGTCAAGGTAAGAGGCCACAAGCAAACTAAGAAGGACGGCTTCCAGCTTCCAGCTGAAGTCTTCCATCATTCCCGGGGGGCGTTGCCACGGGGACAGGATGACAGAAACTCCTCCTCTCCAAACGCCCTCGCCAGGGCAGAAGTCAAAGACTGGAAAAACTTTTCTTGGAAATCTCTGCCAACGAAGACGTAGAGGAAGGGGTTGAGGCTGCTGTTGACACAGCCCAAGGCAAAGCTAGCCTGGAGGATGAGCAGCATCCGGGGGTGGTAGATTTCCTTGAGCATCACCCGTCGCCACAGATGGACCAACAGCACCACGTTAAACGGGGACCAGAAGATAAAGAAAGCGCTCACCAGCACCAGCAGCAGCCTCTTGGGCCGGTTGGCATGGACCCAGCCCTCCCGCAAGAGCTTGGCCCGGATGAGGTGGGCGCAGGTGCCTATGATTGCTAAGGGCCCCAGGAAGCCCAGCAGGAAGTGGCCAATGGTCCCTATAATGTGTCCCTCCACGACCCCTTCAATCCAAATCTGGGCAGTCTCATTGTCAGAGTTGAACGCCAAGTAGCAGTGCGTACAGCCATTCCATTTTCTGGTTGTCCGGAATTTCAGGTGCGCAGAGCACAAGGCGGCGGCCAGGAGCCACACCCCAAAGGCCAGCCAGCTCGCCCGCTGCACAGTGCGGTGGTTCAGGGCCCAGACGGGGTAGAGGACAGAGATGCAACGGTCCACAGAGATGAAGACAAGGAGGCAGTTACTGGCAAAGTAGCTGAGGAACACAAAGGTGATGTAGAGTTTGCAGGCCCACTCTCCGAGGAGCCACTGCCTGGAGACAATATAGTACATGGCAATGGGCAGAGACAGTGAGAGCATGAAATCGGCAAGGGCCAGGTGGAAGAAGCAGACGGTGGAGACCGTGCGTGCCATACGGAAGACAGTCATCCACAGCACCAGCCCATTGCCCAGCACTCCGACGACAATGGACGCAGACAGGATAACCACAGTCAGTGGGCGGAGGGACCCCACCTCCTCAGACAGGCATCCGGAAGAGTTCATCTTCCTGGAACAAGAGCGATCACGTGTCAGGACCCCAGGTTGCCTGTCACTGCAGCCTCTGGTCCCCTCCGAGACCCCATTCATGATTTCTCCATTCCATAATTTTTATGGAATGCTTATTATTATTATTCTTTTAGAGACAGCGTCATGCTCTGTCACCCAGGCTGGAGTGCAAAGGTACAATCACAGATCACTGCAGCCTCCACCTCCTAGGCTCAAGAGATCCTCCCCCCTCAGCCTCCTGGAGTAGCTGGGACTACAGGCACTTACCACCATGCCTGGCTAATTTTTTTACCTTTTTTTTTTTTTTTTTTTTTTGACACAGAGTCTTGCTCTCTCTGTCACCCAGGCTGTAGTGCAATGGTATGATCTCGGCTCACTGCAACCTCCACCTCCAAGGTTCAAGCAATTTTCCTGCCTCAGCCTCCCAAGTAGCTGGAACTACAGGCACATGCCACCACACCTGGCTAATTTTTCTGTTTTTAGTAGAGACAGGGTTTTACCATGTTGGCCAGGCTGGTCTTGAACTACTGACCTCGTGACCCGTCCACCAGCCTCCCAAAGTGCTGGGATTATAGGTGTGAGCCACTCTGCCAGGCCTTAAATTCTTTTTTGTAGAGATGGGGTTTTGCTGTGTTGCCCAGGCTGGTCTTGAACTCCTGGCTTCAAGTGATCCTCCCACCTCAGCCTCCCAAAGTGCTGGGATTACAAGTGTGAGCCATTGAGCCCAGCCTGAATGCTTTTTATGACACAATAATATTGTTCTTTTTTTTTTTTTTTTTTTGAGACAGAGTCTCCTTATGTCACCCAGGCTGCAGTGCAATGGCACGATCTCGGCTCACTGGACACTATAATATTGTTCTAAGTACTGGACATAACTCGTGTAACAAAACAAGCCCTCATGGAACTTACATCCCAGTGAGAGATGTCAGGTGTAATACATATAATAAATTTACTTCATGATATACTGCTTTAGAAGACTACAAGTGTTATGGAAAAATAATAAATGAAATGGAGGGGCCAGGTGTGGTGGCTCATGCTTGTAATCACAACACTTTGGGAGGCTGAGGCAGAAGGATTGCTTGAAGCCAGGAGTTCCAAACCAAGGTGGGCAACATAGTGAGACCGTCTCTACAAAAAATAAATAATTACAAGTTTTTGTGGCCATGCACAGTGGCTCACGCCTGTAATCCCAGCACTTTGGGAGGCTGAGGTAGGCGGATCACCTGAGGTCAGGAGTTCGAGATCAGCCTGCCCAGCATGGCGAAACCCCGTCTCTACTAAAAATACAAAAAACATTAGCTGGGTGTGGTGGCAGCCACCTGTAATCCCAGCTACTCATGAGGCTGAAGAATCACTTAAACTTGGGAGGCGGAGGTTGCAGTGAATCAAGATCGCGCCACTGCACTCCAGCCTGGGTAACGAGAGCGAAACTCCGTCTCAAAAAAATAAAAATAAAATAAAATTTAAAAATTAGCCGTGAGATGGGCGTAGTGGCTCATTCCTGTAATCCCAGCACTTTGGGAGGCTGAGGCTGGTGGATCACTTAAGTTCAGGAGTTCGAGACCAGCCTGGCCAACATGGCAAAAGCCTGTCTCTACTAAAAATACAAAAATTAGCCAGGCTTGGTGGTGCGTGCCTGTAATCCCAGCTACTCTGAAGGCTGAGGCAGGAGAGTCCCTTGAACCTGGGAGGCAGGGGCTGCAGTGAGCCAAGATCGTGCCACTTCATTCCAGCCCAGGCAACAGAGCAAGACTCTGTCTCAAAAAAAAAAAAAAAAAAAATTAGTCAGGTATGGTGGCACGTGCCTGTAGTCCCAGCAAATTGGGAGACTGAGACACGAGGGTCACTTGAGCCCTGGAATTCGAGGCTGCAATGAGCCATGGTCACGCCATTTCACTTCAGCCTGGGTGATAAAGCGAGACCCTGTCTCAATAAAAATAAAGTAAAAATAATGAGATGGAGGTTCTTTTAACTTTGGATAATGTCAGAGTAACTTTGTCAGACAAATGGTGCCACAGACAAAAAAAAAATTAAAATCTGGACAAAATATTAAAAATTACTCCACTATTTGAAAAAATTGGCAGCAGAAAAGTCTGTCAATCCAGAATTTTATATTCTGTGAAAATATCTTTCAAAAATGAAAGTGAAAAAAGGGCATTTTCAGATAAGCCAGATCTGAAATAATATATGGCCTACAGACCGCAGGAATTGCTTAAGGAAGTAAGTCCTCTAGGCTGAAAGGAGTTAATATCACATGGTGACACATATTGACAGGAAGAAATGAAGATCATGAAATGTTTTCTTTAGAAAAAGATCAAGGTAAGGCCAAGCGCAGTGGTTCACATCCGTAATCCCAGCACACTGGGAGGCCGAGGTGAGCAGATCACTTGAAGTCAGGAGTTCGAGACCAGCCTGGCCAACAAGGCAAAACCCCGTCACTAATAAAAATAAAAAAATTAGCCAGGTGCGGTGGCACACACCTGTGATCGCAGGCATTTGGGAGGCTGAGGCAGGAGAATCGCTTGAATCTGGGAAGCTGGAGGTTGTGGTGAGCCGAGATCAGGCCACTGCACTCCAGCCTGGGTGACAGAGTGAGTCTCTGTCACCAAAAAAAAAAAAAAAAAAAAAAAATCAAGATAAGGACAACTGGGAATGTGAAGGATGAGACAGAAAGGGGCCACTGGTACATTAAACAGGGTGGTCAGGGAAGACCCCGATAAGAATGTAACATTTGTCCATGCTCAGTGGCTCATGCCTGTAATCCCAGCACTTTGGGAGGCTGAGAGGTGCGGATCACGAGGTCAGGAGTTCGAGACCAGCCTGGCCAACATGGTGAAACCCCGTCTCTACTAAAGATACAAAGAATTAGCTGGGCGTGGAGGCTCCCACCTGTAATCCCAGCTACTCAGAGGGCTGGGGCAGGAGAATCACTTGAACCTGGGAGGCAGAGGTTGCAGTGAGCCGAGATCACACCATTGCACTCGAGCCTAGGCAACAGGGTGAGACTCCATGTCAAAAAAAAAAAAAAAGAATATAACATTTGAGCAAAGATTTGGAGGAGATAACAAAGTAGTGAGGCACATACGTATCTGGAGGAAGAGCCCTTCAGGCAGAACCAGCAGCTTGTGCAAAGTCCTGAGGCAGGACGGTGCCTGGAATGCTCAAGGAACAGCAGGGAGGCCGGTGTGGCTGGAGCCACGTGGGCAATGGGAAGAGAGGTAAGAGGTGAAGGCAGAGAGGGAAGCGGGCAGATGGAGCAGGACCCTGTGAGTCATAGTGCAGACTCTCCTGGCCTTTCCTGTGAGTGAGATGGGAGTTACAAGAGACTGTTGAGCAGAGAAGGAACAATATCTGACTTAGGTCTTAACAATCACTGTGACTTTAAGGTTGAGACTAGACTGAGGGGGTGGGATGGAAGCAGGAGGCCGGGAGGAAGCTGCTGCAGTAACCCAGGTGGGCAGTGATGGGGATGGGGACCAGGGTGATGTCAGAGGAGGGGGTGGGAAGCAGATTCCAGGGTCAAGGTGGAGCTGGCTAGATTTGCTGCTGGGCTGGATGTGTGAGGTGAGAGGGAGAGCAGTGTCGGGGTGACTGCAGGACTTTTGAACCGATGGAAGCTGGAGTTGCTGTGCACTGGGATAGGGGAGACGGCAGGAGAGCAGGTTTGGGGTAAGACCAGGAGCTCGGGGTTGGTCACTTCGCCTTTGAAATGCCTGTAAGGCATCCCGGGGAAACTTCACTAAGGCAGCTGGATACCAGCAGCAAGATTACAGGAGGGGACCCGGCATGGTGGCTCACGCCTGTAATCCCAGCACTTATTGGAAGGCCGAGGCGGGTGGATCACCTGAGGTCAGGAGTTTGAGACCAGCCTGGCCAACATGGCAAAACCCCGTCTCTACTAAAAATACAAAAATTAGCTGGGTGTGGTGGCACGTGGCTGTAATCCCAGCTACTCGGGAGGCTGAGGCAGGAGAATTCGTTGAACCCAGGAGATGGAGGTTGCAATGAGGCAAGATGGCGCCACTGCCCTCCAGCCTAGGTCACGGAGTAAGACTCAAAAAAAAAAAAATTACAGAGGGGTTTCTGGCTGGATACGGGCATGTCGAAGTCGTTAGAATTTAGATGCCAGCCGGGCACAGTGGCTCACCTCTGTAGTCCCAGCACTTTGGGAGGCAGAGGCAGGAAGATTGCGTGAGCCTGGGCAACACAACATGACCTTGCCTCTACAAAAAAAAAAACAAAAAACATTTAGATGCTATTTACGTCTTTGAGCCTGAGAATGTCCTCCAAGGGTGAGGTGCAGACAGAGAAGAGAGGTCTGGGGTTGAGGAAAGCTTGAGCTTACACAGCAGACAGGCATAAGTCGAAGCTCTAGTTGAGACACTGGATTATGACTGTGTGATCTTGGGCTCAGGGCTTCCCCTGCACCCCGAGCCTCACTATGCTCATCTGAGATAGGGGTGTAGAATCCTTGAATACCTCTCTCTCCTACTCCCTCAACACGCACACCCAATTCATCAAAAAGCCCTGTCAATTTTGCCTCCAAAAAGCCTCTTGCCTCTGTCCACTATGTCCTGTCTCCATAGCCCTATCACCCAAGCACACAGGGCCCCAGCTTTTTTTTTTTTTTTTTTTTGAGACAGGATCTCGCTCTGTTGCCCGAGCTGGAGTGCAGTGGTACAATCTTGGTTCACTGCAACCTCTGCCTCTCGGATTCAAGCAATTCTCCTGCCTCAGCCTCCTAAGTAGTATAGTTGAGACGCACCCCAGGGACACGCCTGGCTATTTTTTGTATTTTTAGTAGCGACGGGGTTTCACCATGTTGGCCAGGCTGGTCTTGAACTCCTGACCTCGGGTGATTCACGCACCTCGGCCTCCCAAAGTGTGGGGAGTACAGGCGTGAGCCACCGTGCCTGGACTCCAGCTTTATATTTATCTCCTACCAGCCACTCACCACCCTACAGCCAGAGTGATGCTTTGAAAGCCCAAACCTTGTAACCCCAGCGCTGTGGGAGACCCAAGCAGGAGAATTACTTGAGGCCAGGGCTTCAAGACCAGTCTAGGCGGCAAGGCGAAACCCTGTCTCTACAAAATAAAAATAAATTAGCTAAACAGGGTGGCTTGCATTGTAGTTCCAGCTACCCAGGAGGCTGAGGCATGAGGATCACTTGAGCTCAGGAGGTCGAGGCTGCAGTGAGCCATGACTGTGCCACTGCACTCCAGCCTGGGCAACAGAGTGAGACCCTGTCTCAAAAAAAAAAAAATACAGTTCAAACTGGAAAATTACACTGTGGCTCTTCATTGCTTGTGGGATAAATATGAGTCTCCCCGACACCGCTGGTGAGGGCTGGGGCACCTGCTGGCCTCTCCAGACTTCTCTTGCACCTTCCCCCTCTTTGTGCACCAAATCCCGGCTTCCCTACCTTTGTGTCCATTGCCAAGATTCTCGTCTCCCTCCCACCCAGGGCCTTTGCATGTGCTGCCCCTCTGCCTGGAGCACCCTTTCTTTCCTCTGCTTTTTTTTTTTTTTTAACTCCTTCCTGAGATCTCAGTGCAAATTTCACTTTCTCCCCAAAGCTTTTCCCAGCCACCTTGATGAATCAGGCCCTCCTATAGGACCTTCTCTCCTATGAAGACATGGTTACAGGCTGGGCATGGTGGGTCACGCCTGTAATCCCAGGACTTTGGGAGGCTGAGGTGGGAGGATCGCCTGAGGTCAGGAGTTCAAGACCAGCCTGGCCAACATGGTGAAATCCTGTCTCTACTAAAAATACAAAAATTAGCCGGGTAAGGTGGCACACGCCTGTAATCCCAGCTACTTGGGAGGCTGAGGCAGGAGATATTGCTTGAACCCGGGAGGCAGAGGTTGGAGTGAGCCATGATCGTGCCACTGCACTCCAGCCTGGGTGACAGAGCAAGACTCTGATCTCCCCTCAACCAAAAAAAAAAAAAAAAAAAGAGCTAGTTACAGGCAGCAGCAATTAGACCGTTTGTTTGGTCATTTGGTGATCACCCATCTGCATTATTCATCTCTGGGTTCCCTAGAGGCGAGGCTGGTGTGTGGCTTGCTCCTGGCCCCTGGAACACAGCAGGCACTTGGTAAATAATGGATGAGTGATCATTAAGGAGGACAATCTCTCCTTTGTCATCTGAGGATGGATTCATTCATTTAGTGTAAAATTATGCATTGAGCCCAAATCGTACGCCATACACTATCCTAAGCGCTGGGGATACCGCAGTGATGAAGACAGTCAAATACCTCTGATCAGGCACAGTTCACGCATATGGCATGAGAACATTCCTCACCCAGAGGAGGTGGCCCAGAACTTTCAGCCCCTTTTTGCCACCTCTTTTTGTTTTGTTTTGTTTTGTTTTGAGACAGAGTCTCACTCTATTGCCTAGGCTGGAGTGCAGTGGCACAATCTCAGCTCACTGCAACCTCCGCCTCCCAGGTTCAAGCGATTCTCCTGCCTCAGCCTCCTGAGTAATTGAGAGTACAGGCACCTGCCACCATACCCAGCTAATTTTTGTATTTTTAGTAAAGACGGGGTTTCACCATGTTGGCCAGGCTGGTCTCCAACTCTTGACCTCAGGTGATCCACCTGCCTCAGCCTCCCAAACTGCTGGGATTTCAGGGATGAGCGGCCGCACCCAGCCCGCCAGCTCCTTTTTGTATACCCTGGAAAGTGCCCTTCAACTCTCTTAGTCCCCAAGCTCCTACCTCCTGGCTCCCTGAGATCCTCCCAACAAATCCCAGTCCCCTGTCACCTTGTGCTGTGTCCGAGGATGAAAGCAAGATGAGGGGGCTTTCTCTGCTCCGTCGTCAGTCCCAGGCAACCGCCAGCCTTGAGCCCACGTTAAAGGTAGGGGGCTGATGGCAGGAAGCTAGCTGTGAGTTTTGGAGCAGATAAATGTCCAGGAAAGAACCTTGAGCAAGAGCTTCAGAGATCGCTATCAGTCCGGGAAATGTCACCAGATGTGGGCCCTAATAATAGGCCCCAGGGGCTGCAGGCTTGGGGCATAAGGAGGAGGCGGGTGACAGGGAGGTCTTTCCGCAAGGCCATTCCAATTCTCCTCTGCCCTCCTTGTGCTAATGAAATTTGTTAAGAGATACAAAACACTTAAAACTTCTTGCGGCCGGGCTCGGTGGCTCACGCCTGTGATCCCAGCACTTTGGGAGGCCAAGGCGGGTGGATTACCTGAGACAAGGAGTTCAAGACCAGCCTGGCCAACATGGCGAAACCCTGTCTCTACTAAAAATACAAAAATTAGCCAGACATCAGGGTGGGTGCCTGTAATCCCAGCTACTTGGGAGGCTGAGGCAGGAGAATCGCTTAAATCTGAGAAGCGGAGGTTGCAGCGAGTCGAGATTGAGCTACCGCACTCCAGCCTGGGCGACAGTGAGAATAATCAAAAACAAAAACAAAGCAAACACAGAACAAAACAAAAAAAACTTCTTGGCACATAGTAGGCGCTCAGGCATTGTTAGCTCTCTATTGTTAATACTGCTCTCATTATTATTATTATTACTTTTTGTTTTTGAGATGGAGTCTCGCTCTGTCACCCAGGCTGGAGTGCAGTGGCGCGATCTTGGCTCACTGCAAGCTCCGCCTCCCGGATTCATGCTATTCTCCTGCCTCAGCCTCCGGAGTAGCTGAGACTACAGGCGCCCGCCACCATGCCCGGCTAATTTTTTGTAATTTTTAGTAAAGATGGGGTTTCACCGTGTTAGCCAGGATGGTCTCGATCTCCTGACCTCATGATCCACCCTCCTCGGCCTCCCAAAGTGCTGGGATTATAACTGTGAGCCACCATGTCCTGCCTGTTGCCATGGACTAGTATGACGTACTGTACACAGTTGTATGTGCTATGCTTTTATACGACTGGCGGTCAAGTAGGTCTGTGTACACCAGCATCAGCACAAACATTAGAGTAACGCCTTGAGCTACTCCATTAGGACAGCTACAACATCACCGGGCAACTGCAGTCTTTCAGCTCCATTATAATCGGTGGGGCCGCTGTCGGACGTGCAGTCTGTCATTGACAGAAACCTCGTTATGCTGTGCATGGCTTTATTTCCTCAGGAGAATACTGTGGCCTCACGGGTAACATTTCACTGACTCTAAGACACATCATGTCAACAGGTGTCACCAGAAAGACAAGACACCGCCTAAAAAATACAATCCAATGCTTTTTTAATTTTCTTTTTATTTTTCTTTTTTGAGTCGGAGTCTTGCTCTGTCACCCAGGCTGGAGAGCAATGGTGCGACCTCGCCTCACTGCAACCTCCGCCTCCTGGGTTCAAGCAATTCTCCTGCCTCAGCCTCCCGAGTAGCTGGGATTACAGGCATGTGCCACCACGCCCGGCTAATTTTGTATTTTTAGTAGAGATGGGGTTTCTCCATATTGGTCAGGCTGGTCTCGAACTCCCGACCTCAGGTGATCCGCCCACCTTGGCCTCCCAAAGTGCTGGGATTACAGGCTTGAGTCACCCTGCCCGGCCCAGGAGTTAATTTTTTTTAAGGTGACTCTGTGCTTCCTGGCACTCAGTCACTGTGTCATTTAATCCTCTCCTCATCCAGAAGATGGAAACATTTGTTCCTATTTTATAGATTTGGGGGCAAATGAGTCTCTGAGAGGTGGAGTTCTCATGGCAAGTCATAGATGCTTTTTTTTTTTTTTTTTTTTTTTGAGAAAGAGTCTCTGTCACCCAACCTGCAGTACAGTGACGAGCTCTTGGCTCACTGCAACGTCTGTCTCCCAGGTTCAAGCGATTCTCCTTCCTCTGTCTCTGGAGTAGCTGAGACTACAGGTGCCTGCCACCACGTCTGGCTAATTTTTGTATGTTTCATAGAGAAGGGGTTTCACCATGTTGGCCAGACTGGTCTCAAACTCCTGACCTCAAGTGATCCGCCTACTTCAGCCTCCCAAAGTGATGAAATTACAGGCATGAGCCACCCCACCTGGGCAGATTTACTTCTTTGAATCATGAGCAAGTGGTGTGACAGCTTCTGGATTGCATGACATTTTTCTTTTGCCTCGACTTAAGAGCCAAGGGAATGGCCTGTTGTGACCAGGGACCACTGGGACTTCAATCCCCAGAAAGGACTATTCTTCACATGCACCAGTTTGTTTTTTTGGGGGGGTTTTAAGTAACAGAAAACCTGACTCCAACTGGCTTCAACAATAAGGAAATTTATTAAGTCACTTTACACAAGTTCCAGAGTTTGGCAGCATAATTAATAGTTAAGGGGTAGATTCAGCTGTTGCAGGAGAGACACAAAATAACAGTGGCTTCAATGAGCTGGAATTTGAAACCTCCCCTTTCACAACCTGGGTGTAAGCATCTCAGGGCTGGCCTAGGGACTCCCTGGGTACACGGTAGCTTTGCATCAGGGCTGCTGTGGCAGATTACACAAATGGCCCCCGTTCTGCACACCTTCCTGCATACGTGCTCCTTAGCAATGTCACTCTTTAGATTTTCCCATCAAGGGGTGGAGTCCTTTCCTCACACCTCGAATCTAAGCCAGGCTCGTGACTTGCTTTTTGACCAGTAGCTTGAGTGCTAGTCACCTTGTGCAAAGTTCTGAGCCTCCGCCTCATACTTTCCTTACTCTTGGAACCCTCCCCAACCATCAAACGAAAAAGCCAGCCTGCAGGATGATAAGAGCTATGTGGATTAGCCAATCCCATCACCCCAAGCCAGCCACTCTCCCAGAAGCAGAATCACTTAGGTGACCCACAGATGCATAAAGAAACCCAGACGCAAGATGAGAAAACTACTGAGCTGAGCCCAGCCCAAACTGCTGATCCACAGAAATCATAAAAGGTTATGAAGCCAGGTGTGGTGGCTCACGTCTATAATCCCAACACTTTGGGAGGCTGAGGCAGGAGGATTGCTTGAGGCCAGGAGTTTGAGACCAGCCTGGGCAACATAGCAAGACTCCATCTCTACAAAAACTTTTTTAAAAAAATTAGCCAGGTGGGCTGGGCGCAGTGGCTCACGCCTGTAATCCCAGCATTTTGGGAGGCTGAGGCGGGCAGATCACGAGGTCAGGAGATACAGACCATCCTGGCTAACATGGTGAAACCCCGTCTCTACTAAAAAAAATGCAAAAAATTAGCCGGGCATGGTGGCGGGCGCCTGTAGTCCCAGCTACTCGGGAGGCTGAGGCAGGAGAATGGCGTGAACCCGGGAGGCGGAGCTTGCAGTGAGCTGAGATGGCGCCACTGCACTCCAGCCTGGGCAACAAAGTGAGATTCCGTCTCAAGAAAAAAAAAAAAAAATTAGCTGGGCACAGTGGGGTATGCCTGTAATCCCAGCTACTCAGGAGGCTGAAGTGAGAGGACTACTTGAGCCTGGGAGATTGAGGTGGTGGTGAGCTATGATCACACCACTGCACTCCAACCTGGGCAACAGAACAAGACACTATAAAAAAAATGGTTATGTTTTTAAGCCTCTAAACTTTGATGGTGTTTGTTGCGCAACAAGAGCTAACTGGTATGCCTGCATTCTGGACAATAGAAAGGGGGAGATGGGGAAATGGAGGACAGGCCTCTTCCATTTAATGGCTCTTCAAGGAAGTTACATTGATTGCTGCCACTTACATTTTATTGGCCAGAAGCAGTCACATGGCTGTACGACATGCAAAGGATTCTGGGAAATGTAGTCTTTTTTTTCTTTTCTAGTTAAGCATGTGCCTCGTTTGAAACAAACAGGAGTCTTACTACAAGCAAAGGGGAGGCCAGGCGCTGTGGCTCACACCTGTAATCCCAGCATTTTGGGGGGCCAAGGCTGGAGGATCATTTGAACTCAGGAGCTTGAGACCATCCTGGGCAAAATGATGAAACCCCATCTCTACAAATTAGCCAGGCTTGGTGGCACATGCCTGTAGTCCCAGCTATTTGGGGGTGGGGGGCGGGGGTGCTGAGGCAGGAGGATGGCTTGAGCCCTGGAGGTCAAGGCTGCAGTGAGCCAAGACTGTGCCACTGCGCTCCAGCCTGGGTGACAAAATAAGACTCTGTCTCCAAAAAATAAAAAAGGAAAAAGATAAAAAGAAAGGGAAGAATGGACACTGGGGAGTAAGTAGCTGTCTCTACCACAGAGCTTTAGATGAGGGGTTGCCGGAAGACTTCCTGAAAGAAGAGGCAGGATTTGGCAGGGTTTTAGAAGCCAGTCAAGGTAAGAGGCCACAAGCAAACTAAGAAGGACGGCTTCCAGCTTCCAGCTGAAGTCTTCCATCATTCCCGGGGGGCGTTGCCACGGGGACGGGATGACAGAAACTCCTCCTCTCCAAACGCCCTCGCCAGGGCAGAAGTCAAAGACTGGAAAAACTTTTCTTGGAAATCTCTGCCAACGAAGACGTAGAGGAACGGGTTGAGGCAGTTGTTGACACAGCCCAAGGCAAAGCTAGCCTGGAGGATGAGCAGCATCTGGGGGTGGTAGAATTCCTTGAGCATCACCCGTCGCCACAGATGGACCAACAGCATCACGTTAAATGGGAACCAGCAGATAAAGCGCTCACCAGCACCAGCAGCAGCCTCTTGGGCCGGTTGGCATGGACCCAGCCCTCCCGCAAGAGCTTGGCCCGGATGAGGTGGGCGCAGGTGCCTATGATTGCTAAGGGCCCCAGGAAGCCCAGCAGGAAGTGGGCCATGATCACCGCCATTTGTCTCCCAAAGACCTCCTGAGTCCACATCTGGGCAGTCTCATTCTCCAAGTTGAACTGTAAGTAGCACTGCATACAGCCATTCCATTTTCTGGTTGTCCGGAATTTCAGGTGCGCAGAGCACAAGGCGGCGGCCAGGAGCCACACCCCGAAGGCCAGCCAGCTCGCCCTCTGCTCAGTGCGGTGGTTCAGGGCCCAGACGGGGTAGAGGACAGAGATGCAACGGTCCACAGAGATGAGGACCAGGAGGCAGTTACTGGTGGAGAAGGTGAGGAACACAAAACCGGTGTAGAGTTTGCAGGCCCACTCTCCAAGGAGCCACTGCCTGGAGACAATATAGTACACGAGGATGGGCAGAGACAGTGAGAGCATGAAATCGGCAAGGGCCAGGTGGAAGAAGCAGACGGTGGAGACTGTGCGGGCCATGCGGAAGACAGTCACCCACGGCACCAGCCCATTGCCCAGCACTCCGACGACAAAGGAGGCAGACAGGACAGCCATGGTTAGAGGGCGGAGGGACCCCACTTCCTCAGACAGGCATCTGGAAGCATTCATCTTCCTGGAACAGGAATGACCCTGTGTCAGGGCCCCAGGTTGCCTGTCACTGCAGCCCCTGGTCCCCTCCGAGACCCCACTGATGATTTATTTCTCCATTTGATACTTTTTATGGAATGATTATTATTATTATTCTTTTTGAGACAGGGTCACATTCTGTCACCCAGGCTGGAGTGCAATGGTACAATCATAGATCACTGCAGCCTCCACTTCCTAGGCTCAAGAGATCCTCCCACCTCAGCTTCCTGGAGTAGCTGGGACTACAGGCACTTACCACCATGCCTGGCTAATTTTTTTAATTTTTTTTATTTATTTATTTTTTTTGAGATGCAGTCTTGCTCTGTCTCCCAGGCTGGAGTGCAGTGGCCTGATCTCGGCTCACTGCAACCTCCACCTACCAGGTTCAAGCAATTCTCCCGCCTCAGCCTCCCAAGTAGCTGGAACTACATGCACACGCCACCACGCCTGGCTAATTTTTGTGTTTTTAGTAGAGACGGGGTTTTATGATTTTGGCCAGGCTGGTCTCCAACTCCTGACCTCATGATCCACCCACCTCAGCCTCCAAAATGCTAGGATTGCAGGTGTGAGCCACTGTGCCTAGCCTTAGTTTTCTTTTCTGTAGAGATGGGGTCTTGCTGTGTTGCCCAGGCTACTCTTCAACTATTGGCTTCAAGTGATCCTCCCACCTTGGCCTCCCAGAGTGCTGGGATTACAAGTGTGAGACATTGAGCACAGCCTGAATGCTTTTTATGACCCAATAATACTGTTCTTTTTTCTTTCTTTCTTTCTTTTTTTTTTTTTTTTTGAGACACAGTCTTGCTGTGTCACCCAGGCTGCAGTGCAATGGCACGATCTCGGCTCACTGGACACAATAATATTGCTCTAAGTACCAGAGATAACTCATGTAACAAAACAAGCCCTCGTGGAACTTACATCCCAGTGGGAGATGTCAGGTATAATACATATAATAAATTAATTCATGATATACTGCTTTAGAAGATTGCCAAGTGTTATGGAAAAATAATAAGTAAAGTGGAGGGGGCCAGGTGTGGAGGGTCATGCCTGTAATCACAGCACTTTGTGAGGCTGAAGCAGAAGGACTGGATGAAGTCAGGAGTTCCAGTCCAAGGTGGCCAACATAGTGAGACCCAGTCTCTATAAAAAATAAATAATTAAAAATTTTTTGGCCGGGTGCAGTGGCTCACGCCTGTAACCCCAACACTTTGGGAGGTCAAGGCAGGCAGATCACCTGAGGTCAGGAGTTCGAGACCAGCCTGCTCAACAGGGCGAAACCCTGTCTCTACTAAAAATACAAAAATTAGCCAGGCATGGTGGTGCACACCTGTAATCCCAGGTATTCGGGAGGCTGAGAATCACTTGAACCTGGGAGGTTGGAGGTTGCAGGGAGCCGAGATCAGGCCACTGCACTCCAGCCTCGGCGACAGAGTGAGACTCCATCTCCAAAAAAAAAAAAAAAAAATCAAGTTAAGGAGAATTGAGAATGTGAGGGACAAGACGGAAAGCAGAAAGGGGACACTGGTACATTAAACGGGGTTGTCAGGGAAGACCTCAATAAGAATATAACATTTGGCCAGGCTCGGTGGCTCATGCCTGTAATCTCAACACTTTGGGATGCCAAGGCGGGAGGATCACCTGAGATTAAGGGTTCAAGACCATCCTGGCCAACGTGGTGAAACCCCGTCTCTACTAAAAACACAAAAAAATTAGCTGGGCGTGGTAGCACACACATGTAATCCCAGCTACTCGGGAGGTTAGGGCAGGAGAATCACTTTAACCCGGGAGGCAGAGGTTGCAGTGAGCCGAGATCACGCCATTGCACTACAGCATGGGAGACAGGGAGAGACTATTACAAAAAAAAAAAAAAAGAATATAACATTTGAGCAAAGTTTTGGAGGAAATGACAAAGTGAGGCACATACGTATCTGGAGGAAGAGCCCTTCAGGCAGAACCAGCAGCTTGTGCAAAGGTCCTGAGGCAGGACGGTGCCTGGAATGCTCAAGGAACAGCAGGGAGGCCGGTGTGGCTGGAGCCACGTGGGCAATGGGAAGAGAGGTGAGACGTGAAGGCAGAGAGGGAAGCGGACAGATGGAGCAGGACCCTGTGAGTCATAGTGCAGACTCTCCTGGCCTTTCCTGTGAGTGAGATGGGAGTTACAAGAGACTGTTGAGCAGAGAAGGAACAATATCTGACTTAGGTCTTAACAATCACTGTGACTTTAAGGTTGAGACTAGACTGAGGGGGTGGGATGGAAGCAGGAGGCCGGGAGGAAGCTGCTGCAGTAACCCAGGTGGGCAGTGATGGGGATGGGGACCAGGGTGATGTCAGAGGAGGGGGTGGGAAGCAGATTCCAGGGTCAAGGTGGAGCTGGCTAGATTTGCTGCTGGGCTGGATGTGTGAGGTGAGAGGGAGAGCAGTGTCGGGGTGACTGCAGGACTTTTGAACCGATGGAAGCTGGAGTTGCTGTGCACTGGGATGGGGGAGACTGCAGGAGAGCAGGTTTGGGGTAAGACCAGGAGCTCAGGTTTGGGGTAAGACCAGGAGCTCCGGGTTGGTCACTTCGCCTTTGAAATGCCTGTAAGACATCCCGGGGAAAGTTCACTTAGGCAGCTGGATACCGGCAGCAAGATTACAGGAGGGGGCCCAGCACAGTGGCTCACGCCTGTAATCCCAGCACTTTGGAAGGCCGAGGTGGGCGGATCACCTGAGGTCAGGAGTTTGAGACCAGCCTGGCCAACATGGCAAAACCCCATCTCTACTAAAAATACAAAAATTAGATGGGTGTGGTTGCAGGTGCCTGTAATCCTAGCTACTCGGGAGGCTGAGGCAGGGGAATCGCTTGAACCCAGGAGATGGGGGTTACAGTGAGGCAAGATCACACCACAGCACTCCAGTCTGGGTGACAAAGTGAGGCTCTGTCTCAAAATTAAAACAAAAAAATTACAGAGGGGTTCCTGGCTGGGTACGGGCATGTGGGAGTCAGAATTTAGATGCCAGCAGGGCACAGTGGCTCACTTTTCTAGTCCCAGCACTTTGGGAGACAGAGGCGGGAAGATTGTGTGGGTCCAGGAGTTCCAGGTCAGCCTGGACAACATGACAAGACCTTCCTTGTCTCTACAAAAAAATACAAAAATAATTTAGATACTATTTATGTCTTTGAACCTGAAAATGACCTCCGAGGGTGAGGTGCAGGCAGAGAAGAGAGGTCTGGGGTTGAGGAAAGCTTGAGCTTACACAGCAGACAGGCATAGGTCGAAGCTCTAGTTGAGATGCTGGATTATGACTGTGTGATCCTGGGTTCAGAGCTTTCTGCCCCCCATCCCCACCCTGAGCCTCAGTATGCTCGTCTGAGATAGAGGTGTAGAATCCTTGAATACCTCTGTCTCCTACTCCCCCAACACGCACACCCAATTCATCACAAAGCCCTGTCGATTTTGCCTCCAAAAAGCCTCTTGCCTCTGTCCACTATGTCCTGTCTCCACAGCCCTATCATCCAAGCACACAGCGCCCCAGCATTTTTTTTTTTTTTTGAGACAGGATCTCACTGTGTTGCCTAAGCTGGAGTGCAGTGGTACAATCTTGGCTCACTGCAACCTCTGCCTCTCGGGTTCAAGCAATTCTCCTGCTTCAGCCTCCTGAGTAGAGTAGTTGGGACTATAGGCACACACCCTGGGGACATGCCCAGCTAATTTTTATATTTTTAGTAGAGACGGGGTTTCACCATATTGACCAGGCTGGTCTTGAACTCCTGACCTCAGGTGATTCATGCACCTCGGCCTCCCAAAGTGCTGGGAGTACAGGTGTGCGCCACTGTGCCTGGCCCTCAGCTTTATATTCATCTCCTACCAGCCACTCACCACCCTACAGCTAGAGTGATCCTTTGAAAGCCCAAACCTTGTAACCCCAGCGCTGTGGGAGACCCAGGCAGGAGAATCACTTGAGGCCAGGGCTTCAGGACCAGTCTAGGTGGCAAGGCGAAACCCTGTCTCTACAAAATAAAAATAAATTGGCCAAACAGTGTGGCTTGCATTGTAATTCCAGCTACCCGAGAGGCTGAGGCACGAGGATCACTTGAGCTCAGGAGATTGAGGCTGCAGTGAACCATGACTGTGCCACTGCACTCCAGCCTGGGCAACAGAGTGAGACCCTGTCTCAAAAAAAAAAAAAATACAGTTCAAACTGGAAAATTACACTGTGGCTCTTCATTGCTTGTGGGATAAATATGAGTCTCCCCGGCACCACTGGTGAGAGCTGGGGCACCTGCCAGCCTCTCCAGACTTCTCTTGCACCTTCCCCCTCTTTGTGCACCAAATCCCGGCTTCCCTACCTTTGTGTCCATTGCCAAGATTCTCATCTCCCTCCCACCCCAGGGCCTTTGCATGTGCTGCCCCTCTGCCTGGAACACCTTTTCTTTCCTCTGCTTTTTTTTTTTTTTAACTCATTCCTGCGATCTCAGTGCAAATTTCACTTTCTCCCCAAAGTTTTTCCTGCCCTTTTCAATCAGACCCTCCTATAGGAGCTTCTCTCCCATGAAGAGATGATTACAGGCTGGGAACGGTGGCTCACACCTGTAATACCAGTACTTTGGGAAGCTAAGGTGGGAGGATCGCATGAGGTCAGGAGTTTGAGACCAGCCTGGCCAACATGGTGAGACCCCCATCTCTACTAAAGATACAAAAATTAGCTGGGTGTGGTGGTGCATGCCTGTAATCTCAGCTACTTGGGAGGCTGAGGCAGGAGAATCGCTTGAACCCGGGAGGCGGAGTTTGGAGAGAACTGTGATCATGCCACTGCACTCCAGCCTGGGTGATAGAGCAAGACTCTGTTGTCCCCCCGTTCCCCCCGAGCCCCCACAAAAAAAGAGCTGGTTACAGGCAGCAGCAATTAGACCGCGTTTGTTGGATCATTTGGTGATCACCCATCTGCATTATTCATCTCTGAGTTCCCTAGAGGCGAGGCTGGTGTGTGGCTTGCTCCTGGCCCCTGGAACACAGCAGGCACTTGGTAAATAATCGATGAGTGATCCATTAAGGAGGGCAATCTCTCCTTTGTCATCTGAGGATGGATTCATTCATTTAGTGTAAAATTATGCATTGAGCCCAAATTGTACACCAGACACTATCCTAAGCGCTGGGGGTACCGCAGTGATGAAGACAGTCAAATACCTCTGACCAGGCACAGTTCACGCATATGGCATGAGAACATTCCTCACCCAGAGGAGGTGGCCCAGAACTTTCAGCCCCTTTTTGCCACCTCTTTTTTTTTTTTTCTTTTGAGATGGAGTCTCACTCTATTGCCTAGGCCGGAGTGCAATGGCACGATCTCAGCTCACTGCAACCTCTGTCTCCTGGGTTCAAGCAATTCTCCTGCCTCAGCCTCCTAAGTAGCTGGGATTACAGGCAGCTGCCACCACACCCGGCTGGTTTTTGTATTTTTAGTAGAGATGGGGATTCACTATGTTGGCCAGGGTGGTCTCCAACTCTTGACCTCAGGTGATCCACCTGCCTCGGCCTCCCTAAGTGCTAGGATTACAGGGGTGAGCCACTGTGCCCAGCCCACTACCTCCTTTTTGTATACCCTGGAGAGTGCCCTTCAACTCTCCTAATCCCCAAGCTCCTACCTCCTGGCTCCCTGAGACACACCCCGCAACGAATCCCGGTCCCGTCACCTTGTGCTGTGTCTGAGGGTGAGGCAAGGTGAGGGGGCTCTTTCTGTCTCTGTCGTCAGTCCCAGGTGGCCGCCAGCCTTGAGCCCACGTTAAAGGTAGGGGGCTGATGGCAGGAAGCTAGCTGTGAGTTTTGGAGCAGATAAACGTCCAGGAAAGAACCTTGAGCAAGAGCTTCAGAGATCGCTATCAGTCCGGGAAATGTCACCAGATGTGGGCCCTAATAATAGGCCCCAGGGGCTGCAGGCTTGGGGCATAAGGAGGAGGCGGGTGCCAGGGAGGTCTTTCCGCAAGGCCATTCCAATTCTCCTCTGCCCTCTTTGTGCTAATGAAATTTGTTAAGAGATACAAAACACTTAAAACTTCTTGCGGCCGGGCTCGGTGGCTCACGCCTGTGATCCCAGCACTTTGGGAGGCCAAGGCGGGTGGATTACCTGAGACAAGGAGTTCAAGACCAGCCTGGCCAACATGGCGAAACCCTGTCTCTACTAAAAATACAAAAATTAGCCAGACATCAGGGTGGGTGCCTGTAATCCCAGCTACTTCGGAGGCTGAGGCAGGCGAATTGCTTGAACCTCAGAGGTGGAGGTTGCAGCCGGTCGAGATTGAGCTACTGCACTCCAGCCTGGGCAACAGAGTGAGATTCATCAAAAACAAAAACAGAACAAAACAAAAAAAACTTCTTGGCACATAGTAGGTGCTCAAGCATTGTTAGGTCTCGTTATTAATACTGCTATAGTCCTGCTTCGATTAACATCAGGAATAAATTCTGAGAGATGTATCCTTAGGTGATTTCATCATTGTATAGATATCATAGAGTGTGCTTACACAAACCTAGGTGGGAGAGTCTGCTACACACCTGTGCCAGATGATCTAGCACAGGGGTCTAGGCCATAGCCCAAATGCGACCATCTATTTATTTTTTGAGACGGAGTCCCACTCTGTCACCCACACTGATTTGCAATGGCACAATCTCAACTCACTGCAACCTCCGCCTCCCAGGTTCAAGCGATTCTTCTGCCACAGCCTCCCAAGTAGCTGGGATTACAGGCATGCACCACCACACCTGGATAATTTTTGTATTTTTAGTAGAGATGGGTTTTCACCATGTTGGCCAGGCTGGTCTCAAAACGCCTGACCTCCAGTGATCCGTCCACCTCGGCCTCCCAAAGTGCTGTAATTCCAGCTACTGGGAAGGCTAAGGCAAAAGAATCACTTCAACCCAGGAGGCAGAGATTGCAGTGAGCCGAGATCACACCATTACACTCCTGCCTGGGTGACAGAGCAAGACTCCATCTCAGAAAAAGAAAAAATGTAAGACACAAACACACACACATCAGCCTAGGCCTATGCAGGGTCAGGATCATCAACGTCACTGTCTTCCATCTCCACGTCTTATCCCACTGGAAGATCTTCAGGGGCAATAACACCCTTGGAGCTGTCGTCTCCTAGGATAACAGTGCTTTTTTCTGGACACCTTCTGAAGGAGCTGCCTGAGGCTGTTTTGACAGTTAATTTTTCCCTTTCCTTTTTTTTTTTTTTGAGGCAAGGTCCCACTCTGTTACCCAGGCGGGAATGCAGTGGCACAGTCTCAGCTCACTGCAGCTTATGCCTCTCAGGCTCAAACGATCCTCCCACCTCAGCCTCCTGAGTAGCGGGAACTAAGGCACACACCACCACACTGGGCTAATTTTTACATTTTTTTCTTTTTTGCAGAGACTAAGTCTCACTATATTGCCCAGGCTGGTCTCGAACTCTTAGACTCAAGCAGTTAACTTTTCTTTATAAGTAAAAGGAGTACACTCTAAAATAACAATAAAAACTATAGTACGGTGAATAAAGGCCGGCCGTGGTGGCTCATACCTGTTTCCCAGCACTTTGGGAGGCCAAAGTGGGTGGATCACTTGAGGTCAGGAGTTCGAGACCAGCCTGGCCAACATAGTGAAACCCCATCTCTACTAAAAATACAAAAAGTATTCGGGCATGGTGGTGCATGCCTATAATCCCAGCTACTCAGGAGGCTGAGGCAGGAGAATCACTTGAACTGGGGAGGCAGAGGTTGCAGTGAGCCAGCCTGGGTGACAGAACGAGACTCCATCTCAAAAAACAAACAAAGAAACCTATATATAGTAAATATATACACCAGTAACATAGTTGTTTATTGACTTTTTTTTCTTTTTTGTAGAGACAGGGTCTCACTATGTTGCATGGGCTGGTCTCGAACTTCTGGCCTCGAGCGATTGCCCTACTTCAGCCTCCCAAAGTGCTGGGATTACAGGTGCGAGCCACCATGTCCTGCCCGTTGCCATTGACAGGTATGATGTACTGTACACAATTATATGTGCTATGCTTTTCTATGACTGGCAGTCAAGTAGGTCTGTGTACACCAGCATCGGCACAAACATTAGAGTAACGCCTTGAGCTACTCCATTAGGACAGCGACAACATCACCGGGCAATTGCAGTCTTAGCTCCATTATAATCGGTGGGGCCACCGTCGGACGTGCAGTCTGTCATTGACAGAAACCTCGTTATGCTGCACATGGCTTTATTCCCTCGGGAGAATGCTGCGGCCTCAGCAGTAACATTTCACTGACTCTAAGGCACATCATGTCAACAGGTGTCACCAGAAAGACAAGATGTTGTAACCAAGCGAGTTAGAGAGAAATGCCACACTTTGAGACAAATTATGGAGTCCTTTATTAGCCAGCGACTGAGAGACAGCTAGCGCTTAGAATTCTCTCCATCTCGAAGAAGGGGCTAGATTCTCTTTTATACTATGGTCTAAATAGAGGAGGGGGAGTTTAACTGAAGTAGTTTTACAGAAGCAGAACAGGCAAAAAGTTAAAAAATTAATTGGTTATGGAAGCAGTTACAAAAAATAAACAGTTCCAGGTGCAGGGGCTTAAACTATCACTAAGAGATAAATGCAGGGGCTTTTAGGTACCTTCCACCGAGCAGGAGCTGCTAATACAGGCTGCCTCAATATCTTATCAGCAGGTGCATTCCTGGATGTGCTTGGTGTCAGCTTGCACTAGTTATTCCCTTAAGGGGGATACGGGGGGCCCCAAGTGAAGAAACCAAAATGGAGTCTGTCCAGCTCTCTCTGCTAGGAGACAGTCACTCCGGTTAAAACAGGGTAAGGTATCACAAAGACACAGCCTAAAAAATGCAATCCAATGCTTATTTTATTTTATTTTATTTTTTGAGTTGGAGTCTCGCTCTCTCGCCCAGGCTGGAGCACAATGGTGCGATCTTGGCTCACTGCAACCTCCACCTCCCAGATTTAAGCGATTCTCCTGCCTCAGCCTCCCGAGTACCTGGGATTACAGGTGGGTGTCATCTCGCCCAGCTAATTTTTGTATTTTTAGTAGAGACGAGGTTTCACCATATTGGCCAGGCTTGTCTCAAACTCCTGACCTCAGGTGATCCACCTGAGGCCGAGGCAGGCGGATCACTTGAGGTCAGGAGTTCAAGACCAGCCTTGCCAACATGGTGAAACCCCATCTTTACTAAAAATACAAAAATTAGCCGGGCATGGTGGTACACACCTGTAGCCCCAGCTACTCAGGAGGCTGAGGCAGGAGAATCGCTTGAACCCGGGAGGCAGAGGTTTGCAGTGAGTTGAGATTACACCACTGCACTCCAACCTGGGCAACAGAGTGTAACTCTGTCTCAATAAATAAATAAATAAATAAATAAATATTTCAGCATCAATTTCCAAAAGAAAGGACCCCTTTAAGAGAAATACAGTTACCAGGCATGGTGGCTCATTCCTGTAATTTTAGCACCTTGGGAGGCCAAGGCAGGCAGATCATTTGAGGTCAGGAGTTCAAAACCAGCCTGGACAACATGGTGAAACCCCGTCTCTACTAAAAATACAAAAAAAAAATTAGCCAGGTGTGGTGGCGGATGCCCGTAATCCCAGCTACTTGGGAGGCTGAGGTAGGAGGGCTCTGCTGTTGTGGGATGACGGAAGATTCACGAAAAACAGGTAAAGGAGTGGGCAGGGCTTTGTGCCAATAAAACTTTATTTATGGACACTGAATTTTGAACTTCACATCATTTTCGTGTGTCGTGAACATTATTATCCTTCTTTTGATTTTGCTTAACCATGAGCTCACCGACTGCCCCAAAACAGGCAGTGCGTCAGATTTGGCCTGGGCGGTGGGTCATAGTTTGTGAAACCCAAGTAGACGTCAACCTGGTGTTGCTTTAAAGAGTGCATGTGAAGGCCGGGCGCAGTGACTCAGCACTTTGGGAGGCTGAGGCCAGCGGATCACTTGAGGTCAGGAGTTAGAGACTACCCTGGCCAACATGGTGAACCCCATCTCTACTAAAAATACAAAAAATTAGCCAGGTGTGGTGGCGGGTACCTGTCGTCCCAGCTACCCGACAGGCTGAGGCAGGAGAATCACTTGAACCCAGGAGGCGGAGGTTGCAGTGAGCCGAGATTGCGCCACTGCACTCCAGCCTGGGTGACACAGTGAGACTCCATCTCAAAAACAAATAATAATTTAAAAAATGAAACCAGTTCCTTTTCTAAGGGCAACACCGGGGAGAGCTGGTGAGATGACGGTTGTTCTCCCCAGGCTGTGCTCTGCCTGGATTTGGGGATTACCTCCTCCCATGGTGAAATTCTAAATGTATTTCTCCTGCTGCACACAACATTCAGCCTTTTTTGCTTTGTTTTGGTGGCCATTCTGGTATTTTTTTCTCCTTTTATTTTAGATTCAGGGGGTACATGGACCTGGAGAGAGAGAAAGAGAGAGAGAGATATATAAAATAGTTATATATATTTATAGATATAGAATATTATATATAATAGTTATATATATTTAATAGATATATAATATATATATAATGTTTATATATATTTATAGACATAAATATTATATATAATGTTATATATAATAGATATATATTATATATTTATATATAATAGTTATATATTTATAGATATAAATATTATATATTATATATATTTAATAGATATATATTATATATTTATATATAATATTTATATATTTCATAGATATATATTATATATTTATATATAACATTTATATATATTTAATAGATATATTATATATTTATATATAATATTTATATATATTTAATAGATATATATTATATATTTATATATAATATTTATATATATTTAATAGATATATATTATATATTATATATAATATTCATATATATTTATAGATATAAATATTATATATTTATATATAATATTCATATATATTTATAGATATAAATATTATATGTTATATATTTAATAGATATATATTATATATTTATATATAATAGTTATATATTTATATATGTATGTTTGTGGGGCGGGGGCAGTGGACAGAGTCTTGCTCCGTCACCCAGGCTGGAATGCAATGGTGCAATCTCGGCTCACTGCAACCTCCGCCTCCGGGGTTCAAGTAATTATCCTGCCTCAGCCTGCCGAGTAGCTGGGACCACAGGCATACAACACCTCGCCCGGCTGATATTTGTATTTTTAGTAGAGACGGGGTTTCACCACGTAGTCCAGGCTGGTCTCAAACTTCTTACCTCAGGTGATCCGCCCACCTCGGCCTCCCAAAGTGCTTGGATTACAGACGTCAGCCACCACGCCTGGCCGACCTGGGTATATTACGTGATACTGAGGTTTGGGTTACGAATGACCCCACCACCCAGGTACTGAGCGTAGTCCCCTACAGTTGGTTATTCAACCCTCGCCGCCTCCCCCTTTCCGGTCTCTAGCAGTCGCCAGTGCCCATTTTTCCATCTTTACATCATGAGTACCCAATGTTAAGCTCTCACTTATAAGTGAGAACATGTGGTATTTGGTTTTCTGTTCCTGCGTGAATTCCATGAGGATAATGGTCTCCAGCCGCATGCATGTTACCACAAAGCACAAGATTTCATCCTTTTTTTTTTGAGACGGAGTTTCTCTTTTGTCGTCCAGGCTGGAGTGCAATGGCACGATCTCGGCTCACTGCAACCTCCGCCTCCCAAGTTCAAGCGAGTCTCCTGCTTCAGCCTCGAAAGTAGCTGGGATTACAGGCATGCACAACCACACCCAAATAATTTTGTATTTATGGTAGAGATGGGGTTTTGCCATGTTGGCCAGGCTGGTCTCGAACTCCTGACCTCAGGTGATCCACCCACCTCAGCCTCGCAAAGTGCTGGGATTACAGGCCTGAGCCACCGTGCCCGGCCCCCAGCTTTATGTTCATCTCCTACCAGCCACTCACCACCGCTGCTCTGCCGGCTCTGAACCTTTTTTTAAATCATAGTACCTCACGGTGGTTTATGGCATTATTACCCAATCAGTTCTTGGCAAATTTAAGTGTTGTTTTTTCCTCCCTAACTGTTTTGCATTAAAAATAGTGCTGTAAATAACACCTTTGGGGATGAAAATTTTGTCCGTGTTTAGGATTCTTTCTTTCTTTCTTTCTTTTTTTTTTTTTAGACGGAGTATCGCTCTGTCGCCCAGGCTGGAGTGCAGTGGCGTGATCTCGGCTCACTGCAAGCTCCGCCACCCGGGTTCACACCATTCTCCTGCCTCAGCCTCCCGAGTAGCTGGGACTACAGGCGCCCACCGCCACACCCGGCTAATGTTTTGTATTTTTAGTAGAGACGGGGTTTCACCATGTTAGCCAGGATGGTCTCGATCTCCCGACCTCGTGATCTGCCCGCCTCGGCCTCCCAAAGTGCTGGGATTACAGGCGTGAGCCACCGCGCCTGGCCTAGGATTTTTTCTTTGGTCTCGATTCCCACAAGTGGACCCCAAGAAAGAAAAGATCTTGTCTCTGTCACCCAGAAGGTCCTGACAACCCTACAACCGAGCAGGAGAGAGGCTGCGCCGGCCTGCCACACCGCCCCGGGGATTCCTGTGAGATTGTTTCCTGCTTGTTGATGGACGGGGTTGGATTTTGATTTCTTGTGTGCAGGAACGTCTTCCTGCCATGATGGTTGGCCACTCCCTCTCTTTACGATTTGCAAACGTCTCTCCGTGTCTTTTGCCCACTTGCCTACTGGAATCCAACTTTGTTCCTTTTTTATGTGGTTTACATGATAAGATTATTGACGCTATTTCTGTCGCAGGGAATATAAGTTTTTTTCCAAGTCTATTTCTTGACATAATTTTAGTGAGAGTTTTATACACAGAGATTTTGATTTAAAGGCTGTCAAATCGGTCTCCTTAATATGAGAAAAAAGAGAAAAAATTAGTTAGCATTTTTAAATAAAGGCATAATTTGCATACAGCACAATTCACCCTTTTTAGGTGCAGTTCTGAGGTTTTGGCAAATGCACGCATCACGTGACCACCCCGTAACCAAAACACAGAACAGTTCCATCACCGCAAATCCCCTCACACCCCGTTACGGCTCAAGTGGTTAAAACGTAAGAAAGCTAAAAGAATAGATGTGAATAGGCAATTCTTTTCTCCGGGTTGCTCTATGTTTTATGATATTGAACCCTAATTTTTGTCTTTTTTTTTTCTTGAATAAAACCGAAAATGCTAAATGAGGGGGAAATTGCAGCTCAAACTAAAATTGGTAGTTAAAGAGTCCCCTGCCATCCTCGTTCTTCCCTCAGATAATGAGAATTGTTAACAAGTTCATATTTTTCTTTTCGTTTCTTTCTTTCTTTTTTTAGAGATGAGATCTTGCTATGTTGCCCAGGCTGGTCTCAAACTCCTGGCCTCCAGTAATCCTCCTGCCTCGGCCTCCCAACATGCTGGGATTACAGGCAGGAGCTACTGCGCCTAGCCGAGTTCCACTCTTTTAGATTCCACATATAAGTGAGATTATGCGGGGTACATTTTTTTTTTAACCTGGAGATCACTTCACAGTTACAGAAAAGTTACAAGAGCAATACAAAGAGGCTGGGCACAGTGGCTCACACCTGTAATCCCAGCACTTTGGGAGGCCAAGGTGGGCAGATCACCTGAGGTCAGGAGTTCGAGACCAGCCTGGCCAGCATGGCAAAACCCCGTCTCTACCCAAAATGCATAAAAATTAGCCAGGCATGGTGGCACGTACCTGTAATCCCAGCTACTTGGAAGGCTGAGGCAGGAGAATCACTTGAACCCGAGAGGTGGAGGTTGCAGAGAGCCAAGATCACGCCACTGCTCTCCAGCCTGGGTGACAGAGGGAGGCTCCATCTCAAACACACGCGCACACACACACACACACACACACACACACACACACACACACATATATACACACAGCCCCTGGACCATGAAGCCTGGTGAGCACATTGAGGTGCTGGGAGGGTGGTGCCTGGAGAGGACCTGGCAGCTCCATGCTCTTCCCCATAACTCACTCTATGTATCTCTTTCATTCCTGAGTTCTATCCTTTATAATAAACCAGTAATAATAAGTAAAATGCTTGCCTGAATTCTGTGAGTTGTTCTAGTGATTGTTTTTTCTTTTTTCTTTTTCTTTTCTTTCTTTTTCTTTTTTTTTTTTTTCTGAGACAAGTTCTCGCTCTGTCACCCAGGCTGGAGCATAGTTGCCTGATCATATAGCTCACTGTGCTCTCAATCTCTTGGACTCAAATGAGCCTCCTGCCTCAGCCTCCTGAGTAGCTGGGACTACAGGTGCATGTCCCCACACTTGGCTAATTTATTTTATTTTTGGTAGAGATGGGGTCATGCTATGTTGCCCAAGCTGGTCTCCAACTCTTGGGCTCAAGCAATCCTCCCTCCTTGACCTCTCAAAGTGCTGAGATTACAAGCGTGAGCCACTGTGCCCAACCTGTAGCGAATTAGTGTATTTGAGTAGGTGTTTTATTCCATTTGCATTACTATAAAGGAATGTCTGAGGCTGCGTCATTCATAAAGAAAAGAGATGTATTCGGCTCACTGTTCTGCAGGCTGTACAAGCATGGCACCTGTATCTGTTCTGCTTCCAGTGAGGGCTTCAGGGGGCTTCCAATCATGGTGGAAGCCAAAGGGGGAGCCAGCACATGACACAATGAGAGATAGAACAAGAGAGAGAAGGAAGAGGTATCAGACTCTCTCTTTTTTTTTTTTTTTTTGGTTGATGTGGGGCAGGAGACAGATTCTCACTCTGTCGCCCCAGCTGGAGTGCAGATCATTGGTGCGATCTCAGCTCACTGCAACCTCCACCTCCCGGGGACAAGCAATTCTTCTGCCTCAGCCTCCCGAGTAACTGGGATTACAGGCATGGGCCACCACATCTGACTAATTTTTGCATTTTAGTAGAGATGGGGTTTCACCATCTTGGCCAGGCTGGTCTCGAGCTCCTGATCTCAGGTGATCTACCTGCCTCGGCCTCCCAAAGTGCTGGGATTAACAGGCGTGAGCCACTGCGCCGACCCAGACTCTTTTAAACAGTCAGATCTCATACGAGCTCACAGACTGGGAACTCTCATTACTGCAAGGACAGCACCAAGCCATTCATGAGGGATCCGCCCCATGACCCAAACCCCTCCCATCAGGCCCCACCTCCAACATTGGAGGTCGCATTTCTTTTTTTTTTTTTTTTTTTTTTTTTTTTTGAGACGGAGTCTCGCTGTCACCCAGGCTGGAGTGCGGTGGCGCGGCCCAGGCTGGAGTGCGGTGGCGCCATCTCGGCTCACTGCAAGCTCCGCCTCCCGGGTTCCCGCCATTCTCCTGCCTCAACCTCCCGAGTAGCTGGCACTACAGGCGCCCGCCACCACGCCCGGCTAATTTTTTGTATTTTTAGTAGAGACGGAGTTTCACCGTGTTGGCCCGGGTGGTCTCGATCTGCTGACCTCGTGATCCACCCGCCTTGGCCTCTCAAAGTGCTGGGATTACAGGCGTGAGCCACCGCGCCCGCCGGAGGTCGCATTTCAACGTGAGATTTGTCGAGGAGACAAACATCCAAACCATATCAGTGAGAGTTTTGGGAACCCCTGAACTGGTGATTGGCTGGGCAGAAATTAAGGTAGTGTGGACACCCTACTGTAGCTGGCATCTGAGGTGGGGGCAGTTTTTTTTTGCTTGTTATTTTGTTTTGTTTTGTTTTGAGATGGAGTCTCACTCTGTTGCCCAGGCTGGAGTGCAGTGGTGCAATCTCGGCTCACTGCAACCTCCGCTTCCCAGGTTCAAGCAATTCTTCTGCCTCAGCCTTCCAAGTAGCTGGGACTACAGGCATGTGCCACCACTCCCAGCTAATTTTTGTATTTTTAGCAGAGACGGGGGTTTCACCGTATTGGCCAGGCTGGTCTTGAACTCCTGACCTCATGATCCACCTGCCTCGGCCTCCCAAAGTGCTGGGATTAGAGGTGTGAGCCACCACGCCTGGCCTGAGGTGGGGGCAGTTTTGTGGCCCAAGTCCATAACCTGCAGCATCTGACACTAACTCTGGGCAGTCAATGTTGGAACTGAATTGAATGGTTGGGCACCTGGTTGATGTTGGAGAACTGGGAAATTGGGGGAAGAACCTCTTGGGATCCCTTTAGGATGGAGCTCCTGGTTGGATACAGCTGTGTGAGCCTCACAGCAGGGACTCAGGGAATGTTCACTGCAGAATGAATAAAGTGAGACCTAGAGAGCTGAGGAAACCCGCTCCAGTGACAAGGCAGTGAGTCCCAGGGCTGGAATCCCATCATGTCTCCTCTCCCAACCAGCCTCCCCACAGGGAGCCCAGGCCAGAGCTCAGACCCACCCACATGGCTGAGTATGTGGCGCAGGCATTCCAGTCCTTAGGGTGTTAGGTTTTGAAGGGAAGGCGAGGGTTAAAGAATGACACCACAGGCCGGGCACGGTGGCTCATACGTGTAATCCCAGCACTTTGGGAGGCCTAGATGGGTGGATCACCTGAGGTCAGGAGTTTGACACCAGCCTGGACAACATGGTGAAACCCCAACTCTACTAAAAATACAAAAATCAGCCATGCGTGGTGGTGGGCACCTGTAATCCCAGCTACTCGGGAGGCTGAGGCAGGGGAATTGCTTGAACCCGGGACGCAGAGGTTGCAGTGAGCCGAGATCGTGCCATTGCACTCCAGCCTGGGTGAAAGAGCAAAACTCCGTCTCAAAAAAACAAACAAACAAACACAAACAGAGAGAGGGAAAGAGAGAGAGAGACAGGGGCTCAACAGCAACATAGGTATATTGCAAAAACCTGCGGAGATGGGGGACCAGCTTAGGGCCAGAGCCCACGGCCGCTTATAGGCTGGGGTACTTAAAGGTATGGGTGGGAGGGGTCTGAGCAGTGTGGCTTGCTGCCTGGCAGGATATTGATAAGATGTGCGATCAGGCGGTTTGGCCCTTTTTCCAGTGGGATGTGATAAGATATTCCTTGGACCTTTGCCCAGCAGGATATGACAGGGATTTTTCCTTCAGTCGGGCCTTTGCACGGCAGGGTATGATAAGGATGTTTCTCCCCGCCTGAACCCCCGTGGAATATTTCACTTTGACCTGCAAAATGGCAGAAGGCTTCCAAAATGGTGCAGTTTGGACTAACATTGGGTATGCAGTGAAAGAGCAGAAATAATGCTCTGTGTCTGGGCATCTTACGGTCGCCACTGGGTGGGAATTGCTGAAGGTGCAGGGGTAGGGAGTGGACAGAGGCCACAGGAGAGGCTATTCTGGAGCCCCTGCAAGTTGAATAGCTTTGCTGGCTCCTCCTGGCAGCCTCCTTCCGTGGGGAGGGTGAGAACCTTGTACAGAACCTGACTGAGAGCCCCAGGAAGAGAGGGACCTGCCCTAGATGACAGGTTACAACAGGCAGAAATGACACCAACCTCTGTCTGATTCCAGATCTTTCTCTGTTTCCCATATTTGCTGAGGAGAAGCCACAAGCTCAAGCGGCTCCTACTGTTGTCCCAGGGATGCTAGACAGGTGAGACCCCAAATTGGGACTTGGCCTGGGAGGGCTCGTGGCTTTGGCCAGGAAATAATTCAAGGGTGAGCTGGAGGTGTTAGACAGCAACTTCTTTTTACCTGTCATCAGAAAGTATAGACAGCAACTGTTTTGTTTTTTTTTTTTTTTTTTTTTTGAGGCAGAGTCTTGCTCTGCTGCACAGGCTGGAATGCAGTGCTGCAATCTTGGCTCACTGCAACCTCTGCCTCCCAGGTTCAAACAATTCTGCCTCAGCCTCCTGAGTAGCTGGGATTACAGGTGCCCACCACCATGCCTGGCTAATTTTTGTATTTTTAGTAGAGACAGAGTTTCACCATGTTGGCCAGGCTGGTCTCGAACTCCTGATGTCAAGTGATCCTCCTGCCTCAGCCTCCTAGTTGGGATTATAGGCGTGAGCCACCATGCCTAACCAACAGCAACTTTTATCGAAGCCGCAGTGTACAGCAGCGACACGGGTACTGCTCCTTGCCTGAAAGGCTACCCCATAGGCAGTGTGCCCAGCAGCCATACTTATACCCACTTTTAATTATATGCAAATTAAGGTACAGATTATCCACTAGTGACTAGAAAAAGGGTGGTAACCTCCAGGTCATCAAGTCACTGCCATGGAGAGGGGTGTTAACGTCGGGGTGTTGTCATGGCAACGGGAAACTGACATGGCACTGGTGGGCGTGTCTTATGGAGAAGCGCTTTCCCCTCTTCCCTGTTTCAGCTGGTCTTCAATTTGATCCTGAGTGCAAGTCCCACCTCCAGAGTCTAGTCCCACCTCCTACTTCATCAGGCAATGGGGGAGAGAGAAAGGGGATTTACTGCTTAACGGTTACAGAGTTACCGTTTGGGGGGGATGAAAAAGTTTTTAAATAGATTGTGGTGATGGTTACACAACGTTATGAATGTAATTAATGCCGCTGAATTATACATTTAAAAACGGTTCAATGGAAATTTTATGCCACACATTAACATAATGTTAAAAATGAATAACGCAATATACCAACAACCGTTGAATTTTACTCTTTACGTGGGTGAATTGCATGGTATGTAAATTATATCTTAATAAAGTGATTTCTTTTCTTAAATTCAGTGTCTTACTCACATGTAGACTGTGGCTACCATCCAGCCAGTCCAGGGCGGGGCTATTTCACTTCATGCTTGGGTTCCCAGCCCTGCCGCCTGGCTGGGTGGTCTTGGATAAGTAAAGTCATCTCTCTGAGTTCCTTTTCTTCCGCTCTAATATGGAAGTAACAACAGCACCCACCTCAAGGTTGTTGCAGGGTTTAAATGAGATCAAAGTGTCAAATTCTCAGCAGGATATCCGGCAAACACGGAGAACTCTTTTCTGTGAGCCACTGTGATTATTGGCCCTTTGAGAAAATATCACCAAAGGATAAACTCCCGAAAGTGGAGTCGGTAGGTCAGACGTTCAGTTAAGAACTGCTGGAAGATTTGTGTTGAAACGGCCCCAGCGAGGCAGGTGTGGACACCACCGGCCTCCTCTGGGCAGACAGCCTGTCCCTGCGTGGTGTGATTGGCACCCAGCTCTCTCAGTCTGGCTCTTCTGTGTCGACGACTAGCAGATGGGACAGCTCATTGCTGCTGTCACTCATGTGTCTCTAGTTATGGGAGAGGGTGGCACCCTTAGACGCTCTGTGCTATGGTGGAGGAGAACGTGACAATGATGCTGTTAGGTGAAATGCATGAGGGAGCCCAGGAATGGTGCACACTGTGGAACACGCACAGATGCGGGCGTGCATGGCGGGGCTCCACCTGTGCCTGGTGCGTGAATGAATACGTGAAGAGAAATAAAAGGCAGAGAGAAAGCCCTCAAAAGAAAGACTTAGGTGGGCACGGTGGCTCATGCCTGTAATCCCAGCACTTTGGGAGGCCAAGGCAGGAGGATCACTTGAGCCCAGGATGGGTTTGAGACCAGCCTGGGCAACATGGTGAGAACCCATCTCTATTTAAAGAAAGGAAGGAGGAAAGGGAGGAAGGAAGGAAGGAAGGAAAGAAGGAAGGAAGGAAGGAAGGAAGGAAGGAAGGAAGGAAGGAAGGAAGGAGGGAAGGAAGGAGGGAAAGGAAGGAACTTGTTAACAATTCTCATTATCTGAGGGAAGAACAAGGATGGCAGGGGACTCTTTAACTACCAATTTTAGTTTGAGCTGCAATTCCTCCCCCTGAAATTTGGCATTTTCGGTTTTATTCAAGAAAAAAAGACAAAAAAATTGGGGGTCAATCTTTTAAAACATAGAGCAACCCGGAGAAAAGAATTGCCTATTCACGTCTATTCTTTTAGCTTTCTTATGTTTTGAACACTTGAGCCGTAACGGGGTGTGAGGGAATTTGCGGTGATGGAACTGTTCTGTGTTTTGGTTGCGGGGTGGTCACGTGATGCGTGCATTTGCCAAAACCTCAGAACTGCACCTAAAAAGGGTGAATTGTGCTGTATGCAAATTATGCCTTTATTTAAAAAATGCTAATTTTTTTCCTTTTTTCTCATATTAAGGAGACAGATTTGACAGCCTTTAAATTAAAATCTCTGTGTATAAAACAAAACTCACACTAAAATTATAAGTCAAGAAATAGACTTGGAAAAAAACTTATATCCCCTGTGACAGAAATAGCGTCAATAATCTTATCATGTAAACCACACAGAAAAGCAACAAAGTTGGATTCCAGTAGGCAAGTGGGCAAAAGACAAGGAGACACATCTGCAAATCGGAAAGAGAGGGAGTGGCCAACCATCATGGCAGGAAGACGCTCCCGCACACAAGAAATCAAAATCCAACCCCGTCCATCAACAACCAGGGAACAATCTCACAGGAATTCCCGGGGCGGTGCGGCAGGCCAGGGCAGCCTCTCTCCTGCTCGGTTGTAGGGTTGTCAGGACCTTCTGAGTGACAGAAACAAGATCTTTTCTTTCTTGGGGTCCACTTGTGGGAATCGAGACCAAAGAAAAAATCCTAAACACGGACAAAAGCTTCATCCCCAAAGGTGTCATTTGCAGCACTATTTATTGTAAAAATCACCAAAATCAAAATAGAGGTACTAACATTTTTGTCTTTATTTTATTTATGTATTTAATTTATTTTGAGACGGAGTCTCACTCTTGTGGCACAGGCTGGAGTGCAGTGGCGTGATCTCAGCTCACTGCAACCTCCACCTCCCGGGTTCAAGCGATTCTCCTGCCTCAGCCTCCCAAGTAGCTGGAATTACTTGGGAGCAACACCACGTTCAGCTAATTTTTGTGTTTTCAGTACAGACAGACGGGGTTTTGCCATGTTGTCCAGGCTGGTCTCAAACTTCTGACCTCGTGATCCGCCTGCCTCGGCCTCCCAAAGTGCTGGGATTACAGGCGTGAGCCACCGCGCCCATCCCTCGGTACTAGTATTTATTTATTTATTTTCTTTTTTGAGATGGAGTCTCGCTCTGTCGCCCAGGCTGAAGTGCAGTGGCGCAATCTCGGCTCACTGCAAGTTCCGCCTCCTGGGTTCACGACATTCTCCTGCCTCAGCCTCCCGAGTAGCTGGGGCTACAGGCGCCCGCCACTATACCTGGCTAGTTTTTTGTATTTTTAGTAGAGACGGAGTTTCACCGTGTTATCCAGGATGGTCTCAATCTCCTAACCTCGTGATCCGCCCGCCTCGGCCTCCCAAAGTGCTGGGATTACAGGTGTGAGCCACCGCACCCATCCCTAGGTACTAATATTTTTAAACATTGACAACTAGAGCCACGAAGAGAGGGTTATCATGCTTGTATGCTTGATAACAAAAACTATCACATGCGTGGTATGAGGGCTCATGCCTGTAATCCCAGCACTTTGGGAAGCCGAGGAGGGAGGCTCAATTTGAACCCAGGAGTTGGAGACCAGCCTGGGCAACATGGCGAATCTCCATCTCAACAAAAAATACCAAATATTAGCTGGGCATAGTGGTATGTGCCTGTAGTCCCAGCTACTCCGGAGGCTGAGGTGGGAGGATCGCTTGAGCCCAGGAGTTGGAGGCTGCACTGCATTGAGCTGAGATCACACCACTGCACTCCAGTCTGGGTGACAGAGTGAGACCCCATCTCAAAAACAAAATAAAACAAAAACAAAAACAAAAACCAACAACACCTATTACAAGACTCTATAAAAACCACAACCTGGCACAAAAGCCATCACAACCTGCCACCAAAAATACTCAAGGACATCTCCCCCACAATTGCCTGTTCACCCTCAGACTGGTGTCACCTTTATTATCGATCTTTGCAGCCAAGGATAATTATTTCGAAACAATATGTAATCCTCCTCTTCTTTCCCTTTAAAAACCTTCTTCTTCCTTTACCTCCCTGCATACGCACATAGTTTACTATGACATGCATTTCCCACTGCAGTGATCTATTCCCAGATAACATATTTTCTTTTGGAAGCCTCTCTGTGTTTCTTATTTAGTTTGACATTGCAATAGCAAAACACTTAGGGAAGGAAAAAAACAAACAAACAAAAAAACCTTAAATTTGCGCCAAGAAGGAATTGGGTAAGAATGCCATAAACTCTTCCCAGGGTACTACAATTTTAAAAGACTGAAGATGGCGTGGCAGCAGGGGAAATGCTGCTAGAAATTAAGTATCCGAAACCAGGCTGCCCACTTGAAAATATTAGTTAGGATATCAGCTTGGCAATAAGCAGTGCCCAAATCCAGGCAGAGTAGAGCCTGGGGAGAACAACCATCATCCCACAAGCTCTCCCTTAGAGAAGGAACTGCCTGCAGTAAAGGAGACGCCACCTTTGAAAAACACATCGTAACTGATCAATTCTAAGAAGCCACTTTTCCCATATCTTGACGCCTCTGAAACCGGAAGGCATCTTTCAACGTCTGGCACCATACGACTGCTGTTTGAAAGGCATGAAAACCTGCAGAAGGGGTGTCCACAGCCCAGAAGAAAATCCAGCAGACAAGAGTGGGGCACTCTCAGCCCCCGGGAACCAACTTGGTGGGCCTGGGTGGGTCAGGGGGAATTGGTGGGGAATAAGTTGTGTTTGGTGTTTGCTCTGAAAACAGAAGTCAGCAATAAACTGTCTCCTCTAATTGCAAAGCTGGATCAAGAGCCCAGCAGTAATGATTTTTAGTTCTTACACGCAACCTTTTTTTTTCTTTTTTTTTCGAGACAGGGTCTCCCTCCCGCCACTCTGTCATCCAGGCTGGCGTGCAATGGCGCCATCACGACTCACTGCAGCTTCGACCTCCCGGGCTCAAGTGATTCTCTCACCTCAGCCTCCCGAGTAGCTGGGACCACAGGTACACACCACCATGTCCAGCTAATTTTTGTATAACTTTTCCATAATAAACAAAAAAAAAGGATCTCAATTGTGGAACAATTTTAGGAATCCTTTATTTTACTTGTATTTTCCTTTATTGTTCGCAATAAATACACCCATAAAAGCTCTTTCAGTAAATAAGAAATAAAAATTCCAAGTGGTAAGGAAGCATTGTTGCATCTTATAGACAGTATACACTTTTCTTTCTTTGTAACAACCATAAAAGTGGAGTTTCTTAGAGTCCATGAAATGCAGTATCTAAAACATTCCCCAGAAGGAATAATGCTAATAATAGCAACTGATGGGCCAGACATGGTGGCTCATGCCTGTAATTCCAGCACTTTGGGAGGCCGAGGCATGTGGATTACCTGAGGTCAGGAGATCGAGACCAGCCTGGCCAACATGGTGAAATGCTGTTTCTACTACAAATACAAAACTTAGCTCGTGTGGTGGCAGGCATCTGTAATCCCAGCTACTTGGGAGGCCAAGGCAGGAAAATTGCTGGAACCCAGGAGGCAGAGGTTGCAGTGAGCTGAGATCATACTGCTGCACTCCAGCCTGGGCAACAGGGTAAGATTCTGTCTAAAAAAAAAAAAAAAAAAAAAAGAAGCAGCTGATGATTTTTTTTAGCACCTACTGAGTCCCAAGTGCTGTTCTCAGTGCTTTGTAAATATTAACTGATTTTGTTGAAATTATGGAAAATGGAGGGAGAGAAGAGGGCAGAGGGCAAGCAGGAGAGAGATGGCCCCGTGTGCCAGAGGCGGCCAAAGAGCCTCTTAGAAGCAGACTCACATATCCATCTCCCACAGACTGTTTTTGCGAGTCCCCAGGACCTTCTTGGTGGCAAACATCTACGGAGACCACTAGTTCACAAGCACCAGAATTATCTGTGGGGAAAGGTTGATGTCAACTCTTGAGCTTAGGTATTCAAAGCTTAATGCATTACTGTCTGGTGCAGTGGCTCATGCCTGTAATCCCAGCACTTTGGGAGGCCAAGGCAGGCAGATCACCTGAGGTCAGGAGTTGGAGACCAGCCTGGCCAACATGGCGAAACCCCATCTGTACTAAAAATACAAAAATTACCTGGGCGTGGTGGCAGGTGCCTGTAATCCCAGCTACTCAGGAGGCTGAGGCAGGAGAATAGCTTGAACCCAGGAGGCAGAGGTTGCAGTAAGCTGAGACTGCACCACCACACTCCAGCCTGGGCAACAGAGCAAGACTCCGTCTCAAAAAAAAAAAAAAAAGTTTATAATGATACCACAACAAGGGGAAATGGAATAGAACTATCTAGGAATAACCATTCTATATCTCACTGTAATAAAGCTAGTATAAATCTGAAACTGATTCTGATAAATTAAGATGTATACAGTAACCCTCCAAAAAGCAAAAACAAAAAATAAAATGTGCAAAGAACTCAAGTAACCCAATTTTAAAATGGGTGAGGCCAGGCGTGGTGGCTCACAGCTGTAGTCCCAACACTTTAGGAGGCCAAGGCGGGAAGATCACTTAAGGTCAGCAGTTTGAGAGCAGCCTGGCCAACATAGCGAAACCCCATATCTACTAAAAAATACAAAAACTATCTGGGCACGATGGTGGGTGCCTGTAATCTCAGCTACTTGAGAGGCTGAGGCAGGAGAATCGCTGGAACCCGGGAGGTGGAGGCTGCACTGAGCCGGGATTCCACCACTGCACTCCAGCCTGGGCAACAGAGTGAGACTCCGTCTCAAAAAATAAAATAAAACGACCAAACAAAAAAGGGGCAAATGATCTGAACAGACATTTCCCAGAGAAGATATATAAATGGGCTAAATGTCCAGGAAAATATTAACACCATTAATCATCACAGAAATGCAATTCAAAACCACGCAGCCTCCCAGGCTCAAGTGATCCTCCCACCTCTGCCTCCCAAGTAGCTGGGACCACCAGCACACACCACCATGTCATGGTTTCACTGTGCTGCCCAAGCTGGTCTCAAACTCCTGGGCTCAAGCGATCCTCCTGCCTTAGCCTCCCAAAGTGGAGTGTTTTAACTTTTAATCGTAAATAGATGTACAGCCTTATGAAATTATTTTCCCACATCAGTTGAAATCATTATATTTTCTTCCTTGGTCTACTGATATGGTGAATTATATTGAAAGAATTTTTTTTTAATTTTTGAACCATCTTCGCATTAGGAGGAGAAATCTTATTTGATCATGAAGAATTATGATATGCTGGATTGAAGTGGCAATTATTTGATTTGGGATTTTTACATCTTCATTCACAAGCGAAATGAATCTATAATTTTCTTGCATCTGGTCCTTATCCGATTTTGGATTCAACATTGCATTAGTCTCTAAAAATGAATCAGGCAGTTATTACATAATTTTCCAGCGATTTTCTGGAATAATTCATACAAGATAGGAATTAAACATTCTTTGAATGTTTGGTATCACTTGCTTAGAAAACCATCTGTGCCTGGGGGTTTTTTGGGGAGAGGGGAGATCTCTGAATATAATTTCAAATTCTTCAATAGTCACTGGCTTATTCAGTCTGTAATTTTGTGTCATTTTCGCATTGTATATTTTGCTAGTAATTTAACCAGTTCATTCAGGTTTTTAATGTTAGCACATAGCCATAATATAATTACTTTTTATATCTCTGTCCTGGCTGTAATTATTCACCACTTTACAATTTGTATTTTATTTGCAGCCTGTCTCTTTGTTCTTAATCGGTTTGCCAAAAGTAAGTCTGTCTTAGTTGCTTTTTCAAAAATTAGAATAGCTTTTAGTTTTGTTAATCTTCTTTTCTTCCCCCATCCATTTCATCGATTTCTCCCCACATTATTTTTAAGCATTTTCATACCATACCCCTGAAAAATGTGCAAACAAAAGCTACAGGCACCATCACGAACGCATCTTAGTGATAGGAGTTTGTCTTTAAAAAGCAAGTTGCATTGATAGGGTGCAATGGATCACACTTGTAATCCCAACACATTGGAAGGCCGAGGCGGGTGGATCACTTGAGGTCAGAAGTTCGAGACCAGCCTGGTCAACGTGGTGAAACCTCATCTGTACAAATACAAAAATTAGCCAGGTGTGGTGGTGTGTGCCTGTAGTCCCAACTACTTGGGAAGCTGAAGCAAGGCGAATGGCTTGAACCCAGGAGGCGGAGGTTTCAGTGAGCTGAGATCGTACCACTTCACTCCAGCCAGGGCAACAGAGCGAGACTCTGTTTCAAAAAAAAAAAAAAAAATAGCAAGTTGCATACAGTAAGATATGGTTGTGAGCTGAAATGCAGCCCCCAAAATTCATATTTTGGAGCCCTAACCCCCAGTACATCAGAACATGACTGTATTTGGAGATAGGATCTCTAAAGAGGTGGTGAAGGTTAAATGGGGCCATTAGGGTGGGCCCTAATCCAATTGGACTTCATCCTTATGGGAAGAGGATATATGGCCATACAGAGAGTCACCAGGGATGTGCACACAGAGAGGACCACATGAGGGCACAGCAAGAAGGCGGCCGTCTGCAAGCCAAAGAAGGAGGCCTCAGAAGAAACCAACCGTGCCAACATCTTGATCTCCAGACTTCCAGCCTCCAGAACTGGGAGATGATCAATTCTGCTGTTTCAGTCCCCTAGCCTGTGGTACTTTATAAGGGCAGTTCGAGACAACGAATACGTGTATTATTACTCCAAAGCCCAAAAAACAAGCAAAACTAAATAAGATGTTTTTTGGGAAACATACACACATGCTAAAATAATAATGAAAATCAAGCAACGGCGAAACACAAGTCAGGATGGTAGGTACTGGCGAGGGGGATGGGAGAAGGCGTTTAACAGTAACGTCCTATTCTTTTTCTTGTCTTTTTTTTTTTCAGACAGGGTCTCCCTCTGTTGTCCAGGTTGGAGTGCAGTGGCATGATCACAGCTCACTGCAGCCTCGACCTCCTGGGCTCAAGCAATCCTCCCACCTCATCCTCCCAAGTAGCTGGGACTTCAGGCTCTTGCCACCATGCCAGGCTAATTTTTATATTTTCTTTAGAGACAAGATCCCACTATGTTGCCCAGGCTGGTCTCAAACTCCTGAATTCAAGTGATCTTCCCGCCTCAGCTTCCCAAAGTACTGGGATTACAGGCGTGAGCCACCCTACCAGGCCAGGAGCATCTTTTGTTATTCATAATAAGCCCACATCAGCTGAATCATCAATGGGTGCGAAATCAAGGGGGAAATTTTGATGAAAGGCAGATACTGCCTGTCTTAAAGTATCTGCCCCTGGACTGCTTATTAGCTGCAAAGGAGTATTATAGAGCTGGGGAATGGGACATCAGCTCGCTGGGTGATGAAAACTCACTTCACTAATGAGGCACAGTAGGACACTGACTATGTCCAGATGGGATACCTTCAAAGAAGTACACACCTCACCTCATTATTCTGGTGGAGAATGTATAACTTGAATCTAATCATCATGGGGAAACATCAGACCGACTAAAAATGTGGAACTTCTATTTTTAAAAGGGCAAGGAGCTGTTCTTCCAAAATGTGTGTGCATATATATATATAAAATTTTTTTTTAGACGGAGTCTTGCTCTGTTGCCCAGGCTGGAGTGCAGTGGCGTGATCTCGGCTCACTGCAAGCTCTGCCTCCTGGGTTCACGCCATTTTCCTGTCTCAGGCTCCCGAGTAGCTGGGACTACAGGCGCCTGCAACCACACCCGGCTAATTTTTTGTATTTTTAGTAAAGATGGGGTTTCACCATGTTAGCCAGGACGGTCTCGATCTCCTGACCTCGTGATCCACCCGCCTCGGCCTCCCAACCTGCTGCAATTACAGGCGTGAGCCACCACGCCCGGCCACCAAAATGTCAATATTATAAATATGGAAATGTTCCAGATTCAAGGAGGCTAAAGAGACATGACAACTGGCTGGGCGCGGTGGCTCACAACTGTAATCCCAGCACTTTGGGGGGCCGAGGCGGGTGGATCACCTGAGGTCAGGAGTTCAAGACCAGCCTGGCCAACATGGCGAAACCTTGTCTCTACTAAAAATACAAAAATTAGCCAGGTGTGGTGGCAGGCACCTGTAGTCCCAGCTACTCAGGAGGCTGCGGCAGGAGAATTGTTTGAACTGAGGAAGTGGAGATTGCAGTGAGCCGAGATTGCACCATGGTTCTTCAGCCTGAATGACAGAGCAAAACTCCATCTCAAAAAAAAAAAAAAAAAAAAAGACAAAAGAAAAAGGAAAGAAAGATGGGAGAGAGAAAGAAAGAAAAAGAAAGGCAGCAAAAGAAAAGAAAAATTATATATATATATATATGAGCTAAAGCCAGCTAATACTATAAAAATCTGGCCTGCCCTTCATCTATAGACTGAGATAAAGCCAACCGCAAGGTTAACAGGACACATTTCACCCAGGGGCGAGCTGCAGCAGTAAAAGTGTTCTAACAGCCCCCTTTATGAGCGACTACTGCTATCTTACTCACTGAGAAACTTTGTTCTCTAAAATCATAGACTGTGGGAAACTCTGCGGTATGAAAGTCTATCCGTAAGAATGAAACAGACTCATCTTTCTTTCCTGGAAGATCTGTCACTTTGACAAAGATAAGAAGCCTCCATTTCCAGCCCTGGTGCAGAGTTTTAAATAAAAAGTTTCTGGGCACAGCATGCCACATTTATATTAACATTGTAGTTTCCAGGGAAACAAGACCTTAGGTCCACTTTGCAGTCCAAATCTGATATTTCCTTTTTTTTTTTTTTTTTTTTGAGACAGGATCTCGTTCTGTCACCCAGACTGGAATACAGTGATACAATCATAGCTCACTGCAACCTCAAACTCCTGGGCCCAAGCAATCCTCCCACCTCAGCCTCCCAAGTGGCTGGGACTACAGGCGTGTGCCACCACACCCAGATAATTTTCTCCTCCCCTTCCCTCCCCCCCTCACTCCCCTCCCCTTTTCTCCCCTCCCTCCCCTCCCTCCCTTCCTTCCATAGAGATGTCACCCAAGCGGGTCTTGAACTCCTGGGTTCAAGCGATCCTCTTGTCTTGGCCTCCCAAAGCACTGGGATACAGACATGAGCTACTGTATGCGGCCCAGGCCTGATGCTGACTCCCTTATACACATTCCTACCTTGTTCTAAACCTAGCTAAACATTGTTTCACTTAAATTTCATCCAAATTTCTCTCTTCTTCCAAATCCTATAACTTGATTGCAGCTTCTCCTCTGGGGGCTGATCGCTCTCATTTCAGTGGGTCAACAAACCTGACTTTGTCTTGCTTGTCCCTGATGATTGGGCTAGGATGGGTGGGTGGGTGGGTGGATGGATGGATAGATGGAATGATGAAGCCAAAGCAATGAGGTAAACTGTTAACAAACAAATCAGAGTAGAGGATTTGTTTGTACTCCAGTGTTTATATTTGTGTAGGTTATCTATAAGTTTAAAATTATTTCCAAATTAAAATTGTCTGGTTTTTTTGTTTTTTGTTTTTGTTTATTTTTAAGGTGCACGCCTGTAGTCCCAGCTACTCAGGAAACTGAGGCGGGAGGATTGCTTTAGCTCAGGAGGTCGAGGCTGCAGTGAGCTATGATTGTGCCACTACTGCTCTCCAGCCTGGGCGACAGAGTGAGACTCTGTCTCAAAAAAAAAAAAAAAAAAACAGAACCTGAAAATAAATAGAAAAGAAAGAAACTAAGTTGGTTTGGACCAGTGGTTAGCCACAAAGAAATTTTATATTGAATTTTATATTGTTAATTCAGCATATCGACGTTTAAATTTTGAAAAGCGTCTTACCATTTTCTATGATACTAATATTTCATACGAACTTTTTTCACTTTTTAAAAAGTGGTTATGATCTACCCAAGGAAATGCACCTGTTTTGAAAAACTCTCGTCTGAGAGATCCAAACGTGAGTTGAATGTTAAGGCTTCGCGACTTGGGGTTTTCCTACCCGTGGGCGCGTGACAGGACTACATTTTCCAGAGTACCTCGGGGCGAGGCCTGGGTGGAGAGGAGGGGTCTGAGCTCTGATTGGAGACTGCGGAGCTCCGACCTCACCGCCAAGGCGTGGCCCTCAGGCTTGCGGGGAAAGGCAGGCGAACCTCACATGGGAGGAGGGGGCGGGGCTTGCGAGGTGACCCGTAGGAGTCATCCGGTTACTGCGGAAAAACGTGGTGCTGGTAAGGCGGTGATGCGCCTGCTGCTCGGCCTCCTGGGCTTTATCGCCCTGCAAGCCCGTGCGGCCGCTGGTTCTTCCTCCTCCGTCGAATCATCCCAGGCCTCCTGCCCTTGTTCTACTACTTCCCTGGGATCCCTTAATGCATCTATTCCAATCAGCTGCCGAGGCCTCCCCTGGTCCATGGCTCTGGCCTTGCACACTACCAGCGCTCCGCAGAGAGCCAGGGAGAGGACATTGGCAAACTCTGGCCCGCAGGAAGTCTGGGGGGGCTTCCTGGAGGAGAGAGTAGGTTTCCCACGCAGACCAGAGTCAGGAATCAGCGCCGAATGCCACATATAGGCGTGCTGTTCTGATGCATAAACCGTCCTTGCAGGCACGCCACTCCCCACTTCAGACCTCTCTCTCTGCATGCCCACAGCTGGCCCTGTGCTTGGTATGATAGCTCCAGGCCCTGCCAGGGAGACAGACATTGTCTGTCAGACCAGACAGTGGCACCTAAAGTGATGTGGAAAGCCCTGGACCCTACGGGAAACTAGAGAAGGTGCCTCACCCAGCCTTGGGGAGGCCAGGGAGGAAAAGCAGCCGAGATCCGACTCATCTCAGGGTCCCCTGCATGATGCCACACAAGCATCTTCATTCAAAGGGCTCCCATATGCCAGGCGATGCTGGGGACAGAGATAGTCATACCTTGTCCTGCCCTCCCCCACGCACCTGGAGTGTCCCTCAGCCTGTCTGATCAGGGCTGGGTCAAGAGAGGAACAAGGGGTTTGTGGATACCAAAGGGGATCCCTAACCCCGCAAGGGGCTGGGGGAAGGGCTGGTTGTTGGGGTGATGTGTTATCCAATTCTTGGAAGTGGGTGTTTACCCTAGAGAGGAGGGAGGATGGAGATCTTTGCATATACAAAAGCACAGTGTCAGGAGAGAGTACAGAGAGATGAAGGTGAGGTTGAATTGCCCTGGTGAAGCTCAGATCTGGGAACTGCAAAGACCCCTCTGTGTCTGGTACTATTCTAGATCAATACTGTTATTATCCCCACAGTACAGATGGAGACACTGAGAAGTAGCAAGGTTATGTCTCACTCAGGTTCTCCCAGGAGATAAGTGGCTGAGGTAGGATTGGAACCTGGGCCATCTGGCTCTAGAATCTGGGCGGGTAGCCATGGTGTACCATGCCCAAATACTTTCCAGAATGGAAGCTCTGCCAGGGCAGAGACCCCTCTGGGAAATAATAGATACTCATCATTGTCTGCCTAATCTGACCTCTGGTTGGCTATAAGATCTAGGGCTGCCTATCCCTCCCCGGGGAAACTGAAGCTCAGCATGAGAAGAATTTCTGATGGAAGGCTGACTCCAGGCCACACCCCCACTCTCCTATTCTGTATTCCTCTGGGGATGTGGGGCTGAGAAATGTCTCCTGAAGGGAGAAGGGTGGGTGATCTCCCCTCTATCCAAGCTGACAGTGATGGCTTGCTCCTCCCATGTGTGGATCCAATGGTCACCCTTTAGGCAGTGGTGCAATGGCTGAAGGAAGGGAAGGGGCAGAGTGGTAAGGACAGACAGGGTCACATCCCCATTCCTAGGCTCCCTGATGTCAGGGTCACGCCCATGATGCCAACCTTGGGGGAGGTACTAGGGTGATTTCCAAAGAGCCTCTCCTCTAGACAGAGCTGGCCACTATGCTGAGGCCCCGGCTGGCGGACTCCTGGGTGTCTTCACTGCCCCCAGGGAGTAAAGGTATGAAAAATGGTGAGGGAGAGCCAGGCACTGTGGCTCATGCCTGTATTCCCAGCCCTTTGGGAGGCCCAGGAGGGCAGATTGCTTGAGCTCAGGAGTTCAAGACCAGCCTGAGCAACGTGGCGAAAACCAACCTCTATAAAAAAATACAAAAATTAGCCAGGTGTGGTGGGGCGTGCCTGTAGTCCCAGCTACTTGGGGGGCTAAGGTGGGAGGACTGCTTGAACCCAGAAGATTGAGGCTGCAGTAAGCCATGATTGTACCACTGCACTCCAGCCTGGGCGAAAGAGCAAGACCGTGTCTCAAAAAAGGAAAAAAAAAGGTGAGGACGGAAGGTAGTGTGTGGCTCAAGTTCAGCCACCACCAAATGCACACTGTCCTGGTCTCACCTGAACATCCCAAGAGCCGCACAAAGTAGGAGGGATTGTGCCCACGTTCAGATGAAAAACCCGAGGCTCACAGAGGGGAAGGGACTGGCTCCTGGCCTCACTGGCAGGAAGCAGAGGAGGGAAAATTGGGAGGAAGTCTAAGCTTCAGGGTTGGGTGAGTCCTTAAGTCCATGTCTCAATATATCATCCCAACAAGTCCATGAAACCATATCATCTGGGGAAACAAATTGGACACGCCACTTAAACAAATTAAACGGGCTCTTTCCTGCCGGACTTGTCAGAGCCTTTAGCCCCTTCACGTTTCCCAAATCTCTTTGACCAGGACCAAGACCAAGGCCTGGGACAACTGGCAGGCCCTGGGTCCCAAAGGCCGAGAGAGAGGGCACGATGGAGGTGAAGGTGTCTACAGCGTTTGTACGCGTGTACTCCGGCCATCTGTGCACAGAACAGATGACCGTGTGTACATATGCACCTGTGTTTCTCCATCACTCCATCTGGGGCTCAAATGACATCTGTAAAAAGCAGAACAGGCATCCAAAGGCCAGGACACGCGCCCAAAGACCAGGGTCTGGCCCTTCCCGGCTTCCCCTGCAGGAGATAAAGTCCAAGACTGCCTTCACTGCCCCTCAAGTCAGATTCCACAAGGATTTATTGGCACCGGACCTAGCCTGGTGCCCGCCCCTTCAAGGAAAGACACTAACAAGGAGGAGTGCCGGCACCGCAAGAGCCCTCCCAGAAGCGCCCAGACTGGGGGTCGGGGAGGACGCTGCCATTCGTGGCCAGGAAGGGAAGGGAGATTCCGGAGGAGGGTGGGCACGGCGCAGGGAAAGGCCGGGTGGTGGGATGGGCAGGGAGGCGGGGTACCGGCCCCGCTAGAAGGGGAACTCGCAGACGTAGTAGAGACGCCGCTGGCAGTCGTGGTCCCACCAGGAGCCGTCGTCAGAGGCCTGCGCCACGCAGTTCTCGAGCGTGCCACCGTTGGGCTGGTCCGGGCTGAGCGGATGCGGCGAGGCGCTGGGCTGGGCGCCGAGCTCGGGGCGGGGTGAGCGATGCCAGGCGAAGAAGGACACGCGCTGGCCGTTTTCGAAGAGGTAGAGGCCCTCGGCGCGCCGATCGTGCACGCCCAGCCACACGGGCCAGTTGTAGGGAGCGAGCGCCGCGCGCAGGTACCGAGTGAGCGCCTCCATCTGCTGGCGGTCTGCCGGCTGCGCCAGGCTCCCGCCCCGCGCCGTGCACCGCGCCTGCGCCGCCGCCTGAGCTTCGAAGTCGCGCGAGAGCAGGAAGCACTTGTGGCCCAGGCGCAGCCCCTTCAGGCAGCCTGTGGGCGGGGCCGGGTAGAGAAGGAGGCGGGGTCATGCATTCAGAGTCTGGAAGGGGGCGAGGACAAAACATCCGGGGGTGGAGGGAGGCGGGGCCAGGAACTCATGGGGAGGGCTGGGAGGAGGCGTGGTCAGAACCGCGGGAGCCAGGAGGTGGAGAGTCTGGTCCGCCAGGGGCGGGGCCAGGCGGTGGGAGCTGGACTGTAGGGGGCGTGGTGCTGCCCCAGTCGGGTCCGCGCGGGTCTGGAGTGCCCACCCGCTCCCTGCATTCAGCCTCCCAGCTCTCTAACCCCGTCCGCTAGCACACAGCAGCTCTCCCGAACTCTCCCGCCCCGGACACCTAGGGTCACCTTCTCAACCAGTCCCATTCCTGGCCCAGATAGTCTCATTTTTTTCCACCCCGCGCGCCGCGGACTCACCCTCCAAGCGGCCGTGCTCGCGCTCGGCGCGACCCTGCGCCTCCTGCAGGGCTTGCACGGCATCGCGGGTGTCGCCTGCCGCGTTCCGCAGCTGCCGCAGCCCCTGGGTCAGCTCGACCACGCGGGTGTCCAACGCGTGCAGACGGACGTGCAGCTGGTGCAGGCCTGCGTCCAGGCCGGCCAGGCGGCCCACTGCGGACAGACAGGGATCATGCTGGAGGGGGAGCCTGGAGATGCAGCGGGGGGCCTGAGGACCTGGAGAACTGGGATCTAGGGCTCCTGAGGGCGGGGTGGCGGTGGGGGGGGCACCCCGGACTCCTGGAAGGTAGGGTCGAGTGGCCCAGGCCTTTAGGAGGCATGGCCGTGGACCTGGGGCTCCTAGGGGTGTGGGGGCTCTGGGCTGGGCAATGGACAACTGAAAGGCCACTTGGCAGTGAACCGACCCTTCATTTTTGCGAAAGTGACCGCGGCGGCCTAGGAGTTTGGGGGTGAGGGCTTCTGGTTACTCACGGATGTAAGTGACGATGTCCTCAGGGGTGGGAGAGGGGCTGGGGCCGGAGGATGGGGTTGGCGTTGCTTCCTCCTCCTCTTCCTCCCCCTGGTCCTCCTCCATCTCCCAGTCCTCTTTTCCCTCAACAGTTCCGGCAGGATTCTCATCCCCCCTCCCAGCAGGCAGTCCTAGGGCTTCCTGCAGATGCTGGGGCAGGGGAGGGGTGGTGAGCCCCAGCCTGCCACCAAGATGCCCCATTCACCCCTTTCCAACTCATAACTCATTCTCTGCTGCCTGAGTCCTGTCTCTGAGCCCATCACCCTCCCACTCCTCTGAGACTATCCCAATCGCTCCTCATTGTCCATTTCCCTAACCTTGCAATACCCCCTCCCAGACCCACAGTTCACCACCCATAGCTCCCTGACACTCCAGAGCTCACCTTCAGCATCAGGGCCTCCCTCTCCCGCTCCTCCTCCTGGGCACCTCCCCAGCCTCCCTCCCACTCCCTCTCTGCTCCCCGAGCCCCATGGCCAAAGCCCAAGAGCTGGGGGACCACCAAAGCCCCCAAAAGCCAGGCTGCCTGCATTAAGCTGGACTCTTGGCACCCAAAGTTCCAGATGTCTGGATGTCTGGGGTGGGAGGGGTGGCCTCTGGGAACTGCCGAGTGCCCCTGCCCTGTGTGCAGGTCACTAGCCCCCAGGTTCCCGATTCTCCCAGCTTCTCTCTTCCTGTTCCTCTCCTCGTCTCTGTCCGGTCCGTTGGTCTCCTCTGCTTCTCTGTGTGTGTCTCTCCCCGCCCCTCTTGGCTCCCCGGAGGCCCTGCCTCTGTGGCCGGAAACCTCCAACGTTCCAAAGCCTAGATCCCGCCTTGGGTCTCCTCGCACACCCTCCTCTTTCCACTTTCCAGAGCTCGCTTCCGCCCTGCTCTTTCCTTCTGCTGTAGCCCAAAGATCAGATAATCAGGAAGAGGATGGAGCTGGCTCTCCAAGGAATCTTGGAAAACACAGGCCCCGGCCTCAGCCCAGGAACCCGCTCAGAACCATCTCGGCAGTGGTGGGATGCTGGGACCGAGCACTGCTCCCTTCTTCCCTGCCTGGCCATTCCTAAGGAGGGGCAGACCTCAGGGTCTCGCTGAGGTTGTTATTACCCTGTGGCCACCATCGCCTGCACACTCAATGGAGGAGACTCCAGGGCCCCTCCTGCCCCCTAGATTGCCCATCCTACCCTCCAAGCCCTTGTCTGGAGATCCAAGTGAGTGTGTGTGGGGGCAGGGTGACACATGTGAAGAGCACGCGTGTGACTGTGTGCATGACCCTGGAAGACGGGGCTCGGGGATTAATTGGCCACTTTACTAGAAGCCTCCTGCAGGCCAGGCTGTGGGCTGGGTGATGCTGGGGACTCCAGCTGCTTGCAGACCAGCAGCCAGATAGCTCCGGGGATGAGGGGGCTGGAGATGGGAGAGGGTGAGGAGTCTGGCGGAGCAGTCAGGGAAGGTTTCTCCAGGAGGTGAAATCGACAGACGCTAGGTTGTGTGCTCAAGGAGCTCTGAGCATTCAGCAAGCCACCTCATTTCAGCCTGGACCACTGCAGTCTCGCCCTCCCCCTCCTTCCTCCTGAGCCCCTCCAATCCCGGCTGCTTGCCGCAGCCAAAGCAATCCTTCCAAACCATAAATCAGATCACATCACTCCCCACTCCCCTGCTCCCCCACCTTCCCATCATAAGCAGGAGGGAAGCCAAGCCCGGGCCTCAGTCCTCAGCGCAGCCTACCATGCTGGGGGCTGGGAAGGAAGAACCCTTTGCACCTCTGCAGCCTCATCACCCCCATTCCCTTCACCCACCCCCAGCCTCCACCTTCCCTGGCCTCTTGGCTCATCCCCAAATACTAAGCTGATTACAACCTCAGAGCATTTGCACTAGCCCTTTCCTCCTTCTAGAAGCCTCTTTCCCCAGCTCCTTCTCATCATCGAGGTCTCAGCTCCAGGAGGTCTTCCCCAACCACCTTATCTATTCCGCAAGTTACTTTATTAAAATGCCCCATTTCATCTTTTTGGTATAATCAAGACTGGCATGATCTTGTTTGTTTATGTCTGTTCCCTGCCAATGAAAGCAGGGATTTTTATGCACTGATGCATCTCCTAGCACAAGGCCTACCTAGCACATAGTAGGTGTTCAATCAACCTGTTGAGTGGGCGAGAGGGTAGCCGTTCCTGGTGGGGTCAAAGGCCTGGAAGCTTCACCTCTTTGGTTTGCTGGCACCCAAGTTCCCAGGGTGGTGGTGGCAGGGTAGGTAGAGGTGGTGAGGGCAGTGGGAGAGAGGCTTGGAGGCAAGGAAGAACAATGCCATGCCATGCCCCTCTATGTCAGGCCCATGAGTCATGCAGGGCTTTTCCCGCCCAGGCCTGGCTGGTGGTGCCAACAAGCATGGGGCACACCAGCCAAGGATCACTGGGCCTGCTCTTCAAAGGAGGAGACCGAGGCTCTGAAACAGCATAGCCTGCTGGAGGTCACCAGTGTGGCGGCAGCTAGCCAAGGTTTCTGGCTCCAAGAGCAGGGCATCTGCCCTCGGCTGCCGGGAGCCCCAGGAGGGGCCTTGGAAATCAGTGCCTCCAGCCTTCCGTTTTCCAAGAAATCCTGGTACATCGAGGGCACTGTGACCTTGGGCAGACTGCTCCCTGCCTCAGAGCCTGGGCCTCTCAGGTGCCCATCGGGAACCTGGGGCCCCTCACCAGGAGCTACAGACCTCAAGAAATAATGCGTATGTGGGGAAAGGCCTTGTAAAGTGTGCAGGGGTGCACAGCCTCTCTGGCTGCTGGAGCCAACATGGGCAGCTGTGCTTTCCCCGGGCCCAGCTGCTCACCACCTGGGCTAGTGGGTACGCATCAAGATAGAGGCCTCCCCAGGCTGAGCAGGCACCTCCTCCAGCTCATACTCGGGTACCCCGGAGAGCCTGCAGCTGGAGGGGAACCCAGAAGCTGCCTAGAACTGCCCCCTGCAGGCCCTGGAGGTGCTGTTGGAGCTGGGAGAATGAGGAAGCCTGGGCTAAGGGGACACTCACCACTCACTGCTGCCCTGTGGGATCTGCTCTGTCCCTGTGGGTGCGTCCCAGGCATGAATGAGCTGTCTGCCTGCAGCTGGCTGCATATGCGTGCCTACACAGACATGTGCAAACTCTGAGGAGACGGTTGGGTGTGTCTGTGTGTGATGAATAAGGATATGCAACTATGAGGGGATATGCCCAGTAGTGCACCATAGTTGTCAAGTGAGGACTTTGGAGCCAGCCTACCTGTTCCTGATCCTTGTTACCACCTCCTTACAGCTGGATGACCTTGGGCAAGTTACTTAGCCTCTCTGTTCCTTGGTTTCCCCCTCTGGAAAATGGGGATGGCGAAAGTCCCTGAGCCTGGCACACAGAAAGTGCTCCAGGAATGTCAGCAGTAACTATCCTGGAGGGGAAGGATGGCACGGTGTTGGGCATGTAAACGGGTGAGTGCGAGCCAGTGCAATGGACAGCACGGTGGGTGGGTGTGATGGGAAGGCGTGCACACGTCTCTACAGTGCTGTAACTCCGTTTTGGTGTTGAGAGATCTGGGCATGCATACCGGGGTGAACGCCTGTGTGCGTGTGTGCGCGCGCACGTGCGTGTGTGGTGGGCAAATGTGTGCATGTGCTGCGTGTGTGCCCGGGCACAGGGGTGTGACAACTGCATGTAGCTGGGTGTGTTTGTAGCTGTGTACCCCAGGTGCATTGTGTCTGGGCATGCATGCGCTGGAGAGTGTGTGTATGTGGGGACTCTGCAGGTGCCGTTACAGCTGGTGACTATGCACCTGTGCCTTGGGGAAATGTGGCCTGGCCCAGGTATGTCCACGTGTGCCCTGACCCAGTGCTTAAATGGAAAGGGTGTGTGTGTGTTTGGGGGGACAGGGTGGGAATCTATAGCCTTCACACTTAAATTTGGGGGTGTAGAGTCTGGCAACAAATATTTATTGTGCCCCACTCTGTGTAGGGCGGCGGGGAGCTCTCTGGGAGGGGGTGGTCCTGAGGTGTGTGTGGGGGGGCACCTTATGGGGGCAGGACCCCTTCCTCGGGGTATGGGAGCAAGCAGGGGCGGAGTCAGGATTTGGGGACTCGGAGGTGGGGAGGAGTGGTGGGGGAGGGCAAGGGTAGGGGGCGGAGCCGGCGGTGGTGGGGGATGGGCGAGGTTTGGGGGCGCGGGGAGGGGCGATGTCTCCTCCGCCGGCTCCCGGAGGGAGGGGAGAGGGCGGAGGGAGGGGAGGGAGGGAGAGAGGGAGGGAGAGAGACAGGGTGAGGGAGAGACAGCGAGAGCGAGAGAGCGAGAAGGGTGGCAGAGGAGGCGCGGAGCGGGCGGCGGCGGCGGCGGCCCGAGGAAGAGGAGGAGGAAGAGCAGGCGGAGACGCGGCGCCCGGAGCCGGCCGGACCGAGCCGGGGGCGGGCGAGGAGGGGCGCGGCGGCCGCGGCGGAAGGGGGGGCGCTCTGCGGATGGCCAGGCCCGGCCCGCGGGGGGGGTGAGGTCCTCGGCCCTCCCGCCCTCCCCCCCGGTCCCCGCCCGCCCCCTCCCCGGGCCCGCTCGCCCTCCGGGGCGGTGGGGCATGGCCTGAGGGTCCCCGTCTCCGGGGGGGTGGGGGGTGGGGGGAGGGGGGAGGGGCCGCGGGCGCCGCCGACCGGGACTCAGCAGCCCCGCCAGGCAGGTAAGGGGGTCGAGAACCTGGGGGTTTGGGGCAGCTGCGGGGCCGGGGCCGCGGGAGGGGGCGAGGGCGCCCCGGATGTCCTTGGCCCGGCGCCGGGCTCCTGGCCTGGGTGTGCGGCTGGGGGTACGGGTGAGGTGGGGAGCGTTGCCCTGGGCGACACCAAATTGGGTTACGCCCGGGTCCCCGGTGCCCCGTCCCAGATCGCATCCTTGATGGGAGGGCGCGCCCCCCACCCCCGGCCAGCAGAGCCCCTATCCCGAACCCGCCTCCCGGCTCTCCGGGGCCAAGGGCTCGGTCCTGGTACCCGCCTCCCCGCCCAGCCCGGCCACTCCCCCGCCTCGCCCTCCCTGGCGTACCTGGGCCCCTCCGCCAGGTCACCCTGGTCCCCACTCCCCTCCAGCGAGGGTCTAGGCCCGGGCCTCCTCCGCCCCTTTCGACCCCTCCAGCTCCCGCTTCTCCTTCCAGGCTCCTCCAGTCCCTTTCCACCCCTGTCCAAGCTCCCTGCGTCCCCACCAGGTCTCCAGTCCCTACACCGCCGGCCGGCGCGCCCCCTCGGCTCCCGCCCCCGACTCCTGCTCCCCGGTGCCCCCCGCCCCTCTCCCCGGCCGGGTTCTCCCCCACCAGTTTCCCAGCCTCGGCTCCGGCTCTCTCTCCCCGCCCCTCCCCGCCTCCCTCCGCCTCCATTCATTCTCCCCGGCCCCGCTCTCGGCCACGCCAGCCGCCCCCTGTCCCCCCACAGCCTCCCAGGGCACCCCCTCTCTCGCGTCCTCCACCACCCCCCTCGCCGATTCCTCAGCCCGTCTCGGTACCAGCTGCGTGCCAGCTATTCTTAGCCGCGGAGCGTTTGATTCATGCCGCCCCGGCGGAGCGTGCCCGCTCCCTCCCGCGAGCCCTGAGGGGGAGGGGCCGGAGCCGGCCCGGGGGGGCTGGGGCAGCCGTACGCGCGGGGGGCCCTAGCCAGCTTTTCTTTCATCCCACCGGCCACCCCCTCCGAGCGGGGTTGAGGCTGGGGGTCAGCCAGGGTCAGCCGAGGGGGAGTGTCTGCGGGCCCCAGATCGCGAGGTGGGCTGTGCGGCGGGGCAGGGAGGAGGCAGCCGGGGTCTCCGCAGGGACGAGGTGGGGCGGCGTGGCTGGGTACCTGGAGGGGGAGGGGGCTTCGCAGCGCTGCCGCGCGTGGGGGAGGGGTCCGCCGGCCCTGGGTTAGAGGCTCGCTCGCCCACACCTCCTGGAACTCTCCTCCCACCACACACATTTAGTCTTCCCTTTCCCAACCCCCCAGCCCATCCCCACTCCCCCAAAGTCAGCAGTACCCTCCACTGCTTCCCATCTCCATGGCAACGGTGCAGGAACCGGGCCTGGTGTTGGGGGGAGGGACCAGACCAGACATTCTGGTTTCCGGTGCTGGGGTGGGAGTTGGGGGAGAACAGAAGGGAGGCGGACCCCATTTGGAAGGGGCTCCACCCTCATAAGGCCACCTCAAGGGAGAACAGCAAGGATCTAGAGATGATCCCCCACTCAGTTCCCCAGACCCTCCTCTCACTTCTTAGCCTCCCTCCTAACACCCCCAGTCCTCAGAGTGGAGCCCCTAGTACCCAGCAAGCCAGCCCACCCACCCTGCAGTCCTAGAAAAGAGCTACAGGTCATCTGCAGCCACCCACATCTACCCGGGCCACCACACCACTGTCACCTGGACAGCACTCCCCAGGCCGACCTCCCCACCTACCCGCACACCCTCTCAAGATGCCCCAGTCTCCAAAAGCCACCTCTTGTGGTTCCCTTGGGGACACCCTAGGCCAAATGCTCTGCCCATGACACCCCCATCTCAGTGCCCCTTGCTCCCCTGGGACGGCAGATTCCCCAGCACTATTCGGCATGCCACGCGTTGTCAGCCACACTTGAGTGAAGTCACCAGCTCCACCCGCTCCAGGCTCACCACACCTCCCTCTCCCCCTTACTACATCTCAGTGTCAGCCTCAGCTTCTCCCCAACCCCACCCCCCGGCCCTGGGATGAGGGGCCAGGCTGGGGCCAGGAGGGCAGGATGCCTGTCAGTTTGTCCACCTGTCTGTCCTTAGCTAATTTTAGCTGCATTTTCTGTGGCCTGGCAAAGTGGGCCAGTAGCTCCCGCGGTGATTCTGCGGTTTCTGGGACACGGCCACGCTGGGTCACCAGCAAAGTGGGGCGCAGGGGGCGGGCTGCAAGCGGGGCCAAGGGCAGGGAAGGAGACACATGCCAGAAGCATGTCAGGGACAGGGGTGTGTGCGTGCCAGCGTGGGAGGAGGCGGCAGGGGAGGCCGTGCAGGCCGAGGGTGTGTCCAGCCTCCTTCCTGCCTATCTTGGGCAGTGGGGGTAGGCTGCCCTTGACCGCTTGACCACCGAATAGCGCCTGCGGCCTCTGAGGGGTCCCGGGCTCCTAGTCTGATGGCCGCCCTTGGCCCCTGCAGCCGCCTGTGATGCTGCCGTCCCCCGTCGCCCCGTGGCCCCACAATGACCCACAGCCCCGCGACAAGCGAGGACGAGGAACGCCACAGTGCCAGCGAGTGTCCCGAGGGGGGCTCAGAGTCCGACAGCTCCCCAGACGGGCCAGGTCGAGGCCCCCGGGGGACCCGGGGCCAGGGCAGTGGGGCACCTGGTAGCCTGGCCTCTGTTAGAGGCCTCCAGGGCCGCTCAATGTCCGTCCCAGACGACGCCCACTTCAGCATGATGGTCTTCAGGATTGGCATCCCGGACCTGCACCAGACAGTGAGTACCTGCCCACTGGCCAGCGGCAGGAGAGGGACAGTGCCCCAACCGACATGGGGAGTCCACTGGTGCTGGGTATCCTCCCAGGAATCACCCCCACACTCAGCTCCTGGCTCACTTCCCAACCCACCTCAGGCTCTCCTCTGGCCCCTGGCCCACCCTAGCCCCTATCTCTTCCCCAACCAGAAATGCCTTCGCTTCAACCCCGATGCCACCATCTGGACGGCCAAGCAGCAGGTGCTCTGTGCCCTGAGCGAGAGCCTGCAGGATGTGCTCAACTATGGCCTGTTCCAACCGGCCACCTCCGGCCGCGATGCCAACTTCCTGGAGGAGGAGAGGCTGCTGCGGGAGTACCCCCAGTCCTTTGAGAAGGGGGTCCCCTACCTGGAGGTGAAGCTTCCCCAACTCCTTCACTGATAAGAGAAGGCATGCCCTAAAACACATCTGCCCCCCACCCACTTTTTAACACACTCGAAACCTTAACGAGGGGGCACCCAGTGTGCGAGTCCAGACCTTCTAAGCATCACAGGGAAGTCAGAGAGTCCTGAGTTCAAATTACCATCTGTTCTGCTTCTGACCAGCTAAGTGGCCTTGGCCAAGTCACTTTCCTGCCCCAAGCTTCTCCTCACCCATCAAATTGGGGGAGGATTCCCAATTACAGTAGGCACTCTAGAACATTCCCTGTGGGGTCCAGACTCCTCCTCCTTCAAGGCAGGGGTTGCAGTGCACATATACCATAATACCCAGCACTGTCGGAAAAGCCACTGCCACCCATCTACCGCCTAGACCAAGGTTCCAGGGCTGTTTTCACTCCCACCCTGAGCTACCCCGGGGAATTAGAAGGGGATCAGACCTTCCCCTACCCCAAGCCTTCTCCCCAGGCCCCTGATTCCAAGTCTCTGTGTCTCTCTCACTACCCTACCCTTGACCTCAGTTCCGATACAAGACCCGAGTTTACAAACAGACCAACCTGGATGAGAAGCAGCTGGCCAAGTTGCACACGAAGGTGAGAAAACCCTGCTGGCATCTATCCCCTATAGCCCCCTACCACTGGAGCCCCCTACCCAACCACTTTCTCTCCCCACCTCTTCCCAATAGACCTCCACATTCCCCAAGCCAGCGATCCCTCTGGCCACTGCCCCCGCTTAACTTGGGATGCTGTACCACATTTGAGACAACCACAAATACCCCCCATTATCCCCATCACAACCCCTTCTTACTTTCCTCTTTTGCCCTTCATCCCTCTGCCTGGGCCCACATCATTCCCACCTGGCCTCCTTTGAGTCTCCCTTCTCTTCCCCTGCCTCCCCCCATATCCATCCAAGGCCTCTTTACTTCCCCACCTTGGCCTAGGACCCTGACACTGAAGGTCCTTCTGCCTAGAGTCTATTTCAAAGACAGGCTACATTTCTCCCAACCTCATAGCCTGAATCTCTGCAAAATCCAACCATTACACCCCCCTTTCCAGCCATATCTGTCCTCCTGGTACCTTGCCCGCCAGTCCTCAGCCCCTGTCTGTCCTGTGTCTCGATGGTGAGAGCTGGGAGGAAATCGGGAACTGCTTTGGTCAGAAATGAAGAACTCTTGATCCTTGAGAAGGAAAAACTCCCAGTCCCTCCTTGTCTACCCTCTCCCCACCACAGCATGCATTGAACTCTTTCCTCCCCTAAATGTTCCATCCCTCCAGACTTTCACGGTCCACTTTGGGAACCACTGGCCAAGTGTGGCTCCTGAGTGCTTGCAGTGTGTTTGGTCCCAACTAAGACTCGCTGTGAGTGTGAAATACACACTGGGTTTCAAAGACTTAGTACCAAAAAAAAGTTAAATAACCTCATTAATAATTTTCATCTCAATTACCTGTTGAAACAGTAACATTGTAGCTATATCAGTTAAATAACATATATCATTAACACGAATTTCAACACAACTAACACTTCACCCCCAACCACCCTGATTTTTTTTTTTTTTTTTTTTGAGACGGGGTCTTGCTCTGTCACCCGGGCTGCAGTGGTGCAATCATGGCTCACTGCAGCCTCAACCTTTCAGGGTTCAAAGGATCCTTCCAGCTCAGCCTCCCGAGTAGCTGGGACTACAGGCGTGTGCCACCACAACCTGGCTAGTTTTTTGCATTTTTTGTAGAGATAAGGGTCTCACTTTGTTGCTCAGGCTGGTCTCGAACCCCTGGGCCCAAGTGATCCTCCCGCCTCGGCCTCCCAAAGGGCTGGGTATTTTCTCTGTAAAGGAGGCTGCTAGAAGCTTTTCAATGGCGTATGTGACTCCACGTATATTTTCACTGGACGTCGCTGCTTGAGGACCCTGCTTCTCTGCCTTGCTCCTGACTGTCCTGTCTTCTCTCTCTTTGCCCATGGCTCAGACGGGGTTGAAGAAGTTCCTGGAGTATGTGCAGCTCGGGACATCTGACAAGGTGGCGCGGCTGCTGGACAAGGGGCTGGACCCCAATTACCATGACTCGGATTCGGGAGGTAGGGAGGGGTGCGCATCAGGAGGACCTCAGGGCCAGGACAGAGCTGGGGAGCAGGGGTGCCATCTGCATTCACATCCATTCCTGACTGGTGTCTCCCAAACACATTGCTGTCCAAGGGGGAGGCCACGGGGCCAGAGGCTGTGGGGTGGAGAGCTGCAGAGCCTGGAAAATGGGAAGGGATGGAGGGGAGGAGAAGGGGCTTCATGTGACCAGCTTTTCCCGCCCTTCAGAGACCCCCTTGACACTGGCGGCCCAGACCGAAGGCTCTGTAGAGGTGATTCGAACCCTGTGCCTGGGCGGGGCCCACATTGACTTCCGGGCCCGGGATGGCATGACCGCACTGCATAAGGCCGCATGCGCCCGACACTGCCTGGCACTCACGGTGAGGCTTCGGGGACCCCCCATCCCCGCCATGGGGCCCTCTCTCCTTTTCCCTTTGTTCTTTCTCAAACCTCAGTTCTTTGGTTTCAGTTAAAAATAGGCCCTCTCATGTCCCCAGTTCAAAGCCCCTTTCCATAGACTGAGACACAGCCCCTATTGTCACCCTTGTCAGGCCCCCCAGATGCACCCACCTGGGCTATAGCTGACATCACACAGACCCGGGCACGGCCTCCTCCCCTAAACACCCAGAACGTCTCCATCCCCTGTGGCCCAGCTTAATACCAAATCTGCCTCTGTCTCCCCAAGGTGTAAACCCTTCTCATTCCTTAAAATACGAAGTGAGCTCCCTGCTATGCCCCCAGATAGAGCCCCTCCACACACACCCTGAAAACAGCCCCCCAGCTACCCTTCCAAACCAGCACTGCACCAGCTCCCCTCCCTCCTCTCTCACATGCAAATACAGCCCCTTCCCCACGTACACAGCCTCAAATGCACTTTCCCAAATAGACAAACCCATACACCCACAAAATACATACACAGCGGCAGCTGCACAGTCTAATTTTAAAATACTCTTCTCCCCCTGCCCCCGCCAGGACACCTGATTGCTCTTCACATGAGGGTCAGGATGGGCTGCCCCCAAAGACAGCCATTGAGAAGCACCCCGACGCACAGCTGCTCCAGCTAAACGGCCCCTCCCTTCTCTCCCTCAGATGCTTTCCTGAAGAGCCCCTAATGCAGTCAGATGCCAGCCACAAAGATCTGCAGTATACCCCTGGAGTTAACAGATCCTCTTCATGTATCTCCCATGCACACTCACCCCCAAACCCACATCCTGCTCACACACGCCCCTCCCAGCCTCCAGACCTGCGCTATCCAAGCCAGTAGCCACTGGCCACCTGGGGCTGTTTAAATTTAAATTAAATAGAATGAAGTAAAATTAAAATTTCAGTTCCTCAGGCTCACTAGCCACGTTCAAGTGCTCAGGGGCCCACACGTGCCTGCCATATAGGGTGGTGCAGTTGCAGACCATCCCCATGATGGGGGAAACGTTCTGTTGGGTGGCACTGCTACAGGCTGTCCTCACACGAGGTTGCTGCCAAGACTTTCTCCTATTAATGTTCATTATTGCCAGCCTTCCACACCCAGAGCTGTCCTTCAAGTGGGGGCAGGAAGTGGCCTCCAGCCCCAGTGAGGCCGGCCCGATCCTTGCCCTTACCCAAGCTTACCTGTCCCCTGGCTTCCTGCTGTGCCCCTTCTTTGAGATCCTGGACCTAATAACACCTCCCACTTGGTCAGAGACCCTCCAGCATCCAGACTCTGTCCTCTCACTTGTCCCCAACAACCCACCTGTAGGAAGTGGAATGGGTGGGTACTGTGGCCCCTAATGTCTTTCAATGGCTCATCCAAGATCGCCCCCAGGGGGAAGGCTGGGTGGGATGTCAGAGTGCAAGTGTCCTCTGGAGGCATCTACCCAAGTCCCACATTGTTCACACGGAATCAGAGTGGCCCAGGGAGGGAAAGGGCCAGGCTCAAGGTTGCACAAGGGCATCACGGCAGAACTGAGACTGTCATTGGCCACTGTAGGTCACCCAGGACGGTCCAGTCCCCCTGGCCCTTCAGAATGAGCTGGTTAATGTGTGACTGTCATCTGTGTTTTTCTACTGGGTTCTCTCTCCGTTCCTAGGCGCTCCTGGACCTTGGGGGTTCCCCCAACTACAAGGACCGTCGGGGGCTGACCCCTCTGTTCCACACGGCCATGGTGGGTGGTGACCCCCGATGCTGCGAGCTGCTCCTGTTCAACAGGGCCCAGCTGGGCATAGCTGATGAGAACGGCTGGCAGGAAATCCACCAGGTGCTCCTGATTCAGGCCATGAAGGGCTGGGGTGGGGGACCCAGTCCCTGAGGCATCCAAGGGGCTGGGGCTGGGAACCAGATGCCAGGGTCCTCACAGAGCATGGGGGTGAGAATAACATGGTCCCCAAAGAGGAAATGGTGGGGGTGAAGGCAGAAAGACCCTAAGGGGGCATAGGCTGGGGAACCTGATGCCTTGACCCCTGAGAGGGATGGGCTGTCCTCTTGACCCCCTTAAGGAGGCAGACCAGACGCCTGGGCCTTGGAATGACTGAACATTTGGGTTTTGAGGCTGACAGCCTGGGTCCCAGAGCAGGAAGCGGGGCTAAAAGGTGATGGGGAGGTGGATGCGGTGAACGATAGGATGAGAAGGCCAGTGCACAGGTCATAGACAGACTCTTGGCCCAGAGGGAGAACAGCCTGGGTCTGATCCATGCCCCTCGCTCCCTGTCCTGCCCAGGCCTGCCAGCGGGGTCACTCTCAGCACCTGGAGCATCTGCTTTTCTACGGGGCTGAGCCTGGAGCCCAGAACGCCTCGGGGAACACGGCTCTGCACATCTGCGCCCTCTACAACAAGGTCTGCCTAGCAGCGGCCACCCCAGGCCCCTCACATCCCCGATAGCCGCCTCCCCCAGGGCCAAGCTCAGACACTCCTCTTGACTGCATCTCTGCACCCTCCACTTCTTCACTATTTCCACCCTTTCATCCAGTCATTCCTCCATTCATTCCTCCATCCATCCATCCATCCATCCATCCATCCATCCAACAGATATTTACTGAGCTCCTCTGTATCAGGCCTGGAGCTGGGTGCTGGGGACAAAGTGTTGAGCTCATGGCCTAGCAGAGGGCAGACAACATAGTTTGCTGCTACAGTCCAGAGTGCTCAGAGCAAAGTCACAGGGAATCCAGATCCCTGCGGGAGCCCACATCTGGGACTGGGCTTGGGATGGAGTGGCTGGGGGTGAAGGTGGCTTCCTGGAGGAGGTGCCCCCAGTGTTAAGATGAGCAGGAGTAGAAAAGAGGAGAAAGGGGTGCTCCAGGGTGGGGGCACAGCCTGTGCAGAAAGCCAGAGGAAAGGGGGCTGTGGGTCCTCAGTTCCCCTGTGTCTGCATTCAGCCAGTGGTGTGTGCAGGTGCCACGTGGCGGCACGGCAGGGCACAGGGGAAAGGCCAACGTGCAGCCCCCGTGGCCCCTGAAGGGAATGACAGTGGGATGGGAGTTTTAGCAATTCAGGACCTTGGGGGTCCTGACAACCTGGGTCCCTGAGCAGGAAGGGAGTGCTGAAGGGAGATGGGAAGAACACCCCCACTTCTGGAGTTCCTAGGAGAGGAGAGGTACGGAGCAGGCAGGGGGGCTCGTGGCAGCTGGTTGGCAAGAGCCGGGTCTTTCAATGTCATGACCTCTGGTACTTTAGCCACCTGAGCTGCAGATGATCCTGGGCAGGTCAGCCCCATGGAAAGCCTCAATCTCCCCACCTGTTTCTTGATGCTTCCTGCCCTTGAAGGGCAGCTGGTGGGGGTACTTAGAGAGACAGGCGCTAGCATGACAGAGCTGGTCTGTCAGCCCCCTTCCTCCAGGAAGTCTTCCAAAACAGCCCTCAGCCCCCTCTGCCTCGGCAGAACTTGCAGTGCTGGGGATTTGGCGGGTGGCCACGTGCCGCCTTGTGGCAGCCAGCAGTATGCCTGGAGCCCAGGGAAGACTCAGTGTTTGTCAAACCGAACCAACATGGTGCCGGCACTTCTCTCCCCACGTGCTCCTGTCTCCTGCTCTGCGACACAGGCCTCACAACCAATCCTCTGACTCCCAGGCCCTCGTGCAGCTGATGGGGAAGAAGCCCTGGCCCCACAGGCAGATGGGGGTGGGGAGCAAACAAGTCCCTCCCCCTCTTTGAGGCTCCATCCTTCTTCCTGAAATGGGAATAACGCCAGCTCTTATTGACGAGGGTGAGCCATCGTGTATACTAAGTGCTCATCCCTGGAAGGCAGCCATCAGAATAATAATTGTCATTGTTACCATCACCAGTGTCAGTCAGGGTCCAGTCGAGAGACAGAAACTGTACCGTTCAGATAAACAGAGAAATTTTGGTATAGAGAATTAGACCAGGCACGGTGGCTCATGCCTGTAATCCCAACACTTTGGGAGGCTAAGGCAGGAGGATGGCTTGAGCCCAGGAGTTCGAGACCAGCCTGGGCAACGTGGGAAAACCTGGTCTCTATGAAAAAATACAAAAATTAGCTGGGCACAGTGGCATGCACCTGAAGTCCCAGCTGCTCGGGCAGCTGAGGCAGAAGGATTGCTTGAGCCTGGGAGGTGGAGGCTGCAGTGAGCTATGATCATGCCACTGCACTCCAGCCTGGGTGACAGAGTGAGACCCTGCCTTAAAAAAAAAAATTAGAATTAGACAGCAGGCAGAGTTTTCTTAGTGGGACAGTTGCACAAGTCATTTTCCCCTCCTTGATCTCCTTTCTCAGCTGTGAAATGGGTCAATAATTAATATCTACCATGCAGGCCGGGCGCAGTGGCTCACGCCTGTAATTCCAGCACTTTGGGAGGCCGAGGCGGGCGGATCACTAGGTCAGGAGATTGAGACCATCCTGGCTAACACGCTGAAATCCCGTCTCTACTAAAAATGCAAAAAAAAGTTAGCCAGGCGTGGTGGCGGGCGCCTGTAGTCCCAGCTACTCGGGAGGCTGAGACAGGAGAATGGCGTGAACCCGGGAGGCGGAGTTTGCAGTGAGCCAAGATCATGCCACTGCACTCCAGCCTGGGTGATAGAGCGAGACTCCGTCTCAAAAAAATAAATAAATAAATATCTACCATGCAAAAGGATCAAGTGGGTTAATAGGTTTGCTTGCCTTTGCCATGGGCTTAACAAACCGATGCATAACACATACGAACTTGATTCCTCCATTTCCCCCCTTGTCTTCCTCCCAGGCTTTAAGCTTTCCAAGAGCCAGGGCTGAGTCTGACAGTTTTTCCTCAGCCTCTGCCGCCTTGGCCTCCTGATATGCCCGTCTAGCATTTGGTGGTGAATGTCAGATCCGTGTCTAGGCTGTGAGCACCTCAAGGGTGGGGGTTGAGTCTGATTACTTGCTCTGTTCCAGGACCCCAGCAAACAGCAGGCCTAGTTCCATCTTTGTTGAGTGAGTGAATGAATGAATGAAAATGAGTGAATGAATGATGGGGTCAGCCCTCTTGGATTTCCACCAAGACTGTGCACAGTGCCTGGCTCAGAGCATTCAACAGGTGTTTGCTTGTTTCAACAGACTGAATGACTCAACCAATGAATGAATGACTCGAACAAATGAATTTTGACTGACTCAACCCCACATCCTCCATCCTCATCCTTTCCATGCACGTTCCTTGAGCACCTACTATGTGCACAGCACCAGGCCTTGGGGATGTGAGATGAATCAGACACAGCATCTGGCCTGGGGAGGGCGAGGGCGGGGTTGGGGGGGGTGGGAGTTCACAGTCTGGTGAGGAGGCAGACGTGTAAGCAAATCATGGCTACGACATGAGATAAGTGCTAGGATGCCGTTAAATGCGAGTTTCTCTTGGTGCCCAGGGGAGGGAGCCATCAACTCTGACTTGCACACCTTCTCAGCTTTGTAAGAGTAGGATGAGGAGCAGGTGACCTTAGGGGCTGTGCTCTGGCCCTGTGCCCCCAGTGTGGGTGTTGGGGCTGTGAAAACATGCAAAAAGCCAGGCGCGGTGCCTCACACCTGTAATCCCAGCACTTTGGGAGGCTGAAGCAGGCGGATCACGAGGTCAGGAGTTCAAGACAAGTCTGGCCAAGATGGTGAAACCCTGTCTCTACTAAAAAGACAAAAATTAGCCAGGCATGGTGGCGGGCACCTGTAATCCCAGCTACTTGGGAGGCTGAGGCAGAGAATTGCCTGAACTCAGGAAGCAGAGGTTGTAGTGAGCTGAGATCGCGCCATTGCACTCCAGCCTGGGTAACAGAGTGAGACTCCATCTCAAAAGAAAAGAAAAGAAAAGAAAAGAAAAGAAAAGAAAAGAAAAGAAAAGAAAAGAAAAGAAAAGAAAAGAAAAGAAAAGAAAAGAAAAACACGCAAAAGTACACATGGCAGGAGTTAACAGTCTAGTTGGCCAGCAGCACGGGCATACACAGACTCACATGCACACACACACTCCCAAACACACCCAGAACACACACTGGGCTAACTCTGCTGCCCGATGTGTGACTTTGGCAGTCAGAGTCGTCCATTCATAGGAGATAGGTGAACCATAGGATCAGAAGGCCAGGTGCACAGGAGGATTGCTTGAGCCCAAAAGGTGGAGGCTGCAGTGAGCCGAGATCACGCCACTGCACTCCAGCCTGGCAACAGAGCGAGACTCTGTCTCAAAAAAAAAAAAAAAGGAAGAAGAAGGCCAGGTTGTTGGAATCCTAACTGCTCCACTAACTGGTTGTGTGGCCCTGGGCGTAGCATCTGCCCTCTCTGAACCTGTCCTGTAACATAGGCCCATACAAACCCCTTGGTGGATTTGTCATGTGGAAGGGGTAAGATCAAGGAGGTGCTTGGGAAATGGTGGTTAAATTAGCATCAGAGGGCGCTGGGGTAGAGTTGAGCTGGAGGCCAAGTTGGGTTTGGCCAGGCCAAGATAAAAGGGAGAGGACACTCCTTCTACCGAATAGTCCCTGTGGGTCCAGCATTAATCCAGGTGGTGGGTGCCACAGGCAAAATCATGCCCCTGTACAACTTATGGTGTAGAGGAGAAGAGACACTACTGAGACAAATAACAGGAAATGGAATTTCAGTGAGACGGGGTTACGAAGAAAATGAGTTAACATTGGCTTAGAGTGCCTGGCACATACATCAGTGTGGTACTAAAAAATAAAGCAAAGGGTTGAGCACGGTGGCTCATGCCTGTTATCCCAGCACTTTGGGAAGCCAAGGCAGGCGGATCACCTGAGGTTGGGAGTTCGAGACCAGCCTGGACAACATGGGGAAACCCTGTCTCTACTAAAAATACAAAAATTAGCCAGACATGGTGGTGGGTGCCTGTAATCTCAGCTACTTGGGAGGCTGAGGCAGGAGAATCGCTTGAACCTGGGAGGCAGAGGTTGCAGTGAGCCGAGATCGTGTCACTGCACTCCAGCCTGGGTGACAAGAGCGAAACTCCATCTCAAAAAAATTTTAAAAATAAATAAATAAATAAAAATAAAGCAAGGAAGAGGACAAGGGTTTTTTTTTTAGACAGGATGGCCAGAGAAGACCTCTCTGAAGAGGCGGCATTTGTGCAAAAGCCTGAACGAAGTGAGGAAGCAAGCTATGCTGAGATCTAGCGGGAAAGGATTCCAAGCAGAGGGAGCAGCCGTGCAAAGGTCCTGGGGCATTAGTGTGCTGTCAGAGGAAGGAGGTGGCCAGTGTGGCTGCAGCCTGGGAGCAAGGGCAGGTGGTAGAAGATGAAGTTGGTGAGGGTCAGGGTGGGGAGTGGCAGGGCAGGCAGCTCAGGTTAGCTCAGCTAACCCTAACCCTCCTAGGCCGTGGCATGGACTTTGTGCTTAGCCCAAAAAGTGATGATGGGTGCCATGTGATTGACACCGGTGAGAAATTGATCTGAATGTAGAAGGCATCCCTGTCCCCACTGGCCCAGTCCTGCCCCCACCCTTTCCTCCACAATGTGTGTCCCCTTCCTTCTGGGCCTGGCAGAAAGTGTGATTAAGATAGAAGACTTTGGAGTCAGAGAGATCTGGGTTCGAATCCAAGGCTGATAATCACCAGCTGTGTGACCTTGAGCCCCCCCAACCCCCCCTTTTTTTTGAGACAGGGTCTCACTTTGTCACCCAGACTGGAGTGCAGTGGCATGAACAAGGATCTTTGCAGCCTCGACCTCTTGGGCTCAAGTGATCCTCTCACCTCAGCCCCACAAGTAGTTGGGACTACAGGCGTGTGCCACCAAGCCAGGCTAATTTTTTAAAATTTTCTGTACAGACGGGGTTTCGCCATGTTGCCCAGGCTGGTCTCAAACTCCTGGGCTCAAGCGATCCTCCCTCCTCGGCTTCCCAAAGTGCTGGGATTACAGGAGTGAGCCACCACCCCTGGCCCACCTTGGGCTCTTTTGAAAGCCTTAGTTTCCTCCTCTGTAAAATAGAGACAATTTCCATGTCCTGGAATTGTTGGGCAATTCAATGAGCTTCTGCCTCTAAAGTGCCAAGCGCCTGGCACGTAACATGGTAAGCCTCCGTAAGGTCTAGACCTGTGGTTCTCAACCTGGGAGCTTCTGTCTCCCAGGGGACACTTGGCAATGTCTAGAGACATTTTTGGTTGTCATGACTGGGGAGGGGAGTGCTACTGGCATCTAGTGGTAGAGACCGGGGATGCTACTCAACATCCCACAGGGCTCAGAACACCCTCCACAAACCAATGAATCACCAAAGGATTATCCGGCCCCAACATCCAGTGGAACATAGCATGAGCACATACCCTAAATGCCCTCAAATATCCTAGTGGCCATGTTAAAGAGAAGGGGAAAATAATTAGGTGACATTTATTTTAACAACATATTTTACTTATAACAGTGTATCTAAAACATTATCATTTCAACATAGAATCAATACAGAAATTATTATTTTTTTTTGAGACAGAGTCTCACTCTGTCACCCAGGCTGGAGTGCAGTGGCAGGATCTCGGCTCACTGCAACCTCCACCTCCTGGGTTCAAGTGATTCTCCCACCTCAGCCTCCTGAGTAGCTGGGATTACACACGCCCACCACCACGCCTGGCTAATTTTTGTATTTTCTGATAGAGACGGGGTTTCACCATGTTGGCCAGGCTGGGCTCAAATACCTGGCCTCAAGTGATCCACTCACCTCAGCCTTCCAAAGTGCTGGGATTACAGGTGTGTGTCACCACACCTGACATTTTTTTTTTCTGGGGGGGAGACAGGTCCCTGCTCTGTCACTCAGGCTTGATCTCAGCTCACTGCAGCCTCCAACTCCTGAGCTCAAGCGATCCTCCCACCTCAGCCTCCCAAGTATTCGGGACTCCAGGCACCCACCACCTGCCTGGCTAATTTCTGTTTATTTTTTTGTAGAGACGGGGGGCGTCTCACTATGTCACCCAGGCTGGTCTGGAACTCCTGCCTTGGCCTCCCACAGTCTTAGGATTACAGGCTTGAGCCACCACGCCTGGCTATAGACATTTAAATTCTTTCTTGTTTTCATATGGCATATCCTTGAAATCCAGTGTGTAGTTCGCATGCATGGTGCATCTCCGTTTGGGCCGGCCACGTTTAAACTAAAGTGCTCCTGGTCCGTACCTGGCAGGTGGCTGCTGTCCTCAGTGGTGCGGGTTTAGGGTGGAGTATTTATTCCTGAGGCTCTTAGCACAGAACCTGCATCCACTCATGGTGATCTTAATTTTTTCTCTCTCTCTTTGTCCTGTGCCACTGGCCATTACCCGCAGGAGACCTGTGCCAGGATCCTCCTGTATCGAGGTGCCGACAAGGATGTGAAGAACAACAACGGACAGACCCCCTTCCAGGTCTGGGGCTGCAGGGGATGTGCTGGAGTTTCCAGGGCTAAGGAAAGGGTGACAGTGACACCCAGTGGATAAGGAAGGGGACAATGAGGAAAGCAAGGAGACAGGCCGTGGAGGGGGAGCTGGAAGAAGACAGAGGGCGGCATTGTCGGAGTGGAAGGTTTGGGTCGGGCCAGGGACCTCGCCACGTTCCCTGCCCTCTCTCTGCTGCCTGGGCCCCCCTGGCCGACCTGCCTCTACCCCCTCCCTCCAGGTGGCAGTGATTGCTGGGAATTTTGAGCTGGGGGAGCTGATCCGAAACCACCGAGAACAGGATGTGGGTGAGTGACAGGGAGCTCGGACTGCACAGAGAACCTGGGGCGGTTGAGGTTTCATGGTGGGATGGGGGAGTTGGGGGACCTGACTTGGGGGCCAGGATAGGATGGAGAAAACCCTAGAGGACCAAAAATGTCTGGATGGTGGTGGGGGAGCAATTCCAGGCCCCCCTCCCTTTCTCATCTCTGTCTTTCTCCCTCATGCCTCTCTCCCACCATCTCTTGCCCCCGCATGGCCCCCTGCTTGCCTTTTCTCCCCTAACATCTGCCCCCCGCCGCCACTGTGCCCTCTCAGTGCCCTTCCAGGAGTCCCCCAAGTACGCGGCCCGGCGACGGGGGCCCCCAGGCACAGGGCTGACGGTGCCCCCGGCGCTGCTGCGGGCCAACAGTGACACCAGCATGGCGCTGCCCGACTGGATGGTGTTCTCCGCCCCGGGGGCCGCGTCCTCTGGGGCCCCTGGCCCTACCTCAGGGTCCCAGGGCCAGTCGCAGCCCTCGGCCCCCACCACCAAGCTCAGCAGCGGGACCCTCCGAAGTGCCAGCAGCCCCCGGGGTGCCAGGGCCCGCTCTCCATCCCGAGGGAGGCACCCTGAGGACGCCAAGAGGCAGCCCCGAGGCCGGCCCAGGTAGGGGAGGCAGCCCTGGCTCCACAGTCCCCAGCCCCGTCAAATCCCCTCTCCAGATCGGCGGCTTCCCCCGAGGCCAGCCCAGCTGCCTTCCTCTGTAGGCCCTCATCCAAGTCCCTAGTGTCACCTTGGGGTAAAGCAAGGCCTTGGGAGCTACTGTCCCGACTCCACCCCCGGTGCACCACATGTTAGCTGGATGTCTGCTCCAGGACAGGGGCCCCAGGCAGAGGGTACCCCAAAGAAACATGGGCCCCAGCCCCTGGGGACAGACAGAATGACAGGGTGAGGTGGAGGGAAGCTGAACAGGAAGAGGATGGGGGGGGTGGCAGGGACTTGAGGGGGACAGAGAGGTCACTCTGGAGGGAGGATGAGGAAGGGGCGGGGGACATTCCGGGGTCAGGAAGCCCACCTGGCTAGAGGAGGGTGAGAAGGAGGCGAAGGCCAGCCAGGCGTGTCCCGAGGAAGTGGGGGAGAGGCTGGCAACGGCGGGCAGAGGAGTTGGACCTGACCCAGGAGGAAGCTGGGAGTCGCGGAAGGCTCGTGAGCGGAGGGATGACACAGTCCCAGCTCAGCCTCAGGAAGCTGAATCAGGCGGTGCGCGCAGGACCGTGGGAGGGGGCAGAGCCGGAAGCCAGGAGGCAGGAGAGGGGGCTGGTTGGGGCAGCTGCGGGCAGGCAGAGGGAGCCCCCAAATGCCCTCTTCCTTGGAGGACGCCAGTGCTGGGAAACCCCCCCTCCCCCCTGATGCACCGTCCTCTTCCCCCACCCAAGGACCCCTGTCCTCCCAGAGGTGTCCCCTCCCTCCACCCTCCCCTCCTCTCATGCCCTCTGTGTACGCAGCTCCAGCGGGACACCCCGGGAAGGGCCAGCCGGGGGCACGGGGGGCTCAGGGGGCCCCGGGGGCTCCCTGGGCAGCCGCGGGAGGCGGAGGAAGCTCTACTCAGCGGTACCCGGACGCTCCTTCATGGCTGTGAAGTCCTACCAGGCCCAAGCCGAGGGGGAGATCTCCCTGAGCAAGGGCGAGAAGATCAAAGGTACCCAGGGTGGAAGCAGGGCCTGGGCTGGGCTGGGCTGTGGGGGCGATCAGGGAAAATGTGGAGCAGAGAGCAGACCATTCTCGGGCACCTGGAGTATCTCATGCACTCTGGAGACCTCAGAGAGCCCCAGGACACCCCTTGAGGCTTGGAGGACCATAGAGTGTAGCTCAGATGACCCTGTCAGGAGGCAGTGAAGTGAGCCGTGTCCCACTGCGGGACACTGATGCCGTGTGCAGGGCATGGCTGGAACTTCTCACCAAATCGTCTCATTAGACTCCTGATGGCCCTTTCTGGGGAGGGAGGTCATGGGCCCCATTGCATGGTTGAAGGAACAGAACCTCACACAGGTGAAGCCACTTGCCCAAGGTCCTCAGTCCAAGCCCACAGTCCTTCCTGCCACCTGGTGCAGAGCGTGAGGCCGAGCAGCCTTAACTTTGCCTCCTGCATCTGTCCAGGGGTCCTCAACTGAGAGACAGGCAGGGACCTACTTCTAGGGCCCCGACGAGCTGGCAGATATAAGATGTTTGGCCGTGGCGAGGGTTCCCAAAATGGTGGTGCTGTTATCAGGGTTCACCTCCCTTTGGTTTTTCCACCTTCATCTGGAAAGTGGAGCCAGTCTCCCCTGCTTATAGGCTTTGCAGGGCTGCTGACGTGTTCTTGGATAGAAGGATGCTTTAGAGACCACCACGTGCCGCAGGTGTGGCCGTTAATACGAGGCATTGGAACAATTCTTTGCCAGACTCTAGGCTGCCCAGGAGCTGAGCGGTATAGAGGTTGAGAGCCTGGCAGCCTGGGTTCAAATCCAGACCCCACCACTTCCTAGCAGGGTGACCTCAGCCAAGTGATTTCTCTGGGCCTCAGTTTCTTCATCTGTAAAATGGGACTTTGATGAGGATTGGAGGAGTCAGATCATGTAAAGTACTTAGACCAATGTTTCCTACATAACAAGTGCCATATAAGAGCCATCATTTGGCCGGACAAGGTGGCTCACACCTGTAATCCCAGCACTTTCGGAGGCCGAGGAGGGTGGATCACCTGAGATCAGGAGTTTGAGACCAGCCTGGCCAACATGGTGAATCCCCATCTCTACTAAAAATACAAAAAAAAAAAAAAAATTAGCCAGGTGTGGTGGCACGCACTTGTAATCCCAGCTACTTGAGAGGCCGAGGCAGGAAAATTGCTTGAACCCGGGAGGCGGAGGTTGCAGTGAGCCAAGATCACACCTGGCTGACAAGAGTGAAACTCCATCTCAAAAAAAAAAAAAAAAAAAGCCATCATTTTCCTAAGTGGCCCCTACTTCAGGCACTTAGAGGAGAGAGACCTGGGCCCCTGAATAAGCAGGGAGGATCCTACCATAGAAGGTCAACTTGAGTGAGGCCTTGAAGGGTATTCGGGGGTCAGAACATCAGGTGGGCTGTGTAACTGCATGTGTTTCCTAGTCTCTCTTCCCATAGCCTGAGTTCCTGTAGGTGAGGTCATAAGTCACTGGTCTCTGGGTCTCTAGGGCTCAGTTTAATGACCCAGCACACAGGAGGCTTTAATGCACATATGTTGAGTGAATGAATGATCAAATTCAGGAGCTACTGTGGGGGCCAGGTGCAGCTCCTTCAGGGCCAGCTGCCTGGGATGTAGGCACGTGGGGTTGGGGGAGATGGGAGAAAAGAAAGGTGAGCTGAGGCCAGAGGTAAAGGACCTTCCGGGCAGGCAGAGGACCATGGGCAGTATCTTGCTGAGCTACAAGCTCAATGCTTCTACGCAGGGAGAGAACACACTGCCTTCTGTTTTTATATCCTCGTCTTCCATTAAGAGGGACTTAATTGCCTCAAAGCACACCCACATCCACGATGTCACTGAGCTTCACACAGCCTGATGAGGGAGCTGACTCCTGCTACTCTCAGAATCACAGCCCAGAGTCTTCACCTGGCCTCCAAGCTGCCTCTCTGCCCACCTTGTCAACCTCATCTCATGCGACTCTTCCTTTCACCCACAAGGTTCCAGGGACCTCATCCTACTCTCCAGTCCTCCAATGCCCCAAGCCCTCCAATTCTCCAATGCCCCAAGTCCTCCAATCTCCCAATGCCCTGAGCTCTCCAATCCTCCTATGCCCCGAGCCCTCCAATCCTCCAATGCCCCGAGCCCTTCAATCCTCCAATGCCCCGAGCCCTCCAATCCTCCAATGCCCCGAGTCCTCCACTCTCCCAATGCCCCGAGCCCTCCAATTCTCCAATGCCCCAAACCCTCTAATCCTCCAATGCCCCGAGTCCTCCAATCTCCCAATGCCCCAAGCCCTCCAATCTTCCAGTGCCCGAGCCTTCCAACCCGAGCCTTCCAACCCTCCAATGCCCCGAGCCCTCCAATCCCCCAATGCCCCGATCCCTCCAATCCTCCAATGCCCTGAGCCTTCCAACCCTCCAATGCCCCGAGCCCTCCAATCCTCCAATGCCCCGAGCCTTCCAACCCTCCAATGCCCCGATCCCTCCAATCCTCCAATGCCCCGAGCCCTCCAATCCTCCAATGCCCCGAGCCCTCCAATCCTCCAATGCCCCGAGCCCTCCAATCCTCCAATGCCCCGAGCCCTCCAATCCTCCAATGCCCCGAGCCCTCCAATCCTCCAATGCCCCAAACCCTCTAATCCTCTAATGCCCCAATCCCTCCAATCTCCCAAAGCCCCAAGCCCTCCATTCCCCCAATGGCCCAAGCCATCCAATCCTCCCAGTGCCCAAGCCTTCCAGTTCCCCAGTGCTACCAACCCCTCCATTCCTCCAATGCCCCAAGCCTTCCAATCCCCCAATGCCCTGAGCCCTCCAATTCTCCAGTCCTCCGATATACCAACCCCTCCATTCCTCCAATGTCCCAAGCTTTCTTGTACACCAAACTCTTCAAACATGCTGGTCCTTCTGCCTGGAACTCTTCCATGCTCTCTTTGCCTCCCCAGCTCCTAGGATCCTTCAGGTCTCAACCTATGTGTCACACCTCAGGGACACCTCCCTGGACCCCTTTGCCATTATAAGTTATATACTCCCATCTGGCTTCTCTCCAAACACCCTCTTATTTTCCCTTGAGCTCTGACCCCAACTTCCAATCATACAGTCACTTGTATAGTTATGCCTCTATTGGCCACTGCTCTGGAAGCTCCTCAAAGGAAGGAACAACATTGATTATATTCAACAGTGTCTACCCTGGTACCTGACTCATGACTGGCACTAACTAAATATTTTTACAGTGAACAAATGATTGATTACAAGACCACCAAGCCAGGCATGGCAGTACCAGCCAAGAACCCAGTCCCCTTGACAACCCATCTCCTGCTCTCTTCCATGACTTTCAGCTTCCCCTCATTTGGTCTCCCCAGATGCTCTCAAGGGAGGCAGTTTGTGGAGGGGAATACATCTGATGGCCCCAACTCAACCCCTAGCATAGCTGGAGCCATCTCCAGGCAAGGGTTTTCTCCACATTCGCTTCAGCTTCTTTGTCTATAAAATGGAAAAACAGTTGTTACCTACCTGGGTAGGCACAAGGGTTGAACGAGGAAGGAAACTATGTGAAGGGCTGAATGGGGGCAGAGTCATGAAAAATGCCGGAGAAATGGAAGACCATGTGTTTGCCACTGGTGCCCTTGTCATGCACTGAAGCCGTTGCATGGAGAGGTAGCGCACATGAGTGACTGAAAGTATGCCCTCTGGAAGCAGACTGAGCTGTGTTCAAATCCAGATCTGTCAGTTACTAGCCTTGTAACCTTCAGCAAATGATCTTGGCTCTCCAAGCCTCAGTGTTCCTATCAGTAAAAGGGGGATAATGAAAGTGGCCCCTCTTAGGGTTCTGGCCCAGGTGAGAGTTGGATACGCATTAGCTGTTCTTGTCATATATCTCTGTTTTTCAGCAGCAGGCATGTAACAGGCAGTCTGTGATGTTTGCTAAATGGGGAAGCGGTGGGGCCTGGGAGGGTGGGCAGGGGGAAGCCGCTTCCATTAGGGGAGAGGGAGAGAAGGAAAGAGGTGATGCTAATCTCTTTTCCCTTCTAGAGCCAGGAGAGGCCGAGAGAGACAGAGACAGGGGTCTGGGGACAAAGGACTAAAGATTAAGTGGCAAGGAGACTTTGGGAGGTGGCAGGGACAGTGATGGGAGGGTGAGGTAGAACTTGTCGCCCCATCCGTGATCTAAGTCCACAGAGCCTAGGAGGGTGAAGGGGAATTACACAACTGAGCTGTGACCAGTTACCAGGGGAGACAAGGACCAATTGTGGACCTGCCTCTAACCTAGGAAGACCATGTTATGGAACAGTCGTCTTCCCCAATGCCTGTCATCCTTATTGGATCCAGAAACTAGAATGCAAGAGTGATATGATATGGGTCTCCCCCAAGCTCCTCGCCCCTTCCTCAGATGTTTATTAAGGATGGCCTTGGGCCAGGAGCTGGTAACTGTGGGAATGCTCTAAGTTGAGTGTGTTGGCAGTTGAGGGGCAGCACAGAAACACAGAAATGTCTCTATGTCCCCGTTCCCCATCCAGTACTTAGCATCGGGGAAGGAGGCTTCTGGGAAGGCCAGGTCAAAGGTCGTGTTGGCTGGTTCCCCTCTGACTGCCTGGAAGAAGTGGCGAATCGCTCTCAGGAGAGCAAGCAAGGTAATGCGGAACCCCCAGCAGTGTTCAATGGACCCTAGGATTCCCACGTCCACTCCTTTCCCTTCCTAATGGGGGTGGGGTACTGGGAGGTAGATGGGAAGACTTGGGCCAGGAGCTCTAGGGCTGGGATTGTGGTTTCCAAAACAAGAGTCCAAGGTTGTCTGTTGTCACCCTGCAGAAAGCCGCAGTGACAAGGCAAAGAGACTCTTCCGGCATTATACCGTGGGCTCCTACGACAGCTTTGATGCCCCAAGGTAAATGTCCTTACACCCTCGGGCAACCCCCCTCACCCCAAGTTCCCTTCACAATGTACACCTTTAAATATTTCCATCACCTCTAAGCCCCCTTTCTAATCTGTTCCTTCTCAAGTTTGATCCAGGGGTGGGATAAGCCAGAATTAGCTTCAGACAGTACAGCCCAACCCCAAACCATCTTCGGCAGCCACTAAGACTGCCCAGCTCTGGGGTAGCCAGAGACAACGGGGTGGTCAGGGCAGGGTGGGGATGCCTGGGGGGGCCGGGGCGCTCTTATGTCTGGCTGGCTGGAGGCCCTTGTCTCCTTCATGTGCCCCATCTCTGTGCAGTCATGTGCAGTGGGAATGTGTGTGTCCCATGCACCGGTGTGGGGAGGGTGCAGTCAGGGCTGGGTGGGATTGGGGTGAGGAGATGGGTGCACTGACACCTTTCCCCTCCCTGGCTGCTGGCTGACTTGCTTCGGAAGCTTAATGGATGGGATTGGCCCAGGGAGGTGAGAGGCGAGGGGCAGGGAGGGGATGGGGTCAGGAGGGGAAGGACGGGGTGCCTGGGGGGCGTGTGAACGTGTGTGCACGACCAGAGCTGAGGTTTCTTGGTGTGTGAACGTGTGTCTCTGTAGGTGTGCATGACACGCATCTGTGTGCATGTGTGGCCTGGATGTACCTGTACCTATGCCCGGGGCTGGAGGGTCTGCCCTGCTCTGTATATACTGGTGCCTTTGTGGCTATGATGACTGTGGGGCTGGCTCTGCACATCTGTGCTTCTCTGAATCCGTGGGCAAGCACCACAGGGCATGTCAGTGAGTCTGCTCACACACATGGACAGGTGGGTCTCTGCACACATCCGTCCCTCTCTGTGCATGTCACTGTGCGTGTGTACTCGCACATTAACGTGTGTGCATGCATGTGCGTCTGTCTGATTGATCTGAGATTCAGGACCTGGGATGTTGGGGGAGGGAAGGGCAGAGGAGGGGAGGATTCCAGGGCTTGGGCCTCCAGAAGGACAGGGCTGTGGGGGAGGGAGGGTCATAATTTGGTGTCTAAAATATGACACTCTCCTCCACTGCTCCCCCCAATCCAGGGAAGAGTCCCCTTGTGCGTAGCATCCTTCCATTAAATGTGTCCAAACCTACGTGTCTGTGTTCTGGCCAGTGGGGATGGGTCGGGGATGGGGGGGACAGAGAAATGGCAACATGGGGAGAGAGGGTGGGGCTGGGGTGCCACCCTGCGCCCCGAGTGTCTGAGGCGCTTGACCGTTGTGCGTGTTTGCCTGGCGCGTCTCCTGCTCTGGGCACCGGGTGAGTATTGGGGTACACCCCCCCACACCCCGAGCTTCTATGTCGGCCTCTGCTTCTTGTCTACCAGTGTCTCTCTGGGTCTCTCCTTGGCCTCCGTCTGTGGGGGTCACTTGTCCTACCAGCTGAATGCGGGTGGTCCCCGTCACCCTCAGCTTCCTCCTTCTACTCTGTCTTGTCAATGGGCTTCCTCCCCTACTCCTCCGTGCCTCTCGCTGGCTCCCACGTGCTGCTGTGTGTGTGGTGCGTCTCAGCTTCCCCTCCTCCTGCCTCCCCGCTCTTCCCGGACCCTGTCTGCGCTGGCCTGGCCTGTGCTGTGCCGTGCGCCCGGCAGCCAGGGCCCAACCCCAGCCTCCCTGCCGGAGCTGGGCGGTCCTTCCGTGTGTCTCCCCTCCTGGCGTGTGCCGCCCCCTCCCCGCGCTGGCTCGGGGTCCACGCTCTCTCGGGGAGCTGTGGTGGTGTGTTCGCCCCTCCGCCTGGGCTTCTCTGGTGGGGGAGGGGTGTTGCTCATGGCCTTGGGGCCCAGTCTGAATGTCCTGGCCTTTCTTGCCGACTGTGTCGAGGTGCGTTGCGTGTTGGTCTGTGGTGGTGGGCTGCGTGTCCCCGCCTGGGGCCTCTCTCACCCGCGGTGTCCCTGCCGGGGAAGCGGGGCTCCGTCCGCGCGTCCGTGCACGCGGCTGCGAGGCATCTTGTGTGATGTTGTGCCTCCCTCTCCCCGCGCTCTCTAGCTCTGCACCTGCGCGGGAGGGCTCTGGAGGGGGGAGGGGGATTAAGGGGGGGCCCAGACCGGAAGTGCCTCCCCTTCTCCTCCCCCCTCCAAGCCTCGCCCCTCCCCCTTCTCCCGCCAAGGGGGCCCCCGCGTTCCCCTCCCGGCCCCCTCCCCCCTGCCCGGCCCCCTCCGCCGCCCGGCGCAGGACGCCAAGGGGTTAAGCCTCGCGCCCGCCGCCCGCCTCCGGAGCTGTCCGCGGTGCTGAAGCCGGCGCCGTCCGCGGTCCTCGCGCTACCGCCGCGGCCCGACCCCGCGCCCCGCGCCCCCGCGCCCCCCGGCATGTGAGCCCCCGGCCCTGCCCTCCCTCCCGCGGGAGGGGGTGCGCGCCCCCTCCCCCTCCCCCCTCCCGGCGCGGGTCAGCATGAGGCGGGGCCTGGGGGCCCGGACACGGGGGTTCGGCCGAGCGGGTACGGGGACGCGGCGGCGGCGGCGGCGGCGGGGGCGGCCGGCACCGGGACCCGGGCCGGGGCTGGGGCCGCGGCGGCGATGGCTTTGTCTGCGGTCGGCGGCGGGGGTCTCGGGGGCGGCCCCGGTGGGAGCTCCCTGCCGCAGCCGCCCCCCGCGCTGTCCTCCAGCTGGCCAGCCCTGGGGCCCCGGCGGCGCAGCGTCTGGTACATCTACAGGTAACGGAGCGCGCCGCCTCCTGCTTTGCGGGCCGGCCGGCAGGCCCCGGCCCGCGGTGGCGACCCTCCCCCGCCGCTAAACCCCAGCCCCAGGGCCTTTCCCCTTCCCCCAACCCGCCCCTTCCCCTCCGCTCCTCTTCCCTAACCTTCTCTCAGCCCGAAATCCCTTTCGGGCCCCTGGTCTCAACCCTTCTCCTCTCCATCTTCCTCCCTGGAATCCTCTCCCCGACCCTCCCCCCTAATACGCACTCGTCAGCCCTGGGAATCTTTTCCTCCACCCCCTCACAGGCCCTTCCAGGCCCCCCTCTGCTCTTCCCCCAAGACCTTCCTCCCAGCAGGCCCCCTAAACCGACCCCCCTCCAGGATTTGGAGCCCACTCGCCTTTCTGCCGCCCTTAGCGCCCCCATTCCCCGGAGCCCTCCCTGTGGGGAGCCACCGTGGCTTACCCGCATCCGCCTACATCCCAGGCCCCTGTCCCTCTGATCCCCACATCCCCACACCTCTTCACGGTGTTGGCAAGTCCCCCCATTCATACCCCTCTCTCCCATTCACAGTCATCCCCCCTCCATCACACACGCATCCCGCCCCCGGCTTCCCCTCCCCTCCTCTTTTTCCGCTGCGTGTCACTGTGCGACGGTGCGTGTGTCAGTGTGGCTGTGTCGATGTGCGTGTGTGTGACTGCCTGCAGCCGCGTGCGTGTGTGTGCGTGTGTGTGTGAGAGAGAGAAATGGAGAGATGGTGGGCTCCCAGCCCACCCCCCAACTGTGTCCATCTGTGTGTCCCTGTGTGACAGCGTCTGTCTCTGTATGACTTGGAGCGACAGCGAGGCTGTCTGGGACTGTGTGTGTGTGTGTGTGTGTGTGTGTGTGTGTGTGTGTGTGTGGTGTGTGCTGGAGTGGGTCTGTCCCAGGGACTGCGGCTGTGCTTCCCAACACCCACCCTCCTGGGCCTGGCCTACCCCTCCCCCACAGGCCCCTACTTCAAGGGTCCATCCTGTGTCTCTGTCCCCATGTGCTCCTCTCCCCTGCCCCCTTGCCCCCGGGGGTCTGTGCATGTCAGGAGTACTTGAGTCACTGGCTCTGCCCTCTGCCCATGTGGGGCACGTGTGCTGAGCCCCGGCTGAGCTGCATGGGGAGCCGCATCCGCTTGTGTGTGCCACTTCTCAGCATGGGGAGGGGGGCTGGCGTCCCTCTGTGGTGGCCTCTGGGCAGGCCATGGACACGGGTACGTGGGAAGGGGCTGAGTGCGGGGTTGGGGGTGCGCCCGTGCACAGCAGCAGGCTCTGGGCTGGCGGACCCTGGGTGTGTGAGAGGGACGTTGGGGTGGGGAGGGGAGTGCAGGCCGCTGCAGTGCCCCTGTGTGTGGGATCCAGTGAACAAGAGCTGGCTGCTGAGCTCTGGAGGCCGCTCAGGGTCGCTTAGGGATGGCCTGGGGAAAAGCATTGTGTGGGCTCCTGCAGGGCAGGTAGTCAGCCAGAGGGAGCCTGAATGGGGTGCTGCAGGGGCAGCCAAGATGGGGGGCAAGGGGGAGGGACTAGAGGGGTCTGGGTAGGAGGTGCAGGGTTGAGAATGGAACAGGGGAGAGTGGGGACACTGAAGTGGGGGAGGGGTGGCGGCTGGAGCACCGAGGGTTCGGAGCAGAGAAATGGGGTGGGGAGGGAATTCAGGGAATGTGGGGGGGTATTTGGGGGTGGGGATTTGGGCAGTAGGGGGAGAATACCAAGAGGACACAGGGAATGTAAATGAAACGCAGCTGCCAGTAAATGCAGGCGGGAGGGCATGTGGTGAAGTGAGTCGAGGGGGCAGAAATAGGTGGAGGTTTCCACGGATGCAAAAGAGGGTACCCAGGAAGTATGAAAGGGACCAGAGGTACTTTAGGGGAGCCAGTGAGATTACTTACGGAGGTGCAGGAGGGTGTGGGAAGGGTGAGGCCAAAGGATGAGGGAGAGGTCGCAGGACAAGGGTGAGGAGGTCACAGAGGTCTGAGGAGGATGTTTAGGGGGAAAGGGGGGTAGGGTGTGTCAGGGGACACGGGAAATGGGGGGATGGCTCCATAGGGTGTGAGGAGGGCTTGTGGGAGTCAGGGATGAGGGGGGTGGGTTAGGGCGATGTGGAACCTCAACATGGCATGGAGGAGTAGGGAGTGAGGTGCAGAGAGGAGGGGTACACAGGAGTTGGGGAGAGGGAGTTTAGAGGTACATGGAGCTGTGGGAGCAAGAGAGCAGTTGGGAAGTTCAAGGAGACTGTGGTGGGATGAGGGCAACACCACGTATGTCCTAGCTGGGGATTGGGTGAGGGAGTCATGGAGCAGAGAGGGGAATGGAGCATGTGTAGGATAGGGGGTGGTTGAGAAGCAGAAGCAGGAACAGGGTGGGTCTGGATGTGGTTGGACCCCCCTCCCTGCCTCAGATCACCACTGGTGTGTGTGTGTATATATATATATATATCTGGTGAATTCAAATCTTGGCTTTGACATTTTTCTAGCTGGTGTCATCTTGAGCAAGTTATTTCTCTGTGCCTCGGTTTCCCCATTTATAAAATGGGAAGAATAACAGTCAACCCTTCCCTGGGTTGTTGTGAGGACTAACTGAATACATAAATGGAAATATATAAATGCAAAGTGCTTGGAATCATGGCTGGCATTCAGTAATAATTCGATAAGTGTTCCTCATTGTCATGGTGTTACTGCCACACCCTGGGATAAACTCCAGGTGCTGCAGGGCCGAGCTCAGGGTGGATTCCGAGCAGATGGATATATGTGCTCAAGGTATTTCGGTGCTGTGGAGTGGAGGGTATTACCACTGCAGTTACCCGAGTATTCTCTTGGGTATTGTTGAAGAATGATACTCACTGTGTGACCTTGGACAAGTTACTTAACCTTTCTGTGCCTCTGTTTCCTCACCTATAAAGTGAAACTAGGGCTGGGTGTGGCAACTCATGCCTGTAATCCCAACACTTTGGGAGGCTGAGGTGGGAGGCCTGCTTAAGTCTAGGAGTTCAAGACCAGCGTGGGAAAGATAGTGAGACCCCCATCTCTACCAAAAAAAAAGATTTTTTTAATTAGTTGGCCATGGTGGCAAGCACCTGTAGTCCTAGGTACTTGGGAAGCTGAAGTTGGAAGATCCTTTGAGCTCAGGAGTTTGAGGCTGCAGTGAGCTATAATTGTGCCACTGCACTCCAGCCTGGGCAAGAGAGTGAGATTCTGTCTCAAAAAATATGAATAAATACATAGATAAAGTAGAACTGGTACTTATCCCTGCCCCAGAGGCTGGTTATGAGAAGACAATTTAATGATCTATCTGTGAAGGGCTTCAGATACTGCCCAGCCAATGGCAAGTGCTCCTTCTTGGCATATTGATATGGGAGTTTTATTGACTATATTGGCTGACATTTGGGGAAGGCTTATGTATGGGGTATGAGGCTGATGAGGGGGCAAGAGAGATTCCAGAGGGGAGGGAGAAAGATGGAGGAAGGGAGGGGTTTGTGGCATGAGTGAAAGAAAGTGAGGTTGCCTCCAGTGAGGAAGGGTGCTGCTGGCTGCTGGGGGGCCTTGGAGACCTGGAAGAGATACAGGAGGAGGAGTAAGAAGGTGGGAATGGGGACATTACAGAATGCATGGTTAGAAACAGGCAGCTCTGACCTCTGAGCCAATTTCTGTGTCCAGTTTCCCCGTCCACTTGCTGTTCTGGCCTTCTCGGCCCCTTTCCTCCCTTCCCCTCTCCCTTTTCCTACCCTCATTCACCCCTTTCAGCCCCTTCCCTCCTTCTCTGCCAACACCTCTCTATCCAGGGGAGGAAGACATGGCGGGTATGGTGTGGATGAGTTTACTGGACTGTTACGAACTTTGAGCGAGGACTGTTGCTGGAGTATGTACATGTGAACATGCGTGGTGTTAGGTGCACTGAGGTGCCACAAGGAGGGTGGCAGCAGGAAGGGAGGACACGTGCACATCCAGAACCCTGTCGCCATGGTGCAAATGTATGGATTTTTACAAGGGGAGCCATGGGGGTCCTGGGAGCATACAGGGGTGCTTGTGGGGGTGGTACCTAAATACAGTGGAGCACAGTAAGTATTATTGGCATTTGCTGGGATGTATGTGTTCAGAGGGCGTGTTATGGGAATACACTGAGATCCGAGTGAGGGGGAGTTATTATTGGAACATACTGGGATGTGTGGGGGTTGCCGAAACATACTGGAGTATTCGAGGACGGCTGTTTTGCTGAATTTGTGGGGGCAGGTAATTGGGGAGCATGCTTGGCTATGATTGGAGTGTATTAGGGCCACATGGATGTTACTGGGATCTGGGTATTATTGGAATACACTGGGATTGTGAGGGTGGGAGGTGCTACAAGTGTGCCCTGGGACAGGCTTTAGACAGTGCTGAAGGAAGCTCAGCACAGCAGAGCACGCGTTCCAGTGACTCCTGGGTGTTCTTGGGTATTCTGAAGGCAGTGGGGTTGCAGCCAGGGTGTCTGAGTATTCCTGATGTAGACTGGGGTGTCGGATCCTCTGGGAATGGAATGGATGTATATTCCTGAGGTGTACAGTGGTCATGTCAGGAGTTTGGGGCTGTTTGAGTGAGCCTTGAGATCCATGAACTGTATCTGAGTTTCATTGACATTTCCTGGGTACGTGAGCCTTACCTAAATGTGCTGGTGGCATTTGATGGCTTTACTGGAAACTACCACCCATATTCATGGGTGCTTTGCATTTTACTATAATAGAATATGCTGACTGCATGCAGTAGCTCCATTTGAGATGCACCAGGGAATACAGAAGACAGTGCTGTCCACGGGGAGCTTTGCAGCAATGGAAATGTTCTATATCTGTACTGTCCAATGTGGTGGCCACCAGCCATGTGCAGCTTCTGCACACTTGGAAATATGGCCACTGTGACTGAGGAATTGAATTTTTCCATTTGATTTTGATTAGCTTTCATAAAAACAGCCACGTGCACCTAGTGGCCACCATATTGGGCAGTGCAGAATTAGCAATTTTACCCTGTGTGGGGTTCCTGGGAGGTGACATATGTATAAAGGAATTTTGAGGGGTATCATCAAAGTACATGAGTCCTCTTGACTTAACACTCTGACCTAAGGACATCGAGCAGATCATATTGAGCACCTACTATGTGCCAGGCACTGTGCGAAATACTAAATGTGTATTACCCCCACTGGATTCCCACTGCAACCCCATCAGGTAGGATCTGTGATAGCCCCCCATTATAGATGAGGGAACTGAGGCACAAAAGGTTAAAGTTGTGGGCTCAAGGTCATAGGCAGGAAGTGACTAGCAGGGACCCAAGCCTGGCTGTCTGGTAATCTGGAAGCTCTTCTCCCCATCCTCCCCACCGTGCCTGGTGCTGAATGGATGGGTGGATGGATGCATGGATGGATGAATGAGGAGAGAGGGAGTGAGAGAGAGAGCATGCCGGCTCTGAGGGGGAAGCCCATCAGGGCTAGCATACACACACAGAGTGGGTGACAGAGATCCTAGGAGATGCAATTAATGGCCCTGGAGCAGAGGTTTGGGTCTGGGTTGCCGGGTGGGGGACAGCCTCTGTGTCTCATGATGTCTTCTCCACTCCCCCCACCACCCCCCCATTTCTCCTGCCTCCCTGCCAGCGATTACATCATTAAGGAGAAGACAGTCTTGCTGCAGAAGAAGGACAGTGAGGGGTTTGGGTTCGTGCTCCGGGGGGCCAAGGGTGAGTGCCAGCCGGGGAGGGGATGGGAGAAGGGCTCTGTGACCCCAGAAGCAGGGCTGAAAATGGGGGCTGGAAAGGGGAAGGGACCCCAGCCCGCCCACCACCCCACCCCGGGGTGCTGGTCCCTCAGCTGCGGTGAGGCCTCCGTGACTTGGGTCTGAGCCCCATCCCCTGCTCGGCCTCTCCACCCCCTCCCCTCCGACCCCGCCGGCTCCTCCCTGTCTGCAGCGCAGACCCCCATCGAGGAGTTCACCCCCACCCCGGCCTTCCCGGCGCTGCAGTACCTGGAGTCGGTGGACGAGGGTGGCGTGGCATGGCGAGCTGGACTGCGAATGGGAGACTTCCTCATCGAGGTCAGTCCAGGCCCCCTCTCTTCCCTGGGACCCTGTGACAAGTTCCCAGACCCCCTCATGATTCACACCAGGATCTGGCTGCCCAGTTTTATTCTCCTTTGGCACCAGGATTCCCAGCCCCCTGCCCACCCCCCAGCCAGCCTCTGCTTTCCCCAGCGATTCCATCTAAAGGCCTCTGAGGCATCTCAAAAGAGTGACACAGAGCTGTCCCCAACACATACACAATACCGGGGGATGGCCAGGCACAGCGGCTCACGCCTGTGATCCCAGTGCTTTGGGAGGCTGAAGCAGGTGGATTGCTTGAACTCAAGAGTTTGAGACCAGCCTGGGCAACATAGCAAGATCCTGTCTCTTAAAAAAAAAATTAGCCGGTGCTGTGTGCCTGAGGTCCCAGCTATTCTGGAGGCTGAGGTGGGAGAATTGCTTGAGCCCAGGAAGTCGAGGGTGCAGTGAGCCATGATTGGGCCACTGCACCCCAACCTGGGTGACAGAGAGAGACCCTGTCTTTTAAAAATAAAAGTAAATAAATAAATAAATACTGGGGACAAGGAGGGAGGGGGAAGTGAATAGGGTAGGCTGAGCCTCTCCCCCAACCCTGGGGCCAGGGAGGGTGGGAAAGGGGGCTTGCCCAGGGAGGCGGTGGTATGAAGGGTCGGAGGGAGAGGAACATAGCCCAGAGGGCCATGGACAGGGCAGCGCAGGAGGCATCCTCCTTGGGGTCTCTGAAGCTGCAAGCACCCCTCCCCTCGTCTACTCTGTGTGATCTGGGGGTGTCTGTGCCACAGGTGAACGGGCAGAATGTGGTGAAGGTCGGCCACCGACAGGTGGTGAACATGATCCGCCAAGGGGGCAACACGCTGATGGTGAAGGTGGTGATGGTCACCAGGCACCCGGACATGGATGAGGCAGTGCACAAGAAAGGTGCTCCTGCGGCCACTCTCGCAGCCACCCCACTGCCACCAGGCTCAGCCCTGCGGGAGCCCCAGGGCTGGTTGCTGCTGCCCAAGGCCTTCCCTTCCCTAGCACTGCTTCTCCGTGACCCTTGTGGGGAGAAACTGAGGCAGGGAGGGCTCCGCACGCTGGCAATGGCTATTCTCTGAGCCCTGGGAGCCCTGTGGTGGTAGAGGGTGGTGGGGGCATCTCCCCCATGATACTGATGCCTCCCCTCATCACCTTTTCAGCACCCCAGCAGGCCAAGCGGCTGCCGCCCCCAACCATCTCCCTGCGTTCCAAATCTATGACCTCAGAGCTGGAGGAGATGGGTGAGCCTGCGGGGCTGCTGAGGCCAGGGGGCCGGGGGGAGAGGGGAAGGAGGGCTGGACCATCCCTTGAGTTCGTTAGTGTTGTTAGTGACCAGGGGTCCTTGTCCTCATCCTGTCCCCAGTCCATGGGTCGGACTCTGGCCTGTGTGTGTGTGTCTCTGGGAAGGGGTGTCTGAGAGACGACTTTCCTCTGTGCTCTTGTATCTGTTTCTCCGTTGGGGTCTCTCTCAGGGTCTGTATGTACCCTCTCTGCGGGTCTCTCTGTCTCCTTCCTTTTGTCCCACCTCACCCCCCAGCCCCATTCAACATCTCTCCCTCCACCAGCTCCCCCCAACCCCCAATAACAGAGGAAAGCGAGCCCCTCCCTCCAGACAAGGCCGAGTGGACCTGGGGGTCCCATTTCCCCTGACAGGGGGCTGGTCGGACAGCTGACCGCCCCCACCCCGGGGCCCCGAGGGAGGCGGGCTTCCAGACAGGGGGCCCCTCACCTTCCCCTGACGTCCTAACTCTTGGCTCCTCTACTGCCTCTCCCCCGGGCTAGTCTCCCCCTGGAAGAAGAAGAGTGGTGAGTGGGCACAGGACTGGCGGGAGGGCCCCCGTCTCCCGACCCCGCCGGCGGACTCGCCCCTCCCTGACCCCGGCCCCTCACTGCCCCTCTCGCGCCCGCCACGCCCACTGGCCCGCACCTGCTGGCCACGCCCACAGGCCGAGCCCGCTCCGCCCCGCCCCCGGGGGCTCCCTGGGCGTCATCCGTGTTCTTTGCCCACAGAGTACGAGCAGCAGCCGGCGCCGGTGCCCAGCATGGAGAAAAAGCGGACCGTGTATCAGATGGCTCTCAGTAAGACGGCCCAGCCCTGCTCCTCGGGATGCCGGGCCCCAGCCCCGGCACCCGCTGCATCCCTGTCCCACCATGAACCCCACGGCGCCCCTCACCTTCCTGCCCCAGAGAGGCTGCGATCCCACCTCCCCTCCCTCCGCCCGCCCTCTCCCGACGGCTGCCCCGTTCCCTGCCCGCACCCCTTCCCACCCTGGGTGCTGCCCACTGGGCTGGGAGATTGTGTCTCCAAGCGGGACTGCCCGTCCACCCGGACCCAGGCAGGGCTGCCCTTTCCTGGTTGATCCAGGTGCTGGATGAACTGCGGGCGGCAGCTCTGGTCTTTGCGGCCCGGGTCAAAGCAAACTTCATTTCATTGTCTTCCCACCTCTGTTCATTCATCTACCCCTAGACAAACTGGACGAAATCCTGGCCGCAGCTCAACAGACCATCAGTGCAAGCGAAAGCCCTGGTCCCGGTGGCCTCGCGTCCCTGGGCAAACACCGACCCAAAGGTTTCTTTGCCACTGAGGTAGGCGGCCTGGTGTGGGGAGGAACTGCCAGGGGGGAGGCGGTTCACACACCAACCTGGAGCCTTTCTCTTTCCAAAACCCTCCTGACGCCTCTGTGCTTTAGGCTGGTCCTGGAGGGGCGACACACATCCTAGGGTTTCCTCCTTTCTCCCAACTTTGGAGACCTCCTTTCCTCCTTATCCCCTTTCCCTCAAATCCCATCTCTGTCCTTTTCTCTCTCCACTTTCCACCCCTGCTATTATACTTGAGCTCTTGCCCCGCCTCTTTGTGTCCCTCTGCGTCCCATCTTAAGGGTCTCAAGGAAGGCAAAATGATGTCATGGATGGAGATTCCCCGGCATAATAATAGATACCCAACACGTAGTACTTATTAAAATATGAATGGTCATGTCTGTTGCCACTCTGTCTGCCTCTCCCCACAACCAGAGGCCAACCTGTAGGGGGTGTTGATAATTTGGGGGACACTGCATTTTATTTTATTTTTCAATTTTTATTTATTTATTTATTTATTTTGAGACTGAGTCTCACTCTGTCGCCCAGGCTGGAGTGCAGTGGGGCAAGCTTGGCTCACTGCAACCTCTGCCCCCCGGGTTCAAGCGATTCTCCTGCCTCAGCCTCCTGAGTAGCTGGGATTACAGGTGTGTGCCACCATGCCTGGCTAATTTTTGTATTTTTAATAGAGACAGGGTTTTGCCATCATGGCCAGGCTGGTCTCAAACTCCTGGCCTCAAGTGATCTGCCCGCCTCAGCCCTCCAAAGTGCCGGGATTACAGGCGTGAGCCACCAGCCAGACATCAAATTTTATATGGATTATCTCATTCATTCCTTAGATTCATCCTGGGAGGTACACGAGGTTGTTAGCCCATTTACAGAGGGGGAAACTGAGGCTCAAGGAAGGAGGGGGGATTTTAACCCAGGCAGGCAGCCCTCTGAACCCATGGTCCTGCCACAGCCCTGGCTATCCTGGTAGGGGCCTGCTGCTCCCTTCCTGGATGTTGCCCCTACTCCACTGGGCTGTGTGCCTTCCCTCCAACACATCCCCCACTAGGCTTGCCAGTGCCACCCCTTACCCTCCAACTGTCTCCTCCAGAGGCCACGCTCTGCCTTGCTCCTCCCTTCCCGCTTCCTTCTTCTCTGCCCAGTCCCCATCCTCTGGCCGCATCCACCACGTAGTGGTCAGGGGTCCATTTACTCTAAAACTGGGTCCTTTGGCTTTTAGGGGGTCATGGATCTCTTTGGCAGGCTGCCGTGGTCCTTCTCAGAATAATGCTTATAAATGCATAACATGAAATAACAAAAGAGGCCAGTTACACTAAAATGTAGTTTCTCAAAATATTTTTCAAAAGCAAAATTTGTGATATCATAATATCATCTTTTTTTGTCAACATGTTAGACATTGGCGGTGGATTTTAACAACTCTAATTTCAAAATCACGAGGCGCATAAACACTATTTTGGGAAATCTGCACCACTGTGATGGGATATGGAGATATCTGTGATTCCTACTGGGGATACAGGCATGGGTCTTGCTGAAACTAGCATGGTTTGCTGCTTACATATTTAATTGAGGAAAGGTTGAGTTTTTGTTGGAGGATGATGAAAATGAAGACATAGGATTTTTTTTCCTGTACAAGTGCACAGGCCCCTGAAGTCTATCCACAATCCCTCATGCTCTGGAGGGGCTCGTACTTTTATAAAAATCAAGAGTAGGAGGCTGGGCTTGGTGGCTCACGCCTGTAATCCTAGCACTTTGGGAGGCTGAAGTGGGCTGATCACCTGAGGTCAGGAGTTCGAGACCAGCCTGACCAACGTGGAGAAACCCCATCTCTACTAAAAATACAAAAATTGGCCGGATGTGGTGGCATGTGCCTGTAATCCCAGCTACTCAGGAGGCTGAGGCGAGAGAATCGCTTGAACCCGCGAGGCGGGGGTTGCAGTAAGCCGAGATCGCACCATTGCACTCCAGCCTGGGCGACAAAAGCGAAACTCTGTCTCAAAAAAAAAAAAACCTTCTTCCTTATATGGAGTCCAAATCTACCTCCCCTGGGCTCTTACCTTTTTTGACCCTGTTTCCTCCTCCTGTGATCTTCTTCTATCCTCAACTGCCCTGCAGCAAACTTCTCATAATTCCTCAACAAACTTCTTCACAACCAGCTTTAAGAAGGAAAGGGCGGTACAGAAACAGAAAGAAAGACAGAGCATGCACATTCCCATTTTACAGAAGATGAAACAGTCTTAGAGATTTGCATTCACTTGCCTGAGACCTTTCATCAAGTGTGTCTCTCATCAAGACAGAACCAAAGTCCAAGACCTCTTCCTGTCCGTCATAGTTTCTAACATCTGCGCTGTTGACACAGTTGGCCCTCATGATTCCCAGATTCTGTGTCTGCGAATTTGCCTACTCGCTGAAATTTATTAGAAGCCCAGAATCAATACGCGAAGGGCTTTTGTGGTTATTCTTGGACAGGCGCAAAGCAGAGAAAATCTTGAGTAGCCCTATGTGTGGGTTCCCAGACGAGGCTGAACGAGGGTGCCTTCTCATTTCGGCTCTTATACTGTGAACGAGTGTCTTTTCTCGGTCTGTTTAGTGCCACGTGCTTTGCATCTTTGGGCCTTTTAGTGGTGATATCAGCGTTTAAAAGGTCCCCCAAGCATGGTGCTGAAGAGCTGTCTAGCGTTCCTAAGTGCGAGAAGGCCGTGATGTGCCTTATGGAGAAAATACGTATGTTAGAGAAGCTTCATTCAGGCATGAGTTAGAGCACTGGTGGCCAGGAGTTGGATGTGAATGAATCAACAATGTATATTAAATAAGGCATCCTTCAACAGAAACATGCATAAAACAAGGTTATGTATTGATTGGTTGAGGGAAATGTGTGGCAACCCCATATAACACAACTACTGCATATAGCCACAATTGCCTGTATTTGGAGCTGCGTAATTCTTTGTTGTGGAAGCCTGTCCTGTGCATTGTAGGATTTCAGCAGCACCCCTGGCCTCTACCATCCGGATGCCAGCAGCAAATACTGCCCAACGTCCTCTGGGGGGCAAAACTACCTCTCATTGAGAACCACTGCCCTGTATCATTCTAAGGTTAAAAGATTTTCAGGGCCGGGCGCAGGGGCTCACACCTATAATCCCAGCACTTTGGAAGGCTGAGGCTGGCTGATCCCTGGAGCTTAGTAGTTCGAGACCAGAGTGGGCAACATGGCAAAAATCCCATCTCTACTAAAAATACAAAAAATTAGTTGGGCAGATGTGGTGGCATGCACCTGTAGTCCTAGCTACTCTGGGGGCTGAAGAGGGAGGATCACCTGAGCCTCCGAGGTTGAGGCTGCAGTAAGCCACGATTGTGCCACTGCACTCCCACCTGGGCAACAGAGAGAGACCACCCTGTCTCTAAAAAACAAACAAACGAAAAAGATTAAAAAGATTTTCAGCCCCAGGATTATCCTAAGTGGACTTAGATTCAGGATGCTACCATCCATATTCACTCACTAAATTATTCAGTATTTATTGGAAGTCTGGAATGTACTCCCACTAATCCCATTTCTTCATGCCTCCCCCCAGTCTGTATTTTACACTCTCCTCCCTCTGAATTTCCCTCTCTGGGTCTCTAACCATACCCCAGGTGTTTCTGTTTGTTCCTGATCCCCCAGAAACTCTATATTAACAGACAAATGGGGATGCAAATCCTGACTTCCTCTAACTTAATTTGCCACCTTGGACCATGTTACTTAATTTCTCTGCATCTCAGTTTTCTGTTCTTTAAAATGGGGCTAAAGTGAAACTTGCCCAGTTCTTATGAGGGTTCCATGAGGTTAACTGTAACACAGCAAACTCCCAACAGAAGGTAAACCCCTCAGGATAGAAAACAGGCCAGGCTGGGCCGGGCGCAGTGGCACACACCTATAATCCCAGCACTTTGGGAGGCCAAGGCAGGCAGATCACAAGGGCAACAGATCAAGACCATCCTGGCAAACATAGTGAAACCCCGTCTCTACTAAAAATACAAAAATTAGCTGGGCGTGGTGGTGTGCACCTGTGGTCCCAGCTACTTGGGAGGCTGAGGCAAGAGAATCACTTGAACCCAGGAGATGGAGGTTACAGTGAGCCGAGATCATGCCACTGCACTCCAGCCTGGCAGTAGAGCGAGACTCCGTCTAAAAAAAAAATAGAAAAAAGGAAAAGAAAATAGGCCAGGTACAGTGGTTCACACCTGTAATCCCAACACTTTGGGAGGCCAAGGCAGGAGGATCACTTGAGGCCAGGAGTTCGAGACCAGCCTGGGCAACATAGTGAGACCCTGTCTCTACAAAATATTTAAAAATTAGCCAGTCATGGTGTGTGCCGAGGTGGGAGGATCACTCGAGCAAGGGAGGTCAAAGCTGCAGTGAGCCATGCTTGCGCCACTGAGCTCCAGCCTGGGCAACAGAATGAGACCTGTCTCAATAAATACATAAATTAATTCACTGAAATAAAATAAACTAGAAAGTCCACCATGGCTCACCAGTGATCTCTGTGTATGCCTCCAGAGACCCCGCAACACCAGAGACCCCACAATAGCGTATCAGACTGAGTGTAAATCTCTGATAAACTAATTAGAGCAAGTCCTGTTTTCATTAATTCAACAAATGCGCAGAGCTCCTGTAAAGTGCCAGGCAGCCACAGTTCTAGGTCTACCCTGCACGAACCCAGTTACAGGACAGTCAAGAGCCTAACCCTCAGGGAACTCACCCTCTGAGCTCCAAAGACCTCCACCCCCAGAGGAGCCCAGACACCAGCCAGTAATAAAACCAGCTGCCCACCTGCCCCTGCCTCCTAGAAATGAAACTCACAAGCACTCACCTGAGTTCTGGGAGACCTCCTTTCCCTCTGTGTCCAGAGGACCCATAGTCATTTGCCCTGTACATCCCCCTCGCCTTTTCTTCTCTCACCTCTTGGATCTGTCCCTGGGCCTTCTCCAGGTCCCCCTCTCATGTCGGAGGCTCTCTCTGCCGCCTTCTCTGCTCCTTCCCACCTGCCATCTTTATCTTTCCCGCTCTCTGAGTCAATACAGATGCCCCTTCATGAGGTTTCTGCATCTTGGTGGCCTCTCTCGACGTCTGGTCTTGTTCTCGGTGTCTCGATTTCCCATTCATTTAGGCTCCTCTCCCCTCTTCACCCTGCATCTTCCCTCTGGTCTAGATGCAGTGGGGTGGGGGGTGCAGTACCCCCCGAGGCTTCTTGGATCAGGTCTGCACAAAAGTGAACAAGAGCAAAGCATTGTATAAGACGCCACTATCAGCCAGGCGTGGTGGCTCACGCCTGTAATCCCAGCACTTTGGGAGGCCAAGGCGGGTGGATCACCTGAGGTCAGGAGTTTGAGACCAGCCTGGCCAACAAGGTGAAACCCCGTCGCTACTAAAACTACAAAAATTTGCTGGGTGTGGTGGCGCACGCCTGTTATTCCAGCTACTCGGGAGCATGGGACAGGAGAATCGCTTGAACCTGGGAGGCAGAGGTTGCAGTGAGCCAAGATCGCGCCACTGCACTCCAGCCTGGGTGACAGGGTGCGATTCTGTCTCGGGGAAAAAAAAAAAAAGATGCCACTATCTAAGGACTTGGAAACTGGGAGATTTCAACCCTCTCCAAAGATGCACTTTTGCATATAACCTAGAGGAGGTAGGGACAGCAGGGGCGCGGAGCCCAGCAGATCCACCCTAGGTCAGGGCACCTCTTGGGCTGTCTCCTCCTAGGGCTCTGCTGTCCATCCGCCCCTCGGTATGGCTTTGGCTTTCTCTGGTACTGTCTTTGTCACCCGCCACTGATGCCCGAGGGCTCCCTCGTGCCCCCTCATCTCTCAGTCTGAGACGTCATTGCTCCCTCTCAGTTGCACTCCCCACTTCTGGGGTTCCCTCCTGGGGCTGCGCAGGCCCTCTCTGAGTCAGAGCTGCCCTCCCTCCTTCCTCTCTGGGCTCTTCCTGCTTCCCATGCTTCCCATCGCCCTCTCATTTCCCCTCTCATCTCTCAGTCCTTGTCTCTCCCCCTTCTAGGCCCCATCTCTGTCTGTCGCTCTTCGCCTCTCTCACTCTCCCTATCTTTCTCTTCCCATCCCTCCCTGTTTCCCCACCTCCCTCTCTCCCCCATCTGTCTTTGTCTCTTTGTCTCTGTCTCTCCATCTCTGTCTCTGTGTCTCCTTGTCTCCCTAGCTCTCTCCTTGTCTCTCTATCTCTGTCTCCTCATCTCTGCCATTGTCTCTCTGTCTCTCCATCTCTATCTCCCCATCTCTGCCTTTGTCTCTCTGTCTCTCTATCTCTGTCTCCCTATCTCTGCCTTTGTCTCTGTCTCTGTCTCTCCATCTCTGTCTCTCTCCCCATCTTTGCCTTTGTCTGTCTGTCTCTGTCTCTCTATCTCTGTCTCTCTTTTTCTGTCTCTCTACGTCTGTCTCTGTGTCTCCTTGTCTCCCTCTCTCTGTCTCTGTCTATCTCTGTCCCCCCATCTCTGTCTCTTCAGTTGTCTCCCCGTCCATTCTCTCCCCTATCCCCTCTCAGGGCTGCCTCCTTAGCAGGAGTTCCCCAGCCACTGGTCAGCGGCAGGACATGCGCTGCCACTGAGGCGCCAGACCACGAGGTGACGGAGAACTGGGCCTTTGGGCGGCGGACTGAAGGGGAGTCTGCCCGGCAGCCAGTGACGTCATGCAAGGCTGCGCACTCTGATTGGCTGTCCCTTCTGCGCGGGAGCGAATGCTCCCGTTGGTTGGTGGAGTTCAGGTGCTCCCTGGGGAGTCAGTGCGATGCCCCATCAGATTGTTATGGTTCCTCCGTCAGTCTGACATCTCTCCTGTCACCCTGACCCTTCTTATGTCAAGCTAACCCATTTTTGTCCCTTCTTCTTCCACATGGTGCTGAAGTGTCTTTTGTCAGCTTGCAAATCTGACGAGGCGTCTGTCACTCTGCACCCTCCTCTGTCGGGGACACCCCTCCCCCTCACTCTAACCAGTTCCCTGCCACTCTAAGCCCTCTCCCGTCACCCTGACCCCTTGCCTGTAACCCTGACCCCTCCCCGTCACACTGACACCCCCCCATCACCCTCACCCCTTACCTGTAATGCTTGTAACCCTGACCCCTCCCCATCACCCTGACCCCTCCCCACACCCTGACCCCTCCCCATCACCCTGACCCCTCCCCATCATCTTGACCCCTCCCCATCACCCTGACCCCTCCCCATCACCCTGACCCCTCCCCATCACCCTGACCCCTCCCCACACCCTGACCCCTCCCCACACCCTGACCCCTCCCCATCACCCTGACCCCTCCCCATCATCTTGACCCCTCCCCACACCCTGACCCCTCCCCACACCCTGACCCCTCCCCATCACCCTGACCCCTCCCCACACCCTGACCCCTCCCCATCATCCTGACCCCTCCCCACACCCTGACCCCTCCCCATCATCTTGACCCCTCCCCATCACCCTGACCCCTCCCCATCACCCTGACCTTTCCCCATCACCCTGACCCCTCCGTTTTCCCTTTGACTCCTCCACTGTCTCTCTTTTACCTCTTCTCTCACCCTGACCCCCACCCTGTCACCCTCACCCTTCCCCATCACTCTGACTCCTACTCTGTCACCTGACCCCTTCTCTGTCACATTGACCTCTCCACTGTCCCCCTGACCCTTCCCTGTCATCCTGACCTCTCCCCCATCACCCTGGTCCCTTCCCTGTCACTCTGACCCTTCCACTGTCACATCAACCCCTCCACTGTCACTCGGATCCCTGCCTCATCACCTTCACCCTCACCTGTCACCTGACCCTCGCCTCTCCCTCTGGCCCCCACCACCTGCCCCCGTGCCCCATGCAGGTGTTTCCCTTGCCTTCCTCCCCTCCTCCCAGCTGTCCTCTCCTGCCTGGACTCTGTTCTTGCTGTCCTCTCCAGCCCTGCCCCTCAGCAGTCCCCGTGTGCTTCCTGACTGGTCACACCCCCTTCTCCTGGCTCTTCGTACCCCTCCCATTTTATCTCAGGGTTTTTGAGCCACTCTGACCTCTTTTCTCCGATGCATCTTGAATCTCCTCCTTACTCGCTGGCTGGTCTAGGATAAGGACCTTTTCTCTCTGATCCACGGCCTCTTTCATTATCATCCAAATGGGTATAATCCACCCTAACTCACAGGTGTGAGGATCCAGTGAGGACACATACGAAAAATAGCAGGTAAAATGGCTCACACAAGAGTGTCTCCTTCCACTTGCCACTTCTCTACTGCCTTTATCTTTTGCAAGGTTCTGCTCTCTGATACCACACAGCTGCAGGACGGGACAGAAAGCCAAGCAGAGTATTGGTCTGTGGCTGAAGGAGGTGGGGGAGGGGGTCAGAAAAACATTCAGCAAAGTGGAGAAGGATTGAGCAGGCTGAGAAGCGCTTAGAGAAGAGCAGCATGGCAGGAAATCCGTCAAAGCAGGGATGCCTTCAGGCGACACCTCCTGAAGCCTGCTTGGAGCTGGCCCTGTGCTGTTTGATGGGGATGTTCAGAGGAACAGGCTGGGGTTTTGCCCTGGAGTTGCTCGCCACATCTTGTCAGGGTGTCTTGTATTGCTTCCAATGAGTTCTTCCTTCTACAAATATTTATTGAGCACCTACTATATCCTGGACCTGCTGCTGGGCTCTCAAGGTATAAGAGTGAATCAGTCAAACAAAGTAACTTCCTTTAGAGAATTTACATTTGAAAGAGGAGACTAGCAGAATTGGGTTCTGCTGCACCTGAGGGAGAAAAAGCAAATAATGGTGGCTTGACCAAGAAAAATGCTTTTATCTCTCTCTTGTTAAAGAAGTATGGGGGCCAGGCATGAGTGGCTCACACCTGTAATCCCAGCACTTTGGGAGGCCAAGGTGGGTGGGTCACCTGAGGTCAGGAGTTCAAGACAAGCCTGGGCAACATGGTGAACCCCTGTCTCTACTAAAAATACAAAAATTAGCTGGGTGTGGTGGTGGGAACCTATAGTCTCAGCTACTCAGGAGGCTGAGGCAAGAGAATCACTTGAACCCAGGAGGTGGAGGTTGCAGTGAGCCAAGATAGTGCCATTGCACTTCAGCCTGGGTGACACAGTGAGACTCCCATCTCAAAAAAAAAAAAAAAAAGTATGAGATAGGAAGTCTCAGGCAGGTTAGCAGCCTCCATGGTCTTAAAGACCCAGAATCCTTCTCAATTTCTGCTCCACCATCTTAGCCATGTTTCCAACTGCAGACTGGCCTCATAGTCCAAAATTGCTGCTGGAGCTCTAGCTATTGCACCAGCATTCCAGGTAGCAGGAACAAGGAAGGGCAGAAAGGCAGAAGGGCAAAAGAGGGCACCTTGCTGCCTCTTGAGTTACCTCCAAGACATCCCAGATGTAACACACAACACTCCCACTTGGGCATCCCGGTTGGCCTTCCTTAGTCATATGGCCACACCTAGCTGCAAAGGAAGCTGGGAAGTGTAGTCTCTCAAAAGGTGCCAAATAAGATTGGCATTTTCTTACCAAGGAAATAGAGTAGAAAGAGTATTGGGGTGGGCTGCATGCCTAGGGAGACAGACAGTAAACAAGCAAGCAAATAATGATGATGACTCCAAACTGTCATCAGTTAAAGGAGTTATGACAGAGTAACAGGAGGAAGCCTCTCCAGAGAGGAGACCTTGGAGCCGAAATCTGAAAGAAACCTGAAACTTGCAGGTCCTACCCACTCCCACCCTTCTATCACCTGTCTAACCTCAACTCCTACCCTTCAGCTCCTGGCCTCCTTCCTATTCCTCCTGAGCCTGCCTGGCTCACCTTCACCTCAGGGCCTTTGCACCTGCTGTTCCACCTGCCTGGAACACTGTTCCTCTACACATCATTATGCCCCCTCCTTCACCTCCTCCAGGAGTTTGCTCAAATAATACCTTCTCAGTGAGGCCTTCCTTGACCTCCTTATTTTATTTATTTTGAGACAAGGTCTTGTTCCGTTACCCAAGCAGGAGTGCAGTGGCACGATCATAGCTCACTGCAGCCTCAAACTCATGGGCTCAAGGGATCCTCCCACCTCAGCCTCCCAAGTAGCTGGGATAACAGGCACATGCCACCATGCACCACTAATTAAAAAAAAAAAATTGGGGGTGAGACAGGGTCTTGCTATGTTGCCCAGGCTAGTCTCGAACTCCTGGCATCAAGCAATCCTCCCACCTCCCAGAGTGCTGAGATTACAGACAGGAGCCACTGTGCCTGGCCAGCCCTTATTTTATTCTATTTTATTTTAGATGAAGTCTTGCTCTGTCACCCAGGCTGGAGTGCAGTGGCACGATCTTGACTAACTGCAACCTCTGCCTTCAGGTTCAAGTGATTCTCCTGCCTCAGCCTCCCTGGGACCGTAGGCATGCACCACCACGCCTAGCTAATTTTTTTGTATTTTTAGTAGAGATGGGGTTTCACCATGTTGGTCAGGCTGGTCTCAAACTCCTGACCTCAAATGATCCACCCACCTTGAACTCCCAAAATGTTGGGATTAAAGGTGTGAGCCACCGCGCCTGGCACCAGCCCATATTTTAAATTACATTCTCCCTCTCTCCTCCCTCTTACCTCCATCTGACCAATGTTATATTTTACGAATTTATGCTGTTTATGGCCTGCTTGCCCTTCCTGTGGGCTGGGACATTTGTCTAATTTGTCGTATCTGCAGTATCTGTCACAGTCCCTGGCATAAAGGAAGTCCTCAATAAATATTTCTGGAATGAATGAATCAATGAGACAAACATAGAAACAGACAGTCCCAATTCAGGAAGGGAAGTGTAGTGAGAGGCATGTAATACAGACCCCAGGAAACTCTGGACTAGAACCAATAGAGCTCTCTGTGATGATGAAATGTTCCATATCTATACTGTCCAATTTGGTAGCCACCAGCCACAGGTAACTGTTGAATACTTCAAATGTGGCCAGTGCAACAGAGAAATTGAATTTTACAAATTAATTTTAATTAATTGAAATTTACACTTGTCTTTTTGGTTGGTCTGTTTCTTTAATGACGCAGTCTCACTCTGTCATCCAGGCTGGAGTGCAGTGGCACAATCATAGCTCAATGAAGCCTTGAACTCTTGCACTCAGGTGATCCTCCCACCTCAGCCTCCCAAGTAACTAAGATGACAGGCATGTGCTACTATGCCTGGTTAATTTTTTTTTTTTTTTTTTTTTTTTGAGACCGAGTGTTGCTCTATCACCCAGGCTGGAGTGCAGTGGCACAATCTCGGCTCACTGCAACCTCCGCCTCCCGGGTTCAAGTGATTCTCCTGCCTCAGCCTCCTGTATAGCTGGGATGACAGGTACATGCCGCCACTCCCAGCTAATTTTTGTATTTTTAGTAGAGGTGGAATTTCACCATGTTGGCCAGGCTGGTTTCGAACTCCTGACCTCAGGTGATCTGCCCACCTTGGCCTCCCGAAGTGCTGGGATTACAGGCATGAGCCACCGTGCCCAGCAATTTTTGTAATTTTTATTTTTGTAGAGACAGAGTCTCCCTATGCTGCCCAGGCTGGTCTCAAATTCCTGGGGTCAAGCGATCCTCCCTAATGTTGAGATTTCAGGCATGAGCCACCACGTTGGCCTGAAATGTACAGTTGAATGGCTAGTGGCTGCTCTAGGGGGGCACTGCAGGCCTAAAGGAAGCGGGTAGCCGGGCCAGGGTGGAGGGCTAAGATAACAGAGCTTTCCCAAGCAGAGCCCAGAGCCCAGGGAAAGGATGCTCCATGCAGAGTCTCGGAAGTGAGAAGCGAGGGAACTGGGAATGGTTGTGAATGGCTGGAGGAAAGAGGCAGGAGGGGGTATAGTGGGAAGTGCAGGAAGTAAGGGTTCATCCCAAAGGTGCGAACTTCATTCCGAGAGGGCTCCCTTTCTCTGCACTTCTGGTCTCAAAGATGGAGAAGGGAGACACATGGGGTGACCTGGCAGAAGCTGGGGAGTCAGGGCCCCGAAGTGCCTGACCTTGGCTGATTCTCCCTGTTACTCATCTAACACTTGCTTGTAGAACAGCAGGCCCTATGCGGGGACCGGGGACTCAGTAGGAAAGGAGACTGATAAAGTCACTACCCTACCCTCAGGCAGGTTTCATAATGACTTCCATGAACCTTAGGCACTTTTGCCCTTCTGCATTAAAAAAAAAAAAAATAGGCCAACACGGTGGCTCATGCCTGTAATCTGAGAACTTTTGGGGAGGCCAAAGTGGGAGGATCGCTGGAGCCCAGGAATTTGAGATGAGCCTGGGCAACATAGCAAGAACTCGCCTCTGCAAAAAAATTTAAAAATTAACTGGATGTGATTGTGCCTGCCTATAGTCCCAGCTACTCAGAAGGTTGGGGTTGGGATCGCTTGGGCCCGGGAGGCCAAGGCTGCAGTGAGCCGTGTTAACGCCACTGCACTCCAGCCCTGTCTCAAAAAAAAAAAAAAAAGTTTAAATTTTATGACTTTGTTGCTGCAAAGACCGATATTATCCAGGGTACAATTTTCTCTTTTCTTTTTTTCTTTCACTTCTACTTTGAAAAGAAATGAAAACACTTCCCCTAAAAGCATCATGGGCCCTAGACACTGTAGGTGCGATGCCTGGGATACATCAGCCCCGCCTTCAGGGAGTTTCTAGGCTAGTGGAGGAAACAGACAGCAAGTAAACAAGATGGTTTCTGGGGAAGAGAGATGCTGTGAAGAAAATGGGACAGAGGGAAGTGCAGTCTGGGTAGGGGGCCGGGGAAGGTCTCGCCGAGGAGAACTTCGCGCTGAAAAGGAACTGTGACAATAAGAGGGAAAGCTGTTGCCGAGAGAACCAGGGCTCGCAGGTGTTCTCCAATGAGGGTAGACCTGGGGCTGACAGAGGAGAAGGAAGAGGTGGGGGTGGAGGTGGACCAAGGGAGCAAGTGGGAAATGGGGGCAGGGCTGGGTCCCGCCTGCAGGACCTGTCTTCGTGTGGGCTTCCCTAGAACGGGAGCCGGAGGTGGGGATTCCTGTACCAAGGGTTTGCTACGGGGGAACCTTCAGGGAGTGTGGGAGACTGGCTGGGGTTGTGGAAGGAAGTCAAGCAGACACGGTTCACGCTGGAGTGGGAACCCATGGGGTCAGGCTGGGCACCCCGGCTTTAGTGCTGCCTCGGGCCTCCGTATCCGTCCATCGTGGGCTGTGGGCTGCTCCAGGAAGCAGGGACACATAACGGACTGGGCGAGTCCAGGACTCTGAAGGAGGGTGATTCTTAAGGGCTGCAGGCAGGTGACCCTCCCAGCAGTGGGTGAGGGATGGGATGCTGCATCCAGGGGGAGGGCAGCTGCAGGGGCACCAGCAGTGCCTGCCATAGAGGGTCTTGTAGACCAGAGTTGGGAGTTTGGTCCCCTCTGATCTCCTCCTAACTGACATGGGATTTCAAGCAGGGGCAATAGCATGCTTTTTGAAAGATGCCTCTGACTCTTGTGTGGAAAACAGACTGGAACAGGGTGGGGGATCAAGGATGGCAGCAGGGAGATGAGGGAAGAGGCTGCTCCATCCCGGAGAACACTGGTGGGGACCTGGATGTGGGCAGTGGCTGGAGGAAGGAAGCAGATCAAGAGTCGATGGAAAATCTGCTTTCTTCTCCTTTCTTTCTCCTTCCTGCCCAGACTTGAGGCTTTTCATTCCCGCAGAATTCCCTTTCGCCTTCTTTTCTTTTTTTTTTTTTTTTTTTTTTTTTGAGACAGAGTCTGGCTCTGTCGCCCAGGCTGGAGTGCAGTGGTGTGATCTTGGCTCACTGTAGCCTCCACCTCTCCACCTCATGGGTTCAAGTGATTCTCAAGCCTCAGCCTCCCGAGTAGCTGGGATTACAGGCGCCTGCCACCATGCCTGGCTAATTTTTGTATTTTTAGTAGAGAGACGAGGTTTTGCCATGTTGGCCAGGCTGGTCTTGAACTCCTGACCTCAGGTGATCCTCCTGCCTCAGCCTCCCAAAGTGCTGGGATTACAGGCGTGAGCCACGTTGCCCGGCCTCCTTCCACCGTCTTCACACTGCTCTCCCTTACGGCAGGGGCTTAGGGAAGGAATGGGGGCAGCCGTATAGTGAAGCCACAAGCCTTTCTGCGCTGACTGATCTCTCTCTATCTTTTCTCTCTCTCCCCCTCTGACTGCCGCTCCAAAGTCGAGCTTCGATCCCCACCACCGTGCCCAGCCAAGTTACGAGCGTCCTTCTTTCCTGCCTCCAGGACCTGGGTTGATGCTCCGGCAAAAATCTATCGGTATGCCACCCAGAAGAAGAGATGTGGGGGCTGGGGGAGGCCAGGAACGTGACAGTTCAGGAAAAGCAAGCAGACTTGGAAATGTTCTGTGCTCCCAGAGAGACCATAGTTTCATCAAATTGGGTTAAGAGTTCAGGCTTTGGAAATGGGTGAACTTGGCCATGAATCCTGGCTCCCCTCCTTCCCAGCTGTGTGAACTGGGGCAGGTGGCTTGACTTCTCTGGGCCTCTGGCTCTACATCTGGAGAATGGGGATGCAGTGAGCTAAAGCCCCCGCTACAGCTTTCTGGTTGTTTCTCTTATACCCGATTCCATCCATTCATTCATTTTACAAGTGTTTACCAAGCGCTCCCCACATGCCAGGAATTGTTCTAGAATGGGGATACGTCAGCGAATAAAACAGACTAAAGGTTCCTGCCCTCATGGGCTTGCCTTATAGCAGGGGAAGACAGATAATGGATTATAAGGAAAATAAGCAAGAAAATTATCTAGTATGTTAGCAGTTGTACGTGCTATGGAAAACAAAAAAAAGAGTGGGCCGGGCGCAGCGGCTCACGCCTGTAATCCCAGCACTTTGGGAGGCCGAGGCAGGCAGATCACAAGGTCAGGAGATCGAGACCATCCTGGTTAACATGGTAAAATCCCATCTCTACTAAAAATACAAAAAATTAGCCGGGTGTGGTGGCGGGCACCTGTAGTCCCAGCTACTCAGGAGGCTGAGGCAGGAGAATGGCGTGAACCCGGAAGGCAGAGCTTGCAGTGAGCCGAGAACGTGCCACTGCACTCCAGCCTGGGCGACAGAGCAACCCTCTGTCTCAAAAAAAAAAAAAAAAAAAAAGAGTGAAAAAAAATAATGGAGTAAGGTAAGAGAGATAGGGAGTGCTGGGTAGGGGGCAGGGTGCAGGTTTGAGCTAAAACCTATAGATGGGCCAGGCACAGTGGCTCACACGTGTAATCCCAGCACTTTGGGAGGCCGAGGCAGGCGGATCACAAGGTCAGGAGTTCAAGACCAGCCTGACCAACATGATGAAACCCCATTTCTACTAAAAATACAAAAATTAGCCAAGCGTGGTGGCATGTGCCTGTAATCCCAGCTACTCAGGAGGCTGAGGCAGGAGAATAGCTTGAACCCGAGAGGCAGAGGTTGCAGTGAGCAAAGATCGCACCATTGCACTCCAGCCTGGGCGACAGAGCGAGACTCTGTCTCAAAAAAAAAGAAAAGAAAAAAAAACACCTAGAGATGAAGTGGGGAATCGTGAGGCTCCCTGGGGTTGAGGCATTCCAGGCAGAGCGAACTACCTCTGCAAAGGTCCTGAGGTCGGGCTGAGTCTGGTGCGTTTACAGAACAGGGAGGAGGCCTGTGTAGCAGGGGCCAAGTGAGCACTGGACATGAGGGCAGTGGGGGGACAGGGTCCCGATCCTGCAGGGTCTGGGGAGTCATGGTGAGGACTTGAACCTTTGCCCTGAGTGAGGTGAGTGAATGGCAGGGCTCTAAGCAGAGGAGGGACATGAGCTGACTTCGGTTTTAACAGAAACCCTCTGGCTGCTGTGAAGGGACTAGATTGAAGGGGATGAGCTGGGAAGCCGGGGGACCAAAGAGGAGGTGACAGCTATTGCTATCCAGATAGGAAATGATAGTGGCTGGCCCAGGGTGTTGACTCTGGAGGGGTGAGAAGGGATTGGATTCCGGATATGTTTTGAAACAACAGGATTTGCTGGTGGATTGGATGTGGGTGACTTGAGGAAGAAAGCTAAGAGTGGCTGCAAGGTTTTCAGTCTTAGCACCTGAAAGGACAGAGCTGCTGTTTGCTGCGGTGGTGGGGAGGGACCGTGGGCTGGGAGGAGTCTGTTGGTGAGGAGATCAGGAGCTTGGGTTGGAGCGTTTGGAGTCTGAGATGCCCGTGAGACAGCCAGCTGGGTGTGGGTATTTGAATATAGGGGCCCAGAGCTCAGGGCGGAGGATGGGGCCCCAGGCATAAACGTGGGCGTCGACAGCAGAAAGGCAGTGAATGAAGCTGGTCACTAGTTGAGAGGGAGTAGTCAGAGGTGAGAAGAGGTTCAAAGACCGAGCCTTGGCAGTGAAGTAAGCAAAGACTTAACTCCTGCACGCCTCCTGGAGTTGTTTTTCCCTGATTGGATTCAGCTTTCCCCAACTCCTGGCGTTCAAAGTCCACCAGTGTGAGTCTTACACTCCCACTGAGTGTGGGGTCCACCTGGCTCGCATCGTTTACCTGATTTTTTTTTTTATAGATCCAATCCCTTTTAAACTTTAGCCTCATCATAAGTGGTTCTCTCTGTAGAATCACAGCTTTGATGTGCTGGTTGCATTTCTTTCCCGCATATACGTGAAAAGAAACACGCATCTATGCATAAACACGAGGGGACTATCCCTTCCCAGCTCCAGCCACTTTTGCTGGCCCCAAACCGTTCACTGAGCCTTTGAACGGAATTAGAAAATGGCGCCCCCTCCTGGCGTGGGGAGGAAGTTCTGCTGAATTTCAGTTTCCTCACCTTCCTTGCGGTTTGCAGTTGTGCAGTGCACAACCTGTACCTCTGTATGAAGCAGATTTGGGTTTACCTCAAATAGGGAAGAGCTGGGCGAGTCCACGTGAAGTTCCTGGCATATACGGGGTGCCATTCTTGTCATTAGTATTGTTGCGGTTCTATGGGATAGTGGAGCAGGGAGACCCTCCCCGCCAGGGTCCCCCTCCTTGAGCCTCTGTATCTCCCCAGGTGCGGCAGAAGATGACAGACCTTACCTAGCACCCCCAGCCATGAAATTCAGCCGCAGCCTGTCTGTGCCTGGTTCGGAGGACATTCCCCCGCCACCCACCACGTCCCCACCGGAGCCTCCCTACAGCACACCTCCAGTCCCCTCCTCCTCAGGGCGCCTCACCCCCTCCCCTCGGGGAGGGCCCTTCAACCCTGGCTCTGGTGGCCCCCTCCCCGCCTCCTCCCCTGCATCCTTTGACGGGCCCTCCCCTCCCGACACTCGCGTGGGGAGCCGCGAGAAGAGCCTGTACCACAGTGGGCCCCTGCCCCCGGCCCACCACCACCCGCCCCACCACCACCACCACCACGCCCCGCCCCCTCAGCCCCACCACCACCACGCCCACCCCCCTCATCCTCCCGAGATGGAGACAGGCGGCTCTCCCGACGACCCTCCACCCCGCCTGGCTCTGGGGCCCCAGCCCAGCCTGCGAGGCTGGAGGGGCGGCGGGCCCAGCCCGACCCCGGGGGCCCCGTCCCCATCGCACCACGGCAGCGCGGGCGGGGGCGGCGGCTCCTCCCAGGGCCCGGCTCTACGCTATTTCCAGCTGCCCCCGCGGGCGGCCAGCGCAGCCATGTACGTGCCCGCCCGCTCGGGCCGCGGCCGCAAGGGCCCGCTGGTCAAGCAGACCAAGGTGGAAGGCGAGCCCCAGAAGGGCGGCGGCCTCCCGCCCGCGCCGTCGCCCACGTCCCCGGCCTCCCCGCAGCCGCCGCCCGCCGTGGCCGCGCCCTCGGAGAAGAACTCCATCCCCATCCCCACCATCATCATCAAGGCCCCGTCCACCAGTAGCAGCGGCCGCAGCAGCCAGGGCAGCAGCACCGAGGCGGAGCCCCCCACCCAGCCGGAGCCCACGGGAGGCGGCGGCGGCGGCGGCTCCTCGCCCAGCCCCGCCCCGGCCATGTCACCCGTGCCCCCGTCCCCCTCGCCCGTGCCCACCCCCGCCTCGCCCAGCGGCCCGGCCACGCTGGACTTCACGAGCCAGTTCGGGGCCGCCCTGGTGGGGGCGGCCCGGAGGGAGGGGGGCTGGCAGAATGAGGCGCGCCGGCGCTCCACGCTGTTCCTGTCCACCGACGCGGGGGACGAGGACGGCGGGGACGGCGGGCTGGGCACAGGGGCGGCCCCGGGCCCGCGGCTGCGCCACTCCAAATCCATCGACGAGGGCATGTTCTCCGCCGAGCCCTACCTCCGACTGGAGTCTGCGGGCAGCGGCGCGGGCTACGGCGGCTACGGGGCCGGTAGCCGAGCCTACGGGGGTGGCGGGGGCAGCAGCGCCTTCACCAGCTTCCTGCCCCCGCGACCCCTGGTGCACCCGCTGACCGGCAAGGCCCTGGATCCCGCCTCCCCGCTGGGGCTGGCCCTGGCCGCCCGCGAGCGAGCGCTGAAGGAGTCCTCGGAGGGCGGCGGGGCCCCCCAGCCGCCTCCCAGGCCCCCATCGCCCCGCTACGAGGCCCCGCCGCCCACCCCGCACCACCACTCGCCCCACGCCCACCACGAGCCAGTGCTGCGTCTCTGGGGGGCCTCCCCGCCGGACCCTGCGCGCCGGGAGCTGGGGTACAGGGCCGGGCTGGGCAGCCAGGAGAAGTCCCTTCCCGCCAGCCCGCCCGCCGCCCGGCGTTCCCTGCTACACCGCCTGCCGCCCACCGCTCCCGGGGTGGGGCCCCTCCTGCTGCAGCTGGGGACGGAGCCCCCGGCCCCGCACCCCGGAGTAAGCAAGCCCTGGAGGTCCGCAGCCCCCGAAGAACCCGAGCGGCTGCCGCTGCACGTGCGGTTCCTTGAAAACTGCCAGCCCCGGGCCCCTGTGACGAGCGGAAGGGGTCCCCCCTCGGAGGACGGGCCGGGGGTCCCGCCGCCCAGCCCACGCCGGTCCGTGCCCCCCTCCCCGACCTCCCCGAGGGCCAGCGAAGAGAACGGGCTGCCCCTGCTGGTCCTGCCGCCTCCCGCCCCCTCGGTGGATGTGGAAGATGGCGAATTCCTTTTCGTGGAACCGCTGCCTCCGCCTCTGGAATTCTCCAACAGCTTCGAAAAGCCAGAGTCGCCCCTCACGCCTGGGCCTCCCCACCCGCTGCCCGACACACCTGCCCCTGCCACCCCGTTACCCCCTGTGCCACCCCCGGCTGTGGCCGCAGCCCCTCCCACCCTGGACTCCACCGCATCCAGCCTGACATCCTATGACAGCGAGGTGGCCACCCTGACCCAGGGGGCCTCCGCCGCTCCTGGGGACCCCCATCCACCAGGCCCGCCTGCCCCAGCAGCACCGGCTCCCGCTGCCCCACAGCCTGGCCCGGACCCTCCGCCTGGCACGGATTCTGGCATCGAGGAGGTGGACAGTCGGAGCAGCAGTGACCACCCACTGGAGACCATCAGCAGCGCCTCCACGCTGAGCAGCCTATCTGCCGAAGGTGGTGGCAGCGCAGGGGGTGGGGGCGGGGCTGGGGCCGGTGTGGCCAGTGGGCCGGAGCTTCTGGACACCTATGTGGCCTACCTGGACGGCCAGGCCTTTGGGGGCAGCAGTACTCCCGGCCCGCCATACCCTCCTCAGCTCATGACTCCCTCTAAGCTCCGGGGCCGGGCGCTAGGAGCCAGCGGAGGCCTGCGGCCTGGCCCCAGCGGGGGACTCCGAGACCCTGTTACCCCCACCAGCCCCACCGTCTCGGTGACAGGGGCTGGAACCGATGGGCTGCTGGCCCTGCGTGCTTGTTCAGGACCCCCCACGGCAGGCGTGGCGGGGGGTCCGGTGGCTGTAGAGCCAGAAGTCCCACCGGTGCCCTTGCCGACGGCCTCCTCTCTGCCCCGGAAGCTGCTGCCCTGGGAGGAGGGCCCGGGCCCACCGCCACCACCTCTGCCCGGGCCCTTGGCCCAGCCTCAGGCCTCAGCCTTGGCCACAGTAAAAGCCAGCATCATCAGTGAACTCAGCTCCAAGCTTCAGCAGTTTGGGGGCTCCTCGGCAGCTGGCGGCGCTCTGCCCTGGGCCCGAGGAGGCAGTGGGGGAGGCGGAGACAGCCACCACGGGGGAGCCAGCTATGTCCCCGAGAGGACCTCCTCCCTGCAGCGGCAGAGGTAAGCGGGGGCTGGTGGCCAACAAGGGAGGCCAGAGGTGTTGATGGCATGGCTGTGTCCCTTTAGGGTCTCAGGGTGGCAGAAAGGAAACAGAAACCAGGTTGGCAGGAGTTTGCTGTCACAGAAGCATGCTTTCACAAATATTTTCTTTTTCTTTTTTTTTTTTTCTTTTCTTTTCTTGAGAGGGAGTTTCACTCTTGTTGCCCAGGCTGGAGTGCAATGGCGTGATCTCGGCTCACCACAACCTCTGCCTCCCGGGTTCAAGCGATTCTCCTGCCTCAGCCTCCCATGCCACCACACCCAGCTAATTTTGTATTTTTAGTAGAGATGGGGTTTCTCCATGTTGGTCAGGCTGGTCTCGAACTCCCAACCTCAGGTGATCCATCCGCCTTGGCCTCCCAAAGTGCTGGGATTACAGGCATGAGCCAACATGCCTGGCTTTTTTTTTTTTTTTAGAAACAGGGTCTCACTCTGTCACCCGGCTGGAGTGCAGTGGTGTAATCATAGCTCACTTGCAGCCTCAAACTCCTGGGCTCAAGCAATCCTCTGGGACTATAGGTGCACGCCACTATGCCTGGCCAATTTTTCTTTTCTTCTTCTTTTTTTTTTTTTTTTTTTTTTTTTTGAGACAGAGTCTCACTCTATTGCCCAGGCTGGAGTGCAGTGGTACAATCTCAGCTCACTGCAACTTCTGCCTCCCAGGTTCAAACGATTCTCCAGCCTCAGCCTCCTGAGTAGCTGCGATTACAGGTGCCCGCCACCATGCCCGGCAAATTTTTGTATTTTTAGTAGAGATGAGGGGTTTTGCCACGTGGGCCAGGCTGGTCTTGAACTCCTGACCTAAGGTGATTCATCCCACCTCGGTCTCCCAAAGTGCTGAGATTCCACACATGAGCCAGCATGCCTGGCCCTGGCCATTTTTTCTTTAACTTTTTGTAGAGACAAGCTACGTTGACCAGGCTAGTTTCAAACTCCTGGGCTTAAGTGATCCTCCTGCCTTGACCTCCCAAAGTGTGATTACAGGTGTAAGCCACTGGGTCCAGCCTTTAAATTTCCATTTATTTCAGTAGCTTCTGTTGTCTCTGCCCATCACCATCACAACCTACATCCCATGATGAACAAAAAGTTATTAACAGGCTGGGCGTGGTGGTTCACGCCTGTAATCCCAGCACTTTGGGAGGCTGAGGCGGGTGGATCATGAGGTCAGAAGATCGAGACCATCCTGGCTAACACGGTGAAACCCCATCTCTACTAAAAAAAATACAAAAAATTAGCCGGTCATGGTGGTGGGCACCTGTAGTCCTAGCTCCTCAGTAGGCTGAGGCAGGAGAATAACTTGAACCCGGGAGGCCGAGGTTGCAGTGAGCCAAGATTGCACCACTGTGCTCCAGCCTGGGTGACAGAGTGAGACTCCGTCTCAAAAAAAAAAAGTTATTAACAAAGGAGACTGGAGTGAGACCTGCTTATGTTTGTTTCCTTGGTGAGCTGCCACTTCTTTCTGACAGTCCCTGAAATCTGTGAGTCCCTTGAAGCCAGTGTGGTTCAAGACAGGATGCAGTTATAGGTGTGGTTCTAGAGCCCACCTTCTCAGCTTCCAGTCCCAACCCTGCACTTTCTACCTGGGTGATCTTAGGCAAATGAATCCACCTCTCTGTAGAAGTGGAATGGCCTAGTGCCAGCCCAAAGAGTTTTTGAGAGGATTTAGTGTGTGCCATTGTTGTAACATGGGATGGGGGAAGAGGGGGCCTCGAACAAGAGCCCAGCAACTTCTACGTGGGGAAATACGGGATGATGCAGATGCTTCCCAGAGCAGCCAGTCAGCTGCATCGTCGCAGAATTCGAGCCCATTCAAGACCTTCTAGTCCTAGAGAAAGTAGAGTTACATTTCTGCTTCAGATACACAGAGGGTTGGGAGCAGGTTTTAAATATCCTTGTCCATCTACAGAGTTCACTTGAATTCTGTTTGAAGGTCTGCTATCCAAATGTGTCTGACCTTCAAATGTGGGTTCAGGGAGTGTATATTTGGGGCAACTTAAATCTATGCTCCCAGGTTGAAAAAAAAAAAAAAAGAAAGAAAAGAAAAAGGAGGCTGGGCACAGTGGCCTGCCTCTGTAGTCCCAGCTACTCAGGAGGCTGAGGTGGGTGGATCACTTGAGCCTGGAAGGTTGAGGCTGCAGTGAGCTGATATGACACCAAGGCACTGCAGCCTGGGGAACAAAGTGAGACCCTGTCTTAAAAAAAAAAAAAAAAAGAGAGAGAGAGAGAGAAAGAAAAGAAAAAGGAAGTGTATATTATTAGAGCAACTTGAATCAATGCTCCTACGCTGTAAAAATAAACAAACAAATGTGGGTTTATTAGGCCTTTAAGAACTGAATGCAATTCCTTGACTATTCTTAAGTATTCTGGTTAGAGAAGAGGATTTTTTTTTTCTTTTCTTTTTTTTTTTTTCCACTGCTTGTAGCAGCAACAGGAAGGATGCTTAATTCAGTCAACAATTGCATTAATTATTGACTCATGACCTATGTGTGCAGAGTGCCCTTCTGGGTGATGGGATCCCCTGCTGGACAGGACAGGCAAAGACTGTGCAACTCCACAGGGCTCATAGTCTAGGGACATAGGAGTGGGGGCGGGGCAGTAAACAAAATAATTGCAACCATCCTACAAAAAAAGCTACCACAATGGGATGGGTGGAGAAGGTCTCTCATGTAACAGGCAAGGTGGGCAGAGTAATGAAAGTGGAGAGGGAGCAGCTGCCCAGGGCAAGAGTGAGCCAGGCAGGGGGAGCAGCCAGTTCAAAGGCCCTGAGGTGGGACAGTGCTGGAGGGGAGGGAACGAAAGGGATGAGGGGAACCTTTTTCTCCCCTTGTTTCTTCTCTCTTTCATCTCCCTCTCTTCATCTCTCTCTCTCTGTGTCCCCTGTCCCTTCCATCTCTCTCCCCTGGATGCTCACCCTCTTTTTGTCTCTCTCTCACTGTCTCCCCATCTTTCACTCTGCTACGACTGGCCATAACCTGAAAGGCAGTATAGAATAGTGGTGAAGAGCTCAGACTTTGGTGCCATATAACCGGGCTCTGCCACTTCCTGTGTGTCCTTAGGCAAGTTATTTAACCTCTCTGTGCTGATAATAATAGTAACCTGCATCAGGGCTGTCGTGGGGATTAAACTGAGATGCAATCATGTAAAGCACTTAGAACAATGCCTGGCACACGTGAGCATCAGTAAGCGGTGACGATTATTATTATTATCACTTAATGTCTCTTTTTCTTTCATCTCTCTTAACTGTCGCCCTCTCCCTGTCCTCTCATCTTTCTCTCCCTTCATTTCTTTCCTCGACGGCCGGCCGTCTTACCCCTTGCTCCCTCCATTTCTTCCCGTCTCTCCTCCGTCTCTCCCCCTACCCTTATGTCTCTCCTCCTCTCTCCCTATATCTTGACCTCTGCCTCTTTCTCACCCCTGCCCTTGCCCCCTAAATCCCTGTCCTCCCCCACTGCCCCCTTGTCACATTCCAGACTCTCCGACGACTCCCAGTCCTCACTCCTCTCCAAGCCTGTCAGCAGCCTGTTTCAGAACTGGCCCAAACCACCTCTGCCGCCACTCCCCACCGGAACAGGGGTCTCCCCTACAGCCGCTGCGGCCCCAGGGGCCACCTCACCCTCAGCCTCCTCCTCCTCCACGTCCACCCGCCACCTCCAGGGCGTGGAGTTCGAGATGCGGCCCCCTCTGCTCCGCCGGGCCCCCAGCCCCTCGCTGCTGCCCGCCTCGGAGCACAAGGTCAGCCCTGCGCCCAGGCCCTCGTCCCTGCCCATCCTGCCTTCCGGACCCCTCTACCCAGGCCTCTTTGACATCCGTGGCTCCCCAACTGGAGGGGCAGGAGGCTCGGCTGACCCCTTCGCCCCAGTCTTTGTGCCGCCACACCCGGGGATATCCGGGGGGCTCGGGGGAGCCTTGTCAGGGGCCTCGCGCTCCCTCTCACCGACCCGCCTGCTCTCGCTGCCCCCGGACAAGCCGTTTGGCGCTAAACCTCTGGGGTTCTGGACCAAGTTCGACGTGGCTGATTGGCTGGAGTGGCTGGGTTTGGCGGAGCACCGAGCCCAGTTCCTGGACCACGAGATCGATGGCTCCCACCTGCCCGCCTTGACCAAGGAGGACTACGTCGATCTAGGTGTGACCAGGGTGGGCCACCGCATGAACATCGACCGGGCTCTCAAATTCTTCCTGGAGAGGTGATGGCTGGCCTGGACGGACCAGCCCCGTCCACAGAACTCTTGAGCCTGCTGGCCTCTTGACCTCTGACCCCTGACTGTCATTCTCTCCCCGGGCCAGGGACTCTGTTCAAACTGCGCCCTGCCCTCATCTCCCAAGGCCAGAGGTCACCAGGTGGCCCAATCCAGGCCGGACATTTGCACCTCACTGAAGGGGGGCAGCTGACACAAGAGTGTGTGTGTGTGTGTGAAGCGGGGAGCGGAGGGGGGATAGGAGAAATTACAGAGGGGAATTGAGAAGGAGGGAAGGGCCTATTCTGGGGGGAGGGGATAGACAGAGCCATAGAGGGTCAGCCCTGAGCCCGATTGGATGGGGACTGTCCCCCAGGCCGCAGGGGAAGGGGGTGCCCTCGGATTCCACCACCTGCCACCCCTCTAACAACCCTTCCCACTCTCTCCAGGCCCCTCAGCTCTCCCCCCTTCCCCTCTCCCCAGCACACACAGCTGCCCCCCTCAGCCTCTTGCACGCTCCGTTGCACGCCTGCTCACCTCTCTCCCCTCCCGTCCCCGGGCTGCAATTTTGCACAAATTTGCCCTCTCGCTGTCTTGCACATTCTGCCTTTGCTTCTGGCTGGCGAGGCCCGCTCAAATACACTCTGCTCTCCTCGCACACGCTGCATTTCCTTTCTCACGCTCCATGCCTCCTTCTCTGCTTCTTGCTGCTTACACACTTTTCCCCTACCAGGGCCCTCCTTTACACACTCCATTTCACATCTCCTCCTCCCCGCTCGCTCTGGACCCTTGTTGCAGACACACTTGGGACACATTTTCCCTCCCCCTCACAGACTCCATGCACATCATTCATTCTCTGGAGTGCCCTGCTCTTTGCTCAGCCCTTGCACACTTGCTATCTTATGCACCCCTCCTGACACACTCTTACCTCCATTTTCTTACGTTGAAGCACTTTCCCTTCTTATTCTTAAAAACCCCAGATTCTTCCACTCCCCAACTCTCCCCTCTCACCATGACACTCCTAGCCCCCCACCCCCCGCCTTCCCTCTTGCCCCTTTTGCACCGTCACTTTTGGTCACGCCTTTTGCACACTTGCCTCCCAGAAACTGTTTCTCTCACACATGCTCATTCTCTTCTTCTTTGCCAGGCTCCCACTCCCTTGCCCCTTTCTGTTTGAAATCTTTGCCCTTCTGCATTTTTGATTCTTTTGTGAACCCTCTTGCACACTTGCTTTTGCACACGCGCCCCCCCCCCCAGCATTTTCAGTGCTCTCCGGAAGCCTTGTTTCTCCCCTTTAATAATGTTCTTGCGCACCATGACATGGCTGCACACCGCATCTTGTCTTTTCTACCTGGATGAGAGCTCTACCACTTCTTTCCTTTTGCACACTCATCTCATTCCATGCACTCTTGGGCTGTAACTGTCATTTCTTTTCCTGACACGCTTATTTTTTATTCCTGTTGACAAGCAGCTCTTGCGGCCATTCTCATTCGGATTCTCTTACCTCCTTAAGCTCTTTCTCTTCCTGGTGAGAGAAGACCCTATGCACACTGGCTTCCTGCTCACCATGCTTCCACACTCGAGCCTCTCCCTGCCTCCAGCCCTCACCCTTCCTCACATCCTCCCTCTTCTGTCTTTCCTGGGCCATCTGTCCATCCCTTTTGCACGAAGATTGCCCTCTCCTAACCTGTCCACTCCAAGAAGCTCCCTCTCCCTCCAGCATGGCTGTTCCTTCCCGCACGCTTCCTCTCTCCGCTTATTCCCGGGGCTTGGGAATGTTAAGCCACCCCTCCCCCTGAAAAGCCCCCTCCCCTGCTGTGGGTAAAGGGGGGAGGGCGTTGCCCTCAGGTCCCCCCCCCATGTTCAGCTGCCAAAGAAGGGAGCTCCCCCTCCTTCCCCAAGCCCATTCCCCCTCTGCTGCCCCCTACCCCCGAGAGGGGGGGGCGCTCCGTCCATGAGGGGAGGGGGCTGCAAGCCCCCTCCCCTCACCATGTCAGGGATCTGCGGGGAACCTCGTGGGAGGGTCGTGGGAGGGGGGAGGGGTGGTGAGAGAGGGGCAGAGGCCGCGCTGGACCCCTACCCGCCCCCTCCCCCTTGTCGGATGCCCCCAGTCCGCAGGGGGCCTGCGCGGCGCCCGTCTATCAAGGGCTCGTTCATTCTGGATGGGTGCCGCGGGGTTGGGGAGGGTGTAGGGGGTGGGGGGGGGAGGAGAGGTCGGGGTGGGGAGTGGGGAGGGACCGAATGCGGGGACAGCGCGGGGTGGAGAGGAGAGAAAAAGCAAAAAGAGGAACAATAACAAAAGAAGAAAATATAAAAAACAGAAAAAAAAAACACAAAACCCCTAGAACACACAAAAAAATCCAGAAAAAAAACCTGAAATAAAAGCCCGAGAATTGTCTTCCAAGGGGGGGTGGGAGGGGAAGAGGAGGGGGGCGGATGAGGACGTCTGATTCTCGCTGAGACAGGGCTCGGCACGCGCTGAAAGCCCCGGTGCCCAGGTCTTCCCTTTCGCGGGCTTCAGTTCATCCCTCAAGGGATTGGGACCCAGGCGTCCACGTACAGGGACTGGAGGAAGATTAGGGACGCGGGATTATAACATGGGGGTTCATTCCTACCCCCCATCACCTCCCTTCCCCTGACTCCCCACCAAGATTTTGCAGAGAGAAATGGCTTTTGTACCAGGTCATTCTTTATAATTAAACTCACAGTATCCACCCCCTCGAGCCGGCCCCGCCTCCTTCCTGGGAAGGCAACGCCCCCTGTCCTCCGGGGCTCCGGGTGGGTGGCCCCAGCCCGCGGGGCGGTGCGCAAGCGCTGCCGGGGCCCGCCCGGGCGTCAGGCCTCCTCGTTCGGCTCCGCCCCCAGGGCCTCGAGCATGCGCCGCCGGACCAGGGAGCGGCGCAGGTGCAGGCGGTAGTCGCCCAGCAGGAGGTCGTCGTGGCGCACGATCTGGTGCGCAAGCCCGCGGGGACTGAGCCCGGAGCGCAGCAAGCGCGAGCGCGTCTGGAAGTCCGTGACCGCGATGAGCCACCTGTAAGGGGGGTGGGGACGGAAAAGGAACTCGCAGGTCGTTTCAGCCCTGGCTTTGATCGTCGAAGAGTCCCTGCCTGGTCCCTGGAGTCGTTTACAGGCCCTGGTCCAGCGGACCATCGCTCCGTCCCTAAACTCCCCTCCAGCCCTGCCCTCTCGCCTGGGTCGCTCTAGGCTCCTTACGCTCTCTTAGCCTGGTTCTGCGTCCTAATCACTGTCTGTCGAGGCTCCATCTCAAACCGCCCAAAGGCCCGACCCTCCACTGGCGACTGCAGGCTGCGCTCTACCCTAGGCACTCCAGGCCTGTCCCCACCCTATCACCCCTGGCCCCACACCTACTATGTGCTCAGTCTCTTCCACCCCCTCACAGCTGCCTTTCCAGGCTCAGACCTCTATCCCGGTCACTACTGGGTCACTCAAACTCGGGCCCCTACTCACTCGAGATCCCTCCTTCTCTCTGATCTCACCGGACCTTACCTCCAACCGCGCTCACTCTTGGCCCCGCCCCTCAGTGGCTCTGCACCAATCTCGCTCTTATCTAGTCCCTCCTGGCCCCGCCCCCCCAAGCTGTCACTCCACTGTCGCCCCGCCTCACAACACCCTTACACCAACCACGCTCTTATCTAGTGGCTCCGGGGCCCGCCCCTCAGCACCCTTACACCAACCACGCTCTTATCTAGTCGCCCCGGGCCCCGCCCATTCATGCTTTCACTCTTGGCCACGTCCCTCAGCGCTCTAAAACCAACCACGCTCTTACCCGGTCGCCCCGGGCCCCGCCCCTCCCGCTCGCTCCAGGCCCCGCCCCCGCCGCTTACTCACCGGTTCCGGCGCCCAGCAGTCCCACAGATGACGTTCATGTTCTCAAAGCGGATGCTGCTCACGCGCCCGCTCTCCATGGCCCCTGGTAACTGGGCCTCCAGGGCTTGCAGCACCTCCAGGTGGGTAAAATCCTCCTCGGGCTGCGGGTGTCGGAGAGAGAACCTCAGCCCGTGGCCTCCTGGTTCATTTTGGGTTCAGAAGTCACCACCCTAGACCCCACCTGCAGAACCTGCCACAGAGTTCCAGGTGGCATTTGAGGGGCAAGGATCGCTCTTAATCCCAGGGTACTGTCGCTATGGTCAAAGGAGACGACAGATTATCTCTCAGATGGGAAAGCATCTACTATCACTCTAGGTCATTCTCCAAAAAAATCAATTCTCACCAAGCCAATTTGCCCCAAAGTCAATGAACAGTTGGCTGAATGATTCACCAACTTAGCCAACTTTACGAATCTACCAAAAACTTTCCCAGCAATTTGCAATGGATGCGCCTGAAAGTTCTTGAAAATTTCTGCCAGGATTTAAGTTACACACCTTTCCTTTTATATTCGTATTAGCATTTTAAGAATGTTCAGTAGTCAAAAGATAAGGGTCATAGGGGTTTTGATGTCTTGTCAATCTATTTAACATTCAGAAACGTGGACTGATCACTAAACACAGTTGCATCACGTGATTAGCATGTCAAGGGTGATAACAGTTGTCATAGCACATAAAATTGCTGAGGAACTAAAATGAAATGAAAATTTTCACGATTTCACTGAAAAATGATGTCACTTCCAGAAAGTCATTCCTTGACTGGGGTGAGAGGGGAGGCTGGAGAGTCCCTTGCTCAAAGCCACAAAGAAGTGGAGTGATGGGGTGGAGACTGATCCCTAAAACGAGGACAGCAATCCCTGTATGCAGGGTGGAGAGTTACACGGATTAGCTGAGAGGGTACCTTGGAGGCCTGTGCCTGGCACACAGTAAGCACCTATTGACATCAGCTCTTCTCAGTCAATTGTTGAGTGCCTGGGACTCTCATATATACCTCTTCTGATTGAAGGCAGGGAGGACCAGTTTACTGAATCTGTCAAAAACATGACCTCTTTCTTTCCCTCCCTCCCTTCCTTCCTTTCCTTTCCTTTCCCTCCCTCCCTTCCTTCCTTCCTTCTTTCTTTCTTTCTTCCTTCCTTTTTTTTTTGACAGAGTCTCACTTTGTCACCCAGGCTGGAGTGCAGTGGCACGATCTCGGCTCACTGCAACCTCCACCTCCCAGGTTCAAGCGATTCTCCTGCCTCAGCCTCCCCAGTAGCTGGGATTCCAGCCACCTGCCACCACGCCTGCCTAATGTTTGTATTTTTAATAGAGACGGGGTTTCACCATGTTAGCCAGGCTAGTCTCAAACTCCTGACCTCTAGTGATCCACCCACCTCAGCCTCCCAAAGTGCTGGGATTACAGGCGTGAGCCACCGCACCCGACACACATGGGCTTTTTCTTGAGTTTTTGTTATATTTGTAAACTTTACAGAAGTGGATTAGTAGGACTCCTTTTGTCCTCCCTCCCTGCCCCCCTCAGCCTCCCCTTTCTTTGCCCGTTGGTCTCCCCTCTGACATGAGCAGTAGATTTCATGACTGACCCTTTGACAAATTCACAATCAGTTTTCAGCAAACTGTCCTGGTGGCAAGCCCACAGCTTATAAGCCAAAAGCCTGAATTTAAACTCTGGCCACACTGCTTCTCAGCCTGTGCCCTTCCCATCACCCCACCAAAACTGTGCAGAAAATAAGGGCACAGGTCCACTCACCAAGGTCTCCATGCAGAGGCAGAGGGGCTGGGAAGCTGGTGGTGTGGGGAACTTCCGGATGCACGGGAGTTCTCGGTCCAGTGCCTCGTACTCTGCAATGACCTGCCGCAGGTACTGCTTTCTAGGGAGAGAGCGAACAGGCAGGGACCTCTGAGGTCAGGGTTCACTGCCATCACATTTGGGGAGGCGGAAGATAGAGGTCATGGGGGCCAGGGACAACTCACGAGGATTTGATGGGCCTGCCCAGGCTCCGAGCCTGCATCTCCTCTGGGGTCTCCAGGTCCATAAGGAGGGCTCCTGAGGACAGAGAACCCAGTGTCAGCTGCCCTGAGCCCTCCTCAGCCATGATTCTGCTTAAATGGCCATCACCAATTGCTTGCCCATGCCACACCCAGAATAGCTTGTATGCCAGATGTTGAGTTACTGTCTCTTAGCTCCAAACTCCACCCCATGACACCGGCTCTGTGATGCCTGGGTTGAGACTCTACTAACCACATTTCTCCTTCAACAGCTGGGTTCCTATTAGGCTCTGCCTAACAGGGGCGCCAGTGGGAGCCTGCAAGGCAGGAGGAAGCAGGAGGAACTTGCTCCTTTTTGCTTCCTCTTCTAGTCACCCCAGGCTTACTTCTTCACTGTGGCAGCATCACTTCAGTAACAACACTTGAATCCAGTTTTCAGGTTTTTTGTTTTTTTTTTTTGAGACAGAGTCTTGTTCTGTCGCCCAGGCTGGAGTGCAGTGGCGCAATCTCGGCTCACTGCAAGCTCTGCCTCCCGGGTTCACGCCATTCTCCTGCCTCAGCCTCCCGAGTAGCTGAGACTACAGGCACCCGCTACCACGCCCAGCTAATTTTTGTATTTTTAGTAGAGACGGGGTTTCACTGTGTTAGCCAGGATGATCTCAATCTCATGACCTTGTGATCCTCCTGCCTCGTCCTCCCAAAATGCTGGGATTACAGGCATAAGCCACTATGCCCAGCCCAGTTTTCAGTTTTTCCAACACTCTCAGAATCAGTCTCCTGATTGGAACTTCACAGATAACAGTTCTCAAATATGGACCCTTTTTGACCACCCCACCATCAGCTAACTGGTCTCTCTCTTATGGCCAAGTGCTAGTTGTTCCATGCACTCCATTTTCCCCTTCCCCTACAATCCTAGAGTTTTACCCAGCACATGGCTTCCCAGCTAGAGACAACAGTTCCCAGACTCCCTTGCAGGTAAGTGTGGCCATGTGACCATGCTCTCACCAATGAAGTGTTAGCTGGAGTGAGAGGTGTAACTTTGGAGTCATTTGCTTAAAAGATTACTGCTTTTCTTGGACTCTGCCCTTTCTCTTGGACTGGAATGTGGATTAGCAATAACCCAGCCTCCACCATGTTCAGATATGGCAAGCAACAGTATGGGAGGAACTCTTATCTCTAAATCTTCTCACCAAGCCAAGATGTCCCACAACCCTGCCTTTCATTACACAAGAGAGAAATACAATTCTGGTTCTTGACCAGCTGAGGCAGGTAACATAGCAACACCCTATCTCTACAAAAAAAAATTTTTAATTATCTGGGCATGATGTTGTGTGCCTGTAGTCCCAGCTACTGAGGAGGCTAGGGTGGGAGGATTGCTTGAGGCCAGGAGTTAGAGGTTGCAGTGAGCCATGATTGTACCAATGCACTTCAGCCTGGGTGACAGAGAAAGGGAGAAAGAGAGACAGAAAGAGAGAAGGAAGGAAGGAAGGAAGGGAGGGAGGGAGGGACGGAGCCTGGTGCAGTGGCTCACTCCTGTAATCCCAGCACTTTGGGAGGCTGAAGCGGGCAGATCACGAGGTCAGGAGTTCGAGACCATCCTGGCCAATATGGTGAAACCCCATCTACTAAAAATACAAAAAAGCCGGGTGTGTTGGTGTGTGCCTGTAGTCCCAGCTACTCGGGAGGCTGAGGCAGAAGAATCACTTGAACCCAGGAGGCAGAGGTTGCAGTGAGCCAAGATTGCGCCACTGCACTCCAGCCTGGGCGACAGAGTGAGACTCCATCTCAAAAACAAAAAGAGAGGGAGAGAAAGAAAAGAGAGAGATGGAGGGAGGGAAGAAGGAGAAAGAGAGGAAAGGAGCAAGGGAGAAAAGAAAAGAAATACACTTCTGTCTTCTTTATGATGTTGTGTTTTGGGGTGTCTTTGTTATAGCTGCTGAAAGGGAGGGAAGCAGACACTGACAGCCCGGCCCTGGTGCTCTCCTGCCGAACATAAAACATTTCCCGTAACACCAACATCAAGCAAGGCCACTCTGTGACCGTGATGGACTGAGACAAAAACAAGACCACCCCTGAATCATGTCTCAACACAACAAACATGAACATTGTCCAAACCACAAAAATGACCAAAATCCCCCCCTCCCAGCTCAGAGCCGACGGCTGCTTTTTCATTAACCCCAGCATTAGCTCCATCTACCCCTCCTGGTTCCCAATGAGATGAAGATTCCCAGTCATGGGCTTGCCTGTGCTTTCCATCAGTCTCCCATCCAGAGCAAAGCCCCACCCCCGTGAACCCTCCCCAAAGTCACCTGACACAGCCCGGCTCTAACAATAAGTCCTTGCTAACACCCTTCTACTGAGACAACGTGTGTGTGTGTGTGTGTGTGTGTGTGTGTGTGTGTGTGTGTGTGTGTGTGTGTGTGTGCTGTCTCTCATTACAATAAGTCAACACATTCAACTTGGTTTAACTATAGTCAGTGGTGTGCTGGTATATGTTTCACAACGGGCTCTCCTGCACACTCTCACACACACACGTGCGGTAGACACTTACTCCAGGGCCCACCCCCAGACCTACTGGATTCAAATCTACATTTTCACGGGATCCCCTTCCAGAAATACCTACCCTCATTATTTTCTTCCAGTCATACCGGCCTCCCTCCATCCCTCAAACACAGCCATCCCCTCCTCAAGTCTGTCCACTTAACAATATAACTATGTGCTTACTGTCCCTTTTATATGCCAAACACTTTAAAAAATACTTTCCACTGTGGCCGGGCACAGTAGCTCACGCCTGTAATCCCAGCACTTTGGGATGCCAAAGTGGGCAGATTGACTGAGCTCAGGAGTTCGAGACCAGCCTGGCCAACATGGTGAGATCCCATCTCTACTAAAAATACAAAAAATTAGGCGGGCATGGTAGCGCGCACCTGTAGTCTTAGGTACTCCGGAGGCTGAGGCAGGAGAATTGCTTGAACCCTGGAGGCAGAGATTGCAGTGAGCCGGGATCGTGCCACTGCACTGCATCCTGGGCGACAAAGCAAGACTCTAGTGCCAAAATAAAATAAAATAGAATAGAATAAAATACTTTCCATTGCATCCTCACAACAACCTTCCGAGGTAGTGTTGTTTAACACATGATGAAACAGAAGCACAGAGAGGTTAAGTGACTTGCCCAAAGTCACACAGCACAAAATGATAGAATAAGGATAAAAATGTAAGCATCTGGATCCAGTGTGCGTGTTCTCAATCTCCCCAGGTGCCTTCCTCTCACCTCACTCTCACCTGGTCTCCTAACTCCTCTCGCTCTCCAGTTACCCCAGCAAGGCAGGATTTTGACATGTAGACCTGACCCTATGGCCCCTTCCTCAAAACCCTCCCAGGACTTTTCATTGTCTGTGGGATGAATAAAGTCCAAAGTCCTTCCAGTGACCATAAGACCACACGTGATCAGACCGTGCTAGTGTCTTAAACCTGATCAAGCACAATCGTCCTTTTCACCTGCTGCAGTCCAAAAACGCTGTTTTTCTGCGACTTGGACTCTCTGACCCCTCCTGCTGCAGGATCTTGGCCAATGCTGTAACTCTGCGTGGATCTCTCTTCCCCCTCATTTGGCTAATCAAGTCTCCCTGAGGGTCCACTGATGCCATTCCTCATAGCACAGTATGTTTGTACTCATAGTATTGCAATTTTACCTTTATTTCTATGATTCCCTAATTACACTCTGTCTTCCCTACGTCTTCTGAGCAACGTAAGGGCAGGGACTTGTGTTTTCGTCCCCAGCATCTAGCAAAGTGCCAGGCTTATAGTTGTCCTTAGTATTTATTGAATAAAGCCTGAAATGTGTGCACTTTGTTTGGGCCCTAATTTAAACAAGCCAACTATAAAAAAATACAATTTTGAGATAATTAGGGAAATTTAAATATGTACTAGGTATGAGATGATATTCAAAAATAATTATAGGCCGGGCATGGTGGTTCACACCTATCATCCCGGCACTTTGGGAGGCTGAGGCAGGAGGATCGCTTGAGCCCAGGATTTTGAGGCTGCAGTGAGCTACAATGGTGTCAATTCATGCCAGCCTAGGTTACAAAGTGAGTCCCTGTCTCAACACAATAAATTAATTTTAAAAAATAGCCTTGTACAAGCGTTAAATGAATCAAAAAGTAACTCTAGCAGCATCAAAGATGCATGTGAAAAAATGTGAATACAATAGTTTCTCATGAAATATGACATTAGAAATAAGAACTATTTCTAGTTACAACAGTGATTTTAATATATGTAAATGTATTTAATACATTTAAATGTATATGTGTAATTAAATTAACATAAGCATAAACTTAAAAATAAGTACTTATTGAAAAATTGAGGAAATGCAACCATTTCAAGCTTTTTTTTTTTTCCTTTGGTGACAGAGTCTCACTGTGTTGCCCAGGTTGGAGGGTCATGGTGCAGTCATAGCTCACTGCAGCCAGGAACTCCTGGGCTTAAGGGATCTTCCTGTCTCAGCCTCCCAAGTAGCTGGTTAAATTTTTTTAACAGGCATCTCAGAGGGCCCCTGTGTGCCTTGGAGGATGCTGGGGACCAAGAGATGAATGAGACACACCTCTGCCCTTTCAGAACTCTCAGATAAAGGGCAATGTGTGTTTCAATGAAAGTGTTACAAGGTGGAGGGAAAGCCCAGTCTCCCGGTCTAGGGGCAATCAGGGAAGGCTCTCTAGAGGAGGTGTCCACAGTGAGACCTAAAGAATAAGAAGGTATTTACCAAATAAAGAGGTGACAGAGAGAAGGATGTTTCCCATGAAGGGCCTAGCATGGGCCAAGGTTTTTGAGCAAAAGAGAAGAGAGTCACCTGCAAGAACTTCCCAGAATTCCCTTGAGCCCCAAGACTAAAGAGCGCTTATTGCCATTGGAGGCTATGAATGATCTGTGAGATGGCGTGTTTCACGTCTCCTCTCCCAGCATGAGAACAAGCCAGGCCGTTTCATCCATTAGGCACTACAGGCAAAATGCTTGGGACCCAGGGGCTTTCTAATGGCCTATGCTGAAGTTTGCAACCTGATCAACTAAAAAATGTGATTGGTTCCACAACGCTGCAAAGAAAACAGCAAAATCGAAATGAACAAACGTCGATCAACAAAACTAGCCAACTGGTCGACTCAACTCCACTTGACTTTTCTGGAGCTACATATAAATTACATGTCACGTGGGTGCCTCAGTCTAGGCTAGAGATGGTGCATTGTGGGGTCTCCAAAAGAAAGATGCCTTCAAAAGCACTAAAAGAGACCTAAAGGCAGAGAAACAACGCCTGTTTTGCCATCAGGGCATTTGTTCGGCCTCGAAGGCTGAGGTGGGAGGATCACTTGAGCCAGGAGCTCAAGGCTGCAGTGAGTTTTGGTTTTGGGTGTTTTTGTTTGTTTGTTTGTTTGTTTTGTTTTTTGAGACAGAGTCTCCCTCCATCACCCAGGCTGGAGTGCAGTGGCACAATCTTGGCTCGCTGCAGCCTCTGCCTCCTGGGTTCAAGCGATTCTCCTGCCTCAGCCTCCCTAGTAACTGGGATTACAGGCACCCGGCACCACACCTGGCTAATTTTTGTATTTTTAGAGATGGGGTTTCACCATGTTGGCCAGGCTGGCTGGCCTTGAACTCCTGACCTCAGGTGATCCACTCACCTCGGCCTCCAAAGTGCTGGGATTATAGGCGTGAGCCACCACACCCAGTCCTGAGTTTGGTTTTCTATTACCTGCAGTTACATGCATCCTCACTGAGATACTACTCCATAAATGTTGAATGAGTGTAACTGCATGAGCTGTGCTACAGCACAGAGTGCTAGCAGGAAGTGCTGGGCTAGGAGCCTGAAGTTGTCAGCAGGGGTCAGACCACACAGGGCCTCAAAAGCCAGGCTGGAGCTTTGGGTCTCTGTCCTAGAGGTGACAGGAAGCTAGGAAGTGTTATGAGCAAGGGACAGCCAGGATCACTGCAGGAAGTCAGAGAGACCTCTCTGGAGCCATGGAGGGATAGGTAGGAGGAGAGAAACTGGGGACCAGGGAGGAGGTGAGGAGAGGGTCCACATGGAAGAGGATGAGACCTGGGACAGGGCTGCGGGGACAGAGAGGAAGGAATGGGGAAGGGAGAGTCAGAGGGCAGGAAGATAGGGCCTGATGGGCTGTGGGAGGGAATTGTGGGAGGTGGAAGGATGGCACCAGTGACTGGGTTGGCGGTGGGGCCATTTGAAAATGGAAACCAGGAAGGAGGAGAGCAGCTTTGGGGGAAGATGCTGAGCTCAGGGTGGGAGACAAGACAGTGAGGTTACCTAGGAGAAGAATGGCCTCAGAGGTGTTGCTTAGGCCCCAGAGGCTCATGGGAAATGTAGTTCTGAGTCCAGGGCATTGGCCAAGGAACTGCAGAGGCTCATGGGAAATGTAGTTTGAGGTCCAAGGGGGCCGCTCTCCAGGAATCTGGTGAATCCAGGAATGCTAGGGATGGCTTTCACTTTGGAGTGCCAGTGACTCGCTTAAGGCCACACTGTGAGCCCGGGCTACTACGCACTGCCTGGATGGAGGAAGTCCACCCCTTCCCCCAAAGACACAGCTCAGTACCTGCCTTCCTGTGCATGGTGGGGCTGCCCATGGCAGGGAAGCACACGGGCTCCACCTCTGGCTGCATCCTGGGAAGGTGGGTGAGGGATGTCTCAGGAAGGTGGCAAGAGAGGCTCTGCCTGGGCCACCCACCCCAGCTCCTTCTCCCCACCGCTGCCTCCTCTACCTCCTCTTTGAAGCCCCGGGGTAGAATTACAGAGGAACTGGAAGGCTGAGACCATGTGGAGATCTGGGTTCCCCTGACCTCAGGGACTCCCTGTGTGCCCCAATCCCTTCTTTCCCATTTCCCTGTTTTTCCTCCTATCTCTCTCTGTCTCCTAGAGTCCCTTTCCCCACCCCTCTCTCTCCACCTCCCTTCCTCATTCTCTCCCCATCTCTCTGCCCCCCTGCCTCCTCCCCTCTGTCCCCACGTCTCCACCACTCTTTTGCTTGATTTCTCTGCCCTCCTCCTCCCTCCTTCTCTCCTGGGCTCCATCTCTTCAGTCTCCATCAGTTTCCCCAGCATCTCCCCAGGCCCCCGTCCCTCCTTGTCTTCATCGTTTTCTGCCTCTCCCTAACCCCGTCACCCTCTCTCTGTCTTCCCACCTCTCACCAGTCTCCTTGCCCCATCTCTATCCTCTCCTAGCTGCCTCCACTGCCCCCTTGAGGCCCCCTCCCCTCTGTCATCCCCTTTCTGTTCCCACTTGCCCTCTGCTCATCCCTGCCCCAGCCAGGAACTGGTTAGAAACAGGCGAGATTCCAACGAAAGTGGGTTCTCTAGTGGGGAGGGGATGGTGGGCAGGGGGCCTGGTTGCCATGGTGCCTCCAGAGGGAGGGGGAGGGGTGGGGGCCTGGATTCCTGGGTCTGAGGGAGGAGGGCCTGGGGTCTGGACTCCTGGGTCTGAGGGAGGAGAGGATGGGGGCCTGGACTTCTGGGTCTGGGGTCTCACGGGGCCTCTCGTGCTAGAGAGAAGGGGTCTAGCCGTGTAGGTGCCTGTTCAGCATCCCTTTCTCTGGGTCTGCAGAGCTCTCTGCAGGAATTGTGGGAGAGGAAGCTGGACCTTCGCTTATTTGTTTTGTCTGTCCTTGCAGTCTTTGTCTCTGTTACTTGTATCTCTTTCTCTTCCTCTTTCTCCACATCCAGATGGTCTCTGGACTGTCTGTTGTTCCTGCTTACTAAGTATTCGTTCTAGGTGGTGGCACCTTGATTTCCTCAGTGATTTGTTCAGTGGCGAGCTTAAGAATCAATCTAGGCTACAAAGTCAACCTTTGGACTTTTGCTGGACCTGTTAGAAAACAGGGTTTTTCCCCTGTGGTTTTGGGGCTGGTCAGAGCCAGGGTTGGAGCTCTCGGTGCTACCACATCACCATGCAGGGAGATAACTTGCCTGAGAGCAAAGACAACACGAGGGAAGCATAGCCCAAAGATACAGACAGTTGGATTCCTGGAGATGATTGGAACACCTGGATCCAGCAATGCCTGAAGCCCTCATCCAATCAATAAACTTCCTTTTATGCTTAGGTCAATTTGATTTGCGTTTCCGTTATTAGCAATTAAAACAGTCCAGATTGAAATAGTCTTACTCAGTTCTGGGGGCCCTGACCCCCTCCTGGCATCTTCACATCTGCTTCTCTCCCATCAAGCTGTCTTCCATTTCCAGCTGGCAATTTTATCTCAGCGGGATGGAGGACATGATTGCCTTGACCACAGGCACACCTGACCCTCACAGCCTATCTGTCTCCAAGTTCTATTCCTTCTGCCTCTCCTTCCTCTCCTCTCTACTCCCATAGCTCTAGCAGCCACTCAGACCTCGTCCTCTCCTGCTGGGACCCTTGCCCCAGCCTCCTTTTTTGTTTGTTTGTTTTTGAGACAGGGTCTCACTGTGTCCCCCAGGCTGGAGTGCAGCGGTATAACAGCCTTGACCTCCCAGGCTCAAGCAATCCTCCCACCTCAGTCTCCCGAGTAATGGGGACCACAGGCCCACACCACTACGCCCAGCTATTTATTTTTTTTAAGATGGAGTCTCACCGTGTTGCCCAAGCTGGTCTCAAACTCTGGGGCTCAAGCAATCCTCCCACCTCAGCCTCCCAAAGTGCTGGGATTACAGGTGTGAGCCACCACACCTGGCCCAGCCTCCTGGCCGCCCCATCCTCCATTCTCTCGCCCTCATTCCTCTCCCCACAAGTGAGGCTCCAGAGTGGTCTTTCTGTGCCCGGAACTGACCTGCCCCTGCCCTGCTCACGGCCCTCCCAGGGCTCCCCAGTGCCTTAGACAAACTTTCAGCCCCTCACCTGGACTGAAAGAGCTGCATGATCTAACCTCACCTCCCTCTCCCAACCTCACCCCTCCAAACATTCTCCACCTACCCTTTATTAATTATTTTATATAAATAATCCCTCCCGCAGCCAGGCGCGGTGGCTCACACCTGTAATCCCAGCAGTTTGGGAGGCCGAGACGGGCGGATCACGAGGTCAGGAGATCAAGACCATCCTGGCTAACACGGTGAAACCCCGTCTCTACTGAAAATACAAAAAATTAGCCGGGTGTGGTGGCGGGCACCTGTAGTCCCAGCTACTTGGGAGGCTGAGGCAGGAGAATGGCGTGAGCCCGGGAAGCAGAGCTTGCAGTGAGCCGAGATCGCGCCACTGCACTCCAGCCTGGGCGACAAAGCAAGACTCTGTCTCAAACAAAATAATAAATAAATAAATAAATAAATAAATAATCCCTCCCACACATCCCACCTTATTTCTGTCTCCACTCTTTCCATATGCTGTGTCTTCTGCCTGGAATGCTCTTCCAACCTTTCCCCATGTCCCCAAATGCCCTCATCTTTTAATAAGAAGCTCAAGTGCCCTCTCCTCCAGGAAGCCCTCTCTGACTCATCCTCCTACCAGTTGTGTTTTCTGTCTCCTCCCTCCGACTGTTTTTTTATCTGCTCCTTCTCCAGACCTCTGAACACTGCCCTCCGCCCCATCTGTCTTGCTCAGAAATTTGTTTCCTGACTCATCTCTGGCTCTCTGGCATCACGCCACAAGGGCCAGGCTTCTGGGAAGTTCAGGACACATGAGTTGAATGAATACATGATTATTTCCCTCTATTTCTGTGACCCACACTCAGTAGCCCCCTAACCCCATCTGCCCTGTCCCTCCTGGTCTTCACGAGCCAACATAAGTTGAAGAAGAGAACATGGGCTCTGGCATCAAACAGACCAGCATCAAATGCTGCTCCCAGGCTGTGCAATGTCAGGCAAATGTCTTCCCCTCTCTGAGCCTCGTCTTCCTTATCTCTTGCCTTCCTCAATGCTACCTTCAAGGGCTGTTGGTGCTTAAGTGAAGCAAGGTACAGCAGCACCCCCAAATCGGAGCCAGGCACCAAGGAGGCACCCAAAAGGAGGTAATTTCCTTTCCAGTCCTCTGACTCTGCATCTAGCTTTGGCTGGATGTCACTGTCCCTCCTCCTCTGCATCTCTCTCTGCTCCTCTGTGTCTCTCTTCTTCCCTCTGGGATTTGGGACTCTATGTCTCCATCTATCTGTGCCTCCATTTGCTCTCTGTGTCTTTATCTTTCTTCCCTTCTCTCTACCTGTCTCTGGAACCCTACCTCATCTCTCTCTGTGTGTCTGCATTTGATTTTTGTGGGGGTTTGGGTTTCGTGGGGGGTTTTTTTGAGACAAGGGCCCAGGCTGGAATGCAGTGATACAATCATAGCTCACTGCAGCGTCAACCTTCTAGGCTCAAGCGATCTTCCCGCCTCAGCCTTCCAAGTAGGTGGAACTACAGGCGCACACACCACGCCTGGCTAATTTTTGTATTTTTTTGGTAAAGCTGAAATTTCACCATGTTGTCCAGGTTGGTCTTGAACTCTTGAGCTCAAGCTATCTGCCTGCCTCAGCCTCCCAAAGTGCTGGGACTACAGTGTGTGTCTGAATTTGAATTCCTGTATCACAGGTTTCTGTATTCCTGTATCTCTGTCTCTCACTGTCTGCATCTCTGTAGATTTCTGTATGTCTCTGTATCTCCATCTTTCTCTCCCTGTCTTTCTCTCTGTACATCTGTCTCTGTCTCCATCACTCTATTTCCCCATCTCTGTTTCTGTGTCTCCATCTCTCTTTCCTTCCCTTTCTCTCTATGTCTCTGTCTCTGCCTCCATGACTTTGCCTATTTCCCCATCTCTCTGCTTCTGTGTGTCTCCACCTCTCTGTCGCCTTGCCTGTCTCTCTGCCTTACTCCGACCGACTTCCCTCTGCCACTCAATCCATCTCTCTGGGCCATCCCTGTCCCACTTCCTGGCCTGGTGCCCAGTCTAAAACACACACCCCTGAATCAGCGTTTTCCTCCAATTCCAGAAATACTGTCAGCGCCGCAGTGGTGGCAGGGATGGCCATAGCCCTGGCCAAAAGGTGTGTCTCCCCACCTCCCCATTCTCAGTGTTTGCTCTCTCCAGGAGGAGCACCAGGAGAACAAGTGAATCTGTATTTACACACATGTGTGCATGCCTCTGAGTGTATCTGCATCTACCTCCAGGCACATATGTGTGTGAATCTGTAGGTATTTGTGAAAACTCATTCAATCAGTCACCCATCCATCCATCCCTTCATCTATTTCTCCAACATCCACCCAACCATCCTCTATCTAACTCTTCATCTATCTATCCAATCATCCAATCATCCATCCCTGCACCTAGCCATCCACTCATCCCTCCCTTCATCTATTTCTCCAAAATCCATCCATCCTTTATCTAATTCTCCATCTACCCATCCAATCATCCATCCATCCACCCAACCCTCCACTCATCCATCCCTTTATTTATTTCTGCAGCATCCATCCATCCTATCATCCACTCATCCATCCATTCCTTCATCTTTTTCTCCAACATCCATCCACCCATCCACAAATCCATCCATCTTCTATCCATTCAACCACTGACTCATTCATCCCTTCGTCTATTTCTGCAGCTTCCATCCATCCCATCCAACTATCCACTCATCCACTCATCCACTCATCCATCCCTTCATCTATTCCTCCAACATCCATCCATCTATCCACCAATCTATCCTCTATCCATCCAGCCATTCACTCATCCATCCCTTCATCTATTTCTGCAGTATCCATCTATCCATCCCCACTCTAACTCTTCATCTATCCATCCAATCATCCATGTATGCACCCAACCATCCACTCTTTCATCTATCCATTCCTTCATCTATTCCTCCAACATCCATCTTATCCATCCAGCCATTCACTCATCCACCTATCTGTCCATCCCTTCATCTATCCTTCCAGCATCTATCCAGTCATGCACCCATCCATCAATACATCATAGATTCACACATTCCTCCACTTATCCATTCACATGTTCATTCATTCATTCAACCAACCAATAAGTATTGAGTGCCTACCATGCGCCAGGTACTGTGCCAGGCAGCTGGGACACAGCTATGAACAAAACAAAGTGCTACTCCTACGGGGCTTGTGTGCTTGACAGCCCTCAAGGTGCCAAACTCCCTCCTGCCCCCAGGTCTTACATGAGCTGTTCCTTCTCCCTGGAGCATTTCCCCTCCCCTCCCTCATCTTCACCACCTGGCTTATGCCTACTCATCCTTCTGAGCTCAGCTGAAAAGTCACTTGCTCAGGAACTTCTCTGACCTCTCTCAAACACACAGCACAATGGATGTTCCTTCCTAGCATTGATCCTAGTATGAGGATCCTAGTATGTGTAGTTATTTGATTATTTTCTGTCTCTTCCACTAGACCATGAGCTCTTCCAACCCTGGAATTTTAGTCTATTTTGTTCCCAGATGAATCCCTGCTGTCTAAAAAAAAAAATGCCTGGCACACATTAGGTGCTCAGAAAGTATTTCTCAAATGACTGCATGAATCGAGTTGAATGAATATGGAAGATTCTATCTCTGTCTCCTGGCTCCCTGTCCGGTGTTCTTTATATTGTTCTATACTCCTAGCAGCAGTAGCATGCAAGTCCTCAAATGGGTCCTAGATGCAAACAGCATGGTGGCTAAAGGCAAGGGCTCTGGATTCAGATCCACTCCGTTTTTTGTTTTTTCTTTTTGTGTTTTGAGACAAGGTCTCACTCTGACATCCAGGCTGGAGTGCAGTGGCACGATCATGGCTCACTGCACTCCAGCCTGGATGTAAACGCACATCCATCCGGGGGGATGCAAGAAGGCACAAGGACGGGACTCTGGGCAGCCTCCATTTCCCCACAGCCTCGACTTCTGGGGCTCAAGCAATCCTCCCACCTCAGCCTCCCCCCAAGCAGGTGGGACTACAGGTGTGTGCCACCATGCCCGGCTAAATTTTGTATTTTTTGTAGAAATGAGGTCTCACTATGTTGTCCAGGCAAGTCTCAACTCCTGAGCTCAAAGGATCCTCTCACCTTTGGCCTCCCAAAGTGCTGGGATTACAGGTGTGAGCCACTGCACTTGGTCCAGACCCATACAGTTTTTAATCTCCACTCACACTTTCCAGATGTGTGATCTTGGGCAGAGCGCTTCCCTTGGTGAGCCTCAATTTCCTCACTTGTCAAGTCCAGCTAAAGTTTAAATGAGCAAATGCATTTAATTTTTATTTATGACAACACTAAACACTAGCCATTTTTCCTAAGCACCTTCCATGAATTTAATTTAACCCTCAAAATAACCCAGTGAGATACAATATGATTTTTTCTTTCTTTCTTTTTTTTGAGACAGAGTTTCACTCTTGTTGCCCAGGCTGGAGTGCAATGGCATGATCTTGGCTCACTGCAGCCTCTGCCTCCTGGGTTCAAGTGATTCTCCTGCTTCAGCCTCCCAAGTAGCTGAGATTACAGGCATGTGCCACCACGCCCGGCTAATTTTTGTATTTTTAGTAGAGACGGGGTTTCTCCATGTTGGTCAGGCTGGTCTCAAACTCCCGACCTCAGGTGATCTGCCAGCCTCGGCCTCCCAAAGTGCTGGGATTACAGGCATGTGCCACTGCACCCAGCCAGAGTATGATTTTTTAAAGTATTATTATCTGCACTTACAGAGAGGGAAACTGAGGCATGGAGAATCTAAGTAACCCCTCCAAGGTTGCATAGAGAGGGGAGCAGAGCTGGGATTTGAATCCCAGTGCTCTGCCCCCAAAGTCACACAGAAAACCAGTGCACTACGGCTGCCTCTCAATGCCTGGGCAGCCTCGGAATCCGAGCGTCTCTTTGGAAACGTGTCATGGCAGCGTGGCAAGCCCATCTGTGTGCCCATCTCTGAGTGTGTGCATCACTGCGTGTCTCTCCCTGTGGAACAGGGCTACCTGTGGACCCTGGGCAGGCCCAGCAGGGTTCAAGGGTCGGGCTGTTAGAGTTGGCATGGGGACCTGCACTCGTGGTCTGTAGGTTTACACCCGCACATGCTTCCCTGGATGTAAACACACATCCATCTGGGGGGATGCAAGAAGCCACAAGGAAGAGACTCGGCAAACCTGGGAGGCATTTCTGGGGGTTCTGTGGTAGTATAATGGCTGCAAAATGTACACATAGGCAGCAATAGGGGTAGGGTGTAATCTAATTAGAGGGAGGGCCCAGGATGCGTGCTTAAAGTTGTATTTGCAGAAGCAGCAAGCAATTTTTACTTTTATTTACTTACTTATTTTGACATTTTTATTTCTTGCTCTAAATATTTATTTATTTATTCATATTTATGTTTATTTTTGAGACAGGGTCTCACTCTGTCGCCCAGGCTGGAGCCCAGTGGCACAATCTTGGCTCACTGACTGCAACCTCCACCTTCTGGGTTCAAGTGATCCTTCTGCCTCAGCCCCCCAAGTAGCTAGGACTACAGGCATGCATCACCACACCCAGCTAATTTTTGTATTTTTTGTAGAGACAGGGTTTTGCCATGTTGCCCAGGCTGGTCTTGAACTCCTGAGCTCAAGTGATCCGCCCACTTGGCCTCCCAAAGTGCTAGGATTACAGGCATGAGCCACCGCACCTGGCTATTTATTCTTGAGATGGGGGTCTTGCTTTGTTGCCCAGGCTGGATGGAATGCAGTGGTGCAATCATAGCTCACTGCAGCCTCAAAATCCTGGGCTAGGCCGGGCGCGGTGGCTCACGTCTGTAATCCCAGCACTTTGGGAGGCCGAGGCGGGTGGATCACAAGGTCAGGAGATCGAGACCACGGTGAAACCCCGTCTTTACTAAAAATACAAAAAAAATTAGCCGGGCACGGTGGCAGGCGCCTGTAGTCCCAGCTACTCAGGAGGCTGAGGCAGGAGAATGGAGTGAACCCGGGAGGCGGAGCTTTCAGTGAGCCCAGATCGCGCCACTACACTCCAGCCTGGGCGACAGAGCAAGACTCTGTCTCACAAAAAAAAAAAAAAAAAAAAAAAAAAATTCCTGGGCTCCAGCAATCCTCCCACCTCAGCCTCCTGCGTAGGTGGGACTACAGGTGCACGCCACCACACCCACTAGTTTGGTTTTGTTTTGGTTTTTTGGTTTTTTTGTTTTGTAGAGATGGAGTCTCCTACGTTGTCCAGGATAGTCTCAAACTCCTGGCTTCAAGGGATCCTCCCACTTCAGCCTCCCAAAGTGTTGGGATTTACAGGTGTCAGCCCAGCCTTTGATTTTTACCTAGAGGTTGTATTTATTTGGATGTCACTGATTGAGAGCACTGAGGGGGCCTCCGAGCCACCTCTCCAGGCTATGTAGATCTAGATCAAGCTTGTCCAACCCATGGCCTGAGGCCCGCATGCAGCACAGGACAGCTTTGAATGCGGCACAACACAAATTTGTAAACTTTCTTAAAACATTATGAGATTTTTTTGTGATTTTTTTTTTCTCATCAGCTATTGTTACTGTTAGTGTATTTTATGTGTAGCCCAAGACAACAATGCAGTCCAGGGAAGCCAAAAGATTGGACACCCCTGATCTAGACCTTACCCAAGGGATTTAACCTCCATGGGCCTCAGTTGTCTCCTCTGTGAAATGGGAATGTCATAATTGCACCCAAGTGAAAATTAAATGAGAAAACGCTTTCAAAGCACTTAGCACTTCACCACTTATAGGAAATGACAATTGCCATTAACTGCTATTAATATACCAGAAACTGTTACTCACTACTTTTGAGAAATATTCATTAAGTACCTAGTTGGTACCAATGTTTTGTCTACACTGACCGGTTTTTCAAACTGTGGATCCCTTAGGAAATAAGTTTATGGTGTGTATTTTGCTGATGAGGAAACGGGGCCTCAGAGCAAGAGGCGCACACAGGCAGGAGTTGGCCCAGGTGGGATTCAAACCCAGGTCCCTGCTAGTACCTCTATCCTGGCTGTGGCACTGTACCTTTGAGTCTCAGCTTCCGCTCCTACCACCGGCCTTCAGAGCGGCTCAGGTTGGAGGGCCTGAAGTCCTGGGTTCCTGGGAAGAGGGGCCTGGGGTCCCCGGACTTCTACCTCTGTGAGATAGCGGGGCGGAGAACTGGGCCCCCGGACCCTGGAGAAGCAGCACGTCGTGATCCTAGATCTCTGGGTCCCCAGTGTGGAAACCCACTGGGTCTCTGCTGCCTTAGTCCCGGGCAATCTCCCTGCTTCCTTGCTGAGGCCAAGTGATTTCGGCTTTCTTGCCGCGGGTTCGGAGTGGGGGAAGGAGGGGGTGCAGGGGGAGGAGCCGCGGACCTGCGACAGTGGCGAGGGGAGGAGCCGAGCCGGCACCGCGGCTGGCGCGCGGGGCTGCGGCGGCGGCGGCGGCGGCAGCGGCGGCAGCGGCGGCTCCGGGTGAGTCCGCTCCTCCCCCTCCTCCTGCCACAGCCCCAGCCCCAGTCAAATCCCTGGGGTCGGCCCCGGCGCATGGGGGCGGGGTAGATGCAGAGGCGCGTGGATCTCGGGCCGGGGAGTGGGAGCGCTGCAGCGCTCTCTGGCCACCCCGGGGGAGGGGCACGTGGCCCTGGAAGGGGGTCCCGAAACACCTGGGTGTATCCCACCCCTCGCCCACCGATCCCCAGCGCGGGGGGATCGTTTCCTCATTCCGTGGCCCCTAAGGACTTAGGGCTCCGTGGCTTTTCGAAGTCCCGGACATCGTTCCCCTCCCCTGAAGCGTCTTGGGACCCCAGCATCTTAACCCCCCAAAACCTTAAAAAAAAAAAAAAAATCCCATCCTCTCTGCAGCCCGGAGGCATTAAGGACTTCAACTCCCAGCAGATCCTGCAGCGCCGGGTCTATGAAGCCGCAGCAGCGCGAGCGCGAGACCTGCCGGGAATTGTAGTCTCTAAGCCCTCAACGGGAGCTGGGGGCCCGGAGGTGGGAGGGGGTGGCCGGGCTCCCAGTGGGTCGCCTGGGGTCGGGCAGCTGGCTCGAGTAGGGCAAGATGTGACTGTTAAGCTGAGCTTTTTCTCCCGGCCTCAGCCCCTAGATCAGACATTCTCTCTCATTACCCGGCGCGTGGGAACGGGTCCACAGCCCCTTGTCCGCCCTAGAACCCCCATGGGCTGCCGCCCGCCGCCGCCTCGGCTGCCACCCAGGACACGGCAGAGATAAGCGCAGGTGAGTGTGGCCATGCCTGTCTTGGAGTCCTGGCCTTCTGCAGCACCCCCACGACACCTGTCCATCTGTGAGCCCTGGTCTGTCTGTTCCTAATTCCCCTGCATCCCCTTCAACCCATCTTGATGCCTGGCTCCGAGCCATGTGTCACTAATTCCCCCTCTCCCCACATCCACCTCTCCTTCCTAGCCTCCTCTCATTTATGTGCTCATTGAACCTTCCCTTATGAACCCATGTCTGTCTGCCCAGCCCTCCTGTCTCCTTTTGTCTATCTGCGATCTCTAGCCATCATCTGCTGTCCTTGCCCACCCATCCATCCTCCCGTTCGACCGTTTCTCTTTCAAAGATATTTCTGCCCACACTCCTGCCTGCCCCTCTTCACCGTCTCTCGTCCTCTCGTCTCTCAAGCCCCCGTGAATTAATTACATCTCGGTTCATTCCTTGTCACTGTCCATCCCAAGTCTCAATCCTTGACTTTCCTTCTGCCTGCCTGTTCACCTCTCCATCTCTTCGGAGCCTCAGTCTGCCCTTCACATTATCTCTGTCTCCCCTCCCTGTATCTCTCCCTCCCTCAACTTGGTCCCCATCTCTGCATCTCCACCTCTCCACCCCCAGCTCCCACCATACCTATCCACCTCCAATCTCTCTACCCACATCCATCCTTCTCTCCTGGCCCTCCCCGCGTCTACCCCAGTCTGGCCTCCTTGGTCCCTGGACCCTCCAACTGCTTTCCTACCCTAAGCCCCTGTCATCCTGCTCCTACTGTCTAAAATGCTTTTCTTTAAAATGCTTTTCCCATCCTGGCGCCACTGCCCCCCGCCTGTGGCTGGCTCCATGTCATCCTTCAGGTTTGGGAGAGCCCTCCCTGACCGCCCCCCTCTGAGTTCCTTTGTGACACATTCTCCAGCTGTGTCCTGTGGAGCGCTTCTCACAGACAGTCTGACAGTGACCGGTTTGTGTATGTGTTTTTGTTTGCTTGTTTACTCTATGTCTCCTCTCGTTGGATTGTGACACCGGGAGGTCAGGGAACTCCAGGACCTTGTTCTCTGCTGGATTCGCAGCAACCAGCACAGCACGTAGGGCGTAGTTGGTGCTGGATGGATGTTTGTTGAATGAATGAATGATGAATGGCTGGCACCTTGTCTGCTCATCCCTAACTCCTGTTCCTTCATCTGTGCAGCCCTAATCTTTGTTTCCTCATCTGTCCATCCCTTTATTTGTGCATCCTCATTCTTAGCCCCTTCACTGCCCTTCTCCATCTCTTCCTCCTTGTTCATTTGTCCCTGTTCTCTGTCCTCTACTCCACTCATGCCCATCTCTGTCCCCTTGACTTACCCAGTCCCTGCTACTATCTCCATCCCTAATTTCTGCCCTCTTGTCTGTCTACTCCTAATTCCTTTTCCTTGTCCATCCCTAATACCTGTCACCTTGTCCTTCTTCCTCGAATCTCCATCCCTAATCCATCTGCCCCTAATCTCTGTCCCCTTTGCCCATCCTTCCTTTTCTCGGTGTCTCTTTCCACCCTTATCTCCACACCTGCCCACCCTGCACTCCCATTCTGTTTCCCATCTGCACCCTTGCCCCATCCCTCCCACACACAGGACCAGACGGCCACCATGTCAGGAGACTACGAGGATGACCTCTGCCGGCGGGCACTCATCCTGGTCTCGGACCTCTGTGCGCGGGTCCGAGATGCTGACACCAACGACAGGTGCCAGGAGTTCAATGACCGAATCCGAGGCTATCCCCGGGGTCCAGATGCAGGTCAGCACCCCTGCCTGTCTTGGCCAGCCCCCTGCTTGCACTATGGCCAGGAGACTCGGAGCAGAACTGCTCAGCTTTCCATTGCTTGTGGGGTCAGTCCCTCGTAGCGTCTTGCCCCCATTCTGCCTGCTGCTGCCCTTCTCCCAAATCTCTGATCCAAGGGGAAGGAGCTGTGTGGTCTGCTTTTTGAGTTTTGCCCTGTGGGCCTCCCTCCGACTACCACCACCAAATGCCCCCTTCAGATATCTCTCTGCATCTTGTGCAAATGTCAGGCTCTTGAGTCAGACTGACTTGTTTGGGTTCAAGTCCCATCTCCCTCACTTTATTAATAACTGCATGGCTGTAGGTAAGTGACTCTTCTTCTGGGACTCAGTCTCCTCATCTGGAAAATGGGGATAATAAAAGGGATGCTTCATAGAGCAGATGAAAGACTTAAATGATATAACACCTACGAAGAACTTAGAACAATGCTGGGATTCACTTACTGAGCACCAACTGTGGTCCAGGCAGCATGCGAGGTCCTCTGCACATCTCAATGATTACTCACAGTGACCCTTTGTGGAACATATAATCCCCATTTTCAACAGAGGAAACTGAGGCTGAGAAGGGTGAAGTGACCTGTCCAAGGTCACACAGCTAGAAAGCAGCAGGGTTCTGGGAATGAGGAAACATTATGAGTGCCATTGTCCAGATGAGGAAACGGTGACCAGAGGAAGCATGTGCTGAGTGATTACAACCACAGTCACACTTGCTGAGCACCAGGGCAGGGTCTGGCACCTCATGTGCAGGATGTCCAGGTGACAGTCATGAGGGATAAGGCCGAGAGAGCAGCAGTCACTTGCCCAGAGGCTCAATGGTAGCAGAGGCAGAACTGAATCCTGCATAGTCTAGTACAGCACTGTAGTCTGGAGGTGCCCATGACCACCCTCAGGTTCAATGATTTGCTAGAATCATTGACTCACAGAACTCAGGAAACTGTTTTTGTTTGTCTGTCTGTTTGTTTTTGAGATGGAGTTTCACTCTTGTTGCCCAGGCTGGAGTGTAATTAATGGTGGGATCTCGGCTCACTGCATCCTCCACCTCCCAGGTTCAAGTGATTCTCCTGCCTCAGCCTCCAGAGTAGCTAGGATTACAGGCGTCTGCCACCACGCCCAGTTAATTTTTTGTATTTTCAGTAGAGACAGGGTTTCATCCTGTTCGCCAGGCTGGTCTCGAACTCCTGACCTCAAGTGATCCACCCGCCCCAGCCTCCCAAAGTGCTGGGATTACAGGCATGAGCCACCACGCCTGGCTGGAAACTGTTATACTCATGGTTATGGTTTATGACAGTGAAAGGATACAGACTGAAGTCAGCAAAGGGAAGAGGCACCCAGGGCAGAGTCCAGGACAGACCAGGTGTGAGCTTCCAGTCATCCTCTCCCAGTGGAGTCACATGGACAGTGCTTAATTTTCCCAGCAACGACATGTGACAGCATGCACAGTCTATTACGAACCAGGAAAGCTCACCTGAGCCTTGGTGGGCAGGGTTTTTATTGGGGGTCGGCCTCATATACGTGACTGATTGCTGGTGTGGCTGACTTTAGTCTCCAGCTCCTCCAGAGGCTGAGCTGGAGGCCTCCAGCATATATCACAGTGTTAACATAGACTATGCCACATGATCCAAGGCCCCAGGTAAACAAAGACACTCTAATCAGGCAGGACATTCCATGGGCTTAGAGGTTCCCTCCCGGGAGCTGATCAAGGGCCAAACCTTTCTCTGGGCAAGGTGAATCTTCTACTGCGCAACTACACCACCTCTCCACGCCCAAATAACTCCCCAGTCTGTGCAGACAGGAATGGGGAATCTGTCAGGGTTTGTGGGATTCATGTTTTGAGTTGGACAGGGTCTGAATCAGGCTGGCGGTAGGGGAAAGCATCTGTTTAATTTTTCTCCACAATGACCCTGTTTTCTCAACTCAACCTGTGTTCAGGAGGCTCATAAAGTCCTTGCCTCTGGTTTCTAACAGGCCACCCAGAATGCTCAGTGAGTGTTGGTCACTTAAAAAGGAGCACTCTGGGCCAGGTGTGGTGGCTCACACCTGTAATCCCAGCACTTTGGGAGGCTGAGGTGGGCGGATCACAAGGTCAGGAGATCAAGACCATCCATGGTAAAACCCTATCTCTACTAAAAATACAAAAACAAAAAATTAGCTGGGCATGGTGGCAGGCGCCTGTAGTCCCAGCTACTTGGGAGGCTGAGGCAGGAGAACGGCATCAACCCAGGAGGTGGAGCTTGCAGTGAGCCAAGATCACACCACTGCACTCCGCAGAGATCACATCACTGCACTCCAGCCTGGGTGACACAGCGAGACTCTGTCTCAAAAAAAAAGAGAAGGAGCACTCTGGCCAGGCATGGTGGTGCATGCCTGTAATCCCAGTACTTTGGGAAGCCGAGGTGGATGGATCTGAGGCCAGGAGTTCAAGACCAGCCTGGCCAACATAACAAAACTCCGTCTATTCCAAAAATACAAAAATTAGCCAGGCATGCTGGTGCCCACTTGTTGTTCCAGCTACTCAGGAGGCTCAGGCACAGGAAGTGCTTGAACCTGGGAGGTGGAGGCTTCAGTGAACCGAGATCATGCCACTGCACTCCAGCCTGGATGATAGAGCAAGACTCTGCCTCAAAAAAAAAAAAAAAAAAAAAAAAAAAAAGCACCCCAAGAGGGAGGGGGGAAGGAAACCCAGAGTTCTTCTGCCAGTGCCTGGTATATGTCCCTGCAGGGCCACTTCCTCTCTCTCAGAGCCTGTTTTCTCATCTGTAAAATGGGATAAGTCATTCCAAAGTTATATAATGTCATAAGGATTAATGTCACACACCACTGTAGCTTCACTAAGCAGTACAGGACCAGAAGGCAACCCCTTCCTGCTGTGTGTCCCCTAATATAACTGGACACAGCCATTCCACTCAGCTGTCCTTGCCGGCAATGGCCTAGCTACCTGCTTCCCCACCATAACCCACTGTCTGTCAGGAGTAGGGATTTTCCCTGTCTTTCACTTTGTCAACACCCAGAAGTCCATTTCAAAACAAATTCCCATTCCTTGAAGGTCATTTCTGAAAAACCCCACTCCTGGTACCAATTACTGAAGAAGCCTAAAACCTTTGATTGTAAGAACAATTCTGTACTTGGGTTTCTCTGCAAGGCATATCAGCACATATGTGGCATTCAGAATGTGTTAGCTATCTTGTTGATGGTGTTGGACGCACATAGTGGCAGCAATAGGATTTATTATTCTAATAAAAATTCACATTTGAACTACCATTTATTGGGAAGCGTTGAGGTGTGATAGCATCATAGTAAAGACCATGGGCTCTGAAGCCAGGCTTCCCAGACTTAAATCCTGACTCTACCACCTACCAGCTATGGACTTTGAGCAGGTAACTATGGGTATACAGACCTCAGTTTTCTTTTGTGGAAAACAGGGATAAATATGTTGCCAACCTCATGTAGTGCCTGGCAGGCTTAAATAACCTGATCTCTATAAAGTACTGAGCTATTTGGTATGTAATCACCCCTCAAGATATGTTTGTTATTATCTTCCACATGTGATTTACCTTCTGCATTCCTTCAAACTACTGTAAGAGGGAAGAACTGATTTTTCCTACTTGGAAAATGGGAAATGTAAGGTTCAGAGTGGTCAAGATATGTTCCCAAGGCCACACAGCAAGCGTGATTTAAACCCTGCCCTGCCTAACTGTGTCGTGCAGGGTCCATGCTTCCTTGACCATCTCTGAGCATTTTGGAGGACCTTGGTGCTACCTCACATGTTGTGTTCTATTATAGAGAGGCAGCAAAGTCTAGTGATTAAGAGAATAAAATCTGGAGAGAGACTGCTGGATTCAAATCTCAGAACTGTCATTTATTACTTGTAAAACCTTAAACAAATCACTGAATCTCTCTGTGTCTCAGTTTCCTCATCTTTAAAATGGTCATATAGAACTACTGGGCTGGGCACAGTGGCCACATCTGTAATCACAGCACTTTGGGAGGCCAAGGTGGGAAGATTGCTTGAGGCCAGGAGTTCGAGCCAGCCTGGGCAACATAGCAAGACCTCATCTCTACAGAAAAATTTAAAAGTTAGCCAGGTGTGATAGCACATACCTGTAGTTCCAGCTTCTTGGGAGGCTGAGGTAAGAGGATTGCTTGAGCCCAAGAGTTCGAGGGTGCAGTGAGCTGTGATTATGCCACTGCACTCCAGCCTGAGTAACAGAGATTCCATCTCTTTAAAAAAATACAATACTTAACCTTGTAGAGTTGTAGAACATAAATTAAGTAATACATGTAAAGTGCCTGGCACTTGCAATTGCATGGACAATTGCATGGCAAATATGAAGGGTTAACTCTTTGGGGACAGCAGAGGGAGGATGTACTGTGACCCCATCCTGACCCCTACCTCTGTCCTCGTTCTCTCCAGACATCTCCGTGAGCCTGCTGTCGGTCATCGTGACATTCTGTGGCATTGTCCTTCTGGGTGTCTCTCTCTTCGTGTCCTGGAAGTTGTGCTGGGTGCCCTGGCGGGACAAGGGAGGCTCGGCAGTGGGCGGTGGCCCCCTGCGCAAAGACCTAGGCCCTGGTGTCGGGCTGGCAGGCCTGGTAGGCGGAGGCGGGCACCACCTGGCGGCTGGCCTGGGTGGCCATCCTCTGCTGGGCGGCCCACACCACCATGCCCATGCCGCCCACCATCCACCCTTTGCTGAGCTGCTGGAGCCAGGCAGCCTGGGGGGTTCTGACACCCCTGAGCCCTCCTACTTGGACATGGACTCGTATCCAGAGGCTGCAGCAGCAGCAGTGGCCGCTGGGGTCAAACCGAGCCAAACATCCCCTGAGCTGCCCTCTGAGGGGGGAGCAGGCTCTGGGTTGCTCCTGCTGCCCCCCAGTGGTGGGGGCTTGCCCAGTGCCCAGTCACATCAGCAGGTCACAAGCCTGGCACCCACTACCAGGTGAGAGAGGATACTGGGTTGGGGGTCCACTCTGAACTTCTGCTCCTCCTCTGTGTCTCTTTCCTATCTATAGCTCTTATGAGTTCGGGATTTGGAGGGGAATCGGGGTATTGACTCCTGGATCTTAGGGAAAGAGGAGGCTGGGGCCCTAGACTCCTGGATCTGAGGGAGGTTGGGGCTGTGGGGTCTAGACCCCTTGGACCAGAAGAAGTAGGGGACTGGGGGCCTGAATTCCTGGGTCCAGAGGGAGGAGACTGGGGGCAGGACTTAGGACAGGAAAGTAGAGGAGAATAAGGTTGGATCCCCAAGTCCCCTGTGGCACAAGGCAGTTCACCCCCTTTCACCCTAAGCCAGGATTGGTAGTGGGACCTGGAGTTCCTTCATTCATTATTTCTCAATATACATGTAAATGTATATTGAGCACTGATATAAACTAGGCCTGAGAGGGGTGTTAGGAAAACACCAGACTCTGCCCTCCTGTCACTCACAGCGCAGGGGAGGCGACCCCCAGACTGGCTGTCCTGGTGTAGCCAGGTTGGTGAGACAGGAAAGCGACTCAGGGAACCGCAACTGGGAGAAGGCTGGGAGCTTCCTGGAGGTGGAGATGTCTCAGCTGAGACCTGCAGGCTGAGGGAGAGTTGGGAAGGCAAAGAGGCAGGGCTGTGACCTGGGCATTCCAGGTGAAAGGAGAGGCCCAGGCAAAGACAAGAGGAGAACGAGATCCTAGTGCATTGTGAGGACAGCCCACACCAAGGGGACAGCCAGGGCACCAAGCCTTAGTCACCAAGGCATGAGAATAAGTTTGAAAAACGGAAAACTTCAGGCTGGGCGCAGTGGCTCATGCCTGTAATCCCAGCACTTTGGGAGGCCGAAGTGGGCAGATCACTTGAGGTCAGGAGTTCGAGACCAGCCTGGCCAATATGGTGAAACCCCATCTCTACTAAAAATACAAAAACAAACAAACAAAAATAGCCGGGCATGGTTGTGTGTGTCTGTAATCCCAGCTACTCGGGAGGCTGAGACGGGAGAATCTCTTGAACCTGGGAGCCAAGATTGCACCACTGTACTCCAGCCTGGGCAGCAGAGTGAGACTCCATCTCAAAAAAAAAAAAAAAAAAGAAAGAAAGAAAAAAGAAAAAGAAAACTTCAGAGATGTGACTACAGACACCAGACCACATGGGGCTTTGAGTGCCCGCCTGAGGGTCTGGGACTTTGTCCTGAGGGCACTGAGGAGCCATGGGAGGGCTGTGAGCAGGGGAGGGGCAGGCTCAGCTCTGGGTGTAGAAGGAACCCTCTGGGGCCATATGGGAGTGGGCTGGAGGGAGACACTGGAGGCTGAGAGTCCAGGAGAGGACAAGGCCTGAGCTGTGACCAGGACAGTGGGGATAGAGAGGAGAGACAGCCGGGGAGATTAAGAGAAGGGCAGAAGAGCGTTCAAAGAAGGTCTGCCAGGGGTCCATGGAGAAGCATCCTGGGTCACCAGCTTGAGGTCCAAAAGAGGTTACTGGAAGCTGGTTTATGCACAGGTCTGGGCTGGAGCTAGCTTTGAAATGGGGAGAATGAGGCTGGGTGTGGTGGCTCACACCTGTAATCCCAGCACTTTGGGAGGCCGAGGCGGGCAGATCATCTGAGGTCAGGAGTTTAAGACCAGCCTGACCAACATGGTGAAACCCCATCTCTGCTAAAAATATAAAAATTAGCCGGATATGGTGGTGCATGCCTGTAATCCCAGTTACTCGGGAGGCTGAGGCAGGATAATCACTTGAACCTGGGAGGCAGAGTTTGCAGTGGGCCGAGATCGCGCCTTTGCACTCCAGCCTGGGTGACAAGAGCAAAACTTCGTCTCAAAAGAAAAGGAAAGAAGGAAGGAAGGAAAGAAGGGAGGGAGGGAGGGAGGGAGGGAGAGAAGGAATGCCCCCCAGATACCAATGGGGAATCTGAGGCTCAGAGAGCACAGTGGCTTCCTCAAGCTCACACAGTGAGCAAAGGAGGGGACTTGTGGCCACCTGGCTGGGGGATGGGGGGAAAGGCAGGGAGGAGTCTCCCAGGTCTCTGCATGCAGTCGAAGATCAGAGCCACTGACCTCACCTTGGTCTCCCCCCAACCCCCTACAGGTACCCAGCCCTGCCCCGACCCCTCACCCAGCAGACTCTGACCTCCCAGCCGGACCCCAGCAGTGAGGAGCGGCCACCTGCCCTGCCCTTACCCCTGCCTGGAGGCGAGGAAAAAGCCAAACTCATTGGGCAGATTAAGCCAGAGCTGTACCAGGGGACTGGCCCTGGTGGCCGGCGGAGCGGTGGGGGCCCAGGCTCTGGAGAGGCAGGCACAGGGGCACCCTGTGGCCGTATCAGCTTCGCCCTGCGGTACCTCTATGGCTCGGACCAGCTGGTGGTGAGGATCCTGCAGGCCCTGGACCTCCCTGCCAAGGACTCCAACGGCTTCTCAGACCCCTACGTCAAGATCTACCTGCTGCCTGACCGCAAGAAAAAGTTTCAGACCAAGGTCCGGAGCAGCGGGCTGGACACCGGGTTCCCACAGAGAGGGAGCTAGGGCTCTGGACTCCCGGGTCTGAGGGAGGAGGGGCTGGGGGCCTGGACTCCCGGGTCTGAGGGAGGAGGGGCTGGGGGCCTGGACTCCCGGGTCTGAGGGAGGAGGGGCTGGGGGCCTGGACTCCTGGGTCTGAGGGAGGAGGGGCTGGGGGCTGGACTCCTGGATCCTGTGGAGGAGGGGCTTATGGGCACGGTGTCTGTCTCCTGTCGCCCACCACCACCAGGTGCACAGGAAGACCCTGAACCCCGTCTTCAATGAGACGTTTCAATTCTCGGTGCCCCTGGCCGAGCTGGCCCAACGCAAACTGCACTTCAGCGTCTATGACTTTGACCGCTTCTCGCGGCACGACCTCATCGGCCAGGTGGTGCTGGACAACCTCCTGGAGCTGGCCGAGCAGCCCCCTGACCGCCCGCTCTGGAGGGACATCGTGGAGGGCGGCTCGGTCAGTGGCCCTCTCCCCTGACCTTCCCCTTCCCAGGGCCCTGAGACCCCCCGGGTTGCAAGCCCCCTGCCCTCAGAGTTCATAACTTCCTCACTTCTTGTCCCCACATTTTTCTGTTAAAATGTATCACACTGGGGAAGACTGCAAACTTACAGGCAAGAATAGAGAATGAGCCGGGCGCGGTAGCTCATGCCTATAATCCCAGCACTTTGGGAGGCCAGGTGGGCAGATCACTTGAGGTTGGGAGTTCGAGACCAGCCTGGCCAACATGGAGAAACCCCATCTCTACTAAAAATACAAAAATTAGCCGGGCATGGTGGCACATGCCTGTAATCCCAGCTACTTAGGAGGATGAGGCAGGAGAATCGCTTGCACCAGGAAGTGGAGGTTGTGGTGAGCAGAGATCATGCCATTGCACTCCAGCGTAGGCAACAAGAGCGAAACTCCGTCTCAAAAAAAAAAAAAAAAGAACAGATAATGATACAGTGGACACCATTCCTCTCCTCAACATCGCCAAATGTTAGCATCAGGTCTGGATCCGATTTTCCAACCTCTCACCCGCTTTGCCATAGGATGCCTTCCTGCCTCAACCCCATGACTTCTCCCCTCTCACCCCAGACTTCTTACCTTCCTAACTTCCTGACTTTCCAATGACTGGACTTCTGGAAGCCCCAGTCCCTCTCTAATCTCTGAACTTCTGAAAGCCCCAATCCCTCTCTAATCTCTGAACTTCTGAATTTTCCCAACCCCTGACATTGGAACTCTTTCATATTCTGACCCTCTGTTTTTTCATGGTCCCTGCCCGAATGCTGATAGCTTGATCCCCCAGGCCTCAGCCATCCTGGGATCCCCAATATGCAGACACTCCTCAGTTCTCCCAGCATCCAGATTATAGGGCCCAATGGCTTCTTCCTTATTCCTTGCGACCCCTGCCCTCTGGTATCTCATTCTCCCTGTACCTCCAATCCCTCCCCAGCCCCATTCTTAGGTACTTCTTGTGTGTGTGTCCTGAGCTCTTCTGCCCCACCAAATCTCAGATCCTCAACTCTACAGCGCCCCCGCTCCAACCTAATTTGTGGATTATCCAACATTCCAGTTCTCTGCCAATCTGGGGTAGCTGTGTGTGTGTTGTGGGGAGGGCGGCCTTCATATCAGGAGAGGACTAGACCTCCTCAAGGTTCTTTCCTTTTCTGAGCCTCAGTTTCCCCATCTGTTCAATGACAGATGTCCAGTTGAGCTGGGTGCCAGGTAGGCTTTTTGGGTAGCTCTTTGGGTAGGCTTCTTCATGGGGCCCTCCCCAGCCTGCCTGCTTGGCCCCCAAGCCCAGCCTTTGAGATTGAAGTGCCCAGTTCCAAGGTCCCAGGGCCCCTGTGTATTCCACCAGCTCCTACTCCCAGTCATCACCCATGGCAGCCCCATGCCAGGGCCTTCTCTCTGTATCCATGCTGGCCTAATTCTTGTGCTCACCCTTCTCATTTTCTCTCTCCATCATCATCACTTGAGGTTTTCCTCACTCATTCCATTGATTCATACATTCTCTCTCTCTCATTTTTTTTTTTTTTTTTTTGAGACAGAGTCTCTCTCTGTCACCCAGGCTGGAGTACAGTGGCGCAATCTCAGCTCACTGCAACCTCCACCTCCCGGGTTCAAGTGATTGTGATTCTCATGCTTCAGTCACCCAAGTAGCTGGGATTACAGGCACCTGCCACCATGCCCGGCTAATTTTTGTATTTTTAGTAGAGACAGGGTTTCGCCATGCTGGCCAGGCTGGTCTCGAACTCCTGAGCTCAGGTTAACCGCCCACCTCAGCCTCCCAAAGTGCTGGGATTACAGGCATCAGCCACTGCACCCAGCCTTCATTCATTTCTTCAACCACTGTTTTTTTCAGGAGCAGGGCCTGGGGACCCCAGGCAGCCCTCGGCAGCTCCAGGTCTAGATGGTCGGGCCTTGTGTCAGGGGCCAGGGTTATGGGGAGGCACAGGAGGAGCCTCTGCAGGGCTGTGGGGGATCTGGGAGCTTGTGGAACGAGGGGAGGCTCAAAGGCCAAGGAGAGATAGAGGGAAGAGTGTTCTGGCAGAGGGACAGCCTGGGCAGATGCCCTGAGGGGAATGAGTAGGGAGTCCTGGGCACAGTTGGGAGGCCGCAGGGCTAGGCCAGGTTGGTCAAAGCTCCCAGCTAGCTCCAGCGTGGCTCCAGCCTGTGTGTCAGGGTTGGGGGCAGTCCTGGAAACTTCGGTGGAGGTTGATGAATCTCCTGCCCTCTCTCAGGCTGGTTTATGTGTGTGTGTCTGCTTGGTCTTTGTCCCACTCTGTCTGAGTCAGCCTCTCTCTCTCTCTCTCTCTTTCTCTTGGTGCAGGGAGTAGGGTATCTGAGTCTAGGTTTCTCTCTCGCTCTCTGGTCTCTGCCCCTCCACTCTAATTCTAGGTAACTATCACTCTCTCTGGGTCTTTATGCACCCCCAACCCACTGTCTCTGTCCCTCTCTCTCTCTGGGCCTCTGTCTCTCTCTGAGTCTCTCTCTATATATATCTCTCTCTCTTTCTCTCTCTGGGTCTCTGTACCCCCTGTCTCTGGGCTTCTGTCTCTCTCTGGGTCTCTATCTCTCTGTCTCTGGGTCTCTGTCCCCCTCTCTGTCTGGGTCTCTGCCCCTTTCTCTCTCTGGGTCTGTCCTCCTCTCTCTGGGTCTCTGTCCCCCTCTCTTTCTGGGCCTCTGTCCTCCTCTCTCTCTGGGCTTCTGTCCTCCTCTCTCTCTGGGTCTCTGTCCTCCTCTCTGGGTCTCTGTCCCCCCCCCTCTCTCTCTGGGCCTCTGTCCCCCTCTCTCTCTGGGTCTCTGTCTCCCTCTCTTTCTGGGTCTCTGTCTCCCTCTCTCTGGGTCTCTCTCTGTGTCTGTCTCTGGGCCTCTGTCCCTCTGACTTGAGAACTTTGCCTGTGGGTCTGTCTTTCCAGCTGTATCCCTCCGTGTTTTGGCTTCTGTCTCAGTCTATTTCTCTTTGTGTTTTCTCTCTCTCTCACCTTCTCTGTCTCTCCCCTCCTCTCTCTCTCCCCTCACTCATGCTTCTTCCAATCTTTCCTGCAGAACAAATAAGCTTTGATGGTCATGGGCAGCTGTGGCCAGGGAATTACTGGGCCTTGTCCCAAGAGTCAGATTGCTAAGTGGATGGGAAGCCTGAGCCCTGGATGTCAGGGTGTAAAGCAGGAGGCTCCGACCGGAGAGAAAATCAGGGAGAGTTGAAGAGGGGCTGAGGCAAGATATCGCTGACCTTTTCCCCAACTGCAGGAAAAAGCAGATCTTGGGGAGCTCAACTTCTCACTCTGCTACCTCCCCACGGCCGGGCGCCTCACCGTGACCATCATCAAAGCCTCTAACCTCAAAGCGATGGACCTCACTGGCTTCTCAGGTGAGGGTCCTGGGTCTGAGGGAGGAGGGCTGGGGGCCTGGACTCCTGGGTCTGAGGGAGGAGGGGCCAGGGGCCTGGACTCCTGGGTCTGAGGGAGGAGGAGCTGGGGATCTGGACTCCTGGGTCTGAGGGAGGAGGGGCCAGGGGCCTGGACTCCTGGGTCGGAGAGAGGAGGACCTGGGGTCTGGACTCTTGGGCCTGAGGAAGGAGGGACTGGGGGCCTGGGGCCCCGGACCTCTGGGTCTGAGGGAGGAGGGGCTCGGGGCCTGGGGTCCTGGACCCCTAGGTCTGAGGGAGTGAGTCTCTGTTCCTTACTTCATTGCTGTTCCCAGACCCCTACGTGAAGGCCTCCCTGATCAGCGAGGGGCGGCGTCTGAAGAAGCGGAAAACCTCCATCAAGAAGAACACGCTGAACCCCACCTATAATGAGGCGCTGGTGTTCGACGTGGCCCCCGAGAGCGTGGAGAACGTGGGGCTCAGCATCGCCGTGGTAGACTACGACTGGTGAGGGGCGCGGCCCGGGCGGGGGTCAGGCAGGAGGGCTGGGGTGGGGACAGGCCCTCCCACCACCCTCCACGGTCCTCACTGACCCCAACCCCCAGCATCGGGCACAACGAGGTGATCGGCGTGTGCCGTGTGGGCCCCGACGCTGCCGACCCGCACGGCCGCGAGCACTGGGCAGAGATGCTGGCCAATCCCCGCAAGCCCGTGGAGCACTGGCATCAGCTAGTGGAGGTGAGTAGGGGTCCCACACCGACCCCTGACAAGCACCCGTGCACCCTCGGCCCCTTCATCCATGCAACGAACGCCCTGCATGTTCGTGAGTCGCAGAGCCAGGCGTCCTAGGTTTCAATCCCTGCTGTGCCAACTTTAGCTGTGCGGCTTAGAGCCAGTTACCCAAGCGCTCTGTGCCTCAATTTACCCACTAGGAAATGGGACTGTTGATAGCATCTTCTGTTAGGATAGAGGTGAGATGTGCTGAGTTAAACGTTCTGTAGGTGGTCGCTGCTGTTGTTACCCATGAGGCTAAGTTGAAAATAGAGGGGGCTGGGCGTGGTGGCTCACGCCTGTAATCCCAGCACTTTGGGAGGCCGAGGAGGGTGGATCACCTGAGGTCAGGAGTTTGAGACCAGCCTGACCAACATGGAGAAACCCTGTCTCTACTAAAAATACAAAATTAGCTGGGCGTGGTGGCGCACGCCTGTAATCCCAGCTACTTGGGAGGCTGAGGCAGGAGAATCGCTTGAACCTGGGAGGCAGAGGTTGCGGTGAGCTGAGGTGGCGCCATTGCACTCCAGCCTGGGCGACAGAGCAAGACTCTGTCTCAAAAAAAAAAAAAAAAGTCATTTAAGATTATCGCTTGATCAGGAGAAATAATCAAACATGGCCATTCTCTCAATAGAAAACAAGAGGAGCAAAGAAGTAGCTTTAGAAAGTGTTATTGGCAGATTTGCCTCCATTAAAAGCCAAGAAAGTCAAATTATTCAAATTCTGTCTAGGGTATATATGAAAGATTTAAATGTAAAATAATGTTGTGAATTTCAACACACTTACTTCATTTTTCAGTATTTTTCAACTAGTTTAGCATTCCAGGAAAAATAAATTTAGAAAAAATATATAAAAACTTGGGCAGGGCACAGTGGCTCATGCCTGAAATCCCAGCACAGGCCTTGGGAGGCCAAGGTGGGTGGATCACTTGAGCCTGGGAGTTTAAGACTAGCCTGAGCAACATGGGGAGAGCCTGTCTCTACAAAAATAATTTAGGAATTAGCTAGGCATGGTAGTGTGTGCTTATAGTCCCTGCTACTCAGGAGGCTGAGGCAGGAGGATCTCTTGAGCCCAGGAGTTTGTTACTGCAGTGAGCTATGATCTCACCACCACACTCCAGCCTGGGCAATGGAGCAGGAACCCCTCTCCTTAAAAAAAAAAAAAAAGCAAGTATATGAGGGCACATACATTTCCTTTGAAATAGCAGTCTGATGTGGCATGAGACTGGCCTTTTTTAAAAATTTGATATTTTCTTCATCATTGATTTTTTTGCATTAATTTTGATTTTTTTTAAAATCTTGCATTATTATTATTATTGTTATTATTGAGACAGAGTCTCACTCTGTCACCCAGGCTGGAGTGCAGTGTTGCAGTCTTGGCTCACTGCAACCTCCCCCTCCCTGAGTACAAGTGATTCTCCTGCTTCAGCCTCCCAAGTAGCTGGGACTACAGGCGTGTGCCACCTCACCCTGCTAATTTTTTTTTTTTTTTTTTTTTTTTTTTTTTTTTTTTTTTGTAGAGACAGGGTTTTGCCATGTTGTCCAGGCTGGTCTCAACTTCCCACCTCAAGTGATCCACCCACCTTGGGCTCCCAAAGTGCTGGGATTATAGGCGTGAGCCACCGCGCCTGGCCAATATTGCATGAAATATTCTTTATCTTGATTGCTGCATTTGGGGCACACATTTACATTTAGTACTGGGTGAAACTTTCACCACATCACCAGATTTAGTCTGGCCCTGCTGTGGGCTTTTTTCCAGTGATCATGAGGGACCCGACACCTGGGCACAGAACTCAGATTTGAGATTGGAAAAGACGGGGACTCTACTAAGGTGGATAGGATGGAGGCTACTCCCTCCTCCTGTCATTCACTCATTCATCCGTTCATTAATTCATCCCACCAACCTTCCCAGGAGTTTCTGGTGAGCCACTGCCCATGTTGGGCAACGCTGGTGGCACAGAGTCTAGGCCGAGTCCTGACACTGCCCATGAATTTCAGCCCCTCATGCTCCCTGTGGCCCCAGAAGATCCTTCTACACCCAGAGCTTCCCCTCCCCTTCCTTGCTCACAGCCCTCCCGTGGCTCCCCAGTGGCCCCAGGACAGAGTCTCAGCCCCTCTGATACCATGCAGGACTTGCCCCACTCATCCCTACAGCCTCATCTCTCCTCGCATTTGCAGAGACTCCTCTTTTTTGTGCCTCCATTTCCCCATCTGTAGAATGGAATTGTAATACCATCTGTCCGTCACTTCAGGGCCAAGTGAGAAAGCGCATCCTAAATAATGAAACAGGATTGACGTCTTCTCCTGTTGATGATTAGCATCTGTTTCAACTCTCTGTCTCTCACTCCCGAACCTTCTGCACTTTCTCCTTTAGGAAAAGACTGTGACCAGCTTCACAAAAGGCAGCAAAGGACTATCAGAGAAAGAGAACTCCGAGTGAGGGGTAAGCAGCCTGGCCACAGGGAAGGGGCTGGGGGTGGAGATGCCTGCGTCTGAGGGAGGAGGGGCTGGGGGCCTGGACTCCTGGGTCTGAGGGAGGAGGGGCTGCGCCTGGGACTCCTGGATCTCTGGGTGGTGATGGAGCTACAGGAGGTCGTGGTGCAGTTCTCTGCCATTGCTGACCCCTCCTTTCCTGCTCCATCGTGCAGGTCTGGCCTAGGCCCGGGATCGGACCAGGCTCCCTCAGGACCCCATCCTTTCCTGCCCGGACCGTGAATTCATCTCCTTGAAGCCATAACGTCCGAGCTGCTGGTGCGGGGCAGCCCTGGCCCTAGGCTTCCTAACCCTGGAAGCGAGAGGATGAGAGGAGGCCGGCCCAGCTCCTTCTTTCAGGGTGGGGGTCATTCAGCCTCCACTGTGTCTGTCTTTTCTTCCCTGGGGCTCCCCCTCGAGGCGAGGGGCCATGCATGTCTGGGGGACCCCTGCCCCCCAAAACCCTCTGTCTGTCTCTGTCTCTTTGCTGTTTGTCCAAGACTCAGTGTCCCGACCCTTGTTCTCGCCGTGAATGTCAATGGGCCAATCCTCTCTGTCCTTTCAGACACACACACACCTGTGTCCACCCCTTCTGTTCGCCACACCCCTGCGTCTGGCCGGTCCCCCCACTGCTGCTGCTATCAACGCCAGAATAAACACACTCTGTGGGTCTCACTCCAACTGGGCCTCCTGTCCTCTCTGAGACTGGGAAACCGGATTGGAACATGCTGGCTCTGCAAGCAGACAAATTTGTGTTTCTTTCAATGACTGGGCAACTTAATGATCTCTCTGAGCCTCAGTTTATAAAAATGGTGTTAGTCAGGATCATTGTGAGTACAGAACACAAAATTCAACCCAAAGCCATAAACAGAATTGAAAGACCTCTGTCCATGGAAAGCCTATGAACACATTGAACACAGAGGGACTTCAGGCTGTTCAAGGGACTCTCACTTCTGCTTTCCTCTTTTTTTTTTTGGATGGAGTTTCACTCTTGTTGCCCAGGCTGGAGTGCAGTGGTGTGATCTCGGCTCACTGCAACCTCGCGGTTTCAAGCAATTCTCCTGCCTCGGCCTCCTGAGTAGCTGGGATTACAGCCGCTCGCCACCACGCCTGGCTAATTTTTTGTATTTTTAGTAGAGACGGGGTTTCACCATGTTGGCAGGCCGGTCTCAAACTGCTGACCTCCTGTGATCTGCCCGCCTTGGCCTCCCAAAGTGCTGGGATTACAGGCGTGAGCCACCGCGCCTGGCTATTGGCTTCTCTCTCGGGTAGGTGTTTGCAGTGGCAATGAGATGGTCACTTGGAGCTCCAGGTGTATAATGCTGTATCTGTTATGATACCTTCGGCTGAAAAAAAAAAAAAAAACTTCCCAACTGAAAGAGAAAGATTTTTTTGCATGTTTGCATATCAAATTTTTCAAAGACAGTCCCAGGGTTGGTTCAGCTGCTCAACAACATTAGGCTCTGGTTGGCATCTCTGAGACTGGTGTTCGTTCCCCTCCTGAGTACAAACTGTCTATAGCAGCATCATGTTTTCACACACTGGCATCTAAATCAGGCAGTGTAGACCGGGGCCTCCCCTTCTGTGTTCCCCATTTTTCCTCCTCAGAATAATTCTCCTTATTTCTCTCTTGCCAGAACCCGGCTGTGTGGCTACCCCGAGTTGCAAAGCGGTCTGGGTAGTGAACATCTGTCATTTCCAGTCCCCATGGTGGGGTGCGGGCTTTGCCTAGAGGAAGCACGGGGAGGGGAACTATTGTTGGGTAGGAAATTAACAGGATCTGCTGCCATTGCAAGAAATTAACAGGACTTGTAATTGCCTTCAGAGCAGATAACTTCAGAGGAAACAATGTGAGAATCAGCTGGCTCCCAGCTGCTGTGTCATTCAGGAACAGGATTCTGATTGGTCCAGCGCAGACCTTGGAGACACCCCGGGCCAATCATTGGGTCCAGTTTGGAGCCTACTCTTGGGCCCGCCTCCTGCCTTTGCTGACTCCTCCTCCTCCTCCCCTGCCCATCTTGCCCAGGATTGGTCCAAAGCCCCTCTGCACCTCATCCCTTTTTGCTGGAGGGATGAATTCATCTCCTGGAAGCCATATATGTAGGGGTCCCTTGACTGACAGTTCCAAGTGAATCACACGGCAATGGGCAAGGGACAGTCCCTCAAAGCAGTAGGTGTCCACTACATTCTACCCTCAGCTACTTCACACTAATTCACATCTACATTCCGGGACACAACATTTCAAAAACTCCCACTGCAAAAATTGGTCCAATCACTGTGTCAGTTTGCTAGGACTGATGTAACAAGTTACAATAACCTAGCTGAAAACAACAGAAATTTATTCTCTCACAGCTCTGGAGGCCAGAAGTCTGAAGTCAATGTGGTAGTAACCACCAGGCACAGTGGCTCATGCCTGTAAATCCCAGCACTTTGGGAGGCTGAGGCAGGAGGATCGCTCAAGCCCAGGAGTTTGAGACCAGGTAATATGGTGAGATTCTCTTAAAAAAAAAAAAAAAAATTGGCCGGGCATGGTGATGTTCACTTGTAGTTCCAGCTACTTTGGAGGTCGAGGTGGGAGTATTGCTCGAGCTCAGGAGTTCGAGACCAGCCTGGGCAGCATAGCAAGACCCTGTCTCTACAAATAATAGTAGTAGTAGTAGTAGTAATAATAATAATAATAATAATAATAATAATAATAATAATAATAAAATTATCCAGGTATAATAATAATAATAATAATAATAATAATAATAATAAAATTATCCAGGCATGATGGTGCTCACCTGTAGTCCCAGCTACTCTGGTGGCTGAGGCAGGAGGATCACTTGAGCCCAGGAGTTTGAGGCTGCAGTGAGCTGTGATGGCACTGCTGCCCTGCATCTCAAAAACATGATGCCGTGTGATACAGCCAGATACAAGGGTATATGCTGTAGGATTCCACTTTTGTGAAACTGTAGAAAGAAAACACTAATATGGGCAGGGCATGGTGGCTCACGCCTGTAATCCTAGCACTTTGGGAGGCTGAGGCAGGCGGATTACTTGAGATCAGAAGTTCAAAAGCAGCCTGGCACCTGTAATCCCAGCTACTTGGGAGGCTGAGGTAGGAGAATCGGGAGGCGGAGGTTGCAGTGAGCCGATCATGCCACTGCACTCCAGCCTGGGCAACAGAGTGAGACTCCAACTCAAAAAAGAGAGAAAGAAAGAGAGAGAGAGAAGGAAGGAAGGAAGGAAGGAAGGAAGGAAGGAAGGAAGGAAGGAAGGAAGGAAGGAAGGAGAGAGAGAGAAAGAAAGAAAAAAGAAAAGAAAAGAAAAGAAAGAGAAAGAAAGAAAGACGCCAGAGGCCAGGCACAGTGGCTCACCCTGTAATCCCAGCACTTTGGGAGGCCAAGGCAGGTGGATCACGAGGTCAGGAGTTCAAGACCAGCCTGGCCAACATGGTAAAACCCCATCTCTACTAAAAATACAAAAATTAACCGGGTGTGGTAGCGAGTGCCTGTAATCCCAGCTACTTTGGAGGCTGAGGCAGGAGAATGGCTTGAACCTGGGAGGCGGAGGTTGTAGTGAGCTGAGATCACACCACTGAACTCCAGCCTGGGTGACAGAGTAAAAGAAAAGAAAAGAAGAGAAGAGAAGAAAAGAGAAAAGAAAAGGCTAATACGCAGGGGCAGAAAATGGATTAGTGGTTGACTGGGGGCAGTGGCAGTGGTTATGGAGAGACTGATTACTAGTGGACACAGGGAAACTTTCCGGATGATGGAAGTGATCACACAACCGAATACATTTGTCAAAATTCATTGCGCTTAAAATTGGTTCATTTAAATTCTTGTACATTGTTGCAAAATACACATAACACAAACTTTATCATCTTAGCCAATTTTTTTTTTTTGAGACGGAGTCTCGCTGCAATGCCCAGGCTGGAGTGCAATGGCATGATCTTGGCTCACTGCAACCTCCACTTCCCCGGTTCAAGCGATTCTCCTGCCTCAGCTTCCAGAGTAGCTGAGATTACAGGCATGAGCCACCTCCCCAGGACTTAGCCAATTTTAAGTGTACAGTTGCATTGTTGTGCAATCATCACCCCTACTCATCTCCACTCTTTCCTCTTGTAGAATTGAAACTGTTCCCATCAAGCAACTCCCACTGCCTTCCCTTCCCAGCCCCTGGGAAGCACGTTCTACTCTCTGGGAAATTCCCTATGAATTTGACTACTCTAGGTACCTCATGTAAGTGGAATCATACAGCATCTGTCTTTTTGTGATGGGATTGTTTCACTTAGCATGAATGTCCTCAGGCTTCACCCATGTTGTAGCATGTGTTAGCATTTCCTTCCTTTTTAAGGTTAAATAATTTTCCATTATGGGCCAGGCACAGTGACTCACACCTGTAATCCCAGCACTTTGGGAGGAAGAGGCAGGCGGATCACGAGGTCAGGAGATCGAGACCATCCTGGTCAACATGGTGAAACCCCATCTCTACTAAACTACAAAAAATTAGCCGGGCGTGGTGGCAGGCGCCTATAGTCCCAGCTACTCGGGAGGCTGAGGCAGGGGAATCACTTAAACCTGGGAGGCGGAGGTTGCAGTGAGCCAAGATCGCACCCCTGCACTCTAGCCTGGGCGACAGAGCGAGACTCCATCTCAAAAAAAAAAATCCATTATGTGTATATACCACATTTTGTCGAACCATTTATTTGTTGATGAACAGCTGGGTTGCCTCCTTCACCTTTTGGGTATTGTAAATAATGCTGCTATGAAAGTGTGTTGCAAATATCTTTTTGAAATATTGATACATTTTCTTGTACACAAATTATATTTTGATAAAGTTGGCTAAAACTAATACTCCCACCTAACATAACTATCTCTAGTGCAACTGCAGAAGCTTTCACCCCTTCTGCAAAGGGAGGGATCCCAAAGCCACATCCAATCCTCAGACCAAGATTTCTGGATATTGGCTATTCCTTTCATCAAGGGCACATGGAGTCTCTCTTGATCCTGAAAATTAATGTTAAGGCTGGGCACGGTAGCTCACACCTGTAATCCCAGCACTTTGGGAGGCCAAGGCAAGTGGATCACCTGAGGTCAGGAGTTCAAGACCAGCCTGGCCAGCATGGTGAAACCCTGTCTCTACTAAAAGTACAAAAATTAGCCCGGCATGGTGGCACACACCTATAATCCCAGCTACTCGGGAGGCCGAGGCAGAAGAATCACTTGAACCTGGGAGGCGGAGGTTGCAGTCAGCGGAGATTGTGCCACTGCACTCCAGCCTGGTGACAGAGCAAGACTCCATCTAAAAAAAAAATTAATGTTAAATGAAATTGTAGCCCCCTCAGCAACCCACCCCTGTGTATAACAGTGGAGGAAAAACAAGAAAACAATCACAATTCTCACTTGAAAGGGGAGGGAAGAGAAACAAAATAGTATATGCCATTTGCTGGACTTGCCAAGACTCCTCCACTTTCAAGAGACAAAAAACTGGCCTTTTAAAAAATTATTGCCAAGCTCGGTGGCTCATGCCTGTAATCCCAGCACTTTGAGAGGCTAAGATGGGAGGATCACTAGAGCCCAGGAGTTCGAGACCCAGCCTTGGCAACATAGCAAGACTCCATCTCTTTAAATATATATATATATATAAATAGCCAAGTGCCATGGTGTGCACCTGTAGTCCCAGCTACTCAGGTGGGAGGATCGCTTGAGCCCAGGAGGTCAAGGCTGCAGTGAGCCATGGTTGAGCCACTGCAGTCCAGTCTGGATGACAGAGACCCAGTTTCAAAAAAACAATTATTGAAGTACAACATACTCACAAAGAAACTCACAAATACCCAGTAAGTATGGATCAGATAACAGACTGAGCACACCATGTAACCATGGGTAACCAGCCCTGGGTCAGGAACTAGAACATTACCAGCTCTCCAAACCCCTCATGCTCCTTGTCAGTCACTTTTTTGTGTTTTTTTTTTTTTTGAGACAGAGTCTCGCCTGGAGTGCAGTGGCGCTATCTCGGCTCACTGCAAGCTCCGCCTCCTGGGTTCACGCCATTCTCCTGCCTCGGCCTCCCGAGTAGCCGGGACTACAGGCGCCTGCCACTATGCATGGCTAATTTTTTTGTATTTTTAGTAGAGACGGGGTTTCACCGTGTTAGCCAGGATGGTCTCGATCTCCTGACCTCATGATCTGCCCACCTCGGCCTCCCAAAGTGCTGGGATTACAAGCGTAAGCCACCGCGCCCGGCCCCTTGTCAGTCACTTCTTTACCTCAAAAGTAACTACTACCCTGATTTCTGACACCATAAGTTAGTTTGCCTTGTTTTTTATCTTAATCTGCTTGGAATCCTACAAGCATAGAGACTTGTGTGTTGGAATTCTCTCTTTTTTTTTTTTTTTTTTTTTTGAGACGGAGAGTCGCTCTGTCACCAGGCTGGAGTGCAGTGGCATGATCTCAGCTCACTGCAACCTTCGCCTCCCAGGTTCAAACGATTCTCCTGCCTCAGCCTCCTGAGTAGCTGGGATTACAGGTGCGCACTACCACACCCGGCTAATTTTTTGTATTTTTAGTAGAGACAGGGTTTCACCATGTTGGCCAGGATGGTTTCTATTTCTTGACCTTGTGATCTGCCCATCTCGGCCTCCCAGAGTGTTGGAATTACAGGCGTGAGCCATTGCACCTGGCCTGAATTGTTTTATTCATCATACGTCTATGAGATTTGTCCATGTAGTTGCTGATTGTTGGAGGTTGTTCATTGTCATTGCTGTATAAGAGTGTGTTATGAGCCAGGCATGGTGGCTCATGCCTATAATCCTAGCACTTTAGGAGGGTGAGGCAAGCAGATAGCTTGAGCACAGGAGTTCAAGACCAGCCTGAGCAACATAGCAAGACCCCGTCTCTACAAAAAAAATACAAAAATTAGTGGGGTGTGGTGGTGCGTGCCTGTCATCTCAGCTACTTGGGAAGCTGAGGTGGGAGGATGGCTTGAGCTTGGGAGGCAGAAATTGCAGTGAGCTGAGATCACACCACTGCACTACAGCCTGGGTGACAGAGGACAATCTTGTCTCAAAAAAAAAAAAGTGTGTTATGGGAATACATAATAATCTATGTATCCATTCTACTGTTGATTGACATTTAGGTGCCTTCTGATTTGGCATGATCACTTATAGTACTGCTATATACATTGAATTTTGGTGAACATATGTAGGCATTTCTGTATTTCTGTTGGGTATATACCTAGAAGTGTAATTGCTGGGTCCCAGGGTGTATACATGGTGTGTGCATGTTCATCTTTTTTTTTTTTTTGAGATGGGAGTGGCCAGGCTGGTCTTGACCTCAGGTGATCTGCCGCCTCCCGAAGTGTTGGAATTACAGGCGTGAGTCACCATTCCCAGCTTCATGTTCATCCTTCATAGACACTGCCAACCAGGTTTTCAAACTAATTTTCTCCATTTATACACCCACTAGCAGTCTCTGAGAATTTCAGTTGCTCGCCAACATTTGGTATTGTTAGTCCTTTCAATTTTAGCAATTCTGGTGGGGCTGTAGCCGTGTTTTATTATGGTTTTAATTTACCTTTAGCCCAATGCCTAAAGAAATTTAACACCGTTTCGGGCCAGGCGCAGTGGCTCATGCCTGTAATCCCAGCACTTTGGGAGGCCGAGGCGGGTGGATCACGAGGTCAGGAGATCGAGACCACGGTGAAACCCCGTCTCTACTAAAAATACAAAAAATTAGCTGGGCGCGGTGGCGGGTGCCTGTAGTCCCAGCTACTCAGGAGGCTGAGGCAGGAGAATGGCGTGAACCCGGAAGGCGGAGCTTGCAGTGAGCCAAGATCACGCCACTGCACTCCAGCCTGGGAGACAGAGCGAGACTCAGTCTCAAAAAAAAAAAAAAATAGAAAGAAATTTAACACCATTTCAAATATTAATTGGCCATATGAATATGCTACTTTGTGAAATGTCAATTCACGCCATTTGTCCACTTTTTGACTGGTTTTTCTGCCTTTTTTAAAAAACAGGTTAGTAGTTCTTTCTTTATTTTTCTTATGAGTCTTTTGTTAGAATACATATTCTTCTCCCACTCTCTGGCTTCTCTTTTCATTCTCTTAGTGGTATTTTTTGATAAGGATCAGTTTCTATTTTAATATAGTCCAATTTATCAACATTTTCCTTTATAGTTAAGGCTCCTTTGTTTCTGGTTTAAGAAATATTTTCTGGCCAGGCACACTGGCTCATGCCTGTAATCTCAGCACTTTGGGAGGCTGAGGAGGGAGGATCACATGAGCCTAGGAGTTCGAGACCAGCCTGGGCAACATAGCGAGACCCTATCTCTATTAACACAAACAAGTAAATAAAAGAAATATTTTCTTACCCTGAAGGTTCTGAAGATACTCTATGATATTTTCTTCTAGAAGTTTTATTGTTTAAGCTTTAACATTTAGATCTACAACACATCTGGAATCAATTTTTGTGTATGGTGTGAGGTAGAGGTCATATGGCTATCAACTGGCTCAGCCCTATTGATTCAAAAAGATCATCTTTTGCTTCTCACTGCACTGAAATGTTGCTTTTGTCATAAACCAAGTTACCATATATGTGTGAACTTTTCCTGATTTTTCCGTCTTGTTCTTTTGGCCTATTTGTTTTTCCTCGCAAGAGTATGCTGCTTTAATTATTATTATAATAAGCCTTGCTCTCTGGAAAGTACTCTGGCTTTTTTTTGTTTTTAACAAAGGGAATTTGTTGACTTATAGAACCGAGCTGTATAACTAGCTTCAGGCATAACTGGATCCAGGCACTAAAATGAATCTTTAGCAATACAGCTCATTTCCCATCTGGGCTTTACTTTTCTGTATCTTGACTTTCCTCTCAGGCAGAATCTCTTCCCTCACGGTGACAAACAGGGCCCACAGCAGCTCAAAGTTTCCATACTATCATTTTAACAACCTAGCAGAAAAGAGGTACTGCTTTCCTGAATGGTGATACCAAAGTCTCAAGGTTAGCTCTCATTGGTCCAACTTGGGTCACATGTCCATTTCTATAGTAACCATGTGTCTTAGTCCATGTTGTCTTGCTATAAAGGAAAACCTGACGCTGGGTAATTTTTATTTTTATTTATTTATTTTTTTTTTTTGAGACAGGATCTTGCTCTGTCACCCAGGCTAGAGTGCAGTGGTGCAATCTTGGCTCACTACAATGTCCGCCTCCCAGGTACAAGTGATTCTCCTGCCTCCAGTGTAGCTGGTATGACAGGTGCCCGCCACCACACCTGGCTAATTTTTTGTATTTTTAGTAGAGACAGGGTTTCACCGTGTTAGCCAGGCTGGTCTCGAACGCCTGACCTAAAGTGATCCACGAGGCTGGGTAATTTATAAAGAGAAAAAGGTGTATTTGGCTTATGATTCTTCTGGCTGGAAGATTGGGCATACAGAGAAAGTCTTGAGCTGCTTCTACTCTTGGTGGAAGGAGAAAGAAAGCAGGGATCACGTGACAATAGAGGAAGCAAGAGAGGCAAGTGTCAGCCTCTCTTTAACAACCAACTCTAATGGGAACTAATGGAGGAAGAACTCACTCACCCACACTCCCAGGGAGGGCATTAATCTATTTGTGAGGGGTCCACCCCTGTGACCCAAACACCTCTCATTAGGACCCCATCTCCAACATTGGGGATCAAATTTCAACAACGAAATTTAGAAGGCAGCCTGGCCAACACGGGAAAACCCCGTCTCTCCTAAAAATACAAAAATTAGCCGGGCGTGGCATGTGCCTGTAATCCCAGCTACTCAGGAGGCGGAGGCAGAAGGGTCACTTGAACCCAGGAGGTGGAGGTTGCACTGAGCCAAGATTGTGCAACTGCACTCCAGCCTGGGTGACAAAGCAAAACTCTGTCTCAAAAAAAAAAAAAAAAAAAATTGGATGGGACATACATCCAAACTACTGCACATCATAACCAAGGTCATGAAGCACTCAGATTGGCCAGGTCTGACTCTTGTTCTCACTCTGAAATCCCTGGCAAGATCCAGTTAAAAAATGTATATTTTGCATGGGGAGGAGTGATAGGAAAATCAGATGTTTAAGAGAACAAAAAGAGAAGCTATAGATTGTGAGAAAATCTTTTCAAAACACCTTTCAGACAAAAAGCTGGTATCCAGGCCAGGTGTGGTGGCTCACATCTGTAATCCCAGCATTTTGAGAGGCCGAGGTGGGCGGATCACCTGAGGTCAGGAGTTTGAGACCAGCCTGGCCAACGTGGCAAAATGCTGTCTCTACTAAAAATACAAAAATTAGCCAGTCATGGTGGTGGGCGCCTGTAATCCCAGCTACTCGGGAGTCTGAAGCAAGAGAATCACTTGAACCTGGGAGGCGGAGGTGGCAGTGAGCTGAGATTGCGCCATTGCACTCCAGCCTGGGCAACAGAGCAAGACTTTGTCTGAAAAAAAAAAAAAGAAAGAAAGAAAAAGAAAAAAGAAAGCTGGTATACAAAGAACTAAAACTCAACAATAGGAAAACAAACAACCCAATTTAAAAATAGGGAACAGATCTGAACAGACACTTCAACAAAGAAGATATGCAGATGGCAAATAAGTAAATAAAAAGATAGTTGGCCAGGTGTGGTGGCTCCCGCTTATAATCCCAACACTTTGGGAGGCTGGGGCAGGAGGATCATTTGAGGCCAAGAGTTTCAGACCAACCTAGGCAACACACTGAGACGCCATCTCTACAAAAAATAAAAATAAAAAGGTCAGATGTGGTGGCTCACACCTGCAATCCCAGCACTTTGGGAGGCCACAGCTGGTAATTCCCTTGAGCTCAGGAGGTCAAGACCAGCCAGGCAACGTGGTGAAACCCCATCTCTACGAAAAATACAAAAAACTAGCCAGGTGTGGTGTTGCACACCTGTGGTCTCAGCTACTTGGAAAGGTGAGGTCGGAGGATCACTTGAGTCTAGGAGGCAGAGGTTGCAGTCAGCAGAGATTCCAGTGCCACTGCATTCCAGCCTGGATGACAGAGCGAGACCCTGTTTCTAAATAAATAAATAAATAAAATAATAAAAATAGAAATAAAAAAATAGCCAGGTGTGACAGCACACAACTGTAGTCCCAGCTACTGGGGAGGCTGAGAAGGAGGATCTAAGAGTTGGAGGCGGCAGTGAGCTATGATTGCACTGCTGTACTCCAGCCTGGGCAACAGAGACCCTGTTTCTTAAAATAAATAAATAAACAAACAAACAAATAAATAAAAGGTACTTGGGCCGGGCGTGGTGGCTCACACCTGTAATCCCAGCACTTTGGGAGGCCAAGGTGGGCAGATCACCTGAGGCGAGGCATTCGAGACCAGCCTGATCGACATGGAGAAACCCCATGTCTACTAAAAATACAAAATTAGCCAGGCGTAGTGGCGCATGCCTGTAATCCCAGCTACTTGGGAGGCTGAGACAGGAGAATCACTTGAACCTGGGAGGCAGAAGTTGCAGTGAGCCGAGATCATGCCATTGCACTTCAGCCTCGGCGACAGAGCAAGACTCCGTCTCCAAAAAAAAGCGGGGCTCAACATCAAATGTCATTAGGAAATTGCAAATTACAGCAACGATGACATACGACAACCACCTATTAGAATGGTGAAAATCCAAAACATGAATAACACCAAGTGCTGATGAGGATGAGGAACGTCAGGAACTCTTATTCATCTCTGGCAGTAATGCAAAATGGTGCAGCCACTTTAGAAGACAATTTGGCACTTCCTTACAAAACTAAACACTCTTACCATATATTGCAGCACTCATGTTCCTTGGTATTTACTCAAATGAGCTCAAAACTTACATCCACACAAAAACCTGAAGACAAATATTCATAGCGGCTCTGTACATAATTGTCAAAACTTGGAAGCAAACAAGATGTCCTTCAGTAGATGAACAAACTGCAGTACATCCATACAATGGAATATTAATCAGTTATAATAAGCCATGAAAAGATATGGAGGAACCTAAAATGCATATTGTTAAGTGAAAGAAGCCAATACGAAACGGCTACATATGGTATGATTCCAACTATACCACATTCTGGAAAAGGAAACACTATAGAGACAGTTAAAAAAAAATCATTGGTTTTTAGGGGTTTGGGAGGAGGGAAGGATGAATCAGCAGAGCCCAGAGGAGTTTTAGGACAGTGAAACTACTCTGCATAATACTATAATGGTGGACACATGTCATTATAAATTTGTTCAAACCCATAGACAATAAAACACTAAGAGAGAAACTGAATGTAAACTATGGACTTTCCTCTCAATTTTGCTGTGATTTTAAAACTGAAAAAAAAAAAAGGCCTGGCGCGGTGGGTCACGCCTGTAATCCCAGCACTTTGGGAGGCCAAGGTGGGCAGATCATGAGGTCAGGAGATCGAGACCATCTTGGATAACACGGTGAAACCCCGTCTCTACTAAAAATACAAACAATTAGCCAGGCGTGATTGCAGGCGCCTGTAGTCCCAGCTACTCAGGAGGCTGAGGCGGGAGAATGGTGTGAACCCAGGAGGTGGAGCTTGCAGTGAGCCGAGATCGCGCCACTGCACTCCAGCCTGGGTGACAGAGCAAGACTCCATCTCAAAAAAAAAAAAAAAAACCAAAAAAATACTTTATTAAAAAAAAAATAGACTGTACAAGGTATCACACAAGGAGTGGACCTTAATGTAAACTGCAGATTTCAGCTAATAATAATGTATCAATACTGGCTTATTAATTGTAACAAACGTAGCACAGTAACACAAGATGTTAACAGGGAAGATGAGGGGCAATGAAGGGATGAAGGGGGATGTAGAAACTCTCGGTACTTTTCATTCGATTTTTTCCTGTAAACCTAAGACTGCTCCAAAAAAAATTATTAATGAAGAAGAAAATCAGAGATAACAGATGTCACTCAGGCAAAAATATCAGGTGTCCATTATAAGGATCCAAGTTGCCCCTAGGTATTCACTCTAATAACAGTTTGCAACTTGGGGTATGCAGTATAGAAGGGATAAAGAGGCTGGCGCAGTGGTTCACGCCTGTAAGCCCAGCAGTCTGGAAAGCGGAGGCGGGCGGATCACCTGAGGTCGGGAGTTGAAGACCAGCCTGGCCAAAATGGGGAAACCTCGTCTCTATTAAAAATACACAAAATTGCCAGACATGGTGGCACGCGCCTGTAATCCCAGCTACTGGGTCGCTGAGGCAAAGGAATTGCTTGAACCCGGGAGGCGGGGGTTGCAGTGAGCCAAAATCACGCCACTGCACTCCAGCCTGGGCAACAGAGTAAGACTCCGCCTCAAAATAAAAATAAATAAATAAATAAATAAATTTTTTAAAAGGCCAGGTAGCGGTGGCTCACACCTGTAATCCCACCACTTTGGGAGGCTGAGGCGGGCAGATCACAAGGTCAGGAGATAGAGACCATCCTAACACAGTGAAACCCTTTCTCTACTAAAAATACAAAGAATTAGCTAGGCGTGGTGGCACGTGCCTGTAGTCCCAGCTACTCGGGAGGCTGAGGCAGATGAATCACTTGAACCCGGAAGGCAGAGGTTGCAGTCAGCCAAGATCGCACCACTGCCCTTGAGCCTCAGCGGCGGAGCAAGACTCCATCTCAAAAAGAAGCCAAAATTCAAAAATTAGCCAAGTGTGGTAGTGTGCGCCTGTAACCTCAGGGTGAGAGAGGAGACTCTCTTCAACCCAAGAGGCAGAGGTTACAGTGAGACGAGATCATAAGACTGCACTCCACCCTAGGCAATAGAGCAAGACTCCATCTCAAAAGATATATTGCAGTAATTTAAAAACAATTCTATTGGAAGCGCAATTTCTTCCTGTCGAGACCTCCCTTTATGACGGAACAATGAAAAAACAATTTTTTTTCAATTTTGCCCAGGTTAGCTTCAAACACATAGCATCGCCAGCTTGTGCGCCAGGACAACCTGATGGAGCCACCGAAGCTGGTGGGAAAGTGCTCTCAATTTTTCCATTTCACCTTCTGGGGAGCGATGTAGCCAATCACCCCTGACATCACCCAGTCCCCAGGGACAGAGAGGGCCCTACGTTCCATGGCCCCCCTTGGCGGGACGAAAGGGACCTGTATCTGAGAGACAGCAGCCAATCGGGTCCGCAGACTCGGGCCAGGTTCCCATACCGTGCCCAACACCCATCACTCCCCCACGGAGACTCAAGTTACTTTCAATCTCCACATCCCCAGTGCTTGCGGAAGAAATCCGGCTAAGAGACAGAAATGCGAAACGTAGAAAAGATCCAAATTTCCGGCATCCAATTATATACAAGCCTTGACTCGCCAGGCATCCAATCAGAGTAATGGATCCAACCAACTGGAGCAGGTATCCAATTAGGTAGGGCAGGGTTGCCATGATGACACGAGTCTCTCTATAGGGCTCCCAGGGTCGCGGAGCTCTAGCGCTGAGCGCCCCCTGGCGATTGGCAAGGCGTGGCCGACTACTCCAGCAAACGCGCGCTGGTCGAAGGCAGCCAATAAGGCAGGGACAAGCCTCGGTGACGTCACTAGTCGCCTAGCCGGCCGCCGCAGCTTGTGAGCTCGCGCGTGAGTTCGCGTGAGCTCCCGCGAGCCCGCAGGCCACCGCGCGCACCTGTTTCAGAGTGGTGATTGGGGCTCATGCGCTGCTGCTTCCGACTGTCTTTTTTTTTTTTTTTTTTTTTAATTCTGAAGGGAGAGATAAAGGGCAGGAAACGGCGTCAGGCGAGGCGAGGCGAGAGGTTCGAGGTTCTACAGAGATGATCAGACTGACTGATGGACCTCAAGGTGGCCGCTCTGCCCCAGGACAGGCCTATAAGAGGCTGTGGTCACCTAGAAAACATCCAGAGACTAAATGGAGGAAACAGCTTCCAGCTCCCAGAAATACGTTTCGCATTTCTCTCTCCCAGGGGCAGAGTCCCCAACAGCCGCAAACCCAGAGGAGCAGACGACGATTCGGAGAAGGAAGAAAAGACGCTGGGAAGGAGCCAGGGATGACAGGAAGAGAAGGAGACGGGGAAGGGCCCTGAGGCGAGGGAGGCAGGGGAGGAGCGACAAGAGGGGTTGTGACAGGCACCGAGGGGACAGAAAAAGACCCCACGGTCACAGGTGGAGCGCCCGACGGCACAGGGGACTGAGAAAGAGGATGGGGACGGCGACAGGACTGTGAGAAGGCAGCAGCGAGGACAGTGCAGCAGTGGGATCAACAGCAATAAAGAGGATACATTCGTAGGCAAAGGGGACAGGACCAGAGAGAGAAGACAGTGAATCAGATGGGAGCGAACTAGAGAGGTGACGAAGACAAAGATCCCAGGGGCCAGGACAGAGATGAAGGGGTCTAAGAAATACGGGAGAGACGGCCAGGCAAGGTGCCTCACCCCTATAATCCCAGCTTTTTGGGAGGCCAAGAGGCGAGGATCTCTTGAGGTCAGAAGTTCGAGACCAGCCTCCGCAACATGGTGAAACTCCGTCTCCACTAAAAATACAAAAATTAGCCAGGCGCGGTGGCGTGTGCCTGTAATCCCAACCTCCTGGCAGAATGAGACAGGAGACCCGCTTGAACCCAGGAGGCGGAGATTGCAGTGAGCCAAGATCAAACAACTGCACTCCAGCCTGGGTGACAGAGCAAGACTTCGTCCAAAAAAAATTTTTTTTTGAAGTAATTTAAAAACGGCTAGGAAGACGCAATTTCTTCCTCTGAAGTCTTCCTCCCTTTATATTTTGTTGTTATGATATAGGGAACAATAAAATTTTTTTTTTAAATCATTGTTGACCAGGTTGGCCTATAACGTGTACCCTGAACCACGGCGGATCCAGCTGTCCGGGCTCTCCTTTCTTTCCTTTGGTCTTAGGCACAGCGATATAGCCAATCACGACAGGCTCACCCGTGACATCACCCAGTCCCCAGGGCCAGCGAGGGCCCTGCGTTCCATGGCGCATCTTGGCAGGAGGAAAGTGACCTGTATCTGAGAGAGAGCAGCCAATAGGGACCTCTAACTCGCGCCGGGTACCTGCACCGTGTGCAACACCCCTCACTCCCCCACGGAGACGCCAGTCACTTTCCACGTCCACATCCCCAGTGCTTGCGGAAGAAATCCCGCTAAGAGAGAGATATGCGAAAGGTAGGGAAGATCCATAGTTCCAGGCATCCAATTATATACAAGCCTTGACTCACCAAGCATCCAATCAGAGTAATGGATCCAACGAACTGCAGCAGGCATCCAATCAGGTAGGACAGGGTTGCCAGGATGACACGAGTCTCTCCATAGGGCTCCCAGGGTCAGTGAGCTCTAGCGCTGAGCGCCCCCTGGCGCTGGGAAAGGCGCGGCCGTCTACTCCAGCAAGCGCGCGCTGGTCGAAGGCAGCCAGTAAGGCAGGGACAAGCCCCTGCGACGTCACTAGTCGCCAGCCGGCCGCCGCGGCCTGCGAGCTCGCGCGTGAGTTCGTGTGAGCTCCCGCCAGCCCGCGGGCCCGCCGCGCGCACCTGTTGCAAAGTGGCGATTCGGCCCTAGGCGCTGCTGCTTCCGACTCTTTTTATTTTTTATCCTGAAGGGAAAGATAAAGGGCGGGAAAGGGCGTCAGGCGGGGCGAGGCGAGAGGCTCGAGGTTCGAAGGAGATGGTCAGACTGACTGATGGACCTCAGGGCGACCCCTCTGCCCCAGGACAGGCCTAGAAGAGCATGAGACCCCCTAGGAAACACCCAGAGACTGAGCGGAGGAAACAGCTCCCAGGGGCAGAGCTCCCAGCAGGCACAAACCCAGAGGAGCAGAGGACGATTCGGAGAAGGAAGGAAAGACGCTGTGAAGGAGCCAGGGATGACAGGAAGAGAAGGAGACCGGGAAGGGCCCTGAGGCGAGGGAGGCAGGGCCTCCGACCAGGAGCGACCAGAGGGGATGTGACAGAGACGGAAGTGACAGAAAAAGACTCCACGGTCACAGGTGGAGCGGCCGACGGCACAGGGGACTGAGGCAGGGGATGGGGATGGCGACAGGACTGTGAGAAGACAGCAGCGAGGACAGTGCAGCAGTGGGATCAACAGCGACGAAGAGGATACAGTCCGAGGCAAAGGGGAGAGGACCAGAGAGAGAAGACAGTGAATCTGCTGGGAGCGAACTAGAGAGGGGACGAAGACAAAGATCCCGGGGGCCAGGACAGAGATCAGGGAGTCTAAGAAAGACGCGAGAGACGGCCGAGCGCGAGGGCACACCCCTGTAATCCCAGCACTTTGGGAGGCCAAGGGGCGAGATCTCTTGAGGCCAGCAGTTCGAGACCAGCCTCGCCAACATGGTGAAACTCCGTCTCTACTAAAAATACCAAAATTGGCCAGGCACGGTGGCGTGGGCCTGTAATCCCAGCTACTCGGGAGGCTGAGACAGGAGACTCGCTTGAACCCAGGAGGCGGAGGTTGCAGTGAGCCAAGATCACACCACTGCACTCCAGCCTGGGCTACAGAGCGAGGCTCAGTCTCCCAAAAAAAAAAAAAAAAAAAAAAAGATACATTGAAGTAATTTAAAAACACTTAGGAAGATGTCATTTCTTCCTATCAAGGCGTCCTCCCTTTATGTTTTGTTGTTATATAGGGAACGATAAAAAAAATTTTTTTTTTCCTACCAATGTGGACCAAGTTGGCCTCGAACTCTGTACCCTCACACCCTCGCCTCCCTGAGGGCCCGAGGGCCGGCGCAATCGGCCGGAGCCACAATGGCTCCGGCTGTCGGGGCTCTCCTTTCTTCCCTTTGATCTTACGCAGGGTGATGGAGCCAATCACGAGAGGCTCACCCCTGACGTCACCCAGTCCCCAGAGCCAGTGAGGGCCCTGCGTTCCATGGCGCCCCCTGGAGGGAGGAAGGGGAACTGTATCTGAGAGAGAGCAGCCAATTGGGTCCGCTGACTCCGGCCGGGTTCCCGTGCCACGTCCAACACCCCTCACTCCCCAACGGAGACTCAATTTACTTTCCTTGTCCACATCCCCAGTGCTTGCGGAAGATATCCCGCTAAGAGAGAGACATGCCAAAGGTAGGGTAGATCCACATTTCCAGGCATCCAGTTATGTACAAGCCTTGACCCACCAGGCATCCGATCAGAGTAATGGATCCAACGAACGGCAGCAGGTATCCAATCAGGTAGGACAGGGTTGCCAGGATGACACGAGTCTCTCCATAGGGCTCCCAGGGTCAGTGAGCTCTAGCGCTGAGCGCCCCCTGGCGCTGGGAAAGGCGCGGCCGTCTACTCCAGCAAGCGCGCGCTGGTCGAAGGCAGCCAGTAAGGCAGGGACAAGCCCCTGCGACGTCACTAGTCGCCAGCCGGCCGCCGCGGCCTGCGAGCTCGCGCGTGAGTTCGTGTGAGCTCCCGCCAGCCCGCGGACCCGCCGCGCACACCTGTTCCAGAGTGGCGATTGGGCCCTAGGCGCTGATGCTTCCGACTCTTTTTATTTTTTATCCTGAAGGGAAAGATAAAGGGCGGGAAAGGGCGTCAGGCGAGGCGAGGCGAGAGGCTCGAGGTTCGAAGGAGATGGTCAGACTGACTGATGGACCTCAGGGCGACCCCTCTGCCCCAGGACAGGCCTAGAAGAGCATGTGACCCCCTAGGAAACACCCAGAGACTGAGCGGAGGAAACAGCTCCCAGGGGCAGAGCTCCCAGCAGGCGCAAACCCAGAGGAGCAGAGGACGATTCGGAGAAGGAAGGAAAGACGCTGGGAAGGAGCCAGGGATGACAGGAAGAGAAGGAGCGGGGAAGGGCCCTGAGGCGAGGGAGGCAGGGCCTCCGACCAGGAGCGACCAGAGGGGATGTGACAGAGACGGAAGTGACAGAAAAAGACTCCACGGTCACAGGTGGAGCGGCCGACGGCACAGGGGACTGAGGCAGGGGATGGGGATGGCGACAGGACTGTGAGAAGACAGCAGCGAGGACAGTGCAGCAGTGGGATCAACAGCGACGAAGAGGATACAGTCCGAGGCAAAGGGGAGAGGACCAGAGAGAGAAGACAGTGAATCTGCTGGGAGCGAACTAGAGAGGGGACGAAGACAAAGATCCCGGGGGCCAGGACAGAGATCAGGGAGTCTAAGAAAGACGCGAGAGACGGCCGAGCGCGAGGGCACACCCCTGTAATCCCAGCACTTTGGGAGGCCAAGGCGGGAGGATCACTTGATGCCGGAAGTTCAGGACCATCCTGGCCAACACGGTGAAACCCCGTCTCTACTAAAAATACAAAAATTAGGCGGGTCTGGTGGCGGCGCCTGTAGTGCCTGCTACTGGAGAGTTCCAGCTACTGGAGAGGCTGAGGCAGGAGAATCGCTTGAACTCGGGAGGCAAAGGTTGCAGTTTACCAAGATTGTGTCACTGCACTCCAGCCTGGGCGACAGGGTGAGACTACGTCAAAAAAACACAAAGCAACAACAACAAAAGAAAAAAAAAAAAAGAAAAAGTGAGAGAAAGAGAGAAGAAGGAGAGGGAGAGGAGAGGGAGAAGGGGAAGGAGAAGGAGAAGGAGAGGGGAAGAAGAGGAAGGAGGAAGATGGGAGAGATACCAAGGGGACAGTAATAGAAACAGGGAGGACTGTGACAGAAGGGACAGAGACTAAGGGACAGTGATAGGGGAGAAAGAGATAAGGGGATGTGGCCGACACAGAGAAGGTGACAGCCATAGAGACAGAGAAGACAGAGACCCAAAGGCTATAAAGATATAGTGGACAGTGTTAGACACATGGCAGAGATAACAGAAGTGATACGGGGACAAGTGACAAATATGGAGATGGTGCCAGAGACAAAATCTGAGGCAACAGCGAGTGAGGCAAAGAGAACAAACTCAGATGGATGGGGCAGAGATAATGGTGTCAATATCAGAGATTCAGGAAGCAATAGTAGATTAAGAGTGCACAGAGGGCACAGAGAGCTGGTGGCAAATAGCAAAGACAGGCCGGGCACGGTGGCTCATGAATGTAATCCCAGCACTTTGGGAGGCAGAGGTGGGCAGATCACTTGAGGTCAGGAGTTCAAGACCAGCCCGGCCAACGTGGCAAAAGCCTGTCTCTACAAAAAAACATATAAAAGTTCACTGGGCATGGTGTTGTGCGCCTGTGGTCTCAGCCATTTGGGAGGCTGAGGCAGGAGGATCACTTGGGCCAGGGAGGTCAAGGCTGCAGTGAGCTATGTTGATGCCACTGTCCTCCAACCTGGGCAACAAAAGGAGACCGTGTCCCTACAAAAATGTTTAAAATTAGCCAGGCATGGTGATAGTGACACACATCTGTGGTCCTAGCTACCTGGGAGGCTGAGGTGGGAGGATCACTAGAGCCTGAGAGTTGGAGGCTGCAGTGCGTGGTGTTCGCACCACTGCACTCCAGCCTCGTCTGGGCAACAGAGTGAGACTCTGTCAAAAAGAAAGAAAAGAAAAGAGAATAGCAAAGAGAGAAGTGGAACAGAAGCTGACGGGACAGAGACGGAGATAGAAGGTAGAACTCAGAGAAAGAGGCTCCAACAGAAATAGAGGAGACAGAAGCCAAGCAAGGGACAGAGATGGAGGATTCAGAGTGAGAGGAGACAGAGCCAGGGGGAATGGCAACAGAATGCACAGACTCTGAGTGGAGGGCAGTTGTGGTGACACTACCAGGATGAACATAACAGAGTTCATTCAATGAGAGAGAGTGGTGAAGATATAAAGGCAGAGAGCGTGACGTCAGACAGAAGGGATGGTAACATAAAAAGGGGGTGATAGAGAAAAGTCATGAGGCAAGACGCGGGGGTAGATGGAAGATGGCTTGTCAGACATCCTGCAGCTAGAGATTAGGGGTGCGGGCAAAGTCAGAAACCATTAGAATTGTATCTTATGGGGGAGGAGAGTGACGGGAAGTACATGATCAAGACCCACTAGAGAAAGATAAGGACACAGAGACTGAGTCACAGAGATGAATAGAGAGAAAGGGCAAAGAAAGGAAATGAGAGGGTCAGAGCTGTCTGAGACTTGGTAAAGGGTGACGACAACAGACAAAAGCAAAGATAGGCGAACTGAGCAAAGACCCAGAGAGAGTGACGGGAACCCACAAACCCGTCGGTAGCTGAGACCTGCCACTCAGCTCAGTACCTAAACCTGGGAAGTACTGAAAGCCAAGAACACTTGAGGTTCCTTCTGCCAGTTTGGTTAAGTTGTGACCTTGATTTGGAATTGTGATTTGAAAGATCTTGACACTGAATCCCCCAGTCCTCTTTCTTTGGCCCACAGTAGCCATGGCACAAAGCACTAAGCAAAATCATTCTTTTTTCATTCATTCATTCAACAACTATTGAGTATTCACTATTTTCCAGGCATTATTGTGGGTGCCAGGGAGACGACAGCAGCAAACAAAGTACATGCACCCACGCAGCTTTCAGCCTAGTTGGTGGACAAATAAATATATAATGTCAAGTAGTGTTAAATGCTAAGAAGAGAAATTAAGCAAAGATGAGAGGACAGAGTAATTGAGGTTGCTGATAATGGCAGGCTAGGTTATTCAGACCAACATTCCCACTAAAAGCAACTAAAAATGCTGGATGCGTTTTTTTAAATCTTGAAGGCATTGGCCTGGCACAGTGGCCTGTACTTGTAGTCCCAGCTACCTAGGAGGCTGAGGCAGGAGGACCCCTTGAGGCCAGGAGTTTGAGGCTGTAGTGCACAATGAATATGCTCGTGAATAGCCACTGCATTCCAGCATGGGTAATATAGCAAGACCCTATCTCTAAAAGAATTTCTGTAACTTAAAAAAAAACCACCGAAGGCTCACAGGATTTATCAGGCTGTAACTGATGGAAAATTGGGAACTCAGAGAAGTAATCAGAGTACTTCTACCCTAAGGGAATTTTATAACCCTGGCAAATTTAAACTTTTATTTGGATGGCTTCTTAGATGGAAGGAAAACAAAAAAAAGCTAGGGCCCAAGCAAGGTGGGGAGTCCACATTGAGCTGAGAAAGCAATGGCTATGCCCTCAGGGTAAGGGGGAACTAGAAGTAAATTGGCCCTGGTTTGTTACTTGGCAGCCTATTCCATGGGTGGTCCAAAAGACCTCAAGTTGTGGACTTAAAGTCCCCAAGTGGAAGTATTTTTAAACTCTTGATGACAACACACAGATAATTCTCTCTGGTGAAAATAATCTTCATTAAAGGCCTCAAATTACTCCTGTAAACATATTTTTTTTTTCCCAAGGAACGTGAGCAGCACGCAGGTATAACCAAGAACACAAAGTACCAGGAGCAAGAACTAGCAGAAATAAGAGACACTGTAAACAGACCCACTAATCCTTGTGATTTTAGAACTATCAGAGGGACATAAAACAGTGTGGTTTGTTCATATAAAATATAAGATTGCCATTGTTTTGCAATGGCAAGGGACCGAGAAACTATAAAAAATTATCTAGGTACTTTGAAAATGACAAAAACTCTAAAAGAGGATTAAAAGTAAAAGCAACAGCTGAGTAGAGACATAGTGAATTGGAACATAGATCAACAGAAGTTATCCACAATTCACCATAAGAGACAAAGCAGGAAACATGTAAAAGAGGTTAAGTGGCATGGAGTGTAGATAAGACAGAGAGTCTTATCTATATTCTGAGTCCCAAAAGAGGGGATAAAGAGAATATGGCAGAAAGAATATTTAAGAAAATAATGGCGGATTTTTCAAATTTTCCAAAATTGAGGAGAGAATCTAATTCAAAGATTCAAGAAGCCTAATGAATCATAAGTATAAAGAAATCTACACTTAGAAACATCATTGTATTAATATGCGTGGAGTCCTGACAAAATAAGTAAGCAAAAAGGAAGGGGTCCCAGGTTGGGGAAAACAATTGTTCTGAGAGATGACTAATCACAGACAACAGGCTGGCACAACATCCTGCTCCCAAATACCTCACTCCGCATGTAACCTCAGCAGCATAAACTCATCCCTCTAGCCCCTGCCTCTTTGCAAACAGCCGCTTCTTTGCTGTGCAGCCCATTGCAACCTTGCAATGTATCTTCATACTTTCTCCAATAAATCTGCTTTTCTTTAGCTATGACTGTCTCGGTAAATTCCTTTAATGACCGCGACACCGGCCCCAGCAGTCGCACCCGCGGCAGTATGTTTGCAGAACACTAAAGGCAAAGAGATCTCATCAGCAGCTAGAGAAAAAAGACAGATGTCCTTTAAAAGATCAATAGTTGGAGGGCCAGGTGTGGTGTCTCACATCAGTTATCCCAGCACTCTGGGAAGCCTCTGTGGCAGGAGGATTGCTTAAGGCCAGGAGTTTGAGACCAGCCTAGGCAACATAGCAAGACTGTCTCTACAAAAATTTTTTTAAAAACTTAGCCAGGCATGGTGGCACAGCCTGTAGTCCCAGCTACTCACTTAGGAGGCTGAGGCAGGAGAATCATTTGAGCCCAAGAGGTTGCGGCTGCAGTGAGCCATGACTGCACCACTGCATCCTAGCCTTGGCAATAGAGTGAGACCTTGTCTTAAAAAAGAAATTCACTGCGAGTTGTTATACAACCTCTTACTGCTAAATTGGACTGGCTTTTAAAAAAATAAATAATTTGCATAACAACTGACATTGTTACATCAGTAACAATGGAATCTAGAATAAGATCAACGTGCTGATAGAAAATAACTGTCAATTTAATATCCAGTAAAATATATATATAATATATATATTTAATATCCAGTAAAATACATATAATATATAAAATATATATTATATATTTTATATATTATATATATTATATTATATATAAAATATATAATATAATATATAATATATATAATATTATAATATATAATATAGAGAGAGAGAGAGAGAGAGATGGAGTCTTACTCTGTCACCCAGGCTGAAGTGCAATGGCATGATCCCAGCTCACTGCAACCTCTGCCTCCCGGGTTCAAGCAGTTCTCCTGCCTCAGCCTCCTGAGTAGCTGGGACTACAGGCACGCGCCACCACACCCAGCTAATTTTTGTATTTTTAGTAGAGACAGGTTTTCACCATGTTGGCCAGGCTGGTCTTCAACTCCTGAGCTCAAGCGATGCACCAGCCTCGGCCTCCCAAAATCCTAGAATTACAGGCATGAGTCACCATGCCCAGCCAGTGAAAATATATTTCAAGAATGATGTCGACATGTTCCAATTGTTCTATACAAACATAGATACGTATGCATGCTGTTTGATAGCATTTTACCCACAGTAGAATTTGTTTTAAAATTGGAGTCAGTCCTCTCAAACCATGCCATTGCTTTATCAACTAAGTTTATGTAATATTCTAAATCTTTTGTTTGTCATTTCAACAATGTTCACAGCATCTTTACCGGGAGTAGACTCCATCTCAAGAAACCACTTTCTTGGCCGGCACAGTGGCTCATGTCTGTAACCCCAGCACTTTGGGAGGCCGAGGCAGGCAGATCACGAGGTCAGGAGTTCGACACCTGCCTGACCAACCTGGTGAAACCCCTTCTCTACTAAAAATACAAAAATTAGCAGGGTGGTGTGCTCCTGTAATCCCAGCTAGTCAGGAGGCTGAGGCAAGAGAATCGATTGAACCTGGGAGGCAGAAGTTGTAGTGAGCCAAGATCACACCACTGCACTCCAGCCTGGGTGACAGAGCAAGACTCCATCTTAGAGAAAAAAAAAAAAAGAAACCACTTTCTTTCCTCATCCATAAGGAGCAACTCCTCATGTGTACAAATTTTATTATGAGATTGCCACAATTCAGTCAATTCAGTAGTAGAATCTTCAGGTTCTACTTCAAATTCCAGTTCCCTTGCTATTTCCACCACATCTGCTGTGACTTCTTCCACTGAGGTCTTGAACTTCTCTCAAAGTCATCATGACAGCTGGAATCAACTTCTTCCAAACTCCTGTTAACGTTGATTTTGGACCCCCTCCCATGAATCACAAATGTTCTTAATGGCATCTAGAATGGTGAATCCTTTCCAGAAGGTTTCCAATGGGCTTTGACGAGATCCATCAGAGGAATCACTATCTATGGCAGCCATGCCCTTATGAAGTGTATTGCTGAAATAATAAGACCTGAAAATTAAAATTACTTCTTGATCCATGGGCTATAAAATGGATGTGTTAGCAGGCATGAAAATTACACTAATTTTCTTTTCTTTTCTTTTTTTTTTTTTTTGAGATGGAGTCTCACCCTGTCACCCAGGCTGGAGTGCAGCGGCAGGATCTCAGCTCACTGCAACCTCCACCTCCCAGGCTCAAGCGATTCTCCTGCCTCATCCTCCTGAGTAGCTGGGATTACAGGTGCGTGCCACCATGCCCAGCTAATTTGTTGTATCTTTAGTAGAGATGGTTTCACCATGTTGGCCAGGCTGGTCTTGAACTCCTGACCTCGTGATCCGCCCACCTCCGCCTCCCAAAGTGCTGGGATTGCAGGTGTGAGCCACCACACCCAGCCGACACTAATCTTGTATCTCTCCATCAGGGCTCTTGGCTGACCAGATATATTGTTAATGAGCAGTAATATTTGGAAAGAAACAATATTTTTTTCTGAGCAGATGTCAACAATGGGCTTAAAATATTCAGTAAGCCATGAAGTAAACAGATGTGTTGTATTCAGGTTTTGTTGTTCTATTCCTTGAGCACAGGCCTAGTAGATTCTGCAAAATTCTTAAGGGCCTTAGAATTTTCAGAATGGCAAAGGAGCACTGGCTTCGATTAAAGTCATCAGCTGCATGAACCCCTAAAATGAGAGTCAACCTGTCCTTTGGAACTTTGAAGCCAAATATTGAATTTTCCTCTCTAGCTATAAAAGCCCTAGATGGCATGTTCTTTTCATAGAAGGCTGTAGGCTGTTTCATTTACATTGAAAATCTGTTGTTTAGTATAGCTGCCTTCATCAATTATCTTAGCCAGGCCTTCTGGATAACTTGCTGCAGCTTCTCCATCAGCACTTGGTGCTTCACCTTGCACTTCTTTTTCTTTTTTTCTTTTTTTTTTCCGAGACAGAGTCTCACTCCGTCACCCAGGCTGGAGTGCAGTGGTGTGATCTCAGTTCACTGCAATCTCTGCCTCCTGGGTTCAAGTAATTCTCCTGCCTCAGCCTCCCAAGTAGCTGGGATTACAGGTGCATGCCACCACGCCCAGCTAATTTTTGTATTCTTAGTAGAGACAGTGTTTCACCATGTTGGCCAGGCTGGTCTCAAACTCCTGACCTCGTGATCGACCCACCTTGGCCTCCCAAAGTCCTAGGATTACAGGCATGAGCCACCGCGCCTGGCCTCACCTTGCACTTCTATATCACGGAGATAGCTTCTTTCCTTAAACCTCGTGAACCAACCTTTGCTAGCTTCCAACTTTTCTTCTGTGGCTTCCTTACCTCTCTTAGCCTTCGTAGAATTGAAGAGAGTTAAGGCCTTGCTCTGGATTAGGCTTTGGCTTAGGGGAAAACTGTGGCTGGTTTGATCTTCTATCCAGACCACGAAAACTTTCTTCATATCAGCAATAAGGCTGTTTGGCTTTCTTATGATTAGCCATTCACTGGAATAACACTTTTCATGTCCTTCAAGAACTTTTCCTTTGCATTTCCACCTTGGCTAAAGGCAAGAGGCCTTGCCTTTGGCCTGTCTAAGCTTCTAACGTGCCTTCCTCACTGAACTTAATCATTTTTAGCTTTTGATTTAAAGTGAAAGACATGTGACTCTTCCTTTCACTTAAATGCTTAGAGTCCACTGTAGAGTTATCAATTGGCCTAATTTTAATACTGTTGTGTCTCAGGAAATGAGGAGGCCCAGGGAGAGGGAGAAGGACAAGGGAAAGGCCAGTTGGTATAAAAGCCACAACACGCACAACATTTATGGATGAAGTTCACCATCTGATATGGATGTGGTTCATGGCATCCCAAAACAATTACAATAGCAACATCAAAGATCACCGATCACCCGGGCACAGTGGCTCACGCCTGTAATCCCAGCACTTCCGGAGGCCAAGGCAGGCAGATCACGAGGTCAGGAGGTCGAGACCAGCCTGACCAACATGGTGAAACCCCGTCTCTACTAAAAATACAAAAATTAGCTGAGCATGGTGGTGCACGCCTGTAAACCCAGCTACTCAAGAGGCTGAGGCGGGAGAATCACTTGGACCCGGGAGGCGGAGCAGCAGTGAGCCAAGATCGCACCGCCGTACTCCAGCCTAGGCGACAGAGTGAGACTGCATCTCAAAAAAAAATCATTGATCACAGATCACCATAACAGAATGATAAAGAAAAAGTTTGAAATATTGGGAGAATTACCAAAATGTGACACAGAGACATTAAGGGAGCACACGCTGTTGTTAAAATGGTGCTGATAGACAGACTCAACACAGCAGAACTTCAATTTGTAGAAAGAAAAATCTGCAAAGTGCAATAAAGCAAGGAGCAATAAAATGAGATATACACGCCGTAACACATTTCAAATGTTTGACATGACATCATACAGAATAAATATGGTCATTACCATAGGTAGGTTGTTATAAGTTAATAATAAAAAGATAAGTTGGCCGGGCGCGATGGCTCATGCCTATAATCCCAGCACTTTGGGAGGCCGAGGTGGGTGGATGCTGAGGTGGGTGGATCACGAGGTCAGGAGATCGAGACCATCCTGGCTAATGTGGTGGCGGGCGCCTGTAGTCCCAGCTACTCCGGAGGCTAAGGCAGGAGAATGGCGTGAACCGGGGAGGCAGAGCTTGCAGTGAGCAGAGATCGCACCACTGCACTCTAGCCTGGGCGACAGAGCAAAAGTCTGTCTCTAAAAAAAAAAAAAAAAAAAAGATAACTTTAGGCTGGGCGCGGTGGCTCACATCTGTAATCCCAGCACTTTGTGAGGCCAAGACAGATGGATCATCTGAGGTCAGGAATTTAAGACTAGCCTGACCAACATGGCAAAACCCCATTTCCACTAAAAATACTAAAAATTAGCCGGGCTTAGTGGCAGGCGCCTGTAATCCCAGCTACCCTAGAGGCTGAGGCAGGAGAATTGCTTAAGCTGGGGAGGCGGATGTTGCAGTGAGCTGAGATCACCATTGCACTCCAGCCTGGATGACAGAGCGAGACTCTGCCTCAAAAAAAAAAAAAAAAAGATAACTTTAAAAATTCTCATATCCTGGGTGTGGTGGTTCATGCCTGTAATCCCAGCACTTTGGGAGGCAGAGGCGGGCAGATGACCTGAGGTCAGGAGTTCGAGACTAGCCTGACCAACATGGAGAAACCCCATCTCTACTAAAAATACAAAATTAGCCGGGCGTGGTGGGGCATGCCTGCAATCCCAGATACTCAGGAGGCTGAGGCAGGAGAATTGCTTGAACCCAGGAGGCAGAGGTTGCGGTGAGCCGAGATTGTGCCATTGCACTCCAGCTTGGGCAACAAGAGCCAAACTCCGTCTCAAAAAAAAAAAAAAATTAATAATAATAGTAATAAATAAAAATCTCATGTCCTGGGTGTGGTGGTTCACGCCTGTAATTCCAGCACTTTGGAAGGCTGAGGCGGGAGGGTCACTTGAACTCAGGACCTTTAGATCAACCTGGGCAACATGGGGAGACCCTGTCTCTACAAAAAAAAATTCAGAATTAGCCAGGCCTGGTAGCACATGCCTGTAGTCCCAGCTACTCAGAAGGTTGAGGTGGGAGGATCATTTGAGTCCGGGGAGGCAGAGGTTGCAGTGAACAGAGATCTGGCCACTGTACTCCAGCCTGGGTGATAGAGTGTGACCTCATCAAAAAAAAAAAAAAAATTCTCACAAATTAAAAAATGTTCTTTTAAATAACTCCTGGGTCAATGAAGAAATCCTAATGGAAGCTGTAAAACACTTTTAACTGTATGGTAAAAAAAAAAACTATATATTTTTAAACGTGAATGCATAAAGCAGAACTTCAAGGGAAATTCATGGCACTAAATACATTCATCTCAAGGAGTTAGAAAAAGAATAACTAAAAAAATCCAAAAAAATAAGGAAATGGAAAAAATAATAAAAATGAAAAAAGTCATATAGAAAACAAACATAGAGTTAGGATAATCAACTACACCAAAGTTGGTTACTTGAAAAGCCTAGTAAGATAGTCAAACCTCCAGTGATAGTGATTAAAAAGAGAAAGAAAAAAGCACAAATAGCCAATATCAGGAATTTTTAAGAGGGAACTTTATTAAGAACAACTTTACGCTAACAAATTTTAAAATATAGCTGAAATGGACAAATTCCTGGAAAGCTATAACTTACCAAAAATGACTCAAGATAAAATATAGCATTCAGTTAGTCCAAAACCATGAAACAAATCAAATCAGTAATTTTTAAAAGATTAACCGCAAAGAAAATTCTGGGTCCATACAGTGTCACTGGCACTAAATGTTGCTAAACATTTAAAGAGGAAATAATTCCAGGCCAGGCACAGTGGTTCACACCTGTAATCCAGCACTTTGGGAGGTAGGAAGATCACTTGAGGGCAGGAGTTCAAGACCAGCCTGGCCAACATGGCAAAACCCTGTCTCTACTCAAAATACAAAAATTAGCCAGGCACAGTAGCGCCTGCCTGTGATTCCAGCTATGCTGGATGACGCACAAGAATCGCTTGATTGCGGGAGGCAGAGGTTGCAGCGGGCCGAGATTGCACCACTGCACTCCAGCCTAGGCGACAGAGCGAGACTCTGTCTTGAAGAAAGGAATAAGAAAGGAGGAAGGAAGGAAGGAAGGAAGGGAGGAAGGAAGGGAAGGAGGGAGGGAGGGAGGGAGGGAGGGAGGGAAAGAGAGAGGAAAGAAGGAAGGAAGGAAAGAAGGAAGGGAGGGAGGGAAGAGAGAAGGGAGGAAGGAGGGAAGGAAGGAAGGAAAGAAGGAAGGAAGGGAGGGAAGAGTGAAGGGAGGAAGAAGGGAGGGAAGGAAGGAAGGGAGGGAAGGAAGAAGGGAGGGAGGGAGGGAGGAAGGAAGGAAAGAAGGAAGGCAGGAAGGAAGGGGGAAGGAAAAGAAGAAAGAAGGAGGAGGAGGAGGAGGAGCAACCAGCCGGAAGATCCAGCTGGCCTAACTTTAATACCAAAATCTGACAACGAGAGTATGATAGGCCAAAAAAGGAATCTACATTTTGTTTTTTCCCATGATGACTTCTTTACAATATGAAACTTTTTTCAAGAAAGAATTTGGGCGAGCCCACACTTTGCTGGTTTCTTGAGCATGTTTGTGGTCTGCATCTTAGGTTATCCAGCATCGGCTGTAGGCACAGGGAGGAGCAGGGACAAAGGAGCATGTTTGGCACATTTGAGGGACAGACAGAAAACCAACATGGCTGGAAGGAGCCTAATGAATGACGGTGAGAGGGACTCCAAACGAGGGCAGAGAGACAAGTGACAAATCTTATAAGGCCCGGTGGCCACAGTGAGATCCTGCTTTTGTATTCTAAGAGGGGAGGGAAGCCATTGAAACACTCTCTATAAAAAGCAAGCTAGGAGCTTGCTCAGGTGAATGCAGGCAGCTGTGCCAACAGGAAAAAGCTACCTGGGGACCAGGCATGTTCAACATGGAGGCTCCATCTTTCCTTTTCTTTGTCGACCACGTGTGCAGTAAAGAAGCAGGTAGGTCGGGCGCAGTGGCTCACGCCTGTAACCCCACCACTTTGGGAGGCCGAGGCGGGTGGATCATGAGGTCAGGATATCTAGACCATCCTGGCCAACATGGTGAAACCCCGTCTCTACCAAAATACAAAAAATTAGCCGGGTGTGGTGGTGCATACCTGTAATCCCAGCTACTGGGGAGGCTGAGGCAGGGGAATCGCTTCAACCCGGGAGGTGGAGGTTGCAGTGAGCCGAGGTGGGGCCACTGCACTCCAGCCTGGCGACAAAGCGAGACTCCATCTCAAAAAAAAAAAAAAAAAAAAAAAGAGCAGGCAACATGGTGCTGGCCAGGTAGAGAGCCCATCTGCATAATAAAAGATTCCCTCGGCACGCTATGCAAATGGCATACCTGGTCCCACCAATCTCTCATCCTCTATGTAAATCACACTCCACCTACCCAAGCTCACCTATAAAACCCAGTTCATTTCACCAGGGAACCAGATGACCCACTTGGGAGCCCCTCCCTCTCTGCAGGAGAGAGAGCTTTTCTCTTTAACCTATTAAACCTCCACTGTTAACCTCAAAAAAAAAAAAAAGAAAGAGAGAAAAAAGAAAAGAAAAGAAAGAAAAAGAAAGACCTTCTATGTGTAAAAGAGCTAACGAGGCCAGAATTCAAAACCCGCTTCATATCTTTGCTGTGTATCTTGGGCACGTACTGTGTCACTCTGATCTTGGGTTCTTCCAAGTGTGGAAAGAGGGGAAAGAGAAATATAATCATAATCCAGGAAAGAGATCCAAGAGAGGCTCTTAGATTCCAAAAGTAGATTGGAATCAGTAGATTCCAAAAGTAGGGCTGAGAGATTCTCTCAAAGAGGCTGAGTGCAGTGATCGCAAAGAGCCTTTTTATGCCTCCCGCGGAGAACTCCCACCTTTCATTCCTTGATCCAGTGGTTTATGACCTATATCAAAACTCCTCTTCAGGATTGGAGAGAAGGACTGGGCATCCTGGGCTCCCTGAAGATACTCTGTCTCTTCTCTCCTTTTTGATGCCTTGCTGGCGATACAGCCTGGAACACAGCAGGACTTCATAAGCTGGGGCCTGACTTCAGGGGTCAAAAGTTTCCCTGAAATTGTATATAAAGGTTTGTCCACATGCGTTTTTCTCAAGGAAAAAAAATTTATAGCTGTCATCAGATTCTCAAAGGATTAGTCCACTTGCAAAAGACAGACCCCAATTCAAATTGGCTGAATTTTAAGAAGGAGGTTCATGGCCGGGCATGGTGGCTCACACCTGTAATCCCAGCAATTTGGGAGGCCGAGGTCGGCAGATCGTTGGAGGTCAGGAGTTCGAGACCAGCCTGACCAACATGGTGAGACCCTGTCTCTACTAAAAATGCAAAAAAATAGCCAGGAGTGGTGGTGCGTGCCTGCAGTCCCAGCTACTCTGGAGGCTGAGGCAGGAGAATCGCTTGAACCTCAGAGGCAGAGGTTGCAGTGAGCTCAGATCGTGCCACTGCACTCCAACCTGGGTGATAGAGTGAGATTCTGTCTCAAAAAAAAAAAAAATTGTGGGAGATTTATTGAATGTATTGGCTCATGTAGCTGAAAAGTCATGGCTAGCCTAGAACTTCAGGCAGGACTAGATCCAAGCACTCAAACGATGTCGTGGGGAATGTGCCTCTGCATCTCTGAGTCCTCATTCCCTCTGACTGGCTTCGCTTCACATAAGCTGTTCCCTCATGCTGGAAATATGACCATCAGTATTATCAGGCTCACATCCAACCCCCTTAGCAACTTTGGCTTAATTCTCTGCTTTGGCCCAGTTTTGCTCACATGACCATCCATGAACCAGTCAGTATGGCCAGAGATTGTAAATTCTCTGATTAACCAAGCCTGAGTCCTCTGTCTGAAGCTGAGAGGACCCAGTGTATCCAAAGAGATATGTCCAGGAAGGACACATGGGCTATTTGGAGAGAAAGGTGTTTCTGCCACCAAAAATAGAGATGCCTTTGTAGGAATCAAAGGTTGCATTGGGCTGGGTGTGGTGGTCACACCTGTAATCCCAGCACTTTGGGAGGCTGAGGTGGGTGGATATTTGAGCCCAGGAGTTTCGGACCAGCTTGGGCAACATGGCAAAACCCCATCTCTACAAAAAATGCAAAAATTAGCTGGGCGTATTAGTGTGTATGTCTGTGGTCCTAGTTACTCGGGAGGCTGAGGTGGGAGGATTGCTTGAGCCAGCGAGGCAGAGGTTTCAGTGAGCTGAGATGGCACCACTGCACCCCAGCCTGGGTGACAGAGTTGAGACCCTGTCTCTCTCTCTCTCTCTCTCTCTCACACACACACACACACACACACACACACACACACACACAAAGTTGCATTGTTTTTTGTTGCTACCGTAGCAATGCAATTTTTTTTTTTTTTGAGACAGAGTGTCACTCTTCTCACCCAGGCTGGAGTAAAATGGCCCAATCTCAGCTCATTGCAACCTCTGCCTCCCGGGTTCAAGCAATTCTCCTGCCTCAACCTCCCAAGTAGCTGGGATTACAGGCACCCACCACCATGCCTGGCTAATTTTTCTGTTTTTAATACAGAAGGGGTTTCACCATGTTGGCCAGGCTGGTCTTGAACTCCTGACCTCAGGAGATCCGCCCACCTCAGCCTCCCAAAGTGCTGGGATTACAGGCGTGAGCCAACGAGCCCCGCCATCTAGTGCAAATTCATTATCTTAACAGTTCCGTAGTTCAGAAGTCCAACATGGGTCTCACTGGGCTAAAATCAAGATGGCAGCAGGACTGCATTTCTTCTGGAGGCTCTAGGGGAAAATCTGTTTAATTGTCCTTTCCAGCTTCTAAAGGCTGCCTCGGCTGATAGCACCTTCCATTTTCAAAGTCAGCAGTGTAGCATTTTTCTAACCCTGCTTCCATTGTCCCACATGTTTTTCTGATTCTTTCCTTCTGGCCTCCCTCTTCCACTTGGAAGGATTCTTACTGCATAGAGCATGTCTATGTACTCCAGGATACTTTCCCTAACGTTTTTTTTTTTTTTTTTTTAGATGGAATCTTGCTCTGTCACCCAGGCTGGAGTGCAGCAGCATATCTCGGCTCACTGCAACCTCCGCCTCCCGGGTTCTGGGAGCGATTCTCCTGCCTCAGCCTCCCGAGTAGCTGGGACTACAGGTGTGTGCCACCACGTCCGGCTAATTTTTTGTGTTTTTAGTAGAGACGGGGTTTCACCATGTTAGCCAGGATGGTCTTGATCTCCTGACCTTGTGATCTGCCCGCCTCGGCCTTCCGAAGTGGTGGGATTACAGACGTGAGCCACCGCGCCCGGCCTACTTTCCCTATCTTAACGTCAGCTGATTAGCAACCTTAATTCCGCCAGCTGCCTTACTTCCTCTTTGCTATGTAATCAAACATATTCACGGGTTCTGGGGATGAGGACATCTTTGGGGAGTAATTATTCCGCCTACCCTAGGGAATGTAAGTGCTAAGGAGGCACCTACAAAATAGTCACCACAGCATGACTCATGGCTTAGGAGCAAGGTTAGGGGTAGCAGGGACTGGGAAGTGGAAGGGAAAGAATTCGTATTTAATTGAACATACACTGGTTGTCAGACACTGCTCTTGGAACTTTTTTTTTTTTTTTTTTTTTTTTTTTTTTTTTGTTGAGACAGAGTCTCACTCTGTCACCCAGACTGGAGTACAGTGATGCGATCTCGGCTCACTGCAACCTCCGCCTCCGGGTTTCAAGTGATTCTCCTGCCTCAGCCTCCAGAGTAGCTGGGATTACAGGCGCCTGCCACCATACCCGGCTAATTTTTATATTTTTAGTAGAGACAGGGTTTTGCCATGTTGCCCAGGCTGGTCTCGAACTCCTGACCTCAGGTGATCCACTCACCTCAGCCTCCCAAAGTGCTGGGATTACAGGCGTGAGCCACCATGCCCAGCCTGCTCTTGGAACTTTACAAACATTATAATTTACTTTGATGACAACCCTATTAAATATAAATGAGTATCCCCGTTTTTACATATGAGGAAACAGAGGTTCCAAGTGAAAGAATGGACTTGTCTAGTGACACAGTTAGCTGGTGGCAGTAGCAGGATTTGAATTCAGGCCTGTCTGCCACAAAGGACATTTAAAATAAGGCCCTATGTTTATATTCATAGTATGCATGGATGTATATATTCATATATATTTCTTCCTTTTACAAAATTATTTTTAGGCTGGGCGCAGCGGCTCACACCTGTAATCCCAGCACTTTGGGAGGCCGAGGTGGGAGGATCACTTGAGCCCAGGAGTTCAAGACCGACATGGACAACATGGCAAGACCCCATCTCTACAGAAAAAAAAAAGCAAAAATTAGCTGGGCATGGTGGCGCTCACCTGTAGTCCCAGCTACCGAGGAGTCCGAGATGGGAGGATCACTTGAGCCCAGGAGTTTGAAGCTGCAGTGAGCCATGATCATGCCACAGCACTCCAGTCTGGGTGACAGAGCAAGACCCTATCTCAAAAAAAAAAAAAAAAAGAAAAGGAAAATTACTTTTAAATTGTACAAATAATATACAGATAGACTTTCCTTGCTTCTTAAAAAAAGCTTACAGGCAAAGCTAAAATTCCCTTTGGTCACCTCTCTCTCATCTACATCTCTTCTCTGGAAGTAACCATGATTATTGGTTTATGGTTGATCCTTCTGGATCTTTGTCTAAAAGTGAGTGCATGCTGCATGTGTGTGTGTGCATGCATGTGTGTGCATGTGTGTGCGTGTGTGGTAATAGAGTATATGCATAGTATTGTATAGTAAATGAGTAGTATTGTTTTGAGCAAGCATATGAGTGTCTTTTAACATAAATGGGATCCTACTGTACATATTGTTCTGCAGCTTGCTTTTTTAACTCAACAATATGTCTTGGAAATCTATCCAGATTTATTTAAAGAGCTTGTCCTCTTCCTTTTAAAAGCTGCAGTAGTATTCCATAGAACTCGGCGTTTCTTTGTCCGCTCTCCTCTTGCTGGACATTTGGGTTATTCTTGGTTTCTTTGCTTTTACAAACAATGTTGCTATGAACATCTTTACATGAGTTTCCTTGGAGACATGTCTAATAAGGAGAGTTAGAATTATCAAGTTATATGAATGTATTCATTTTAATTTTAATAAACAATTCCTGGAACTGTCAAGTATTTCTACATAACAAATACCAAAAACTCAGCAACTTCATGTGTTCTTGATCTAGCCAGGCTTTTCTGCTTTTTTGTTTATTTGTTTTTTGTTTTGTTTTGTTTTGAGACAGTCTCTCTCTGTCGCCCACGCTGGAGTGCAATGGCACAACCTCGGCTCACTGCAACCTCCGCCTCCCGGGTTCAAGTGATTCTCCTGCCTCAGCTTCCCAAGTAGCTGGGACTACAGGAATGCACCACCACGCCTGGCTAATTTTTGTATTTTTAGTAGAGACAGGGTTTCACTATATGTTCGCCAGGCTGGTTTTGAACTCCTGACCTCAAGTGATTCACCTGCCTTGGCCTCCCAAAGTGCTGGGATTACAGGCGTGAGCCACTGCACCCGGCCTAGCCAGACTTTTCTAGGGCTGCTCTGCTTGAAGCTGCAGGTCTGGCTGGCTCAGGTCCGCTCCAAGCATCTCATTCTGGGGCCCAGGTTGAGAGAAGGTAGGCTGCCAGGGAGAGCGTCTCGTGGTGACGGCTGGGGCACAAGCGGACTAGAGGCAGATGCAAGGCTTCTGAAAGCCTAGACTCAGACGCTGGTGCATCCACCCACATGCCATTGGCCAAAGCAAGTCAAGTCAAGTCAACTGTGCAGAGTTAAAGGGCAAGGAAGCACCCCACATACACGATGAGGCCGTGGCAAGGGTGTGGAACCATTGGTAGACATACTGATTTTCACTTTTTGTGTGTGTGTTTGTGACAGGGTATCGCTCTGTCACCCAGGCTGGAGTGCAAAGGCGCGATCTTGGCTCACTGCAGCCTCCGCCTCCCGGGTTCAGCTGCTCCTTATGCTTCAGCCTCCCGAGTTGCTGGGATTACAGGTGCCCGCCATCACACCCAGCTAATTTGGTATTTTTAGTAGAGACGGGGTTTCACCATGTTGACCAGGCTGGTCTCCAACTCCTGACCTCAGGTGATCCACCCGCCTCAGCCTCCCAAAGTTCTGGGATTACAGGCATGAGCCACTGAGCCCAGCCTGATTTTCTTTCTGCTGGTAATGGGACAGAGGACCTGTTCCCCCACATCCTCATCAGTGCTTTTTTTTTTAAGCTGAGCCTCTCTCTGTTGCCCAGGCTGGAGTGCAGCTGTGCGATCTCAGCTCGCCACAACCTCCGCCTCCTGGATTCAAGCGGTTGTCCTGCCTCAGCCTCCCAAGTAGCTGGGATTACAGGCGCTTGCCACTATGCCCAGCTAATTATTGTATTTTTAGTAGAGACGGGATTTCACCATGTTGGCCAGGCTGGTCTGGAACTCCTGACCTCAAGTGATCCGCCTGTGTTGGCCTCCCAAAGTGCTGGGATTACAGGAGTGAGCCACTGGCCCAGCCCATCTCATCAATGCTTACTACACCAGTTAACTTTGGTTTTGCCAGTCCTATGGGGGGAATATATATTGATTTCCTCTCCCTTAAGGCTATTGTCAGCCAAAACGCAGCACGAAGTAGAGGGAAAGTACCAGGTGGAAGAGCCTGTCACCGATAAGAGATCCTCCACCTCAGCCTCCTGAGCAGGCACGTATCACCACGCCTGGCTAATTTTTCTGATTCTTTGCAGAGACGGGGGTCTCCCTATGTTTCCCAGGCTGGTCTCAAACTCCTGGGCTCAAGCTATCCTCCCACCCTGGCCTTCCCAAGTGCTAAAATTATAGGTTACTCTGTCTCAAAAAAATAAAAATAATAAAATTATTAGTCAATAAGTCAGGAGTGGCTGGGTGTGGTTGCCCACGCCTGTAATCCCAGCATTTTGGGAGGCTGAGGAGGGCAGATCATTTGAGCCCAGGAGTTCGAGACCAGCCTGGGCAACATGGTGAAACCCCATAAATACAAAAATTAGCTGGGTATGGTGGTGGGCACCTGTAATCCCAGCTACTTGGGAGACGAAGGCAAGAGAATCACTTGAACCAAGGAGGTGGAGGTTGGAGTGAGCTAAGATTGCACCGCTGCACTCCAGCCTGGGTGACAGAGACTCTGTCTCAATAACAATAATAATAATAATAAAATTATTAGTCAATAAGGCAGGAGTGGCCAGAAATGGTGGCTTATGCCTATAATCCCAGCACTTTGGGAGGCCAAGGCGGCTGGATCACTTGAGCCCAGGGGGCTTGAGCCCAAGAGTTTGAGACCAGCCAGGGCAAACATGACAAAACCCCATCTCTACAAAAAAATACAAAAATAAGCTGGGCGTGGTGGCAGGCGCCTGTAGTCCCAGCTACTCAGGAGGCTGAGGTGGGAGGATTTCTTGAACTCAGGAGGTGGAAATTGCAGTGAGCTGAGATTGTGCCACTGCACTCCAGCCTGGGTGACAGAGCAAGACTCTGTCTCAAAATAATAATAATAATAATATGGCAGGGCCGGGCACAGAAGCTCACGCCTGTAATCCCAGCACTTTGGGAGGCTGAGTCAGGCAGATCATCTGAGGTCAGGAGTTTGAGACGAGTCTGGCCAACGTGGTGAAACCCCATCTCTACTAAAAATACACAAATTAGCCGGGCATGGTGGTACCGGCCTGTAGTCCCAGCTACTCTGGAGGCTGAGGCAGGAGAATCGCTTGAACCTGGGAGGCAAAGGTTGCAATGAGCTGAGATTGTGCCACTGCACTCCAGCCTGGGCAACAGAGCGAGGCTCTGTCTCTAAAAATAAAAAATAAAAATAAAAATAAATAAAATAAATAAATAACTTAGGAGTGAAATGAAAACAGGCTACAGGTAAAGCAGCATCCCCAGATCACATGTACTCCATTAACACTTAAGTTTTTTTCAGATTTGGCTATAATAAATGATTCTATGAGATACATCTCTGTGTGTATATTTTTGTCTACCTCTCTGATGACTTCCTGAATATAAGTTCCTATGAGTTGAATTGCTGGGTCATTAACAAAAGTTTTCTGCAGAAGCTAAAGCAATTTTCACATTAACTGTTTCATTTAGTTCCTTTTATAAAGCCCAAAGGCATAGCATTACAACAGCTCAGTGATTCCTTCCTCTGCCCATCAAATGAGCAACAAATGTTTTAAGCTTCTACCAAATGCTAGAGAGAGTGCAGCCAAACAGACATGCATGCTGATACTCAGTTGTCAGAAGGTAAATTGCCACAATTTTGGAAAGCAAATTGGTGAAAGGTGTCAAATACAGGAACAATGTCCATACCCTGAAAATATCCCATGCCTGGGAATTCACCTGAAAGTCAGAAGCTTACAAAGAGGTTCATGGTGATATTTTATAATAGTTTTTTTTTTTTTTTGAGATGGAGTCTTGCTCTTCTCACCCAGGCTGGAGTGCAGTGGCGTGATCTCGGCTCACTGCAACCTCGGCCTCTCAGTTTCAAGCGATTCTCCTGCCTCAGCCTCCTGAGAAGCTGGGACTACAGGCGCGTGCCACCATGCTCAGCTAATTTTTGTATTTTTAGTAGAGACAGGGTTTCGCCATCTTATCCAGGCTGGTCTCGACCTCCTGACCTCAGGTGATCCGCCCATCTTAGCCTCCCAAAGTGCTGGGATTACAGGTGTGAGCCACTGTGCCTGGCCTTTATTTTTATTTTTTATTTTTACTTCTTTTTTGAACAGAGTCTTGCTCTGTCACCCAGGCTGGATGGGTGCAGTGGTACCATCTCGGCTCACTGCAACCTCCACCTCCCGGGTTTAAGCGATTCTCCTACTTCAGCTTCCCAAGTAGCTGGGACTATAGGCACGCACCACCAAACCTGGCTAATTTTTGTATTTTTAGTGGAGACGGGGTTTTACCATGTTAGCCAGGCTGGCCTCAAACTCCTGAGCTCAACAGATCCACCCACCTCAGCCTCCCAGAGTTCTGGGGTTATAGGCATGAGCCACCATGCCAGGCCTAGTTTTTGAAAAATAAAATTACCAGAGTATCCAACTAGAAAGGAATGGTTAAATTAACCATGCTGTATCCACTCAACAGAATATTAAGTCAGGGCCTTACTCCTAAAGCATGGCCTTCCTGAGCTTTCAGCTGAGTGCCCAGGAGCTTAGTGAGGCCCTCCCACTCTGGCTGGGCTGGAGACTCATCTCCTAGCGCTGCATGACGGCTTTTATTTCTGTTCATCTCTCATCTTTGTAGCAGCTACCCCCGACTGGTACTCATGGAGTCTTGTCCTCTGCAGACACCGTCCAGTCCTTAGCCAAGGACCTATGGTGAACTACACACAGGCTTCTGGGGGCCCACCTCATGCGGCTCCCTTTTCCCCACTGCCCTATCCTGCAAATTCCAGCCTTGTCAGCAGCCCCCAGAGCCCTCTCTCTGTCTCCTCGGCTCAGTAAGACTGCTCTGGGCCAGGCACGGTGGCTCACGCCTGTAATCCCAACACTTTCGGAAGCTGAGACGGGCAGATCCCTTGAGGCCAGGAGTTCAAGACCAGTTTTGGCAACACAGCAAAACCCCGTCTCTACTAAAAATACAAAAATTATCCAGGCGTGAAGTGAGGAGCGCCTCTGCCCGGCCACCCCGTCTAGGAAGTGAGGAGCCCCTCTGCCCGGCCGCCACCCTGTCTGGGAAGTGAGGAGTGCCTCTGCCTGGCCGCTGTGCAATCTTCCAAGTGTGAAGTGACAGCCTTTCTGCAGGTGTCCCCAACAGCTCATTGAGAACGGGCCATGATGACGATGGCGGTTTTGTCAAAAAGAAAAGGGGGAAATGTGGGGAAAAGAAAGAGAGATCAGATTGTTACTGTGTCTGTGTAGAAAGAAGTAGACATAGGAGACTCCATTTTGTTCTATACTAAGAAAAATTCTTCTGCCTTGGCATGCTGTTAATCTATAACCTTTCCCCCAACCCCGTGCTCTCTGAAACATGTGCTGTGTCCACTCAGGGTTAAATGGATTAAGGGCGGTGCAAGATGTGCTTTGTTAAACAGATGCTTGAAGGCAGCATGCTCGTTAAGAGTCATCACCACTCCCTAATCTCAAGTACCCAGGGACACAAACACTGCGGAAGGCCGCAGGGTCCTCTGCCTAGGAAAACCAGAGACCTTTGTTCACGTGTTTATCTGCTGACCTTCTCTCCACTATTATCGTATGACCCTGCCACATCCCTCTCTCCGAGAAACACCCAAGAATGATCAATAAATACTAAAAAAATTAAAAAAAAAAATTACCCAGGCATGATGGCACGAGTCTATAATCCCAGCTACTTGACAGGCTGAGGCAGGAGAACCGCTTGAACCCAGGAGGTGGAGGTTGCATTTAGCTGAGATCACACCATTGCACTCCAGCCTGGGTAACAGCGAGACTTGGTCTCAAAAAAAAAAAAAGATAATAGAAAGAAGAGAAGAGAAAACACAAAAAAACAACTGCATTGTTTTAGCCCCGTATCTCTGTGCTGTGGTAGGGACAGGGCTCCCAGTGAGGAACCTGGGCCAACACATGGGCTCACCTTCACCATCGTCTCTTCTCAAGGATCGCAGTCCTCTTTCCACTGTTCAACGCCTGAAAACAGTGGCCCTCCTGTATTTTGTCCAGTTTCATAGCTGTTTTTTGCAGGAGGGCACGTCTGGTGCCAGTGACTCATCCCAGCCGTACGCAGGAGCGATGTGTTACATTTGTAATGGAAGAAAAAAACCCTCATGATTCAATTTTGTCCCAAACATTATGGCAGAGTAGAAAGAACATGTGCTCTGGAGTGCAGTAGAACAGGTCTCGATTCCACACTCCGACGCTTCGTTCCTGTGCGGTGGTCTTGTGTAAGCACCTCAGCTCTTTGCACTTGAGTCTTCTCTGTAAAGTGGAGAGGAGGATATTAATAGCACCTTCCTTGCAGGATTGTTGGTGGGGTCAGAGGTAATCCAAGCACTTATCTCATGCATGGCAGACCAACAAGAACAATTAATGTTTTGTTATGGGGAAGGATGATTCTGTTTCAGGAAAGGTATTTAAAGTGCAGAGAAGCCTGCATGGATTGTATGTAAAATTCCACAAATTCCATGAAAATACTCAGTTCTCCTGGCATTTTCCAGACACTGGGAATGTAGTCATCACTGAAAATAGACCAGGTCCTTGTTCTCATGGAGTTTGCCTTCAAGTGAGGGAAGACAGTGAGTAGAAAGGAAAGAAGCGAAGAAAATTTCAGCCTGGGCGCCGTGGCTCATGCCTGTAATCACAGCATTCTGGGAGGCCAAGGAGGGCAGATCACTTGAGGTCAGGAGTTCGAGACCAGCCTGGCCAACATGACAAAACCCCTTCTCTACTAAAAATACAAAAATTAGCCTGGCGTGGTGGTACACGCCTATAATCCCAGGTACTCAGGAGGCTGAGGCACAAGAATTGCTTGAAGCTGGGAGGCAGAGGTTGCAGGGAGCCGAGATGGCGCCACCACACTTCAGCCTGGGCAAGAGAGGGAGACTGTCTCAAAAAAGAAAGAAAGAAAGAGAGAAAGGAAGAAAGAAAGAAAGAAAGAAAGAGAGAGAGAAAGAAAGAAAAAGAGAAAGAAAAGAAAGAGAAAAAAGAGAGAAAGAGAGAGAGAAAGGAAGGAAGGAAGCAAAAGAAAAGAGGAAAATTTCAGTTATCAATGAGAGCTGTGAAGAAAACAGAACACAATTGTGTTGCAAAGAGTTACCAAGAACAGGTAGGAGAGTGTCTCTAAATCAGCAGGACAAGGAAGGCCCCTCTGAGGTGATATTTGAACTGAAACCTGAAAATCGGAAGCCAGCATGTGACGATGTGGGAGAAGAGCGTTCCGGCAGAGAGGAACAGGTGCCAAGGCCCTGTGGTAGGAATGAGCACACTGTCCTGGAGAAGCTGGAGTGGGGAGAGGTGGGAGGTGAGGGTGGGGCAGCATCAAGGCCCAGACCGCTCAGGACTTTAGCAGTCATGGGAAGGAGGAATGAATCCCAAATGCAGTGAGAAGTCCTCCGAGTATTTTAAGTTGGAGGTTAATGTGATCTGATTTCGTTTTTCTTTTTTTTTTTTTTTTTTGAGATGGAGTCTTGCTCTATTGCCCCGGCTGGAGTGCAGTGGTGCAATCTTGGCTCACTGCAAGCTCCACCTCCCAGGGTCACGCCATTCTCCTGCCTCGGCCTCCTGAGTAGCTGGGACTACAGGTGCCCGCCACCACGCCCAGCTACTTTTTTTTTTGTTTTTTGTTTGTTTTTTTTTTTTGAGACGGAGTCTCGCTCTGTCGCCCAGGCTGGAGTGCAGTGGCACAATTTCGGCTCACTGCAAGCTCCACCTCCCAGGTTCACGCCATTCTCCTGCCTCAGCCTCCCGAGTAGCTGGGACTACAGGCGCCCACCACCACGCCCGGCTAATTTTTTGTATTTTTAGTAGAGATGGGGTTTCACCGTGTTAGCCAGGATGATCTTGATCTCCTGACCTCATGATGCGCCTGCCTCGGCCTTCCAAAGTGCTGGATTACAGACGTGAACCACCGCGCCCGGCCTTTTTTTGTATTTTTAGTAGAGACGGGGTTTCACTGTGTTAGCCAAGATGGTCTCCACCTCCTGACCTCGTGATCCACCCGCCTCGGCCTCCCAAAGTGCTGGGATTACAGGTGTGAGCCACTGCGCCCGGCCCTGATTATGTTTTTCAGCAAGTTTCACCCTGGCTGCTGTGTGGAGAATGGATTGTAGGGAGGCAAGAGCAAAGGCAATAGGGCTAGGCTGGGCATGGTGGCTCACGCCTGTAATCCCAGCACTTTGGGAGGCCGAGATGGGTGGGTCACTTGAGGTCAGGAGTTCAAGACCAGCCTGACCAATATGGTGAAACTCCGCCTCTACTAAAAATACAAAAGTTAGCCGGGCGTGGTGGCAGGTGCCTGTAATCCCAGCTACTTGGGAGGCTGAGGCAGGAGAATAGCTTGAACCCAGGAGATGGAGGTTGCAGTGAGCCGAGATCACGCCACTGCATTCCAGCCTGAGCGACAGAGTGAGACTCCATCTCAAAAAAACAAAAACAACAACAATTAAAAAAAGCAGTAAGGCCAGGGAGGAGGCCTTCAGTCGGCCATGGGAGAGAGGATGGTGGCTTTTGCTACCGTGGTGCCAGAAGGGATGAAAAGAAGGGATACTTGGAAATGTATTTTAAAGGTAGAGTCACTGGATGATGGACTGGACAGAGGGAGTGAGAAAAGAGTGCCATCGAGAACAATTTCTACGTCTTGAAGTCAACAGCTGAGTGGAGGATGGTACAGTTTACTGAGATAAGGAAGACTGGAAGCAAAGCAAGTGTGTGTGGGCAGGGGCCGGGAGTCAGGAGCCCAACTTTGGCCGCTACATTTAAGAAGAGATGTCAAGGAGCCATTTGTATACCTGCAGGAGGAGCTCGGCGCAGAGTTCAGAGTTGGACACCCATACTGGGGAGTCATCAGCTGCCTGGATTTTTTGTTTGTTTGGTTTGTTTCGTTTTCTGAGACAGGGTCTCACTCTGTCACCCAGGCTGGAGTGCAGTGGTGCGATCTTGGCTCACTGCAACCTCCGCCTCCCAGGTTCACGTGATCCTCCCGCCTCAGCCTCCCGAGTAGCTGAGATTACAGGCGCCCACCACCACACCCGGCTAATTTTTGTATTGTTATTAGAGAAAGGGTTTCACCATGTTGGTCAGGCTGGTCTCGAACTCCTGGCCTCAAGTGATCTGCCCGCCTCTGCCTCCCAAAGTGCTGGGATTACAGGCCTGAGCCACTACGCCCGGCCCGGCTGTCTGGGTTTAAAGCCACAGAACTGGGTCACCTAGGGGTAGAGAACAGAGCACAAAGAGGGCTGGGATCCAGTGGCTTTCCTCCCACATTTAGGGAGCAAGCAAAGGAGGGGAACTGGCAGACAAGTCCCAGAAGGCTCAGCCAGGTGAAAGAGGAGGAAAGTGAGGGAGGGTTTGAAGTCACTGAAGCCATGAAAAGACATTGGTTTCCAGGAGGTTCTGTGGCCAGTGCTGCCAAGTGGAAGACTGGGATGCGGGTAGAGAAGTGGCCATTGAGTGTGCAGTACGGAGGCCATTGGTGGCCTTGGACAAGGACAGCTTGGTCGGAAGTGGGATGCAGAAGCCCAGCTGGTGTTTGCAGAGGGACTATGAGATGAAGAAGGAGAGGTAGCTTTTGTGAAGTTTTGCTGAGAAGAACAAGAGAAGTGGGCGGTCACTGCAGGGAGACGTGTCAGAGGAGGGCATGATGGGGTGGTTCCTCTTTAAGATGGGAGATACTGGGGAAATCTTAAATGCTGGTGCAGACAGGGAAAAGCGTTTATGCAGGAGGGGAGTGGTTAATTGCAAGCAACAACCTGCCCTAAATGTGACTTCTCTCAGATGAATCTCCCCCAAATTTTTTATGAGAAATGTCATATATCCAGAAAGTTGAAAAAACATTGAGCATCCATATGCCCACCGCTTTGATTCCATCGTTGTTAATATTTGAGATGCTGAATGATTTGAGAAGAGGTTGCAGACGCAAATGCTTCCATACGAATCTCCTAAGATAAGAACATTCTAGGCCAGACGTGGTGGCTCATGCCTGTAATCCCAGCACTTTGGGAGGCTGAGACAGGCAGATCGCTTGTGGCCAGGAGTTCAAGACCAGCCTGGGCAATGTAGAGAAACATGATGAAACTCTACAAAAAATACAAAAATTAGCCAGCCATGGTGGTGCACACCTGTAGTCCCAGCTACCCAGGAGGCTGAAAAGAGAAGATGGCTTGAACCTGGGAGGCAGAGGTTACACCAAGCCAAGACTGTGCCACTGCCCTCCGGCCTGGGCAACAGAGTGAGACCTTGTCTCAAAAACAAAAATAAAAAAAAAAAAAAGAAAGAAAAGAATAAGAACATTCTCCTACATAACTACAATATTATATCATATCACACCCAAGAAGAGTAAACTTAATTCCCTAGTGCTTCTAAGATCGAGTCCAAATTCACATTATCCCACTTGTCCAGACATTGTATTTTAGGACTTTTAAAACATACTATGGGCTGGGCACAGTGGCCCACATCTATAATCCTAGTGCTTTGAGAGGCCAAGGCAGGAGGATCACGTGAGGCCAGGAGTTGAAGACCAGCCTGGGCAACATAGCAAGACCCCATCTCTAAAAAAAAAAAAAAAGGTTTAAAAATTAGCCAGGTGCAGTAGCTGCCACTTGTAATCACAGCACTTTGGGAGGCTGAGGCGGGCAGATCACTTGAGGTCAGGAGTTTGGGACCAGCCTGACCAACATGGTGAAACCTCATCTCTACTAAAAATACAAAAGAAAAAAAATTACCCAGGCATAGTGGTGTGCGCCTGCAGTTTCAGCTACTTGGGAGGCTGAGGCAGGAGAATGGATTGAGCCTGGAAGGTGGAGGTTGCAGTGAGCTGAGATCATGCCACTGCACTCCAGCCTGGGCAACAGAGCGAGACTCCATCTCAACAACAACAAAAAATTAGCCAGGTGTGGTGGCACCTGCCTGTAATCCCCGCTACTCAGAAGGCTGTGGCAGGAGGCTCACTTAAGCCCAGGAGTTGGAGGCTGCAGTGAGCTATGATTGTGCCACTGCACTCCAGCTTAAGCAAAAAAGTGAGACCCCCACTCCCAAAAAAAAAAAAAAAGAAAAAAGAAATGTTGCAAACCAGGATCCAAGCAAGGCTCAAGCACTGCATGTGGTGGTTGTATCTCCTTAATCTATTTTAACTTAGAGCAACCACTCCAGCCAGTTTCTCTGCCCCATCATGGGGACTTTTTGGAGGGACCAGGCTGGTTGTCTCCTAGAATGCCCCACATTCTAGATTTGCCTGATTGTTCCTTCGCAGTGTCTTCCAGCTTGTTTCTCTCTCCTAATTCCTGTAGATGGACAAGAGAGCTCGTGCAGAGGATCCCCCACATTCTCAGTTCACAGCACCTCAGTCATTTTCTCATGGTGTCCCTGACCCAAAAAGAAATACGTGGTGGCCGTTATTAAGCAGTTATGTTCACACAACTTAAGAAGTATTATGTTCTAGCAACTTAGCACCAGTTGAAAAAGTAATGCACACAAATTGAAAGAAAAAATATTGTATTTCATCCTTTTTTTTTTTTAATTGATACAGAGTCTTGCTTTGTCACCCAGCCTGGAGTGCAGTGGTGCAATCTCGGCTCACTGTAACCTCCGCCTCTGGGGTCCAAGTGATCCTCCTGCTTCAGGCACCAGAGTAGCTGAGGCTGCAGGCGTGCGCCACCACGCCTGGCTACTTTTTGTATTTTTAGTAGAGACGGGGTTTCACCAACGGGTTTTGCCATGTTGGCCAGGCTTGTCTCGAACTCCTGGTCTCAAATGATCTGCCCCCCTTGGCCTCCCAAAGTGCTGGGATTATAGGCATGAGCCACCGTGCCCGGCCTTTATTTCAGTCTTAAAGGGCACTGATTACTTACTAAAAGGGTATACGCACCTGTTGGGCACTGTACAACCTATCACACTTTGGAATCAGATTGGACACTACCACCCTCCTTTCCTGTTCCACAAACAGGTAGTGGTTGCTTTTAATCATGGAACTGCCAAAAACTCAGCTTTACAGAGATAATATCATCCCCCAAATGTAGCATAATCTAATGTTGAAACTGTGGACTGTCCCAAGCCATGAGGTCATGGTGGTGTCTGAGAGATGTCAACTATCACTGTGTTTCACTTGAAAAATTTAAAGATGCTGTAACCAGTTGTGTGCTGGAGCCAGCGAATGGTGGCTTTGCAAACAGAAGCAAAAAAAATACGACTCTTCTCTAGCGAATGTTGAGAACCGGCTGGTAAACGTTTACCTGCATGGCACTGCTGTGGCCTGCTATGAATTTGCTGTAGTCCCCCCAGGGTGTCTTGGCATCTAGTTTGGGAACCATAGGTCTTGGGGCTTAATTAGATTTACTTTAAATGCTCTTGGCAAGAAAACGTCGTAAGTGATGCTCTGTTTTTGTTTTTGTTTTTTCCCAAGACGGAGTCTTGCTCTGTCATCCAGGCTGGAGTGCAGTGGCACGATCTTGGCTCACTGCAACCTCCACCTCCTGGGTTCAAGCAATTCTCCTGCCTCAGCCTCCCGAGTAGCTGGAACTACCGGTGCATGCCACCACGCCTGGCTAATTTTTGTATTTTTAGTAGAGATGGGATTTTGCCATGTTGGCCAGGCTGGTCTCCAGCTCCTGACCTCAGGCGATCCTCCCACCTCCGCCTCCCAAAGTGCTGGGATTACAGGCGTGAACCACTGCACCCAGCCAGGAAGCTTTCAATCATAGAAGAGGGTGAAAGGCGAGGGGAAGCTGGTATGTCACATGGTGAGAGAAGGAGCAAAAAAGACAGTGAGGAGGGAGGCGCCAGGCCCTTTTTAACAACTAGACCTCAGTGAACTAATAGAGCAAGAACTCATTCATTGCTGCAGGAATGGCACCAAGACATTCATGAGGGGGTCTGCCTCTGGGACCCAGACACCTCCCCCCAGGCCCCACCTCCAACACTGGGGATCACATTTCTAAATCAGATTTGGAAGGGACAAGTATCTAAACTTGGCCAGGTGTGGCTCATGCCTGTAATGCCAGCACTTGGAGTGGCCAAGGCAGGAGGACAGCTTGAGCCCAGGAATTTGAGACCGGCCTGGGCAACATAGTGAGACCCCATCTCTACAAAAAGCTTAAAAATTAGGCATGTGTGGTGGCACATACCTATAGTCCCAGCTACTTGGGAGGCTTAGGTGGGAGGATCACTTGAACCCCTTGGGTCAAGGCTGTGGTAAGCCATGATTGCATCACTGCACTCCAGCCTGGGTGACAGAGTGAGACACCGCCTCAAAAAATAAAAAAAAATAAAAAAATACCCAACTATATCAGGTTAGTCTGAGCCGCCTCACGGCGTAACTACCTCGGGGCAGTCAGTCAGCTCATAGAGCTGCCAAAGGCTGGAGTTAATATTTTAGCAAATAAAACAGAAGCTACATCTTTTTGGCGGCCACAGGCCATTGGGTGAAAAAGTCACAAAAGCCCTCCCGGTTTCAAGGGCTTTTATTTATCAAGGTATACCTCACTGCCAATCAGCACTTTGATGGGATGAGACAGGGGAAAGTGTCAGTCTCATCGTAAGAAGAGCCTGAGGGACGGGGCGATGATTACAGCTATCTTCAGGAAATGTAGCCTGTCACACTGACTCAGGACAAATACAGACGTTCTGGAAACCAGACAAGCGGGCAATAGGGATGTTACCATGCTGTGAGGATGGAGCACCCAGCTCTGTGCTTCTATTTCAGTGGCCACTCATCTCTCCTAACAGTGAGGGTTAGGGTTTGGAATAGAGGCACAGTGTCTTCGTCCATTGGGGCTGCTACAGAAAAATACCTTAGATTGGGTAATTTTATTTATTTATTTATTTTGAGACAGAGTTTTGCTCTGTTGCCCAGGCCGGAGTGCAGTGGCACAATCTTGGCTCACTGCAACCTCCACACCTCCTGGGCTCAAGCAGTTCTCCTGCCTCAGCCTCCTGAGTAGCCAGGATTACAGGCACCTGCCACCATGCCCAGCCAATTTTTGTATTTTTAGTAGAGATGGATGGGGTTTCACCATGTTAGCCAGGCCGGTCTTGAACTCCTGACCTCAAGTGATCCGCCCACCTCGGCCTCCCAAAGTGCTGGGATTACAGGTGTGAACAACCACGCCCAGCCTAGATTGGGTAATTTATAAACAATGGGAATTTTCTCTCACAGTTCTGAAGGCTGCGAATTCTAAGATCAAGGCGCCAGCAGATTCAGTGTCTGGAGAAGAGCTGTTCCTCATAGATGGTGCCTTCTTGCTGTGTCTTCACATAGCAAAAGGGAATATAGCTCACTCAAACTTCTGGGTTTTTTTGTTGTTTTGTTGTTGTTGTTGTTTGAGACAGGATCTCACTCTGTCCCCCAGGCTGGAGTGCAGTGGTGAAATCTCAGCTCACTGGAACCAGCAACTCCCAGGTTCAAGCCATCCTCCCATCTCAGCCTCCTGAGTAGCTGGGACTACAGGCACATGCCACTATACTGGCTAATTTTTTGTATTTTTTATGGGTTTTGCCGTATTACCCAGACTGCTCTCAAACTCTTGGGCTCAAGTGATCCTCCCACCTCGGCCTCCCAAATTGCTGCGATTACAGGTCTGAGCCACTGTGCCTGGCCAAACCTCTGTTATAAAGCCACTAATGCAGCTGAGCGTGGTGGCCCATGGTTGTAATCATAGCACTTTGGGAGGCTGATATGGGTGGATTACCTGAGCTCAGGAGTTCAAGACACCCTAGGCAACGTGGTGAAACCCCATCTCTACTAAAATACAAAAAAAAAAGCTGGGCTTGGTAGCAGGGGCAAGTAGTCCCAGCTACTTGGGAGGTTGAGGCACGAGAACTGCTTGAGCCCGGGAGGCAGAGGTTGCAATGAGCAGAGATCTTGCCACTGCACTCCAGCCTGGGTGACAGCGTGAGACTATCTCCAATAAATAAATAAATAAATAAAGTCACTAATGGCATTCATGAGGGCTCTATCCTTGCAACTTAATCACCTCATAAAGGACCCACCTGTTAATACTGTCACATTGGCAATTAAGTTTCAACATAGGAATTTTGGGGGAACATATTCAGATCATAGCAGTTAGTGATGGTCAGAATTGGGGCTAAGGGCCTGGGTACAGCAGCTCATGCCTGTAAACCCAGAACTTTGGGAGGCTGAGGCAGGCGATCACCTGAAGCCAGGAGTTCAAGACCAGTCTGGCCGACATGGTGAAACCCCCATCTCTACTAAAAATACAAAACTTAGCCGGGCATGGTTGTGCACGCCTGTAGTCCCAGCTACTCGGAGGCTGAGGCACGAGAATGGGAGGTGGAGGTTGCGGTGAGCCAACATCGCACCACTGCACTCCAGCCTGGGTGACAGAGCGAGGCCCTGTCTCAAAAAAAATAAAAAAGGAGAATTGGGGTAAGGCATAAGGCCAAGCAGCTTAGCACCCATGGTGGTGCGAGCCACCTTCCCATAGCTTCCTATCATGGGTGGCAGTCTTGTTATATCACAGCCCAGGTGAAAGGTGCCTGGGAGTTGTCCAGTGCAACTGTGTGGAACTAAATAACAGGAACATCTGAGTGGCTGTGATTCCTTTAGCCATTGTCCCCCATGAGTCCCACTTTGAGAGATTTTTCTGAGCAAACCAAACTACATTAAGTGAAAAGTTCATTCATTTTCCCATATTTTATTTATCAAAGGTATACCAAACTGCCGATCATAGCTTCTGATTGGGGTGAGACAGGCAGTGAACACACTGAGTGGATAATTTTTTTTACAGCCTGAAGCAAAGAAATTTGAAATTTAACCTCTGAAATCCCATCCCGAAGGAAATGTACAACTTCCATTTTTTTTTTGTCTGTTTTTGTTTTTTGGTTTTATTTTTTGAAATGGTGAAAATACCTTTGAGCACTCATTACTGTGGAGGGTCACTGTCCCTGTCTCTTACCTAATACCATTTCTGGGACATCAGAGTCCCCAATCCATGTTGACAACATGAATCAAAACTGAGGATCAGTGTTCCAGTTGCTCAGGACAGTCACCTGAGTGGGAGATTAGAGTTAAGCCTTAGGGCAAGGTTTAGGGGACAGTGGGAAGCGTTAAGATTTGGTTTTGTGTTTGAGCCAAACCTGGGGCCGCATCCTCATCTTTTTCCACTCTGCTTCTCTTCTTCCTCCACGCCACACCTATCTGGCTCCCATCTCTCAAACGGGCCCGGCTTGCTGCCATCTGGGGGCCTCTGCCCCAGGTGCTTGCCCCTGTGCACGCAATGAGCTATCTCCTTATTTTGGCCTCGCCACAAAAGACACCTCCTCCAGGAGGCCTCCCCTGATCACCTCAAGTCTGTCCTCCTGACCGCCCACCAACTTCTCTCCTCCCTAATTGTCCTCTTATTTTCTTCATTGCTCACACTGCTCTTGGAAATAGGACCTTGAGGGGTCAGTTCCACGGGGACAGGGGCTGTCTCCTTACTGTTCTCCGGCCGGGCTCTCAAAGCCCTGAACAGTGCCCGGTGCTGAAGACCCTTGATGAGCTCTGGAGGTTGACGGCAAATCATTTCTCCTTCAGTAAAACAGGGGCAGTCATACCCTCCAGGCAGGGCTGAGACTTAGGCTGCATGGACCAAGAGGGTTCGCTGGTTGTTCAAATATTGGAATACTTCCCTGCTTCTCTAACGGCCCCACCTGACACGGCTTGGCCTCTCACCTGAGACCCTCTTGGTTTGTTTTTTGAGACTGAGTTTCGCTCTGTCACCCAGGCTGGAGTGCAATAACGTGATCTCGGCTCACTGCAACCTCTGGAGGCCTCCCGAGTTCAAGTGATTCTCGTGCCTCAGCCTCCCGAGTAGCTGGGATTACAGGCGCGCACCACCATGCCTGGCTAATTTTTGTATTTTTAGTAGAGATGGGGTTTCACCATGTTGGCCAGGCTGGTCTCGAACTCCCGACCTCAAGTGATCCTCCCGCCTCGGCCTCACAAAGTGCTGGGATTACAGGTGCGAGCCACCATGCCCGGCCGAGACCCTCTTGTAATGAAAGGGTTAACTCAGGGCTCATCAGGGGCCTGCTCTCACCTGTGCCCACCAGGTACCACCATCCCTAGGAGTTGGTACCGCATGGTTGCAGGATTGATGCCACGCTTGTGAGGTGCTGGGCACAGCATCTGGCCTGTGGGAGACCAGGAGGAACCGCGGGCTGCCACCATGTGATTCTGTTTTGCTGGTATCACCATCGGTCCTGGCCTACTCTGTGCTGGACCCTGGTGCACACACACATTCACTGGTCCAGTCTCACGAACTAGACTTGAGCGGCGCCAGGGGCGGGTGAAACCCGAAGCACCACAGCCACCTGCCACTCCCTGGCCCTCGCCCAGCCCCTTCTCAGTTTCCCCTCTCGGCAGCTCTCAGGGCTCAGCACCCACCAGCGCCCACCCAAAACCGCCTCTTCCGAACCCATCTGTGACCTGGCTTCTCTCGGGAACCCTGGCTCATTATAGATGTGTCTGGCCCACTTTCCTTCCAGCTTCCAACCCTGACTCTCCCCAGGCTCTGCCTGCAGGGGTACAGCCACACTTTCCCTCCCTGGGGCTCTCCGAGGAGAAGGGGAAGAGGGAGAGTCTGTCCCGGGTCCCCTGGCACTGAAAGAAGGAACCTTCATCTTTCTTCTCTCTCTCCTGAGTCCTCAGTTATTAGTCAGCGTTTTGGGGGATAACAAGGCAGGGGTGAAACTTCTGTGCTAATTTTAACATCTGGAAGGATCTTCAGTGTCCTGGACAGGGGCCACCCCTCCTTCTGGGTTTCTCCGCCCCTGATTCCCGATGTCCCCCTTCCTTGGGGCCCAAGCTTTTGGGGTAGTGGACCGGGGAGGTAGAGGGGAGGGTCACGGTGACCTCCCAGAGGCCTCTGCATCTGCCCTCCCCCTCCCTGCACCCAAGATGCAGCTCAGCTTCACAGCTCTAAATGCGTCCCCAGCACCCGCTGCCAACACCTGGGGGAGGTGAGAGGAGAGTGAGTAGGGAGGCTGCAGGCTGTGCCCTCTGCCCCTCCCAGGTGCCTCCACCTGCCAAGTCTGGACCAGGGACGAAAGCTAGGAACTGACCCATTCTCCATCTCCCTCAGGGTACCCCCAGCCCAAGACTGCATTCAAACCCCATCCTGGCTCCTCCAAGAGCTCAGTGGTCTCTTCTGGAAAATGGGTTTGAAGGTTCTTCTCTTCATGAGGTGGAGGGGCGGACGAAGCGGGCATACAGCGGAGTTCAAGAAAGGCCCTCTGTCCCCTCCCCCACTCTGTCTACTCCCCGGGCTCTTGCCACCCAGTCTTGGGCCCTCAAAGCTCCAGCTCCCCAGCTTCTCTCCTCTCCCCCGAGATCTTTCTCCTCCCCCCTCCCCCCGACGGGTCCTTCCCTCCCTCTTCCATCCTCTCATCTCTGTCCCACTTAGATCCTCCTGCCTCTTCCGGGTCCTGCCAGCTTCCCCTGCTCTTCCTGACAACGCACACCGCACCCCCCATTCTTCTCCCCACAGCCCCCGCCGCCCTCCAGGCCCCTCTGTCCCCTGCAGCCCTCAAAGTTAGGCCTTCCCTACCTCCTCTTTCCCCTCACTTCCCTGCCCCTGGGCCTCTCCTGCCCATCTCTCTACCCATCTCCCCCTCCACTCCTCCTCTCCCTCCTTTCCTCTTCCTCTACCCACTCCCCCTGCCCCCCGCCCTCCCCTCCCCTTCATCCAGGACCTTATTGCAGGAGTTACCCCCTCCTCTCCCCTCCCCTCCCACACCCTCTCCCCTTTCCCTCCTCTCTCCCCTGCTCCTCCCCTTTTTCTCCCCCTCTTCTTTCTTCCACCCCCTTCCCACTTCCTTCCTTCTTTCCTCCCCTTCCCTCTTCTTTCCTCCCCCCCTTCCCCTTCCCTCCCGTCTCCCTCTCCTTTCTTCCCTCCCTCTCCCATCCTCTCCGGTTCTTCCCCCCTCTTTCCTTCCTCCCTCTCCACGCTGCCCTCCCTCCCCTCCCTCTCTCCCCCCTTCCTCTCCTCCCGGGCCTCCCTCCCTGCTCCCTCCCTCCGCCCGCCCGCTCCCACCATCATCAGTATTCCGCTCCCGTCTCCGCCGCTCTCGGCTGCTCTCGGTCGCTGCCGCACCGTCCGAGGCGGGGGCCGGGGCCGGGGCCGGGGCCTGGGGGGGGGTGGGGTGGGGGGAGAGCGGCGCCGGCGGGCCCGAGGAGGGAGGAAGGAAGGAAGGAAGGCTGGAAGGAAGGAAGCCAGGAAAGAAAGAAGGAAAGAAAGGAAGGCAAGAAGGAAGGCGGGCGGCGGGCGAGGGCGCGGGGCCGGACGGCAGGCGGGCGCGAGGCGAGGAGGCAGAGCGGCCCCCCCAGCCCCACCGCCGCCGCTGCGGAAGCCCCCTCCCCACCCAGGAGCCGGGGAGGGGGGAGAGCGCGAGAGGCTCCAGGCCCGGCCGCAGCCCCGCCCCCCGCGCCTCCCCGCAGCGGGCCTTGCACCCCAAATTCCTGAGCCTCATTGGGGGGGTCCTCCCCCCACGGGCCGGGCATGCTGCCCCCCGGAAGGAACCCCTCTCCTCGCTGTGAGTAGCCGCCAAGGGGCACGGGTCGGGGGCGGGGGCCGGAGGCGGAACCGCGGGGGGTGGGTGGGGGGCATTCGCTAATTGGGGGACAGTGGTCTTAGGCCTCCTCCGGGATGGGGGGGGATGGCAGAGGACAGGGGGCGGGGCCTAATGGGAGGCAGAAGCCGGTGGGGGAGGCGACTGGGTGGGGGTTCTCCGGGCAGGGCGAGTTCTGTGCTGTGGGGGGGGTGGTTGTCGCCGCTGCCTGGGGACAGGTTGTGGGGGGTGCGTCCGGCGGTCGCTGCGTATCCAGCTGTGGGGCTGAGGAAGTAGGCTTAGGGTGGGGGGCTCTCCGGGCGTAGGTCCGGGCCCCCCTTTCTGGGGCGGGAGTCCAGGTTCTTCCTCTCCCCATGGCCCCTCCCACCCTCCACACCGCTGCTGCTTGGGGTGGGGGGGGCACGCCAGTGATGGGGAGGGGGGAGAGGCGGGCACGGGGTTTCCTTGGTGACCGCGCCTGGCAAGAGCGGTTGCCGTGGCAACCGGGGAGAACCGGGGAGTTTGGGAAGTGAAAATGGGAAAGACGGAGGGGGTGATTGGGGAGTGAGACAACCCCCTCCCCAGTCTTCAGCCCTTCTCCCTCTGGGGTCACCCCGCCTCTCCTGGTGGGCGGCTCGGACCCCTGCCCCTCCGTCTCTCCAAGACCCCCGTTCCCTGACCCCACTAGGCTTTGGGGCCTTCTATCCTTGGGCACGTGTCTCTCCAGGACCACTGCCTCTCCCACCTCCCTCCGCCCTCCCCTCCTGGAAACCTCTCCTCCTGGAGACCCCCGCCCCCCATTTGCTGCCTCCTCCCCAGGCTTCCGACCCTCACACCTGCTCTTCTAGGACCTTCTAAGACACGGCATCTGCTCCTCAGCCTTCTCTAACCCCCATCTCTGACAATCCCCCAGATATCCCTCTCCAGACCTTCTGTCCAGGAGACCCTCACTTCAGCCGCCCTCTCCTCTAGCTCCCTCCTCCCACTCCCTCCCCGCCCCTCTTTGGGCCTTGCACCCCAGCCTCTCCCCTTTCTCCCCAACACCCCCAGTCGCCTTCTCCTTAGCCCATCACTCTCTGAAACATCCTTCTATGACCTTTCATCACCCAGAGACCCCCTCCATCGTTGTCTCCTCACCCCATAGTACTCCCCAGTCTCAGACCCCCCCAATCCTAGCTCTCTCCTTTTGGGAGCCTCTCCTTCCAACTCACCATCAATCCCGGGCTCTCAGGGTTCCCCCCATCTCTATGCCCCTGCCTCCCTGGGGTCCTGTCCTGCCAGGGGCCCAGCCAGTCTCTCTCCAGGACTCGAGTCTCCAGAGCCCAGGATGGCCTCTTGCCCACCCCTCCACCCCTTCGCCTCCTCTCTGCACCCCCATCTCCTTCCCCAGACCTCCTCACCTCTGCTCTCCTCCTAGGCGCCCTCCCCTCCTCCCTGCCCCCTCCCCGCAGCCTCTGGTGACTTTCTGTCGGGGTGGGGAATTCCCCTGGGGAGAGCCCAGCTGGGAAGGGGGAGGGGGAAGGGAGCCTCGGGGCTGCCCCTCGGCCCCCTCCCCGCCCCCCTCTCCAGCTGGGAGCTGCAGTGGCGCCTCCGCAGCGCCCCATTGCTATGCGCCTCACATCCCAAGTCCCGGCCGCGCAGCCGCCAGACAGGAACTCGGGCTCCAGGCAGCTGGGAGTAGCCGGAGCCGGCTTCCCTCCTGGTCCAGGAGCCTGAAAACTCCCGCCCCCCACCCCCGGACCGCGGCCAGGACCGCACCTCCCTCTTCCTGTAGCATCTTCCGCAGCCTTCGCCTTCTAACCTGCCTTTCCGCAGCCTCCACTTCGCCTTCCCACCTTCCTCCTCCTCCTCCTCCCTGGGGCTCCTCTCCTCCTGGCCACCGGATTGTCCAAACGCACACAGAGAAATGAGGGACAGAGAGTGAAGCCGCCGAAAGGCGGGGAGAGAGACCCAAGGAAGGGAAGAGTGGGAGCCAGGGAGGGAGGCACAGAGGGAGAGAAGGGACCCAGCCTCCGAAACACACATACAGGCAATTAGGGCATCAGCACGGAGTCACGGAGTTACTCACTTAATTTCCGAAAGAAAGAGTCGGGGAGCCGGGGACACACGCCACTCCCACCCAGAGAGCAGACACGCGGGTGAGGCAGAGACGCAGGGAGCCACAGACTCAGGGAGGGTGGGACAGACCCGCGGGGTGCCTGCTGGGGCCAGCAGGGAGCCGGGGGACACTGGCCACCAGAGTTCTGGGGGATTAGAGGCCGCTTCTGACTTGTCAGAGGGACCCCAAGTCAGCAAGTCAGCGACAGAGAGTGGGAGCGTGCGAGGAAGACACGGGGCACGTGGAGGCAAAGATTCCCCTGGCAGGTACACACACACACACACACACACACACACACACACACGAGAGCACACAGTCATTCACTGGCAGCCAGAGACCCCGATATGGAACCAGAGAGGCCCAGTTGCAGACGCAGCCCCCACACTCAGTCAGCCAGTGGTCAGGAGAGACAGGGAGCAGTCCCCAGACCTGTAGTCGTGTGTCACACAGAGACACACACAGTCCTTCGTACACAGACCTGGAGGGAGAGACAAAGGCAGGAGGCCCTTGCCTTGTGGTCCTGTGGCCTCGTGGCCTCACGCCTACGGACAGACACAAGGCAAAAGGCACGGAGGTGGCCCCAGAGCTACAGAGATGCAGCCCCAGGTGCCGCTAAGACAGTCACAGAGCTGTGCACTGTGGCGCACACACCAAACCGAGTGCCAGCGTCGGAGGCACGTGTGTGCACTGCAGGGAGGGCCAGCCCCATCCAGCAGTCACCCTTAATCCCACTCAGAGACAGCCCTGAGAGTGTTCCTCTCGCCACGGGGCTCCTCAGGGACCTCCTCGCCGTCCGAGAGGTCAGCAGAATTAAGACATCAGGTATCAGAGGGCGCTGGCATCTCTCACAAGCAGAGCCTGTGCACACATGTGCCTGCACACACACCCTCAGGGCCCATGCAGAGAGGCCGATCTTCAGGCAGAGGTGCTGTGGGTTGGGGATTGGGGGCGGGGGTGGCCGCTGAATCCTCAGTCCCTTCCGGAACCCTGGCCCTGCTTTCTTGCCAGGGTCCCCACCCCCTCAATCACCTGTCTCACCTGCTAGGACACCTGCTGTGTAGCTCACACTGGTTCTCTCTCTCCATCCTCTCTCCCTGCATTTCATCCCTTCTCACCCCACTCTCTCTGGCCGGGCATCTGTCTCGAGGTGTCACCTGGACCTCCTGTCTCTGTCAAGCCGTCTCGCCTCTCCATCTCCCCTCATCTTCCCTGGGACTGACCCTTTGCCCTCCCAGCCCCCAATGTCTTGCTGACCTGGCCCATCCGTCTAGTCTGTGGACTCATTCATCAGTCTTTCCCTCTCCCACCCCATCTGCTGTGAAACCTGCCTCTATTTCTGTCTCTGCTCGACACCGCTCTCTGTGCCTCCCTTCTTTGTCCCTCTGTGTCACTCGCCCTCACCTCTGCTGCTGTTCCTGCCAGCCTGTCTGCCTCCCCGCCTCCCCTGCTCCTTCCCCGTGGCTCCCTCTCCCCACATCCCTGAGGACTCACTTACCTGGGGTCCTCCGGGCGGCCCAAGAGGGTTATTTTCCCCCAGTGCTTTCAACATGTTTAATTTGTTGCCAACATTTTTTAAATTAGAGATTTTGCATAAAAATCTAGACTGTCAGCTTTTGGAATCGTCTTCCCCCTGGATAACTGTGGGTTGTGCTCAGGTGCAAAGGGCCACCACTCCCCACTCTCCCCTCTAACCAGCATCGGGATCATCTTCCCTGCTGGGCTCCATAGACAGAGGAGTTTGCAACCTCTGCTGTTTGCTCCTCTTCCTCTCTGCTCCATCTCTTTGTGCCCTGTCACCCTCTCCACTCTCCTTCCCTTGGTTTCCCTTGCCGGGTCCTCTCTCTGCCCCTCCTCCTTCATCCCCCCATCAGTTTGCCCTAACTCCAAGCCTCACTTTGACTGGGCCCTGTTTCCACTTAAATGGCCTCCTTCCCTTGCCGAGAGCAGGAAGAGTCTTATCCTTCTCTGGGAGAAGTGGTTCTTAAGACTGCCAGGACGCAGAGCACACGCCCATTCTCCAGGACCAGGATCTGCTGTGAAACTGCCAGCCCCTCACAGTGTTGGAAAGTCAGCGTTGCGTGAAGGCACCATGTTGCAGCCTGTCCTTCTCAGCTGGCTGATGGCTGGGGTGGGCCACAGACCCCACACTCTTGTCCCCAGCATGTGGCATCACAGCCCGTAGGCAGGGGGTGGGCTTCTCTGTACACCAGGCTGCACATTTGGCCCCAGAGCAGGTGGAGAGCAGGGGCTGCCTTAGAGGACCTGGGATGCGGACGCTGTTTCTGGAGGGAGGGCCTCACCTCCAGATAGGGGTGCAAAGGACAGGGCTCCCCTCTGTGCCTGGCAGCGCTCAAGCCCAGCAGCATCCCCTCCACCATCACCCTTGCTGGGTGAAGGGGGCACGTCTTTGTGTCCTCTCTGGTGGGGTACGGGAAACCTCATTAACTCTGAGTTTGGAGACCCTTTGTCCCCACTGGGGAGAACCTCCCTTCCCTTCGAGTCCCAGTTCCTGAGGCTGGGCTGGCTCCGCCAGACAGGGGGTGGCAGGAGAGTAAGGAGAGTGGCAGGATGCCCCTTGTTGCCTGGAAACCCACGCGCAACTGTTGTCATGGCAGGCAGAGGTGGAGGGGCTGCCTTGGAGACCCACGAGAGGGGCTGATGGGGGCTCACTGCGGGAGGCAGGCGGGAGCCCAGGGGACTGCTGTTTCCCCAGGAGGGCTGCTGAGAGTGAGAATGGGGGGTGTCTGGTAGTATCTGGGATCCTGGTGGGAGGTTGAGAGACCTAGACAGAGACAGGCCAGGCATGGTGGCTCACGCCGTCTCAACACTTTGGGAGGCTGAGGCGGGTGGATCACCTGAGGTCGGGAGTTTGAGACCAGCCTGGCCAACATGGTGAAACCCCGTCTCTACCAAAAATACAAAATCAGCCAGGTGTGGTGGTGTGAGTCTGTAATCCCAGCTACTCAGGGGGCCGAGGCAGGAGAATCGCTTGAACCCGGGAGGCAGAGGTTGCAGTGAGCCGAGATCATGCCCATTGTACTCCAGCCTAGACGACAAGAGCAAAACTCCATCGCCAAAAAAAAAAAAACAAAAAAAAAAACCCTGGATGGAGAGGAGGAAGAGAGTGAGGCAGGGCAGGAGGGGGCAGCAGCCCCAGCCACTCCCAGGCTCACTGTGCCCCCCAGATGCTGCCCCAGCCCAGGGAGTTGAGCTTAGGCCCCAGAGTTCTTGTTCAAACACTACAACAAAGGTCAGAAGGCTGTGCAGCCACAGCTCCACTGCAGAGGCCAGCCCCAGGGGGTAAACGCAGAGGAGATTGGCCCTCCCCTTGCCTCAAACCCTCTCTCCAGAGCTGGAGATGACCATGATCGTAGCTAACTGATTGAGAGCATGCCACGAGCCAGGCTCAGTGCTCAGTCTCTTATGTGGATTTTTTCCGTGTATTCCTCAGGCAACCCTGCAAGGAGGCACAGTCATCATCCCTGGTTTGACAGATGGGGAAACTGAGGCCCAGAGAGGTGGGTCCCTTGCCCAAAATAGTACACCTAGAAATGGCAGAGCCGGGACTCCAAACCCTGGTGTGGGCCGCCCTGCAGGTCGCCTCCCTCCATGAGACTCCCAGTTTACAGAGGGGGAAACTGAGGCCAAGAGAGGAGAATGCACTGGTCCATTGGGCCCTAAAAGTGGAAATTCAATTTTTTTTTTTTTTTTTTGAGACAGGGTCTCACTCTGTCACCCAGGCTAGAGTGCAGTGGCGCGATCTCGGCTCACTGCAACCTCTGCCTCCTGGGTTCAAGCAATTCTCCTGCCTCAGGCTCCTGAGTAGCTGAGACTACAGGCACGCATCACTACTACACCTGGCTTATTTATTTATTTATTTATTTATTTGTATTTTATGGTAGAGACACCGTTTCACTGTGTTGGCTAGGCTGGTCTCAAATTCCTGACCTCAAGTGACCCACCTGCCTCAGCCTCCCAAAGTGCTGGGATTACAGGTGTGAGCCACTGCACTCGGCCATAAAATTGTTAATAATCACAATAATTAGGTTGTTAATAACAATACACTCATAGAAGGTTAGACTTTTGGAGTTGGGGGAGAACAGGGTCTTGCTCCGTTACCCATGCTGAAGTGCAGGGGCACAACCACAGCTCACTGCAGCCTTGACCTCCTGGGCTCAAGCGATCCTCCCGCCTCAGCCTCCCAAGTAGCAGGGATTACAGGCGTGCACCACCACACCCAGCTAATTTTTGTATTTTTTGTAGAGAGGGGGTTCTCACTATGTTGCCCAGGCTGGTCTGGAATTCCTGAGCTCATGCGATCCTCTTGCCTTGGCCTCCCAAAGTGCTGGGATTACAGGCATGAGCCACCACGGCCAACAAGTCTAGACTTTTGAAGGCATTGAAGCTGCTATAACTTAGGGGCTGTCAGGTTCTCAATCTTGTTTATGCCTCTCAAGCACCAGAAGGGAAAGGACTCCCCATGCTGATTCTCACAGTAGAGAATCAGCCCTCACCGACGTGGGGGTTGTAGGATCTTGTTGCGGGAAGGGCAAAGACCCCAAATGTGATCCCATGGGCCCCCCACTCCTTGACAGATGAGTGGTTTTGATCCAGCCAGAAATGCTGGATTTACAATGGCAGAGAAGTGGCGGGGTTGGGTGGGGAGGGGGCTGAGTCATGGAATGGGAAAACTGTTTGTTCTTCTGACCCGTAAGAATAAATACCGTTTTTTGTTTTTTTAAGACGGAGTCTCACTCTGTCACCCAGGCTGGAGTGCAGTGGTGCTATCTTCGCTCACTGCAACCTCCACCTCCCAGGTTCAAGCGATTCTCCTGTCTCAACCTCTTGAGTAGCTGGGATTACAGGCACGCACCACAGCGCCTGGCTAATTTTTTGTATTTTTAGTAGAGACGGGGGTTTCACTGTGTTGGCCGGCCTGGTCTTGAACTCCTGACCTCAAGCGATCCGCCCGTCTCGGCCTCCCAAAGTGCTGGGATTACAGGCGTGAGCCACTGCACCCGGCCGAGAATAAATGATAACTTTTAATGTAGCTGTCACTTAAGTGTCAAGCACTGTACATGGTCTCCAGGAACCCCAACAAGCTATTAATAGGTGTCATTATCTTCACAGACTGCAAGGCGGAGCCTGGGGCGGGGGACACAGGGAGAAAGTGGCCAGCCAGAGTTTCAACCCAGTTTTCCTCAACACCAACACTCTTTCCACCTCTCCATCCTTCCTCTTCACAGGACGGTGTGATGAGGTAGACGAGGAGAAGGAGGATCTTCTGGATCCTGGAATAAGTTCACTGAGCATTTTCCTTTTATGCCCCAGGCATTTCCCTAAACTCATCACAGATATCAGACCTTCCCCACCTACAGGTGAGCAGACCGAGGTCCTGAGGGGTGAAGCTCCCTTTGCAAGCCAACATGGCTAGTAACTGTGGCAGCTGAGGTTCAAACCCAGGTCTAGTTGATTCCAAGGCCCACCTTGAGCTACACCCCTATACAGAGCTCCGGAGAGGAGAGGAGGGGGCTTCATTCTTCATCCCGAAATGGAATATAGGAGTGAGATGGGCACTTAGAGACCCTTCAGCCCCTTGCTGTGAGACCTGCATCCCCTGGGAAACAGAATGACAGCCTCACCCTAGATATGGCGATGCAGAATCTGCAGTTTTTTGTTATTGTTATTGTTATTTTGAGACAGAATCTCACTCTGTCACCGAGGCTGGAGTACAGTGGTGCGATCTCGGCTCACTGCAACCTCCGCCTCCCAGGTTCAAGTGATTCTCCTGCCTCAGCCTCCCGAGTAGCTGGAACTACAGGCAGGTGCCTCCACGCCCAGCTAATTTTTGTATTTTTATTAGAGACAGGGTTTCACCATGTTGGTCAGGCTGGTGTCAAAACTCCTGACCTCAAGTGATCTGCCCGCCTCAGCCTCCCAGAGTGCTGGGATTACAGGCGTGAGCCACTGCGCCCGGCCAGAATCTGCCTCTTAACAAGATTCCCAGACAGCTGGACACACATTCATGTCTGAGAAGCATTGCTCCAGTTCACATAGTTTTCAGCTTTTTATGACTTTTAGCAGCACCCTTTTGTTGTAAACAAAATAACTATGCACAACCCTGTGAGAGAAAACAGATCGGATCAGCGTCCTTCCTAGGCAGGACCCCTATGAGTGGAGCTGGCGGGGGCCACGCCCCTCCCAACCTGCAAACTCGCTCTCACGCCCCACTGCCTGAGCCTTGGCAACAAATACTGTTGTAAAAACCACCAATGCCAGGCCAGGGCCCAGTTCTCTTCTGGGGTGAATTCAGTTCAGGGGTGTTAAGCCGCCCCATCCCAGCACAGAATCACAGTCCAGGGACCTGGAAGTTCAGTTTTTTTTCTTTCCTTTTTTTCAGACAGAGTCTCGCTCTGTTGCCCAGGTTGGAGTGCAGTGGCGCCATCTCAGCTCACTGCAACCTCTGCCTCCTCGGTTCAAGTAATTCCCCTTTCTCAGCCTCCCCAGTAGCTGGGATTATGGACGCCCGCCACCAGGCACGGCTAATTTTGTATTTTTAGTAGAGGTGGAATTTCAGCATGTTGGTCAGGCTGGTCTCAAACTCCTGACCTCAGGTAATCCGCCCACCTTGGCCTCCCAAAGTGCTGGGATTACAGGCGTGAGCCACCACCCCCGGCCCTCTTTTCTTTTTCTTTTTCTTTTTCTTTTTTTTTGGAAGTTCAGTTTTTATCTCAAAGCCTACCCAAATCTGGCTATCCATGGGTATGGCAGTGCCTCAGTGTGCCCTTCTGTAAAATGGGCAGCAGCAGCTCTCGCCATGGGCCCCTTGCGGGGACTGAATGAGCTCTTGCAGGCAGCTCCCGCAGCGCAGGCCTGGCACAGGCAACCAAGGCAGCGCTGGTCAGGTGCTCAGGCCTCAGACTCTCCATAACATTCCATTTCTCCAGCTGTGATCTCCCTGGCTTCTCCATGAGTCCCATAAGAGCCCTGTGAGGTAGCTGGGCAGGGCCAAGGAGCAGACGGAGCGGCACTTCAGGGACTCAGGCAGAAGCAGTTCCAAGCAGGATCAGTGGTTAGATCCATGCTGTCCAACACAGTAGCTGCCACAGCCACTGCCATGCATGAGCAGCAACAGTCACATCAAGTCGAATGAAGAATTCAGTCCCTGCTCCTTCTCGACATACGTCACGTGCTCCGTAGCCTCGTGTGGCTGGTGGCCACCAGTGCTGGACAGCACGGAGAGAACATTTGCATCATTGCAGAGAGTCTGTTTGACAGTGATGCATTGATATATTGAAATACAGCCGGGTGCCGTGGCTCACGCTTATAATCCAGCACTTTGGGAGGCTGAGGCAGGAGGATTGTTTGAGGCCGAGAGTTTGAGACCAGCCTGGGCAACATGGCAAAAGCTTATCTCTACAAAAATACAAAAAAATTAGCCGGGTGTAGTGGTCCACGCCTGTAGTCGGCTACTCAGGAGGCTGAGGTGGGAGGATCACCTGGGCCTGGGAGGTGGAGGCTGCAGTGAGCTGAGATCACGCCACTGCACTCCAGCAGAAATTTGTGTGATGTGTGTGTGTGTATGTATGTATGTGTGTGTGTATGTGTGTGTGTGTGTGTGTGTGTGTGTATGTATACAGTTGACCCCTGACCAACTTGGGGGCTAGGGGTGCCAGCCCCCTGTGCAGTTGAAAATCTGCCTGTAACTTTTGACTCCCCTAAAACTTAACTCCTAATAGTGTTCTGTTGATTGGACACCCTACCAATAACATAAACAGTCAGTTAACACATTCATGTTAAATGTATTCTATCCTGAATTCTGACAATAAAGTAAGCTAGAGAAAAGAAAATGTTATTGAGAAAATGCTAAGGAAGAGAAAATACATTTACTAGCCACTAAGTGGAGTGTATCATCGTAACGGGCTCCCCTGATTGTCTTCACGTTGAGTAGGCTGTGAGCAGGAGGAGGGGGCGGTTGTCTTGCTGTCTCAGGAGTGGCAGAGGCAGGAGAAAGTCCACATATAAGTGGACCACACGATTCAAACCCCTGTCCTTCAAGGGTCAAGTGTAGTCCTCCGCTGGCTGGTAAATAGCTCACCTCAGCCCTTCCTGGGTCCCCACCACCCCCCACCCAGCCCTCCCAGCCCTCTTCTGAAACCTGCTGTTAATTCCCATTTCTCTGATGAGGAAACTGAGTGGCCACAGGGTACTGTTCCTAGCGGAAAATTGGCAGCACCGGGGGGTCGGAGCCCAGGTTTCTGCTTTTCCTGGCTTCCAGCCAGGCTCCGAGTCCTATATGTCACTTGCTGGTCACTTGCTGTGTGCCAGGCCCTACTTGGGCCCCCTTGCCACAGCCCCATGCAGCATCATCAGAGAGGCTGCAGCTGGCCCAAAGTGGCACAGCCAGGGACTGGACGGGAGCCGGGTGGGCGGTGTGTCCCCAGCTCCCCTGCTGCCCTGTGGGTGTGACCAGAGCGAGGCACCGCCTGTGAGTGGAGATTGGGGCTGGGGGGCCTGTGGCAGGGACTTTTGCATTCTCTTCTCCCCGTAACTGCTTCCCGCCCCACATCCTCTTCTGGCTTTTGGAATTTGACCCCAGATCTATAAGAAGAGCCTGGCTCCTCCCTCTCCCTCACCTCCTACACCGCCTCCAGGTTCTGCCACTTTTACAAATTTGCTTTATCTGTTCACTCTTTCCCTTCTCTCCATCCCCGTGGCTCCAGCCGCGGCCTCATCCTCTACCCCCGGACCCCTGGCGCAGCTCCTCCCTGGCCTCCAGCCGCGCCGCTCCAGTCCACTCAGAGGGGTCCTTCACCCACCAGAGCTGAGCCTGCCCCTCTGTTGTCACAGCCCGTTGTGAGAGGAAGGAGGGCCCCCCCGCCCCCGGCCCATTGCCACGGCCTCTGTAACAGCTCGACATTCCCTCCTCCCGGCTTCCCTCCTGGACGTTCCGGGGCCCACCCTGTGCCCGCCCTCTCACTTAGCCCTCGGACGGCTCCCCCACCCCCACACTTGCCTCCCTAGAGACCCAGGGCTCCTTGCCTCGGGTGCCAGCAGAGGAACTGCCGGTAGGGGGCGCTGGCTCGCTCGTTCCTGCAGCAAATACTGAGGCTCGGAGGGGCCAGCGCCGTTGGCCGGCCTTGAGGATGCAGCCGTGGACGCCGCGGCAAAGCCCTCAGGGGCTCCCCTCTTAGCAGGAAGGCAGGCAATGAACGCAGGAACAAATCACCGAGCATCAGGTGCTGGGTGGCCGTGACACGAGCTGTGAAGAAAAGGAAGTGCAAGGGATACGGACGGTAGGGGGAGCTCAAAGAAGACCTCCTGGAGGTGTCGTGGGAACGCAGAGCCCCCCCTGACCCCAGGAAGAGCACCCCCGGCTGGCCGAGGGCACAGCAGGGGCAAAGTCCCCTCAGGGGAACGGGTCTGGTGTGGATGGGAAGAGCCTGGGTGGGAGGCGCCTGGTGGGTGGGAGGAGCCTGGGGGAGAGCGGCGTGGCTGCACGGGAAAGGACAGCCCCCCTCCAAGCAAGTCACCACCTCACCCCCACCCACTGCACCTCACCCCCACCCCGACTGCACCCCCACTGCACGGGCCGCCTGTTGGTCCTGCTGCCCAGTGGCCAGTGGCCCGGGAAATTCGTGAGCTGAGCCAAGCCCCTAGTCCTGCTTCCTCATCAGCAGCTCCTAGGGGGCCTGGACTGCCCTTTCCCTAAGGTTCTTCTACCTCCAGACATAGAAGCCTGACAATTCTCGGCGCTGTGGGGCTGCTTTTATTTTGAAAGCATTCAGGACATGGATTGGCTCAGAACGCCAGCGCTGCCTGTCCCCTCCCCCAGAACCCGGGTCTCTCCCATAGGACCGGCTTCCAGGGACAGAAGGGCTCATCCCTCCCCGGCTTCAATCCCTCTCCACCCTCTGGGCTCCAGGCTCCACTTCTGCCCCAGTCCCTCGCAGTGGGGAAGTTCTTCTCTAGCTCTAACCTCCAGGCCTCTTGCTGCAATGGTAGTCAATTTCCTATCTTCCCTCTGGCCGTCTGAATTTAGCCCCCCACCCCACCCCAAAAAATGAGTGCGCCTGACAGGAACGTTCCCTGCCTCCCATTTCTCCTCACCCCGCCTCTCCTGGGTCCCCGAGTTTCCGATCTGCCATCTGCCTGAATCCTCCCAGGCACAGTGCCCGAGATCTCTCAGAGCTGGGGCTGGGGAGGATGGCGAAGCCGGTGAGGACTCAGCTTCACGCCTCGAGTGCCCGGGCCCTCCCAGCCTCTGCCTTCGCCTGGATCTCAGCTCCATCTCGGGGCCTCCTGTCCTCCTGCCCCTTTCATGCCCCTTTGTATGCCTGTGTCTGTCTCCCTGTGACTCTGCCACTCTCTGCCCCTCGTACTTCTCCTCTTTGGGGTCCTTCTGTGTCTGCACCTCTGGCTTGTTCCTTGCACCAGGTGAGGGAGGAGAACAGGTGTACCCTTGTGATGGGTCCTCTCCCGGGGCAGCTGCGGTGGGAGAGGCAACCGTGGTGACCTGGCTAAGTTCTGGGACTGGGGTTCCAATGCCGGCTGTGCTGCTGGAGGGCTGTGTAACCTTTGGCAAGTGCCGCTCACCTCTGAATCTGTAAAATGGGCACAAGAACCATCCCTTCCTCCCAGGGCCGTGGGGAGAAGCCAGCAGCTTGAGGAGTGGATAGCATGGCACCCACATGTAATCAGTATTTCCCATCACTACTAGGGGTGCGTGGGGGCAGAGGGCAGTCCATGGAGCCTCTGCCAGCCGGGCGTGAAGCCGTGGTGGGGTGTCGGGCGTGTGATATCCTGTGCAGTGCGGGTGACTGCAGGGGCTGAGGAAGGGTGGCTGTTCAGCATGCCTGTGGCCTTGCCTGCACCCTGCCCCCCACACACAGGCAGCCTCCATGGGAATTGTTGCTGCTGTCAGGCCACACTTGGGGGTCTTTGGGGCCCCTGGACTCTGGCAAGGCTGACCTAGGAGGGGCCACTTCCTAGCCGTGTGTTTCGCATTAGGCAACTAACAGTACCTCTGTGTGTCTCAGCTTTGCTAGCTGGGAACTGGGTGTAATAGCAGTCTTCTCTCAGAGGGTTGATGTGAACTGCGGTGGCTAATGCAAGTAAAGCTCCCAGAATGGTGCCCAGTCAGTGCCAGATGTGTGTTGGACGTTACCACCTTTGGTGGTGTCATTATTCAGTGAGTTCACGCAAGTCAGATGTGTGTGCGGAAGAGATGAGGTTAGCCAGCATTCCTGTTATCCAGGTCAGAGGGCTCTATCTGGGGACAACTGGGGCCAGGTGCCCTCTCAGTATGCAGCTGTATCCAGGAGTGTAGCTCACGCAGGTGGTATCTGAGGTTTGGGCAGAGTGGTAGCTTTCCTCTGGGTGCACGGAGCTGCGCTGGGGACCTCCTGTTTGGAACCTGAGGTGTAGTATCTGGGACTTAGCCATCCGGGTGGTGCTGGGGCACGGAGGGTGACCCAGGGCATGGAGGGTGACCCGGGACATTGGTGTCCAGCTGACGTGAGATGTGTGCTTCCTCGGCCAGGTACGGTGGCCCACACCTGTCATCCCAGCACTTTGGGAGGCCAAGGCAGGTGGATCACTGGAGGTCAGGAGTTCAAGACCAGCCTGGCCCACATGGTGAAACCCCCGATTCTAACTTAAAATACAAAAATTAGCCGGGGTGGTGGTGAGCGCCTGTAGTCTCAGCTACTCAGGAGGCTGGGGCAGGAGAATTGCTTGAACCCAGGAGGTAGAGGTTGCCATGAGCTGAGATCGCGCCACTGCACTCCAGCCTGGGCAACAGAGTGAGACTCTGTCTCAAAAAAAAAAAAAAAAAAAAGGTGCTGCCTCTGCCAGCAGGCCTCCTGGGATGGAAGGGGACCTGGGGACCGAGGGTGTCCAGGGCTGGGAGCCTGCATTGTGCAGCTATTGCAGTGCGGCCTGGCTCGGTGTGCAGAACGGAGAGTGGGGGTATCTGTGTGTGAGCGTGGGGGGAAATAGACTCACAGTGATGATAACGTACCCATCCGTCCCTGCACCCAGTGTTTGGTGAGCAACTGCCATGTGCCCAGCACTGTTGTGGGTCCTGGGAACCAAATAGTCACAAACTGACTGCCCTCGGGAAACTTGCCTTCAAGCGCACGGACCCATATAAAAGCTCAGATGCTGATAAATGTCATGGAGAAAAAGGAAACAGAGAAGGTTCTGGAGAGGGATAGGGGTGCTGTTTGATGCGGGGCGGTCAGGACGGCCTCACTGAGAAGGTAGCATTGGAGCACGGACCTGATAGAGAGCAGGGCAAGAGCCCTGTGGACAACCGGCAAAGAGCATTCCAGGAAAAGGGAAGAGCAGGTGCAAAGGCCCTGGGGCCGGGGTGTGCACGGCCTGTTCTGGAAACAGCGAGTGAGCAGGGGGAGGAGGGAAGCGATGAGGTCAGAGGAGGAGCTGGGGTGGAGAGTGGAGACCTGAAAACTGAAGTCCTCATCTCTGCTCTGAGTGGGACGGGAGCTGTGGAAGGCTGTGGAGCAGAGGCGGGGCAGGGTCCATGGGGTGTTGACAGGATACCCCTCGCTGCCCGTGGGGAACGCACGGGGAGTGGGGGTGAAGGCAGAAATGGGGAGGCTGGAGGGGAGGACACTGTAATCGTTCAAGAGGGAGATGGGAGCCAGGTCAGGGAAGTAGCCTGGGCGTGGGGAGAAAGATCCTCTGATTCTGGGGTCTGATTCCGCATATGTTGTGAAGACAGAACTCTTTACCAAGGATTTAGCGATTTAATCCCCACAGTGGCCCTAGGAGGCAGATACTCCCATTATCCCTGTTTCACAGTGGAGGGAACTGCAGCTTGGGAGAATAAGCCACCGGCCCGAGGTTACACGGGAAGTGGCAGCAGAGTCAGGACTCAAACCCAGGCCTCTCGGCACTCACCAATGTGCCCCACTCTCGAGAGGTGCCTTTTGTGGCCCATGGGTGTCCTGGGCTAGTGTCTAGCACATAGCAGGGACTGGGTAGACATTTGTTGGACAGATGGATGGAAGGATGGATGGGTGGACGGATGGATGGATGGATGGATGGGTGGATGGATGGGCGGAGGGATGGAAGGACGGATGGATAGACGGATGGACGGATGGGCGGATGGATGGACGGATGGATGGATGGATGGATGGATGGATGGATGGATGGATGGACGGATGGGCGGATGGATGAATGGATGGATGGATGGATGGATGGATGGATGGATGGACAGATGGATGGACGGATGGGTGGACGGATGGATGGACGGATGGATGGGCGGATAAGTTGAATGAATGAACGTGGCTGCCCTGCAGATTTTGCAGAAGTGTGTCAGGAGGTGGATGTCAGGATCTGGCTAAGGTCCAAGGGAGAGGGGTTCCTCTAGGGGTGGGGGCCTTTGTGGCATGGAGAGGGGCTGGCCCTCAGCCACGGGACGGGGTGACGGTGCAGGGCGCAGGTTCCAGTGCCGGTATATCAGGTGTGGTATATCAGGGTTGGAGTAAAGGCTGTGTGGCATGGTGGGGGTTCAAAGGAGTTCCTGGGGTACAGGGGCATCTGCAGGAAAACGCTGGGCAAGATTGTGTGCCTAGACCCAGTGGGGGGTGTGAAGCTGGGGGGTTTTGGCTGGAAGTGGGGGCGAGGGGGTCAGTGGTGGCCCAGCCCGGTCATGCAGCCAACGAGGCTGTCTGTGTGCCATGAGGCTCCGGCTTGGCACGGCCCAACCACCCCCCTTTCTTGGGCAGCCCAGCCGGCAACCTTCCTCCCCCGCTTCCCCCGACCTTCCTCGGCTGCCTCCTCGGCTGCCCAGAACCAATGGGTTAATTAGATAACGGAGCCTTTGATTAGCGGGGGAGGGGGAGGCCTCCCCCAGGCGGCGCAGGGAAGGGAGGCTGAGGAGGAGGGAGGAGAGGCGCCCTCCCCGTTCAGAAGGAGAGAAAGAAGGAGGGAGGGGTGGGGAGGGAGGGAGCTGAGGCACAGCTTGGCTCTGCACTGCCGTGTGACTAGAAATTGTAATCGCGGAGAAAGAGAGAGACAGACAGAGCCGGGGAGAAAGGGACCAAGACAGACGGACAGACAGACAACCTGACTGAGACGGGCTCAGGGCCGATGAGAGGGTGACAGGGATAGAGCAAGAGGGAGGAATAGATGGAGGAGAAGGAGAGAAGGGGCCTGGGGGTCCCGAGGGAGGCAAGATTGTGAGGGGGGAGACTCAGGAGGGGGTTGAGGCCAGAGGAGGTGGACGGGGACCAGAGGCGGAGGGGGAGGACCGAGAGGGGCAGAGAGAGAGTTAAGGGGGCTGGGGTCGGTGGGTGGAGAGAAAGGAGGCTGCGGTCGGGGGAGAGTCGAGGTAGAGGTGGGAGAGGGGGTGGAAGGAGACCGGAGGAGGCGAGCGGGGAGGGGAGCAGAGAACTGCTGCAGTGGCCAAAGGACAGCCCCCCCCAGGGGTGGGAAGGGCGACAGGCCAGTGGGGGGGGCGCGGGGAGACCCAAGAAGCCCCTGCGCCCCCCCCAGCACGATCTCGACAGGAAGCCCTGGAGAACTGGGGAGGCAGAGACCCCGGCTGGCCGGAGGCATGTGGAGGGGGGGGCCTGGGCGCAGGGAGAGGCCCAGCGGAAGCCAAGCCACCAGGGTGAGTGTCCCCCACCGTGGGGTTGTGGGGAGAAAAGGATGGGAGATGGCGGAGGGCGGCGGGGGGAAGGGGAGGGAGGCCGAGTCGCTGCAGAAGCCGTGATGGGGGTGGGGGGATGCGGGCTGGCAGCGGGAGAGCTGGGGACAGATGCGGAGGTAGACATGGCAGCGGCAGGCCTGGAGGCCGGGGTGGGTGCCGTGGGCTCCCACAGGCCCTGCGGGGTCCCCCGGCCTCAAATCCAGGCCCTGCGCTTTGGGCCAGCCCTTTGGCTAAGAGGGTGTGGGCTGGATCATCGCCAGGGTCTTAAGAGGTAGGAGCCCCTGACCCAGGATAAGGACTGGGCATTGACCTCCCTGTTCACATTCAGGAAAATGAAGACCCTCACCGCACTCACATAGTCAGACACAGACACACGGCCCCAGCCCTGCAGGAGAAAAATGAGCCCGGGTGGACACAGAATCAACCTCTCTCTCTTTCTCTCCCCAGCTCCCTCTTTCCCCTGCCCTCTGTCTCTCTGCCTCTGCTTCTGTCTCTGTCTCTCTGTGTCTCTGTCTAGCCCTCGCTCTCACACATGCACTCAGATACACAGACGTATGCACACACATTTTTATCTGGGTTAAAATGGTCTTGGAAACTGCAGGAGGAGGGAGTGACTGTGTGTGTGCATAGCCGTGTGCCTGGGGGTGAGCCTGTGTCGGGGGTCCTGAGAGTCCACCGTGAGAGGGGGGTCCTGAGAGTCCACCGTGAGAGGGTGTGCCCCATCACTGCTGAGTGTGTGAGTGGGTCGGTGTGCGTGTTTGTGTGACCTGCCCTCCTCCTGGTCTCTTGGGAATGGTTTGGGGTTGGCCTGTGTTGGGGCAGGGCCTGCTGGTGTGGGTGTATTTGTGTGTACTCAGAGATGCTGCGTGCAAAGGAGAGCTGGGAGCCAGAGGGTAGACCCAGGGCCGAAGTACCCCCTCTGCGCCCTCCCGGCCTGCTCTGTGCCCTTGGACAGGCCGTTTTCCCTCATAGTGCCTCAGTGTCCCCATCTGTAAATTGGGCATCCTAATAGCTTTCTCCTATGGTCATTATGAGGCTCACATGAGATGACCGGGATACAGTTTGCTGCATTGCAAGGGCTCACCCAGTGTTCCGGAGAGACTATTGTTACTGGTATCGTTGCTGTGACTCACCCATCCCCTTTCCCTCTCTGGTTCCATGGAAATGGCGGGGCAGGACAGATTGGGGAGGTACAGCGTGACTTCTCAGAGGGCCCGAGTCCCCGCTGTCTGCTTTCCTCCCAGAACCCAGGCAGAGTCCCTGGACCCCCTTCCCTTCCCCATCCCCTCCCCGAGAACCAAGCTCGGTCCTGCGGCAGCAGCTGGCATGAGTCCCATCGGGGCTGTCTCTGCCTGGAGCACCCACAGTCTCGGGGCAAAGGAGGGGGTGCAGCTGGTGGCCTCTCGGCCTGTGCCGCCCCCCGTCAGGTCCCCAGCCACCCTCACACACAAGCTCCAGTCTCCTCCCTCTTCACCCTGCTGCCTCCCAGCCCTCCCTTCACCTGCCCACACCTGTCACCTCCACGGTTGCCTTGTCTGCCACCTTACCTCTCTCTCCCTCAGATTCTCCCATGAGTCTGACTCAAGTCTCTGAAGCTGCTGTGAGGCCCCCACAGGGCCTGGACAGGGTGGGCAGTGACAGGAGGGTGTGCAGCGGAGGGTCTTTCGGTTTAGCTGAGGGCACAGGGGGTGGGGGAAATGCATCTCTTCGCTAACATCCCTGGGATGGGGAGAGGGGGAGGGAGTGGAGGGGAGAGGAGGCTGGGACCCACCTCCCAGGTGATCACGCAGGTGGCAAGGGGACCGGGCGGGTGTTGGGATGGGAGCGAGGTCCTCGCCACCTCGCTTGCTCTTCCCCGTTTCTGCCCCCTCGCCTTGTCTGTCTGTCTGTCTGTCTCACTCCTCTGATGTATCTACCTTTTTGAAGTCATGCAAAGAACTGGGTTTTGAATCTGGACAACTTCTGCACTTACTGGATGAGTGACCTTGGGCAGGCACTTCCTCTCCCCCAGCCTCAGTTTTCCCTGCTGCAGAATGGGCGTAGAATCTTGCCAGCATGGAGAGGATGAGCTAGTGCAGGGCCAGGCGGGCCAAGCTTCCCTCTGCCTGCCCCAGCCTGCTGGGTGGGTCCATCGGCAGCTGTCTCCCTCCCTGTCCCTTTGTTCTGGGCATGGGGCAGGGAGGCGGCGATGGGGCTGCCTGGGTGTTGGCAAGCACCCAGGCCACATGGGCTCCTGTCCCTCACCAAGCCTCTCCCCCTTCTCTCCCCCACCCACAGCCCCCCAGCGTCCACGCGGAGCATGAACATTGAGGATGGCGCGTGCCCGCGGCTCCCCGTGCCCCCCGCTGCCGCCCGGTAGGATGTCCTGGCCCCACGGGGCATTGCTCTTCCTCTGGCTCTTCTCCCCACCCCTGGGGGCCGGTGGAGGTGGAGTGGCCGTGACGTCTGCCGCCGGAGGGGGCTCCCCGCCGGCCACCTCCTGCCCCGTGGCCTGCTCCTGCAGCAACCAGGCCAGCCGGGTGATCTGCACACGGAGAGACCTGGCCGAGGTCCCAGCCAGCATCCCGGTCAACACGCGGTACCTGAACCTGCAAGAGAACGGCATCCAGGTATGCGGGGCCAGCGGGCAGAGGGGGACCTTGGAGGGGACACTGGGGAGGCATGCAGATGTAGCCCATCCCTTCTGGGCCTCCCCACACCGGGGCTTCCCCGTCTCCGGCACCTGTGGATGTGGCCTGCGGGTCTGCATCCTATCAGCTGGAGCCGGGCTCCCGAGGTGGAGTGGAGGCCCTCCGGGCTTTGAGAGCACAGTGCTCCCTGTCTCTGAGCCACCGTGTCGGGGCCCAAGTGCAGGCCACCTGCCCAGCCCCCCCGGCACAGGACAGGCGGGTCGGCCTAGGCCGAGCCCTGGAGTCCCTGGGGTGTGGAGAGCAACCCTTTCACAGGGACCCCTGTGGCATCTGCACCACCACACCCTCTCGTGGCCTTGGGAAGGTGACGGCATGATTCTGAGCCTCAGTTTCTTCATCTGAAAAGCGGGGACAATGCAAGCCCCTGCGTTGAGGTGTTGCTGTGAGGGCTGATGGGTCTGGTACTTATTGGGGCGTTAGCTTGTGTGCTGGCACCTGGCGAGTGGTCAGAGGACAGGAGGCGTTTCCATGGTCATTTGCCGGGCAGTGCAGGGTTTGCGTCCCCATTTCCTGGAGCTGGTGTGAGAATTGGAGAGCAGAGAGGCTGAGAACGCTGTGGTGCTTGGCGCCATGGTGGCCTGTGGCTGGTGCTCAGGATGGGGCAGCTGCCACTCAATTAATGATGACTCTGATTAGGATAGGCCGTAAGCGAGGGCTTGGGGGGACAGAGCTGTGCTATTAGAAAGCAGGGCTTCTCAACCTCTGCCCTATTGACATTTGGGGCCTGCCCTATCATCCTTTGGCGGGCAGGGTGGGGGGCTCTGTCCTGTGTGCTGTAGGATGTTTACCAGCATTTCCGGCCACTAGATGCCAGTAGCACCCCACCCCCAGTTCCAAAAATATCTCCAGGCATTGCCAGTGATTCCCAGGGGATCATTACCCCAGGCTGATTTGGTCCAACTCCTGCCTCCAAGCAAGCCTCCTCCTGTTCCAGCCTGTAAAGCTGGGAGAGAAGAGGGTGCCGATGCCAGAGGTCCCAGCCCCTCCAGATCTAATCTTCCAGATGTAACAGCTCCCGTAAGAAATGCGGCTGCTTTTCTGCCTGGTCTGTCCCTGGGAAAGGGTGGGAGGACTTGGCTGCTCCCATCTGACCATCCTGAGAGCCAGATTCAGGGAAGAAAAGGGACCTCTCAGGGGAGCAGTCCCTTCCTGGTGGCTGTGGGGCAAGGGCCAGCGAAGGGGTCCAGAAACGTCAGGGGCGTCGTCACATCACCACCCCCCGCTCCCGCAGGGCCTTGTCCCTCTGTCCACGCCCACCTCCCACAGGCTCCCATGTCTGCCAGTTTGCTTTGAGTCTGCCCTGCATCTCCCTAGTTGCAGTCTCCACCGATCCATCCACATCTCCCTTGAGCAGGTGACATTCCGCACTGTGCGGTCCCCATGCACCTGCCCCCGGCTTCCCTGCACTCCATCCTTCCCCCACTTATACACGTGACGTTCAACAGACACCGGCAGCACCGGCTCTGCACCAAGCCCTGTCCTGGGTGGTGACCGAGCCAGGCAAAGCCCAGCCCTAGCCCCGGCAGCTCACATTCTAGTGGGGAAGAAATGAGGAGGAAAAGGAGCCAGTGGCTGGGACGGCACGCCAGGGAAACGCGCTTTGCAGAAATGGCCAGGGAGAGCGTGGGACAGGGAGGCACCCACGCCACTCACCAGCAGCCCCAGGCCGTGGCAACATCCCCGTCGTAGAACCTGGACCCGTTTCTCTTTGTGGGGGGGCGAGGGGGCTCAGTGAACAATTCAGTCCCACAAACGTGCTGAGCGCCACCAGCGGACGTACATTCATTTATGATAAGTCATGCACAGGCCCGCTCCCTCCGTATATCATGCACCTGGTAAAGCACACACCCAAGGTGGACATTGTCAAAGGGTGAAAAGCATCAATAGGGATCCAGACGCCTCTATTTCTCATCCTCCCCACCCAGGGGTTCTTGCACCGCCCCCTGCCCCACCCAGAGACATGGATGGAGGGTGTGTTCGTCCAGTCCACGAGAGTGGATGCTTGTGAGTGTTTGTCAGTGGGCTTGGCCTCCCTCAGTGGACACATCCCAGACAGCAAGAGGCATGGACCACGTCGAGGGTAATCAGAGGCTCTTTATTTTTGTATTTATTTATTTATTTATTTTGAGACAGAGTCTCGCTCTGTCTCCCAGGCTGGAGTGCAGTGGCGCAACGTTGGCTCATTGTAACCTCCACCTCCCGGGTTCAAGCGAGTCTTCCGCCTCAGTCTCTTGAGTAGCTGGGATTACAGGCGCCTGCTGCCACGCTCAGCAAATTTTTATATTTTTAGTAGAGACGAGGTTTCACCAGGTTGGCCAGGCTGGTCTCGAACTCCTGACCTCAGGTGATCCACCCGCCTCGGCCTCCCAAAGTGCTGGGATTACAGGCGTGAGCCACCACGCCTGGCCCAGAGGCTCTTTAAAAAGTAATAACTTTTAGCCTGGCGCGGTGACTCATGCCTGTAATCCCAGCACTTTGGGAGACTGAGGCAGGTGGATTGCTTGAGCCCAGGAGTTCAAGACCAGCCTGAGCCACACAGCAAATCCCCATCTCCACTAAAAAACCAAAAATTAGCCAGGTATGGTGGCATGAGCCTGTGGTCCCAGCTACTTAAGAGGCTGAGGTGGGAGGCTTGCTTGAGACCAGGAGGCAGAGGTTGCAGTGAGCTGAGATTTCACCACTGCACTCCATCCTGGGCAACAGAGAGACCCTGTCTTAAAAAAAAAAAAAAAAAAAAAAGTAATAACTCTTTAGTTATCCAAATAAAAAATTGAAAAAATCACCCTAGTTCCATCACCAGATATAAATAACTACTGTTTACATTTTGTTCTAATGCCTTCCTGGCTCTTTCCTGTCTCTATGTAAATGGTTTCATTTTTAGAGACAGGGTCTCACTCTGTCATTCAGGCTGGAGTGCAGTGGGACTATCATGGCTCCCTGCAGCCTTAACTTCCCTGGCTCAAGTGATCCTCCTGCCTCAGCCTCCAGAGTAGCTGGGACTACTGGGAGACACCATCACACCCAGCTAATTCTTTTTTTTTTTTTTTTTTTTGAGATGGAGTTTCACTCTTGTTACCCAGGCTGGAGTGCAATGGCGTGATCTCGGCTCACCGCAACCTCCACCTCCTGGGTTCAAGTGATTCTCCTGCCTCAGCCTTCTTGAGTAGCTGGGATTACAGGCATGTGCCACCACGCCCGGCTAATTTTGTATTTTTAGTAGAGACAGGGTTTCTCCATGTTGGTCAGGCTAGACTCGAACTCCCGACCTCAGATGATCTGCCCGCCTCGGACTCCCAAAGTGCCAGGATTACAGGCGTGAGCCACCAAGCCTGACCTTTTTTTTTTTTTGAGATGGAGTCTTCGCTCTGTTGCCCAGGCTGGAGTGCAGTGGTACGATCTTGGCTCACTGCAAGCTCCGCCTCCTGGGTTCACACCATTCTCCCGCCTCAGCCTCCTGAGTAGCTGGGATTACAGGCGCCACCCACCACGTCCGGCTAATTTTTTGTATTTTTAGTAGAGACAGGGTTTCACCGTGTTAGCCAGGATGGTCTCGATTTTTTTTCTTTTTTATGAAGACAGGGTCTCACTATGTTTCCCAGGCTGGTCTTGAACTCCTGGACCCAAGCAATTCACCCACCTTGGCCTCCCAAAGTGCTGGGATTACAGGTATAAACCACCTAACCCAGCCATAAGTGTATTTTTAATTACTTATTACAGAATGAATATAAATTAATTGAGAAAAACTAGAAAATATACCTAAGTAAAAACAGGAAGACAGAAGCCAACCATAATCCCACAGCCATGGGTAGCTCTCCTTCGCTTTGGTGTCTTTGCATTCGGACACCCTCCCCACCCATGCACAGTGTGTTGCACAATTGCTGCTGATTTGTAAATGGAGTTTTAGCTTTTTTATTTTTTTATTTTTATTTATATTTTTATTTATTTTTTTTTTTTGAGACGGAGTCTCGCTCTGTCGCCCAGGCTGGAGTGCAGTGGCGTGATCTCGGCTCACTGCAAGCTCCGCCTCCCGGGTTCACGCCATTCTCCTGCCTCAGCCTCCCAAGTAGCTGGGACTACAGGTGCCCGCCACCACACCCAGCTAATTTTTTTGTATTTTTAGTAGAGATGAGGTTTCACTGTGTTAGCCAGGATGGTCTTGATCTCCTGACTTCGTGATCTGCCCGCCTCGGCCTCCCAAAGTGCTGGGATTACAGGCATGAGCCACTGCGCCCGGCCTATTTTTTATTTTTTTTGAGATGGAGTTTTGCTTTTGTTGCCCAAGCTGGAGTGCAATGGTGCAATCTCAGCTCACTGCAACCTCTGCCTCCCGCGTTCAAGCAATTCTACCGCCTCAGCCTCCCAAGTAGCTGGGATTACAGGCGCACACCACCACGCCCAGCTAATTTTTTGTATTTTTAGTAGAAACGGGGTTTCACCATGTTGGGCAGGCTGGTCTCGAACTCCTGACCTCAGATGATCTGCCCGCCTTGGCCTCCCAAAGTTCTGGGATTACAGGCCCAAGCCACCACACCCAGCCAGCATCCTGTTATTTAACCAGGCCCTTCTTTTTCTTTTTTCTTTTCTTTCTTTTTTTTTTTTTTTTTTTTTGAGATGGAGGCTCACTCTGTCACCCAGGCTGGAGTGCAGTGGTACAGTCTTGGCTCACTGCAACCTCTGCCTCCTGGGTTCAGGAGATTCTCCTGCCTTAGCCTCCCGAGTAGCTGAGACTACAGGTGCCCACCACGACACTCAGCTAATTTTTGTACTTCCTAGTAGAGACGGGGTTTCACCATATTGACCCGGCTGGTCTCGAACTCCTGGCCTCAAGGGATCCGCCCACCTCGGCCTCCCAAAGTGCTGAGATTACAGGTGTGAGCCACCGCGCCCGGCCTCCTTATTTCCAATTTCTGAGTTGATATGAACAACACCGGGGGGACATCCGTTGGCTCATTCTTCCTAATGTTCTGGACTCTGCCCTTGGGATAAATTCCTAGAAGCGGAGTTTCTGGGTCTGAGGGATGATGAGAGAAGCACCGCCCTGTGAGTTCTATGTGGCTTCCTCATTTGAGTGTACTTCTCCCTTACACACAGAGACACACACACACACACACACACACACACACACCAGGGCCTGGCACTGGAGCATTGGTAGCGGCAGGCTGAATTCTGGGGATTCCAGAGCCTCCCGTGTGACCTGCCGCCTTGGTTGTCATCTGTCCCCCGCCGCGCTGCCACCTGCATGAAGGCAGGGACTTTGCAATGTTCCCTGCCGGATCCCCAGCACCTAGGGCCGAGCCTGGCACACAGGAGGTGCCCAGCAGTTGTTTGCCTCTGAATGGGAGGCCAGCTCCCGAACTCCTGCCCGGATCCTTGGCAGAGGCCTGCAGCCATCTGTCGGTGGGAGCCGACGCGAATCCCTGCGACGCCCTCCCGTGAGCTCTGGGGGGTGGCTCAGAGACTCCTGTTCTCGCCTGCCCCTGGCCTGGGTGCGGTGTGGGCAGCAAGAACCTCGCGGGGACTTTGGGGGACTCTAAGTCCACGGGGTGACGGTGCTGGCCTCTCTCTGGGAAGCTAGAACGTTGCCATTCATCTTTGGTGAGAGAGTTAAAATGTTCTTCTGCCACATGACAGAGACAGTAGGTGGTCCCCATAGTAAGACAGAGGATGTGTTTTTTAAAATATCATGGCCAGGCGCGGTGGCTATGCCTGTAATCCCAGTACTTTGGAAGGCTGAGGCAGGCAGATCACCTGAGGTTAGGAGTTCGAGACCAGCCTGGCCAACATGGTGAAACCCCATCTCTACTAAAAATACCAAAATTAGCCAGGCATAGTGGCGTATGCCTGTAGTCCCAGCTACTTGGGAGGCTGAGGAAGGAGAATAGCTTGAACCCAGGAGGTGGAGTCTGCAGTGAGCTGAGATCACACCAATGCACTCCCGCCTGAGTGACAGAGCGAGACTCCGTCTCAAAAAAAAAAAAAAAAAAAAAAAAATCAGCAATTCTCTGAGGCCCTGCCCCGGCCCCACCACTGTTTTTTGAGATTGGTGGGGCCTGCAAGCCTGGAGCCTCAGGAAATGCCTTTTAAGGCAGAGGCCAGGAGACTGCCTCCCCGCAGCTCACATGCCCTGGCCCCCTGGGAGAAGACCGGGTGCAGATCTTCGCCTCCATCTCCTCGGGACCTGGGGGGAAGGTGCACCACCTCGGCTGGGCCCAGCCTGTCCACTCCTCGCTCCTCAGTCAGGTACCTGGTCCTCACCGGACTGGCTCCTTCCTCCTTCCCTCCCTTTTATCCTCATATCCCCGCCTTACCCTCTCCCCACAGAAAGTCCTCCTAATGTGTTTACTGTGGATTTTTTGCTTGTGTGTGTTCTTGCAAAATGGGTATTGTTGCTTTGCGTACACGTATTCTTAATTTATGCAGATGAAGCTGCGTTAAGATCGCTGTCTTTGTCTCACTGTGTTCGCTCGGCCTGTGTTTCTGAGAGTGGTTCATATTGCTGTGTGTGTCCACTCTGCTGCTGTTGCTGCTACAGAATTGATGGGCACCCACCCCCGTCCATCTGCCAAGTCCCCCACTGCTTCCTGATGAGACTGGACGTCCCGGAGGCTTCTAGCTGCCCCACCGCAAATCCTCCCTCAGGACCCCTCTGGGAGCTGCATGATCATTTCTGTGGAATATATACCCAGAGGGAATTGCCGGGCCGTAGGATATTCATGTACTTAATTTAACAAAGTACCACTGAATCCACCCAAGGCTTTTAGCGGGCGGCTCTGGGTCCCTCCTGGGGCCGGCTATGAGGTTGTATGGCAAGCAAGTGTGGTTCCAGCTTAAGGAACAAACCAATCCATCCTAAGGAAATTATTAGAGGGGCTTCAAAGAGTTGTGTTTAAGGATGGCCCGACTACCAACGTTTAGAAGTAGCCTCAACTCCTGCTGACAAGGGACTGGTTACATCAGCGGTCCCCAACCCTTTTGGCACCAGGGACTGGTTTCATGGAAGATAATTTTTCCATGGACTGGGGTGTCGAGGAGATGGTTTTGGCATTACATTTATGGTGCATTGCTTTTTCTTTTTCTTTTTTTTTTTTTTTTGAGATAGAGTCTTGCTTCACTCTGTCACCAGGCTGGAGTGCAGTGGTGCAATCTTGGCTCACTGCAACCTCCGCCTCCCAGGTTCAAGCGATTCTCCTGCCTCAGCCTCCCGAGTAGCTGGGATTACAGGCACACCCCACTGTGAGCGGCTAATTTTTCTTTTCTTTTCTTTTCTTTTTTTTTTTGAGACAGAGCCTCTCATTTTCGCCCAGGCTGGAGTGCAGTAGCGCCATCTCGGCTCACTGCAAGCTCCGCCTCCCGGGTTCACGCCATTCTCCTGCTTCAGCCTCCCGAGTAGCTGGGACTACAGGCACCCACCAGCACGCCCGGCTACTTTTTTTGTATTTTTAGTAGAGATAGGGTTTCACCATGTTAGCCAGGATGGTCTCGATCTCCTGACCTCATGATCCGCCTGCTTTGGCCTCCCAAAGTGCTGGGATTACAGGCGTGAGCCACCACGCCCGGCCGGTGCACTTTATTTCTATTATTATTATTACATCGTAATGTATAATAAAATAATTATACTACTCACTATAATGTAGAATCAGTGGGAGCCCTGAGCTTGTTTTCCTGCAACTAGATGGTCCCATCTGGGGGTGATGGGAGACAGTGATGGATCATCAGGCATTAGATTCTCATAAGGAGCAAGTAAACGAAATCCCTCGCCTGCACAGTTCACAATAGGGTTCACGTTCCTATGAGAATCTAATGCTGGCCGAGCGTGGTGCCTCACGCCTGTAACCCCAGTGCTTTGGGAGGCTGAGGTGGGTGGATCACCTGAGGTCACGAGTTCGAGACCAGCCTGGCCAACACGGCAAAACCTGTCTCTACTAAAAATACAAAAATAACCCAGGCATGGTGGCAGGTGTCTGTAATCCCAGATACTCAGGAGGCAGGAGAATCACTTGAACCCGAGAGGCGGAGGTTGTAGTGTGCTGAGATCGTGCCACTGCACTCCAGCCTAGGCAACAGAGCAAGACTCTGTCTCAAAAAAAAATTTTTTTGTAATTTAAATAAAAGAGAATGTAATGCCGCCAGTGATCTGATAGGAGGCAGAGCTCAGACAGTAATGCTCGCTCGCCTGCTGCTCACCTCCTTCTGTGCAGCCTGGTTCCTAACAGGCCACCCACCAGTACCGGTCTGTGGCCTAGGGGTTGCGGACCCCTGGGTTCAATGAATCACTGTGCCCATTACAATGGAATATTATGCAGCTATTTAAAACAGAGTTTCAAATAATAGTGGATGACATGGGGAAATGCTCAAAACGTAATACTGAGCTTTCAAAGAATGTGAATAGGATCTCCAATTCACTTTTAAAACTTAAGCAATATATTTTAAAAGACCGAGAAACACCCAGGAAGGTCAACAGGGTCTTTTCTCTTTGCATTAGTATTACAGGGATATTTAATTTCTTCTTTATGTTTTCTTTATTCTCTAGATTTTCTTCAGTGAGAGCATTTAATAACTTTTTTTTTTTTTTTTGAGATGGAGTCTCGCACTGTCCCCCAGGCTGGAGTGCAGTGGCGCGATCTCGGTTCACTGCAACTTCCACCTCTCGGGTTCAAGCAATTCTCCTGCCTCAGCCTCCCGAGTAGCTGGGACTACAGGCACCTGCCACCACGCCCTGCTGATTTTTGTATTTTTGGTAGAGACGGGGTTTCACCATGCTGGCCAGGCTGGTCTCGAACTCCTGACCTTGTGATCCACCTGCCTCGGCCTCCCAAAGTGCTGGGATTACATGTGTGAGCCACCACACCCAGCCAATAACTTTTATAATCAGAACAAATTAAGCTTTAAAAATACTAAGTATAAAATCCTATGCAAGCTGGAAAGAAAAAAAAAAGGCTATACTGGAATTTGCTCACCTTTTCCTAAATGAGGAAAAAGAAACAAAAATTTCAAAGCATTTATCTGGAGCAGGGGGTCAGGGAGCGCTCATCTAACCCCATTTATTCCTGTGAGGGCAGGATGACTTCTCCCATCTTATGGACGTGGAAATGGAGGCACAGGCTCTGAGTGACTTATCCAAGGTCGCCCAGCAAGCTGTAGCCCCCATGGGCTTGCCATGTGCCTCAGAAGGTATATATGTCTGTCCCACCCTGAGAGTCAGTGTGGAGAAGCCAGGCCCAGACAGCCAAAGTGGGGCAGCTACAGGATGGTAATTCTGTTGCAAAAACAAAAAACAAAACCTGGCCGGGCACGGTGGCTCACGCCTGTAATCCCAGCACTTTGGGAAGCCAAGGCAGGTGGATCACAAGGTCAGGAGTTCGAGACCATCCTGGCCAACATGGTGAAACCCTGTCTCTACTAAAAATACAAAAATTAGCCGGGTGTGGTGGCGGGCACCTGGCTACTTGGGAGGCTGAGGCAGGAGAATCGCTTGAACCCAGGATGCAGAGGTGGTAGTGAGCCGAGATCGTGCCACTGCACTCCAGCCTGGCGACAAAGCAAGAATCCGTCTTGAAAAAAAAAAGGCGGCGTGCGGTGGCTCGCACCTGTAATCCCAGCACGGTGGCTCACACCTGTAATCCCAGCACTTTGGGAGGCCAAGGCAGGTGGATCGCTTGAGCTCAGGAGTTTGAAACCAGCCTGGGCAACATAGCAAGACCCCATCTCTACTAAAAATACAAAAATTAGCCAGGTGTGGTGGCACGCACCTGTAGTCCCAGATCCCTGGGAGGCTGAGGTGGGAAGATTGCATGAGGCCAGGAGGCAGAGGCTGCAGTGAGCTGTGATTTTGCCACTGGACTCCAGCCTAGGTGGCAGAGCAAGACTCTGTCTCAAAAAAAAAAAAAAAAAAAAAAAAAAACAAGACAAAACCCAAACTAACCAAATAAAAACCCCGGCCATAGTGCATTATCAAGGCAAATACCAAGAATAGCTTTTAAATTACCCACTAGTTCGCATTTTCCAGGCGGCTGATCCCTCCAGGGGCATGAAACATGGAGCTTTTGATTGGACAGACTTTTCCCAGTTAGAGCCCTTTAAGGAAGAAAACGGTGGGAGGGCCGGGCGCGGTGGCTCGCGCCTGTAATCCCACCACTTCGGGAGGCCGAGGCGGTTGGATCACCTGAGGTCAGGAATTGGAAACTAGCCTGGCCAACATGGCGAAACCCCGTCTCTACCAAAAATACAAAAATTATCTGGGAGTGGTAGTGCGTGCCTGTAGTACTAGCTACTCAGGAGGCTGAGGCAGGAGAATCACTTGAACCCGGAGGCAGAGGTAGGTTGCAGTGAGCTGAGATTGTGCCACTGCACTCCAGCCTGGGCAACAGAGAGAGACTCCATCTCAAAAAAGGCAAAAAAGAAAGAAAGAAAGAAAATGGCGGAAGGGAGGATCTGTAGAGGGGAATCTAGGAGCTGACCTCTCTTGAGGTCAACTGGGACATTCCCCAGCCGCGGGCCTGCGACCAGCAGCCAGGAGGTCCTCTGGATAGGAGGGAGCAGTGCGCCCTCTGCCGTCCGTTCCCGGGCTGCTGAGACTTCGTGTCTAACTGCGGCCTCCCTGGCTCTCATTCCAGCTGAGTTATCCTCTTCATTCCCTCAGCAGCGCCATCTCGGGGCCCACATAATCCTTGTCACCACTCCGAGCCTCAGTTTCTACCCTTTTCAAATAGGATTTCCCATACTTTGTCAGTTTCTTCTTAACTTTTTCTCATGATGACTCACAGCACACTTACAGAAAAGAACAGTCGGCCGGGCGCGGTGGCTCACACCTGTTAAAGTTAAATTGACAAAGGCGTAGAATTGCTTGGCGTCCTGCAAAGCCACATGGCCCCTGAGCCTCGGGACAGGCTGCTGGGTGGGAGTATCAGTCCCACATCTCTGTTGAGCAGCCTGCGAGTCCTGAGAGGCACAAGACCCGCGTTCTCCCCTCCACGAATGACGCTAAGGCGTTGAGTCACCTCTCTGAGCCTGCCTTCTCGTCTAGAAAATAGACCAATTATTTCTACAGCTCAGCGAGGGTGGGCGGGAGAATGTCAGTCGGGCCCCCAGCATTGCTCCAAGCCCTTTACAGGGTCAGTGAATTTCAGCCTCACGACAGCCCCCTGAGTAGGTCCTATTCTTCTCATGTTACAGATGAGGAAACTGAGGCATAGGAGAGTTAAGACACTTGCAAACGGTCCTGGTCCCATGGTTAGTAACGGAGCTGGGACTCGGCCCAGGCAGGCTGGCTGCAGAACTTGGTTTTTTCAACGCGATTCGTAATGCTTCCTAATTCGTAGCTATCCCTGGCGCTGCACCCTGGTGACTCAGTCTCAGAACTGCCACTGAGTCCCAGTCTACATCCCCACAGCCCAGCCTGGCTCTGGCCTTGTCCTTGCTCATCTGGAAGCCCCAGCTTCTTCCTAGCCTCCCAGATGTAGCCTGTACCCACACACCCCTGCCACCACACCCAGCTGGAGTCGCCACACCAACTCCTCCTAGGGGACACCTTTCTGCAAGCCACCCTGTCCCCATCTCAGATCAGGATGAGTATGCCTGGCGCTCCCAGCTACACCAAGCTCAGGGGCACCCTCTACTGGGCACCAGAAGCTACCCCAGCCCCTTCCTTCCCACCCTTCCAGAAACTTGCCCTGCCTTTAAATAGTCACAGACAGATGTGCTTGCCCTGTGCCAGGCGCTCTTCTCCATGGCTTACAGATATCGAGACAGTTTAATCCTCACAAGGATGCCGTGGTCTCGTCACCACCCCGTGGCGAGTCTAGGAGCTGAGCTGAGACCCGTGCATCTTTCTCCCTGCATGGGCTGTCCCTCCTGTGTCTGAACAGCCCCGGCTAATCCATCTGCAGCATTCAGTGCAGCCCTGATTTGTTTATTGAGCACCTAGTGTGTGCCAGGCACCACCCGAGGCCCAGAGAGCAGGACATACAGAGATCCCTGCCCTCTCGACACTGCGTGCAGAAAGAGGTCGTTCAGAAAGTCGGCAAGTCTCATCCGGGCACAGTGGCTCACGCCTGTAATCCTAGCACTTCGGGAGGCTGAGGCGGGTGCTCACTTGAGGTCAGGAGCTTGAGACCAGCCTGACCAACGTAGTGAAACCCCATCTCTACTAAAAATACAAAAATTAGCCAGGTGTGGTGATGTGTTACTGTAATCCCAGATACTCGGGAGGGTGAGGCAGGAGAATCGCTTGAACCTGGGAGGCGAAGGTTGCAGTGAGCTGAGATCATGCTATTGCACTCCAGCCTGGGCGACAGAGCGAGACTCCATCATAAAAAAAAAAAAAAGGAAGGTAAACAAGTCCAGTAGCAGCGTGCACGAGCTGGCGGGGGGCTGCTGAGCTGAACATAGTGAGGGGAGGCCAGGGAAGGCTGCCCAGGAAGCGGTGTAGGCCCATGGCCTGTGCCTCAGCTTAACCCCACTCTCCCACCCCACCCGCAGGTGCCTTAGGCAAAGTCCTGCTGCCTTGCTTGGTCTTGCACATGCCTCTGATATAGATCTCATCCCCTTGTTGTTTACACCCAGGTTCAGATGCCTCTCTGGGCTCCTGGTGGTGGGGAAGGGTGGGAGGCGGGTAGCCATCCAGCCAGACTTTCCACCCAGGCCAGGGCCTGGTCCCAGAAGGGCTCAGGAGGCCACTCCCAGGAGGATGAATGGGAGGAGGGAGACAGGGACGTCTAGGCCTGAGCCGGGTCAGTGTGAGAATCAGGGGCCCACAACGGCCCCTGCAGTGCTGCCAGTCATGGCATCAGGGAAGTCCCTGTTGGAGAGGGAGGCACAAGTTCCTTGTCTCAGGGACAAGCAAGAAATATGAGAAGTCATCATAAAGACAGTTGATGTGACAAATAACGGTTTTTAAAATCTGAATGTAAAAAAATTAACACACACACACAAACAACAGTAAGCTTGCTAAACTTTTGTGATTGACTCATTATATTCAAAACATAAAAACAGGCCGAGTGCAGTGGTTCACGTCTGTAATCCCAGCACTCTGGGAGGCAGAGGCAGGCAGATCACCTGAGGTCAGGAGTTGGAGACCAGCCCGGCCAACTTGGTGAAACCTTGTCTCTACTAAAATACAAAAATTAGCCTGGTGTGGTTGTTTGCACCTGCAATCCCAGCTACTCAGGAGGCTAAGGTGGGAGAATCACTTGAACCCAGGAGGCGGAGGCTGCAGTGAGCTGAAATCATGCCACTGCACTCCAGCCTGAGCAATAGAGCAAGATCCTGTCTTAAAAATAAATAAATAAATAAACAGGCCGGGCGTGGTGGGTCACGCCTGTAATCCCAGCACTTTGGGAGGCCAAGGCGGGCAGATCATGAGGTCAGGAGATCGAGACCATCCTGGCTAACACAGTGAAACCCTGTCTCTACTAAAAATACAAACAATTAGCTGGGTGTGGTGGCAGGCGCCTGTAATCCCAGCTACTCGGGAGGCTGAGGCAGGAGAATCACTTGAACCCGGGAGGCAGAGGTTGCAGTGAGCTGAGATCGCTGCACTCCAGCCTGGTGACAGAGCAAGACTCTGTCTCAAATAAATAAATAAATATAAATAAATACAATTTATAATGTTAAGATGAACAGTTCACTTAATTGTTTTCTTACCACAGTTACATTTTTAATAAGGAATTTCTTCACAATTTATTTTCTTAAAAACCCCAACAGATCTCAGTGGGATTTTTTTCAGCTTTAGTAATATTTACCTACCACAACCAAAGTGGAAAGTCCCCCTACACAGGCCAAGTTGCAGGATAAAAGGAAAGTCCCCATCGGGGTTAGAAGGCAGTCATTGATGGGGGCCACGTCCCTTTGCCGGATTCACATCTGCATCATTGAGATCTGTCCCAGAGCCCAGCATAGGTGGAGGTGGGCTCAGCAGATGGGGGCTGAAGATCCAGGGAACTTGGAAGTGTGGGCAGCTATGTGGCTGTCAGAGGTGGCCCCAGGCCTAGGTCCTCTACTGTAGGACAAAATGTCAACATCTTCGTCAGGCTAAAGATGTTAGGGTGAGGGGGCAGGAGGATTTACCTGCGTCAAGAACCAATCCCCACCTTGCCCATCCTACTCTGTGTCAGGGCCATGAGGGTGATGACACTCACAACTTCAGAGGTGATCTGGTCTAGGGTGTTTCAAATCAGGCCTTGGAGGGGCCCCAGGCCTGCCTCCCCCTGCAACCAGGGCAGCCTCCACGATCTGTGTACACCTTTGCTGGTTAAATGATTGTTGGCATAATTGTTTTGTTTAGTGTCTCTCTTCTTCTCTGAGGCCAGGATCTAGGAAGACAGGGCTTTGTCTGTCTTGTCCACAGCTGGATCCCCAGAGCCCAGTATGACACTTGACACATAGCAGCTCTCAAAAAATAACCTGTCAAATGAGCGAAACAATACATGGTAATGTAAGAATGAATGGGCCCCACAGCTCAAAAAGCATTGTGAAGCCCACAGACAGCCCAACTGTTTCAGTTTAGGGTGGGTAGGTGTGGTGGAGACTCCCATGTCTGTGCTCAGGAGAAGGAGACGTTGAGTCTTGGTTCTGCAACTTTGGAGCCTGTGAGACTGGGGACAAGTGACTTTACTTCTCTGAACCTTCATTTTCTCAGCTATGAACCACCAGATATGAAGGGAGCAGGGGTATGTGCTTGATAACCCCCATGTGACAGAATTTCCACAAAGATTAAATGAGATCATACCTCAGAGCATTTAGCACAGCTCTGGCAATAATCGGCAGTTAACAAATTATGATTCCCCCCCTTTTACCTTATTGGGAAGCTGACCAGGATGTCTCTTTGTTTTAGAGTCAGAGATGAGATCAGCTTTGCATTATTTGGGAGGAGAAGAGAAGAATTAACTAGTCTTTGGTCTTTGTATCATTTGGGAGGAGAAGAGAAGAATGAACTGGTCTTTGGTCTTTGTATTATTTGGGAGGAGAAGAGAAGAATGAACTGGTCTTTGGTATTTGTATTATTTGGGAGGAGAAGAGAAGAATTAACTGGTCTTTGGTCTGTGTATTATTTGGGAGGAGAAGAGAAGAATTAACTGGCTTTGGTCTTTAGGTATGCATGTTAAATTTTAAGGGTAACCACTAAATAATGAGAAAATATATAAATTCTAATACAGTAGAGAGAAGAAATGGAATCATAAGAAATTCAGTCAATACAAAGAAGACAGGAAAGGGGAAAGAATAAGCTATAAAAATCAGGACAATTAAAAAGCACAAAATAACATTATAGGAAGAATTTCAAATATATTAGTAATTATAGTAAATGTAAATGAGCTAAACTTCCAGTTAAAAGACAAGGATTTCAGACTGACTTAAAATCGAAAGACATACCTAAAACATGAGGACAGAAATCATGAAAGTAAAAATGATGACAAACACAAGAAAGGTGATGTAGCTTTAATGATCTCAGACGTGCACACGAAGGTAAAAAGCAGAATAGGTTGGAAGCAGAACACCAATGCTTTTCCGTTCCCAAGTTCTGTCATATTGATGTCAACATGATTTTGACATGTTGGCATTATCACCCAGGCCAAAAAGCGTGAGGGAAACAGGGACCAGCACAACCAGGGTGTTCCCCAATAAGAGCCTTAGACACTCTAGTCTGTTTACTCAGCAGACCTTGGCCGAAGTCTGTCACGAATTTGGCCTTGCATAGCGTGCTGGGAATGCAGAAGTCGCCCCAACACAGTCTCTACTCACACCAACTCACAGCCTAGACAAGGAGACAGACGTGTGAAACCAAATTATAGTCACTGCGATAGGGATCTAATAAGAGAGTGTGTGTGTGTGACTGATGAGGGACCAGGGGTCAAAAAGGGCTTTTCCAAGGAAGGCAATTGGAATTTTCCAGAGAACAAGGAGGAGGACAGTATAGAAAAGGGGCAGAGCCTGTGCAAAGGCAGAGAGGCTGGACAGAGTGTGGCAAGCAGAGGGAACCCCATGCATCTCTCTTCTCCCTACTATGGCTAGAGTCAAGGAGAGGGCAGCAGGGCAGGTTCTGAAGGGCCTCTGACACTTTGTCGAGGGTGATAGCCATGGGAGGCTGGGAGTGGGGATGTGGCAAGGTCTGAACTGCATTTCCGGTCATTCTGACAGCCAGTGTAGAGGAAAGATGCTGAGGGAGAAACTGGAAGCCCAGAGACAGGACCAGTGTTTTGTTTTTTTGTTTTTGTTTTTGTTTTTGTTTTTGTTGAGACAGAGTCTCACTGTCACCCAGGCTGGAGTGCAGTGGTGCAATTTCAGCTCACTGCAACCTCCGCCTCCCGGGTTCAAGCGATTCTCCTGCCTCAGCCTCCCAAGTAGCTGGGACTACAGGAGTGTGCCACCACGCCAGGGTAAATTTTGGTGGGTGTTGTTGTTGTTTTAGTAGAGACGAGGTTTCACCATGTTGGACAGGCTGGTCTCGAACTCCTGAGCTCAAGCAATCCTCCCGCCTTGGCCTCCCAAAGTGCTGGGATTACTGGCGTGAGCCACTGTGGCTGGCCAGGACCAGTGTTAATGATCATTATCAACTGAATTAACAATGAAAAAATATCTATTACTGCATGCTCGCCATGTCCCACACATTCATTGTCTCATCCCAAGCGCTCACTGTCTTGTCCAAGCATCACAGTAACCCCATGCTACCTGGGAGGAAAGTGGGCTCAGAGAGGTGAGGACACTTGCCCGAGGCCACCAGGGAGTTCAGGCTGGTCAGCAGCAAAGCCAGGATTCAAACCCAGCCTCAACCATCCCCCACGAGGCTGCTCAGCAGGCATTCTGCAGAGAAGAGGAGACAGAATAGACTGGAATTCTGTTCAAAATAAAGAGACTCCCTATTTAAAGCAGCCCTATGCCACATGTTTCAACAAAACCAGGCTTCCCTTTGCAGCAACACCCCCATTCCACTCAGTTCTCAACTGCATTATTAAAGTGATTGGCGGGGGGACCCCACCCCCTCCCTTTGGGAGTGTCCCTTCATCTCCCTTCACACCCCCTTCCCTCTGCAGCTGGGTCACTGCGTGCTGAGCGCCGAGCAGCCTCAGGCTGTCCGCCTGTGGCCACGCTGTTGTCACGGTCCTCTGTCCAGAGGCACCAAGGAGACTTGGAAAACACTGTGGGCTGGAGCCCCAGGTGCACGCTCCCCGGGACCGGCAGCCCTGCTGAGTCACTTGACTTCACCGAGCCTTGGTCTCCTGTCTCTGAAATGACGTGTGATGCTCACCTCCAGGGCTGCCGGGGGAGTCAGCAGGAGCCTGGGGTGCCGCAGAGGCTCCGGGAGCTGCAGGCAGGAGGTGGGCATGGAGGGGGCTGAGGCCCAGGGCTCAAACCCTGGCTGTGCCACTTCCTGGTCATGTGGCCTCGCTGAGCCATCTTCTTTCTCTGAAAAGTGAGCCTAGGCTGGGCACGGTGGCTCACGCCTGTAATCCCAGCACTTTGAGAGGCCAAGGCAGGTGGATCACCTGAGGTCGGGAGTTCGAGACCAGCCTGACCAACATAGAGAGACCCCCCCCCCCCAGGTTTCTACTAAAAATACAAAAAATTAATCGTGCATGGTGGCACATGCCTGTAGTCCCAGCTACTTGGGAGGCTGAGGCAGGAGAATCACTTGAACCTGGGAGACGGAGGTTGCAGTGAGCCAAGATGGCGCCACTGCCCTCCAGCCTGGGTGAAAACAGCGAAACTCCATCTCAAAAAAAAAAAACAAAAAAGGAGCCTAGCAACACGTGCCCTGCAAGGCATCATCGCCTGTGCCCAGCACACGCCTCCAGGTGCCAAGCCCTGAGCGGAGTGAGTCTCACCTCAAGCCTTCAGAGCAGCTCGCAAGGCTGACGTTGTGAGGTCCTTTCACAGACAACGGCCCCTCTCCACCTCTGCACCTGCAGGCCTGCTGTATCTCCATTCAATCAATAAGCAATGGGGGAATGAGTGGAGACCTTTGGGCTGGGTTCAAGAGGGTGAGCAGGAGCTTTCCCGGTGGATGAAAGGGAAGGGCGTCCTGAGCAGAGGGAACAGCATGTGCAAAGGTGGAGTGCCCGGCGAGAGGGTCCAAGGACTGATCCTGGCTAACGTGTATCCGAGTGAGGGCTGCGAGTGAGGGGCCATGCAGAGGGGAATGGGGAGAAAGGCAGATGCCCAGGCAGGGCTTCCAATACAGGCTGAACTTCCCGAGGGCACTGGGGAGCCCCGGAGGCGTCTAGAGGAGGGCAGAGGCAGGGTCAGCTCTGGCATAGCAGGACCCCAGAGATGGACTGGAGGGGAGAGACTGAAGCCCAGGCAGGAGGCTGCGGCGGGCCCAGGGAGAGAGGATGAGGCGGGGCTGGGCTGTGGGGATGGAGAGGAAATGGGGGAGTGCGCTGCAAGGCATTAAAAGGCATGAAGCCACCTGGCCCTGCTGGCCGACCCACGACCCACGGGCAAGGCCGCAGCCCCGCTTTGGACGGGGAGGATGAGCTAGGGGGGGCCCACTGAGAAAAGGGACCCTGAAGGGAGGGAGGGGAGGGTGGGGCACAGAGTGTTTGCTGGGAATGAAGGGGGCCCCAGGCCATCTCAGTGTAACCCAGAGAGGGGGAAAGTTCCAGGGGGCTCTTGACAGCACATGGACCAGCAATACCTTTGTTCTTTCTGTATTTATTATTATTATTATCGAGACGATTCTCACTCTGTTGCCCAGGCTGGAGCGCAGTGGCAGTCTCAGCTCACTGCAACCTCCTCCTCCCAAGTTCATGCAATTCTGCCTCAGGCTCCTGAGTAGCTGGGATTACAGGCGTGCATCATCACGCCCAGCTAATTTTTGTGTTTTCAGTAGAGACGGGGTTTCACCACATTGGCCAGGCTAGTCTTGAACTCCTGACCTCAAGTGATCCACCCGCCTCGGCCTCCCAAAGTGCTGGGATTACAGGCATGAGCCACCGTGTCCGGCCTCTTGGTCCAGGCTTTCTTTTAAAGTCCACCTCATTCTCTGCCTAGCGATCAGTGATGACCGGGACCTCCTCCTCCTGTTACTATTATTGATGTTATTATTATTAATAGAAATAGCAACCGAGTGCCTGCTTTATCAATCACCAGCATTTCCCAGGGAGGTGATAAGCTGCGTTTGGTGAGAAGGGCCCCATGTGTATTATGTTTGGGAAAACTAGAGTTGAGCAAAACAAAGCCGCTGTCTCCCACTGGGCTTCACGGAGCTTCAACACGCCAGGTGCACTGGAGTCTCGGGGAGGGAGTGTGCAGGCTCCTAACGCATTGATATGAGAGAGTGTTTTTTTGCTGTTGGTGTTTAGCGTCCCGGGAAATGAGCTCTGAGAACCGGCTCTGAGAAGCTCCAGGTTGGGTTCTTCCCCAGATACTCTCTCTGAGGAAGAAATGCAAGCTCTGGGGGGGTCCCCTGGCAGAGGGGGGAGTTTTAGAGCTCTAGCCCAGTCAGGCCAGAGACATTCTCAAGCCCCTGCTTCTCCTGCCCTGGACAGGCGATGCCCACAGCCCCCAGCCTCATGCCCAGGCACAGTCGCATCTCCGGCTGGGTGCAGAGACCCCAGGCCGGCTTGGGACCCAAATGACCCTCAGGACCCGCACCTGCAGAGGCATTCCTGCTGTACTCCGCCATTCTCCCTGCCCCACAAGGCCTGCCCGAGCCCATCCTCAGGCTGTGTCCTGCAGGCTGAGCCCCCACCAGCTCCCTGCAAATACATTCACACCCTCCTGCCTGTGAAATAGCATTCACGGAGGTCTCATTCAGTTCTGAAAGCTAGCCATGTTCACTCTGGGAAGTTAGACAAGGCAGAAGCCTATTAAGAAAAAAATCGGCCGGGCGCAGTGGCTCACGCCCGTCATCGCAGCACTTTGGGAGGGCAAGGCGAGTAGATCACTTGAGGTCAGGAGTTCAAGACCAACCTGGCTAGCATGGCGAAATGCTGTCTCTACTAAAAATACAAAAATTAGCTGGGCGTGGTGGTGCACACCTGTAATCCCAGCTTCTCGGGAGGCTGAGGCAGGAGAATTGCTTAAACCCAGAAGGCAGAGGTTGCAGTGAGCTGAGATCGCACCACTGCAGTCCAGCCTGGGCGACAGAGTGAAATTCCATCTAAAAAAAAGAAAGAAGAAATCAAGCACAGACATAGTGACTCACACCTGTAATCCCGGCACTTTGGGAGGCTGAGGCAAGAGGATTGCTCAAGGCCAGGAGTTTGAGACCAGGCTGGGCAACACAGCAAGACCCCATCTCTACAAAATTTTAAACTTAGCAAGGCATGGTGGTGTGTGCCTTTAGTCCCAGCTACTTGGGAGGCTGAGGTGGGAGAATCACTGGGACCCAGGAGGTTGAGGCTGCAGTGAGTTATGATCACAGCACTGCACTTCAGCCAGAGTGACAGAGGGAGACCCTGTCAGAAAGAAAGAGAGAGAGAGAGGGCCAGGCACGGTGGCTCACGCCTGTAATCCCAGCACTTTGGGAGGCCGAGGCAGGCAGATCACGAGGTCAGGAGATCGAGACCATCCTGGCTAACACGGTGAAACCCCGTCTCTACTAAAAATACAAAAAATTAGCCGGGTGTGGTGGTGCGTGCCTGTAGTCCCAGCTACTCCAGAGGCTGAGGCAGGAAAATCATTTGAACCCAGAAGGCGGAGCTTGCAGTGAGCTGAGATCGTGCCACCGCACTCCAGCCTGGGCAACAGAGCGAGACTCAAAAAAAAAAAAGAAAAAAAGAAAAGAAAGAGAGAAAGAGGGAGGGAGGGAGGGAGGGAAAGAGACAGAGAGAAAGGAGAAAGAAAAGGAAAGATCACCCTGTCAATTACAGATCAATGTCCATACGTAGGTATAGCCGTGGGCCAGTACTCTAGAGGGCCGTTCATATCATGTCTTTGAAGCACTATTCATGATGTAAGAAAATACTCACAATGTTATTAAGGGGAAATGCAGGACCCAGGCAAGTATATTGTATCATCAAAATTTTGTAAAAAAGCAAGCCACAATGAATGGCTCATGCCTGTAATCCCAGCACTTTGGGACACTGAGGCGGGTGGATCATTTGAGGTCAGAAATTCGAGACCACCTGGCCAACATGGTGAAACCCCCTCTCTACTAAAAAAAAAAAAAAAAAAAGAAAAAAGAAAGAAAACAGCCGGGCGTGGTGGCTCATGCCTGTAATCCCAGCACTTTGGGAGGCTGAGGCGGGCAGATCACGAGGTCAGGAGATCGAGACCGTCCTGGCTAACACAGTGAAACCCCATCTCTACTAAAAATGCAGAAAATTAGCTGGGAGTGGTGGCGGGTGCCTGTAGTCCCAGCTACTCGGGAGGCTGAGGCAGGAGAATGGCGTGAACCCAGGAGGCGGAGCTTGCAGTAAGCCGGGATTGTGCCACTGCACTCCAGCCTGGGTGACAGAGCGAGACTCTGTCTCAAAAAAAAAAAAAATACAAAAATACAAAAATTAGCCGGGCGTAGTGGCGTGTGCCTGTAATCCCAGCTACTCATGAGGCTGAGGCAAGAGAATTGCATGAACCCGGGAGCCAGAGGTTGTAGTAAGCCAAGATTGTGCCACTGCACTCCATCCTGGGCAACAGAGTGAGACTCTATCTCAAAAAAAAAAAAAAAGTAAAAGATAATGAAAAAATATATCCCTGCATAATATGCATAGAAAAAATTGGAAGGATGTGCCAAATGATTAACATAAATTAGCTCTGGGTAGATGTATTTTGGCCAATTTTTATTTTCTTCTCATACATTTTTTCCTAAATGAGTATATATTACTTTTTAACAATTTTTTTAATTTTAGAAACACGGTTTCACCTTATTGCCTAGGCTAGTCTGGAACTCCTGACCTCAAGTCATCTGCCTGCCTCGGCCTCCCAAAGTGCTGGGATTACAGGCGTAAGCCACTGCGCCTATCCTTCGTCTATCCTTTTCACTCTGAGGCGGTGGAGTCCTTCATTGCGCAAGACGCCCTGTGGTTGGGACCCAGTCCCTGCCCTCCCTGGAGGCACCTGGACTCTGGGCTCCAGGGAACCCAGCCCCGGGGATCCCTGACCAGACTGGGGTGGGGAGACGGGACCAGGACATCCTCCTGTGTAAGTGACCCTGGAACTAGGTGTTGAAGGACAGATGCAGGGAGGTATCCAGGAAAAAAGCAGGAAAGGTGCAAAGGCCAGAGGCAAGAGTGTGTCTGCTGGGCTCAGGGACTTGCCAGAACAGGAGGTGGGGGAAACAAGTAGAGGAGGAAGGAGAAGGTGGTGCCAGGCGGATGAGCTGCTCCAGGGCAGAGACTGTGTCTTATGGGCTCTCACTGTCATTGTCGCCTTGGTGGCAGCACAGCGGGGCATGGGAGAGTCTTATGCTGGGACTGACGGGCAGTCCTGGGAGGATTGTGAAGGGCCCAGGGGAGGGACAGGGGATCTGTGGGTATAAACAGACTTCTATTTTATTTTATTTTTGAGACTGAGTTTCTCTCTTGTTACCCAGGCTGGAGTACAATGGCGTTATCTCGGCTCACCGCAACCTCGCCTCCTGGGTTCAAACGATTCTGCCGCCTCAGCCTCCCAAATAGCTGGGATTACAGGCATGCGCCCTGCCTAAACAGACCTTTCTAGGGCCTGGTGGGAGAGGCAGAGGGCTGAGGTGCAGCTGGGGCCATTGGCATGGAGAGGAGAGGCTGGAACAGGGAGTCGGAGGACAGGGGGCCAGGATGGGGGCGGCCCTGATTTTCTGCGGGAAAGGATGCAGTCAGACAGTTCTTGCCGGGGAGGGTGGCTCACGTGTGTAATCCCGGCACTTTGGGAGGCCGAGTTGGGCAGATCACCTGAGGTCAGGAGTTCAAGACCAGCCTGGCCAACATGATAAAACCCTCGTCTCTACTAAAAAAAAAAAAAAAAAATACAAAAATTAGCCGGGTGTGGTGGAGGACGCCTGTAATCCTAGCTACTTGGGAGGCTGAGGCAGGAGAATCACTTGAACCCGGGAGGTGGAGGTTGCAGTGAGCCAAGATTACGCCATTGCACTCCAGCCTAGGCAACAAGAGCAAAACTCCCTCTCAAAAAAAAAAAAAAAAGTACGGTTCTTGGCCCTAAGAGCCGCCTTTCAGTGGACGGCTCAGGGCTGTAATCCCAAGGGCATGGTACAAGTTTCTCAACGCCAACGATAACGATAACAATGAGAATGACGACGTGCTGAGCACCCCTGAACACTGGGACCTCATCTCCTCTCCCTCACCCTCTGAAGTGCTTTTCATCATCCTCCTCGTGGTAAGAGTGAGCCCAGAGGTACAGAGAGCTCAAGTGACAGGCCCTACAACCAGGACGGGGGAGGCGGGATTTGAACAGGGCTCTGCTCTTCACACTACACCCGTGACCTCTGTTTCCGTGTCTGTCCACGGGGAACGGCGATGGGTGGGTGTGAGGTGGCCGAGCGAGACGGGGAGGGGCGCAGGCTCCGGCCAGCCCTGCCCAGCTCTGCCATGGAGCAAGCCACTTCTTTAGGCTCCTGTTTCCTCCTTTCTAAAACGGGGCGATCACAGTCCTTGTTCTTAGGGCTGCTGGATGGACAAAAGGTGACTGTGTCCACAGAGCGTCCCTGGGCACCGAGTAAACCCGCAGCATCTCACAGGGCAGCCGCCAGCATCGGGGCTGCTGGCTGGGCTCGGGGACTGCATGCGTTGCTACTGAGAGGTGCCCTGGACGCCCTGGGTGTAAAACACATGTTGGGTTTCCTTGGATTTCGAAGCTCCACCATAAAGAGTGTAAAATGGCTCAATCGCAAGTTTGCATCTGATGACAGGTTCAAATGAGAGTATTTTGGACCTGTTGAGCTAAATAAATATATTAGTAAAGTTGATTTCACCTGTTTGGTTTTTTCTTTATTATTATTTCAATGTGGCTTCTAGGAAATTTAAAATTACACATGTGGGCTGGGTGTGGTGGCTCACACCTATAATCCCAGCACTTTGGGAGGCTGAGACGGGAGGATCGCTTGAGGCCAGGAGTTTGAGACCAGCCTGGGCAACATAGGGAGACCCCATCTCTACAAAAAATTAAAATAAAATAAAATTAGCCAGGTGTGCTGGCACGTGCCTGTAGTCCCAGCTACTCAGGAGGCTGAGGCGAGCAGATCACTTGAGCCCAGACGGTCAAGGCTGCAGTGAGCCGAGACTGCGCCACTGCACTCCAGCCTGGGTGACACAGCAAGACTCTGTCTTAAAACAAAACAACCAAACAAACATTACACACGTGTTCACATTCTATTTCTATTGGACAGCACCGACATACATTATTATTATTTTATGATTCTGCCTATGCCACAGATTCTACCATTTCTTACGCTGTTTGCCTCTCAGGTATATCTGGGTTTGGTTTTGTTTTTATTCCTGCTTACTGTAAAAGTAATTTTTCCTCATTGAGGAAAAAATATCACACAAGAATAAAAATTGTCCATAATTCCCAACAGATAAAGTTCACTACTAAGAAAAGCTTGGAGTATGTCCTTCCAGTTTTTTTTTTTTTTTAGACAGAGTCTCACTCTGTCACCCAGGCTGGAGTGCAACTGGGCGATCTTGGCTCACTGCAACCTCCGCCTCCCGGGTTCAAGAGATTCTCCTGCCTCAGCCTCCCAAGTAGCTGGGATTACAGGCACCTGCCACCATGCCTGACTAATTTTTTGTATTTTTAGTAGAGATGGGGTTTCGCCATGTTGGCCAAGCTGGTCTCGAAATCCTGACCCAGGTGATCCACCTGCCTTGGCCTCTCAGAGTGCTAGGATTACAGGCATGAGCCACCATGCCCGGCCTCTTTTTTGTTTTTAAGATGGAGTCTCACTGTGTTGCCCAGGCCAGAGTGCAGTGGCGCGATCTCGGCTCACTGCAACCTCCGCCTCCCTCTTGCCTCAGTCTCCCGAGTAACTGGGATTACAGGCACCCCCCACCACCCCCGGCTAATTTTTGTATTTTTAGCAGAGACGGAGTTTTATCATGTTGGCCAGGCTGGTCTCAAACTCCCAACCTCAACTGATCTGCCCGCCTCGGCCTACCTAAGTGCTGGGATTACAGGTGTGAGCCACCACGCCCGGCCTCTTTTTCTCTTTTTTCTTTTGGTGCATATACTCTGATACCTAATTCTTCAGCTTCTTTGTGATGACACAGGATGCATCTGAGGTTCTCAGTTTCCTCCGTTAATACTGTAACACCGCATTCCCCCAGTGTCCGTCCCCTTCTCCCTGGCACACACCACTATCTGGGCTTTGCAGATATGATCCAATGGCTGTGTGGCCTTCTGGGCCTCAGTGCACCCGGCGTGGTCATCAGTAGTGAGGACCCTGTGAGCTCCTGCCTCCCGTGCTCTGACCCAGCACTGCCCCTCCCGTGGACCCCAGCTCCAGCCCTGAGAGGCGGCAGCCAGGGTCAGAGGTCAAGAGCCAGGACTCTGGAACCAGAGGGCCTGGATCCAGTCCCAACTCTGCTGTCCACTTCTGTGTGACCTTGGGCAAGTCACTGCACCTCCCTGGGCCTAATTCATCATCCTTCGTGTGAAACTCTTGAGGTCTGATGCGTTTTGACATTCCGATATTAGAAACATAGTAATAGATAGTATAGGTTTTATAATATCTTAGTGGTCTTGAAACATGGGAATTTCTAGAATGAAATGTTTGGATAGTCACGAGTGGGATCAATAAAAGCTTTACTTTCATGTGGCTGGGTGAGGTGGCTCACGCCGGTAATCCCAGCACTTTGGAAGGCCAAGGCGGGTGGATCACCTGAGGCCAGGAGTTCGAGACCAGCCTGGCCAACATGGCAAAACCCTGTCTCTACTAAAAATACAAAAAATTAGCCAAGCGTGTTGATGCGTGCCTGTAATCCCAGCTACTTGTGAGGCTGAGGCAGGAGAATCACTTGAACCCGGCAGGCAGAGGTTGCAGTGAGCCGAGATCACGCCTCTGCACTCCAGGCTGGGCGACAGAGCGAGACTCCATCTCAAAATAAATAAATAAATAAATAAATAAATAAATAATAAATAAAATAGCTTCACATGAGTTCTGATCGGGTTTTGCCACCAAGTGGGATTTGGTGTCAAAGTTTGGAAAAATCTGATTGTTAGGGCCTTAAGAATTTTGGAATTGCAGGTATCGAATAAGGACTGGTAATAGTGCCCATCTCACAGGGCAGTTTGGAGGATTAAAAGAGTTATTACCCACAAAATGTTTAGAACAGTGTCTGGCACCAAAGATGTGTTCAATGTGTCTTAGTTGCTGGTATTACTATTTTCATTTTGTATATTTATTTATTTATTTTGGGGACGGGATCTCCCTCTGTCACGCAGGCTGGAGCTCAGTGGCACGATCACAGTTCACTGCAGCCTTGGCCTCCTGGGCTCAGGCGATCCTCCCATCTTAGCCTTCTGAGTAGCTGGGACCACAGGTGCATGCCATCACACAGGGCTAATTTTCGTATTTGTCTGTAGAGACAGGGGTCTTGCTTTGTTGACCAGGATTGTCTTCAATTCCCGAGCTCAAGTGATCCTCCCACCTCGGCCTCCCAAAGTGCTGGGATTACTGCTGTGAGCCACCATGCCCAGCCTTATTTTTTTCATTTTTAAAACTATGTATAGTGGCCGGGCACGGTGGTTCACGCCTGTAATTTCCCAGCACTTTGGGAGGCCAAGGCAGGCAGATCACTTCAGATTGGGAGTTCAAGAACAGTCTGGCCAACATGGGGAAACCCCGTCTCTACTAAAAATACAAAATTGGCTGGGCACGGTGGCTCACGCCTGTAATCCCAGCACTTTGGGAGGCTGAGGCGGGTGGATCACGAGGTCAGGAGTTCAAGACCAGCCTGGCCAACATGGTGAAACCCCATCTCTACTAAAAATACAAAAATTAGCCAGGCGTGGTGGCACGACCCTGTAATCCCAGCTACTTGGGAGACTGAGGCAGGAGAATCGCTAGAACCTGGAAGGCGGAGGTTACAGTGAGCCGAGATTGTGCAACTGCACTCCAGCCTGGGTGACAGAGCAAGACTCTGTCTCAAAAATAAAATAAAATAAAATAATGTATCACTGGCATGGAATAAAATATCCTCATTTTAAGTGTAGTTTGGGGAGTCCTAACAGTCGCTTTCCGTCATGTAACCACCACGCCAATGTAGCACCTTTCAATCACCCCAGAAAGCTCTCTCATGCCCTTCCCTGTCTGCCCCAGATACCTCACCTGCCCACACACGCAGAGACGCACACTTAGAACACCCAGAGCATGGTGTGGACGGATCCACCGCACCGGCTCCTTTGTGTTCGGCGTCTTTTGCTCAGTGTAACCCCCTAGAGATTCATCCAGAGGGTCATCAGTAGCCAGGTCCCTTTCATGGCTGAGCTGAGAGATTCATCCAGGGGGTCACAGCAGCCAGGTCCCTTTCATGGCTGAGCCGCAGCATCCTTTACACGGCCACACCTCGCAGTGTTTGTCCATTCACCTGCTGAGGAACATTTGGGATGTCTCCAGCTTAGGCAGTCCTGAGAAAAAAATGCTGTGAACACCCACATAGAAGCCGTTGCGTGGACATCTGCCTTCATTTCTCTTGAGGAAATACCCAGGAATGGAACAGCCGGGTCGGATGGCCACTCCAGTTTTAACTTTTTTTTCAAAAGTTTTTTCCTCTTCAATCCCAAAATTCTTGGTTTTATATTTCTTTTTAAATTCTTTTTGTAGAGACAGGGTCTCCCAATGTTGCCCAGACTGGTCTCAAGCTTCTGCGCTCAGGTGATCCTCTCACCTTGGCCTCCCAAAGTGCTGGGATTACAGGCATAAGCCACTGTGCCTGGCCCCCAAAATTCTTTTTTTTTTTTTTCGAGACGGAGTCTCACTCTGTCACCCAGGCTGGAGTGTGGTGACACAATCTCAGTTCACTGCAACCTCTGCCTCCCAGGTTCAAGTGATTCTTCTGCCTCAGCCTCCCAAGTAGCTGGGATTACAGGCATGTGCCACCACGCCTGGCTAATTTTTGTATTTTTAGTAGAGACGGGGTTTCACCATGTTGGCCAGGCTGGTCTCGAACTCCTGACCTCAGGTGATCCACCCACTGCAGCCTCCCAAAGTGCTGGCATTACAGGCATTAGCCACCATGCCTGGCCGTCCCCAAAATTCTTGACTCCAGTTTTAACTTTCTAAGTAACTATCTTTTTTTCTCTTTTTTTCATTTTCTTGTTTGTTCATTTTTCTTTTCTTTTCTTCTTTTTTTTTTTTTTTTTTTTTTTTTTTTTTTTTTTTTTTTTTTTGACAGGGTATTACTTCATTGCCCAGGCTGGAGTGCAGTGGCGTGATCAGGGCTCACTGCAGCCTTCACTTTCCAGGCTCACGCAATCCTCCCACCTCAGCCTCCCTAGTAGCTGGGACAACAGGCACATGCCACCACGCCTGGCTAATTTATTTTATTTTATTTTATTTTTGTAGAGATGGGGTCTATGTTCTGATGCCCAGTCTGATCTTGATCTCCTGGGTTCAAGTGATCTGCCCACCTCAGCCTCCCAAAGTGCTGGGATTACAGGCATGAGCCACCCCTGTGCTTGGTCCCCCAAAATTCTTGAATCCAGTTTTTTTGTTTGTTTCTACATGGAGTCTTGCTCTGTTGCCCAGGCAGGAGTGCAGTGGCACTATCTCGACTCACTGCAGACTCCGCCTCCTGGGTTCAAGTGATTCTCGTGCCTCAGCCTCCCGAGTAGCTGGGATTACACGCACCACCACACCTGGCTAATTTTTGTATTTTTAGTAGAGACAGGGTTTCACCATGTTGTCCAGGCTGGTCTCAAACTCCTGACCTCAAGTGATCCACCTGCCTCGGCCTCCCAAAGTGCTGAGATTACAGGCGTGAGCCACCACACCCAGCCTTGACTCCAGTTTTAACTTTATAAGAAACTCATCAAACCATGTTGCAATATAGGTCGTACCGTCACAGCACAGCACGGGAGATCCAGCCACACGGCCCCACCTGCGCCCGGGACCTTGGTGATCCCCCCACGGTCCCCGTCAGTATCTCCGTGACTGATCCGTGTCTCCCTCTCCCCAGGTGATCCGGACGGACACGTTCAAGCACCTGCGGCACCTGGAGATTCTGCAGCTGAGCAAGAACCTGGTGCGCAAGATCGAGGTGGGCGCCTTCAACGGGCTGCCCAGCCTCAACACGCTGGAGCTTTTTGACAACCGGCTGACCACGGTGCCCACGCAGGCCTTCGAGTACCTGTCCAAGCTGCGGGAGCTCTGGCTGCGGAACAACCCCATCGAGAGCATCCCCTCCTACGCCTTCAACCGCGTGCCCTCGCTGCGGCGCCTGGACCTGGGCGAGCTCAAGCGGCTGGAATACATCTCGGAGGCGGCCTTCGAGGGGCTGGTCAACCTGCGCTACCTCAACCTGGGCATGTGCAACCTCAAGGACATCCCCAACCTGACGGCCCTGGTGCGCCTGGAGGAGCTGGAGCTGTCGGGCAACCGGCTGGACCTGATCCGCCCGGGCTCCTTCCAGGGTCTCACCAGCCTGCGCAAGCTGTGGCTCATGCACGCCCAGGTAGCCACCATCGAGCGCAACGCCTTCGACGACCTCAAGTCGCTGGAGGAGCTCAACCTGTCCCACAACAACCTGATGTCGCTGCCCCACGACCTCTTCACGCCCCTGCACCGCCTCGAGCGCGTGCACCTCAACCACAACCCCTGGCATTGCAACTGCGACGTGCTCTGGCTGAGCTGGTGGCTCAAGGAGACGGTGCCCAGCAACACGACGTGCTGCGCCCGCTGTCATGCGCCCGCCGGCCTCAAGGGGCGCTACATTGGGGAGCTGGACCAGTCGCATTTCACCTGCTATGCGCCCGTCATCGTGGAGCCGCCCACGGACCTCAACGTCACCGAGGGCATGGCTGCCGAGCTCAAATGCCGCACGGGCACCTCCATGACCTCCGTCAACTGGCTGACGCCCAACGGCACCCTCATGACCCACGGCTCCTACCGCGTGCGCATCTCCGTCCTGCATGACGGCACGCTTAACTTCACCAACGTCACCGTGCAGGACACGGGCCAGTACACGTGCATGGTGACGAACTCAGCCGGCAACACCACCGCCTCGGCCACGCTCAACGTCTCGGCCGTGGACCCCGTGGCGGCCGGGGGCACCGGCAGCGGCGGGGGCGGCCCTGGGGGCAGTGGTGGTGTTGGAGGGGGCAGTGGCGGCTACACCTACTTCACCACGGTGACCGTGGAGACCCTGGAGACGCAGCCCGGAGAGGAGGCCCTGCAGCCGCGGGGGACGGAGAAGGAACCGCCAGGGCCCACGACAGACGGTGTCTGGGGTGGGGGCCGGCCTGGGGACGCGGCCGGCCCTGCCTCGTCTTCTACCACGGCACCCGCCCCGCGCTCCTCGCGGCCCACGGAGAAGGCGTTCACGGTGCCCATCACGGATGTGACGGAGAACGCCCTCAAGGACCTGGACGACGTCATGAAGACCACCAAAATCATCATCGGCTGCTTCGTGGCCATCACGTTCATGGCCGCGGTGATGCTCGTGGCCTTCTACAAGCTGCGCAAGCAGCACCAGCTCCACAAGCACCACGGGCCCACGCGCACCGTGGAGATCATCAACGTGGAGGACGAGCTGCCCGCCGCCTCGGCCGTGTCCGTGGCCGCCGCGGCCGCCGTGGCCAGTGGGGGTGGTGTGGGCGGGGACAGCCACCTGGCCCTGCCCGCCCTGGAGCGAGACCACCTCAACCACCACCACTACGTGGCTGCCGCCTTCAAGGCGCACTACAGCAGCAACCCCAGCGGCGGGGGCTGCGGGGGCAAAGGCCCGCCTGGCCTCAACTCCATCCACGAACCTCTGCTCTTCAAGAGCGGCTCCAAGGAGAACGTGCAAGAGACGCAGATCTGAGGCGGCGGGGCCGGGCGGGCGAGGGGCGTGGAGCCCCCCACCCAGGTCCCAGCCCGGGCGCAGCCTGACCGGGACCCCTCCCTCCCACAGCCCAGCCCACCTTCTGGGACCACGCAGGGAATTGGGGAGAGGTGGCTTCCAGCCCCATCTGGGGCTCGGACCCCCAGTAAGGACAGGGTGGGGCTCCAGGAGCGGAGTCTCTGGGATCCTCGCCTCACCCCCGCCAATCCCCGGTGACGGGAGGGGACGTGGGACCCAGGAGAAGTGGCCTGAGTTCTCCGCGTTTCCTCCTCGCTCTCCCACCAAGCGTTCCGGGCCCGCCGCCTTCCAGGGGAGAGAGGAGCTTTCTCCAGGGGTGTCCTTTCCCCTCGGCCCCAAACACCTTCCTTTTACGGTTCAGTTTTTGCAGTTTGACGCCCGTCCCTCCCTCCCACTCCTCCGCCCTCAAAACTGAAGAGATGGACACGTCGCCAGAGCTCCCGTCCCAGCGCCCGGCTCTGCTCCCGGCCGGCGGTCCCTGTCGTCGGCGCGGGGGGGAGCCTCCACCCGCCCCAGCCCCACCTGCCCCACAGACACTTTTGATACTGAAGGGAGGTTTGCGTCAACGACTACCTGCTCTGTAATTACTTTAAAAAAAAAACATGGAAAAAGTAAAAAAATATTTTTTTTGGTCATGAAAGCACGGAGGAGAGAAAACAAAGTGAATGTGGGTGGGGGCGGAAGGAGAGGCTGGAGAGCCAGCCTCGCAGCTCCGTCGGGAGGGTGGGCACGGGGCACCTCCGGGTGGTCTTAGGCCCCTCAGCCTTCACCCTGGAGACCCCAGAGAAGGTCTGATTCCCTTTCTTCCTAAACTCCTCCCCCAGCACCGCCACACCACACCCAAACCCAGGTGGAGACTTATAACAAAGGAAATCTATCGTCCCACAGTTCTGGAGGCTGGAGGGAGGGCCACGCTCTCTCTGAAACCTGGGGATACCTCAGGGGAGCTTCCTGCCTCGCCAGCTTCTGGTGTCCCCAGGCTGTCCTGGCTGGTGGCTGTATCACATCACCCCAGTCTTCCAGTGCCTGCCCCTGTAGCCTCTCATCTCTTCCCTCTGTGTGCGTCCGTCTGTGTCCAACTCCCCCTCTTTTATTTATTTATTTTTTAATTGAGATGGAGTTTTATTCTTGTCGCCCAGGCTGGAGTGCAATGGTGTGATCTCAGCTCACTGCAACCTCTGCTTCCCAGCTTCAAGTGATTCTCCTGCCTCAGCCTCCCAAGTAACTGGGATCACAGGCATGCGCCACCAGGCCTGGCTAATTTTTGTATTTTTAGTAGAGATGGGGTTTCACCACATTGGCCAGGCTGGTTTCGAACTCCTAACCTCAGGTGATCCACTCACCTCAGCCTCTCAAAGTGCTCGGATTACAGGCATGAGCCACCGCGCCTGACCGTTTTCTTTGTTTGTTTCTTTGTTTTTGAGACAGAGTCTTGCTCTGTTGTCCAGGCTGGAGTGCAGTGGCACAATTTCAGCTCACTGAAGCCTCTGCCTCCCAGGTTCAAGCGAATCTCCTCCCTCAGCCCCCTGAGTAGCTAGGATTACACGCGACTACCACCACACCCAGCTAATTTTTGTATTTTTAGTAGAGACGGGGTTTCACCATGTTGGCCAGGCTGGTCTCGAACTTCTGACCTCAAGTGATCCACCTGCCTCAGCCTCCCAAAGTGTCGGGACTATAGGTGTGGGCCACTGCAGCCTGCCTAACCTCCCCTCTTACAAGGACAGAGGTCAGACTGGACCAGGAGCCTCCACCTCCAGTATAACCTCAGCTCCATCCTTGGCAAAAACCCAATTCCCAAATAAGGTCCCATTCTGAGGCCCTGGAGGTCAGGACTTCTGCGCTTCCCTTTCTGGGTGACAATTCAACCCACAACAGGGCCCAATCCAGAGTGTGTCTCTCCACTGCAGACCCCCTCAAGGCTGCTCCAGAGGACGGGGTGCCGAAGGGGAGGGAGGCCAAGCGGGAGGCTGGGCCTGCGGCCTCTGGGGCACAGCAGCTGTATTTCTGGCCGGTTCAGTGGGAGGCTGGAGGGCCGGATCGGGTGGGCCTGGGGCGGCAGGGGCACCACAGTGCCACTCAGAAGGGCAGGAGCAGAGCCCTGGGAGGGCAGGGAGCAAACCCTGAGCGGGCCTGGCTGGGGGGTTGCTGGCACAGTGGGCAGCTGTTGGGTGGGTTGGGGGAGGGGGTGGTGATGTCTCTTGGGGGGTCAAGGTGCCCGAGTTGCAGGCCCTGGAGGGCTGGGGCTGGCCAGGGCTGCCATCTCACGCTGCTGGGGGAGGCAGAGGGAGGGACGGAGCCATGCAGGGCCTTCCAGTGCTTTCCCACGCTGAGGTGGCTTCGGGGACACAGCCCTGAGGACACACAGGCCTGCGCCCAGCCCCCTTCTCCCCTCGTAGTGGCCCAGGCTGTACCCCGTACACGGCAGCTATGGGCACTATGGGGACACTCAGGCCCCAGCAGGAGTCAGAAGGTAGAGATGGCGGGAGGCCCCCCACTTCCGTGAGGTGCCTGGCCCCTGCCCCCTTCCTGGCTCTGTCTACACCCAGGCATCTCATCTCTCCCACACCGGGGGCTCCTGGCTCTGGAAGCCAATTCCTCCCTTATCAGCAGCGGCAGCCTTTGGGTGCCACGTCGGGGTCTTGGCCCCTCTCTGTCTGCCCGCGTCTGTCTCCTCTCTCCTCCCGTCAACTTGGGGCTCTCGCCACCCAGTGCCCGCCCCCCCCACCCCATGCTCCCGTTCACGCTCTCTTTCTCTCCAGCCTCCTTCCAGCGCCAATCCTGGTTGCCATGGAAACACTGCAGCGGGTACCAGGTGGTGGCTGGGGGCAGGGAGCCTGCGCTGCCGCAGCCTGCGCCATTTCCGATGCCAGGCACCCTCAAGGCACAGAGGCTGGGGCTCATGTTGGGGGCACTTGGCCTCTCCAGGCCTCGAAGGCTTCTCCTGGGCTGACGCGAGCTGGGGAACGGGAGGGACGGACGTGGGAGCGAGAACGTCACACTGGAGGCAGCTGGTGGCACGATGGGGGACAGAGTGAAAGGTAGCAAGTCAAGGTGAACTGAAGGATGATCAGAGCGGAGGGAGGCTGTGGACAGGGGCGGAGGCTGTGGGAAGGGGACCCGTGCTGCGCAGCGGGGCTAGGGAGGTTGGACCCGCTGAGGCAAGGGCACATTGAGGAGAAGCCACAACCAGGGCTCCCGCTGCCTCTGGGAGGGCTAGGGCCACGGCCAGGCTGAAGCCTCCCTCAGACCTTAGCCGCCTGAGGACAAGGAGGAGAGGTGAGCACGAGGGGACAGACAGAGCCCAGAGTCCCTGTCACCATCTCTTCTCCCAACCCAAAGCAAGATGCAGTTTCCATGACAACCTGGCCGGCCAGAGAGGGGGCAGGGGACTGCAGAGGAAACTTTCCACATCAGCAGGGAGAAAGAGGGTGTGCTGCAGGGGAAAGGGGGGCACGCAGGGTTCCCAGAACCCCCGGTCACCATGCTCACTGTGCTGGACCCGGGAAAGTGGACAGAGCACAGGGAAGGGTTCTCCCGCCTCCACTCCCGCAGGCCCACGCCCCCACGCTGGGCCTGCGGGGAAGGGGGAAGACTGAGCCCAGAGGCTCAAGGGTCAGATGTCCAAAGAGCAGCGGCTGCCCAGGCCTTGTGCAGCGGGCAGCGAGCAGCCCAGGGAGCCAGGCCCCAGACACCGCACTCAGGGCCATGGCCGACAGGGGCCCGTGGAGGGTGGGCGTGGTGGGCTATGGCCGCCTCGGTGAGTCCCTGACCATCCTTGGCCTCCTTCCCCAAACCCCTTCCTAAAGCTCCCAAGACTCTCTGCCCTCCACAAACACTTTTTTCTCTCTCTATCTGCCCCTGGCTGTGTCTCTGGGTCTGCCCACTGCACCCCCACCCCAGGTCTCTGTCCTCTCCGTCTCTGTCTCCCTTCTCTCTGGGCCTCTGTCCACCCCACTGTGTCTCTGCCCTGCCCCCATCTCTGTCTCCCTACCCCGCAATCTGAGTCTGTCCCCACCTCCTCTCTCTCTGGGTCTCTGTCCCCACCTCCTCTCTCTCTGGGTCTCTGTCCCCCTCTCTCTGGATCTCTAGCCCTCTCCTTTCCCTCTCCCCAGGACAGTCCCTCGTCTCCCGCCTCTTGGCTCAGGGACCAGAACTTGGCCTAGAACTTGTTTTTGTCTGGAATCGTGACCCAGGACGAATGGCAGGGAGCGTGCCCCCTTCCCTGCAGCTCCAGAACCTTGCTGCCCTTGGGGAAAGGTCAGTGACCTTGCCATGGGAGAGTGGAGCTCCCTGAAGCTCCTGTCCTGGCTCTCTTAGCCACTGTGTGATCTCAGGGGTTCCCTGACCCTCTCTGGGCCTTGGTTCAAGCAAATGTGAAACAGGACGAACCCATTCATCTCATTTCGCCTCCCAGGTCAGGGAGAAGAAGGGCAGCCCTCAGTAGACTCGGAGGGAACCTTGGGGAGAAGAGGCCTAATACCTCTCCAAGACCCTCCGCCCTCTTTCCCCTCTCCCAGGCGCCCTGATCTGGTTGTGGAAGTGGCCCATCCCAAAATAATCCATGAATCTGGGGCACAAATCCTGCGCCATGCCAATCTCCTGGTAAGCCCCACCCCAACCATTTACGCAGAGCCCTGCCCCTTCTGTCTTGGTCTCACCCCACCCTGAAGTGGATATCCTTCCCTGACCTCAACCCTCCCCTCCTTCATCCACCCCAGGTGGGGTCCCCCTCAGCTCTAAGTGACCAGACCACAGAGCGGCAGCTCTTGGAGGCCTCACAGCACTGGGACCACGCCGTGTTTGTGGCCCGAGGGGCCCTGTGGGGCGCTGAGGACATCAGGAGATTGGATGCAGCTGGGGGCCTCCGGGTGAGGCCTGCTGGGCTCCCCAGGAACCAGGGGAGGCCTGCAAAGACCCCACTCCCCCTAACCCGGGCTCTTGCTTCCAGAGCCTTCGTGTCACCATGGCCACACACCCCGATGGCTTCCGGCTTGAGGGACCCCTGGCTGCAGCCCACAGCCCTGGGCCTTGCACTGTGCTCTACGAAGGCCCTGTCCGTGGGCTCTGCCCCTTTGCCCCGCGAAATTCCAACACCATGGCGGCGGCTGCCCTGGCTGCCCCCAGCCTGGGCTTCGATGGGGTGATTGGGGTGCTCGTGGCTGATACCAGGTGAGCAGAGCTAAGCAGGGTGTTGGGCTGAGTCCAGGCTCTCCAGACTGACTGCCCCTCTTGTCCCAGCCTCACGGACATGCACGTGGTGGATGTAGAGCTGAGCGGACCCCGGGGCCCCACGGGCCGAAGCTTTGCTGTGCACACCCGCAGAGAGAACCCTGCCGAGCCAGGCGCGGTCACCGGCTCCGCCACCGTCACGGCCTTCTGGCAGAGCCTCCTGGGTGCGGCCAGGCCCCTCTCCCCCGGCCCTGGGCTCCTGTGTTCTGCAGAGCTTGGGGGTCCCGGGCTCTCACTAGTTCTGCAGTTCTGGTTCTGTATTTGTTGACCTTTCTTTCTTTCTGACCTTTATTTCCTTAACCTCTCTCCATGACTTTGAATCCTGGCACTGTAGATGTCTCCATTTGTGCCCGCCTCTGATCGAGACTCTCTCTGTCTCTGTCCACCCCCAGGGCTCTGTCCCGCTCTCTCCGGGTCTTCCTCCACCGCCCCCCTGCCCTGTCCCCTCCTCCCACCACTGCCTCCCCCAGGCGTCTGTCTCCTCATCTCTCCTCTGTCTCATTCGCTCATTCCCCTCTCCCCGCAGCCTGCTGCCAGCTCCCCTCCAGGCCGGGGATCCATCTCTGCTGAGAAGCCTCCTCCCTCCCGAGACAAGATCATCTGCCTGGCCTCTCACCACCACCATCCCACCCCTGCCCTGCCCCACTTCCCCAGGGTCTCCCTTCTGACTCAGTAAAGATCACCGCTGCCTCCCCCCGCACCGCCTGGCGTCTCTGATCCCTTTCCCTTGTGTGACGTCACGCTGCGTCTGCGCACCGCGCATGACGCCATCGCCGGGGGCGAGCACCCATGAGAGCGCGGCGCCAGGAAGCTATCGCGAGAGCCTACCTACTAAGTTTCCTAGAATCTCTGAGCAGTAGTGGGCGCGGCCGTATGCGAAAGAAGGGCCTCTGAGGCGCACTTCCGGGACCTGCCGCGGAGCCCGACGGAAGTTGTAGTGCGGCATTTCCTAGGCCCGACGGCCGACTTCAGGGCCACGCGGCCCGGGCGTTCCGTGTGGAGCAGGAGTCCCGCGGGGCCCCACGGGAGTCGTAGTCCGGCGCGCGGGGATCACCGGGAGCTGTAGTCCGTCCCGCCTGCCCAGTCAGCGCGGTGTTGCCCGCCCCGCACTCGGAGCCCAGAGCCGCCGCCCAGGAAGGGGATGCGGAAACCCCTGGCTCGGTGGAGCGGAGAGGCAGGCGGGGTGAGGGGCGTTGCCAGGCAAAGGGCGAGCGCCGTGGCTGGGGTGCGGGTCGGCGAAGGGCTCCATTCCTTGGTGTCCGGGGAGGGGGCCTGGTTGCTGGGTGATAGGAAGAGGAACTCCTGTTGCTTAGTGACTGGGGAGGGGGCCCCGTTGCCAGGTGACAAGAGCAGAGAGCCTCGCTGCTACATGACCGGGGAAGGGGAGTCTTCTGTTGCTAGGAGACCAGAGGGGACCCTATCACCTAGAGACAGGGGAGGAGGATTCTCTATTGCTAGGTGCTCGGAGGACAGACTTTGTTACCTAGTGCGGTGGGGAGGGGGCTTTGTTGCTAGGTAACCACAGAGCGCCCTGGTTACCTAGGGACGGGGAGGCAGGTTCCTCTGTTGCTAGGTGACCATGATAGGGACCCTTTTACTTAGAGACCTGGTGAGGGTGGTTTTCTGTTGCTAGGGGAGCAGAAGAGACAGCGTTTTTCGTAGGAATAGGAATAAGGGATGGAGGGACGTGTGCTGCCAGGAGACTGCCAGGGAGCGGGGTCAGGGGCCCAGTGTCTTCCTGGGCTGCTCCGAGTCCCAGCTCAATCAATGGCGATGCCCCAAAGGCCTGCTGGGAGGCTGGACCTCTAGATCCCGGGCCCCTGAGGACCTTCTCCCCCTCCCAACCCCCAGCAGGAGCCGAGGACGGCATGTCCCAGGCCCCGGGAGCACAGCCGAGCCCACCCACCGTGTACCACGAACGGCAGCGCCTGGAGCTGTGTGCTGTCCACGCCCTCAACAACGTTCTGCAGCAGCAGCTCTTTAGCCAGGAGGCTGCCGATGAGATCTGCAAGAGGTGACCGTCACCCACCCCAGCCCCTGGAGCAGCAGAGCTCTGGCGGAGTGACCCACCTGGGTCTCGCCGCCAGGCAGGCGCTGAGCCTTGGGGGCTTTCTTCTGCTCCGCGCTCACTTGCCTAAGCTAGACGCTGGGACTCTGGGGAGATGTTGCCTCCTGTGCCTGTCTGTCCCTGTGGCCTCAGCCCCAGCCAGACCTCAATCCAGTGGTTCTTTCTTTTTTTTTTTTTTTTGAGACTGAGTCTCACTCTGTTGCCCAGGCTGGAGTGCAGTTGCGCGATCTCGCTCACTGCGAGCTCGGCCTCCCGGGTTCATGCCATTCTCCTGCCTCAGCCTCCCGAGTAGCTGGGACTACAGGCACCCGCCACCACGCCCGGCTAATTTTTTGTATTTTTAGTAGAGACGGGGTTTCACCATGTTAGCCGGGATGGTCTCAATCTCCTGACCTCGTGATCCACCCGCCTCGGCCTCCCAAAGTGCTAGGATTACAGGCGTGAGCCACTGCACCCGGCCCAGTGGTTCTTTCTTTAGAGACAAGGTCTGGCTGGTCTTGAACTCCTGAGCTTAAGTGATCCTCCCACCTCAGCCTCCCCAGTAGCTGGGATTACAGGCTCACCCAGCTTCAGGCATCTCTTATCTGGGCCCTGTCACAGCTCTCCAGTCCATCCTAAACACGCCCCCGCCCTACTCAGGGCCCTCCTCATAGCGGAGGCCGAGCCTGCCTCCGCATCTTCAGCCCTCACGGCCCCCCTCAAACCAGACTCTCCACTCCCGTGAGCCCTTCTGTGCGGCCTCTGGGCTTCCAGGTACTTCTTTCTGCCCGGCATGGCTTCCTTCTCTGCCAGCATGGAATGTTCCTCTTCACTATTCACAATGTCCAACATCACTCTTTGGCCGGGCGCAGTGGCTCACACCTGTAATCCCAACACTTTGGGAGGCTGAGGCGGGTGGATCACTTGAGGTCAGGAATTCCAGACCAGCCTGGCCAACAGGGCGAAACCCCGTCTCTACTAAAAAATAAAAATAAATAAAAAATAAAATTAGCTGGGCGTGGTGGCACATGTCTGTAGTCCCAGCTACTCTGGAGGCTAAGGTGGGAGAATTGCTTGAAGCTGGGAGACAGAGGTTTCAGTGAGCCGGGCAACAGAGCAAGACTGTCTCAAAAAAAAAAAAAAAAAAAATCACTCCTTTACCATCTCTCACTCCCTCCTCTCTGTCCCCATGTCCCTGGCCCCAGCTCAGGCCTGACCCTCTCCTGCCCAGCCTGCCCATGGCCTCCAGTCTGTCCCTGCCTTCAGTCCCCACTTGATCCTAGAGAGTCTTTCTACACCTGGAGATGGCCCTGCCTCCCCTGCCTCTTGCTCCAAGCCTCCTCCGGCTCTCGGACATCTTAAGAGTCCCAGCCCCTCAGACTGATTATTATGGTATTTAGTCATCTCCTCTATCATTCGCAACAAGGACCCATCAGCTCTTTCATACAAAAGCCATGCTGGAGACCCTGAGATGACTCAGACACAAGTGCCAGCCTAAGGGTGGTGAGGGAAACACACACACACACACACACACACACACACACACACACACACGAGCGTTTTCCTCCCATGTCCTGCCTGCCCAGGGTCCAGATAGGGAACAGAGGTGCAGCTGTTCAGAGGCAGGGCCCAGAGACAAGTGGTGACAGGCGGAAGAGCCTTCCTAGGCAGGGGAAGAGCTGGAGGAAAGGTTGGCGGGGGTGGGGCGGGAGGCGGTGGGCACCGGGGATGTGGCTGGGGACAGGGGACCAGGAAGGAGGGTGCTGAGGCTCTGAGGTGAGGCCACCAGAGCCAGACCACGCAGGGCCTTGTGGGACTCTGTCCTGGGGGAAATGAGGCAGCAGAGTGGGCTGTGAGCAGGGGAGGGGTGAGGGCAACCCCGTGGGAGAAGCAAGCAGTGTTAAATCAGGGTGATGCGGGCAGCTGTCATCGTTGAGGTGGCTCAGTTCACTGGGGGAGCCCAGACAGGGCCCCGATCCAGCCTGGAGGTCAGGAGGCTCCTCTCAGAGGACGTGACATCTGAGGTGGGCCTTGAAGGACAGAGGAAGGGACTGGCGGAGGGACAGGGACTTTGTCCAAGGCATTGGGGAGCCATGGGAGAGCTGAGAGCAGGAGAGGGCCAGGGCCGTGTGGGAATGGACTGGAGGGAGGCTGGAGGCTGCGGGAGAAGACAGAGCCCATCTGGGGCCTTGGGGACAGGGCAGAGTCAGGGCAGGAGAGACAGGACTTGGGGACAGGGCAGAGTCAGGGCAGGAGAGACAGGACTTGGGGACAGGGCAGAGTTGGGGCAGGAGAGGCAGGACTTGGGGACAGGGCAGAGTCGGGGCAGGAGAGGCAGGACTTGGGGACAGGGCAGAGTCAGGGCAGGAGAGACAGGACTTGGGGACAGGGCAGAATTGGGGCAGGAGAGGCAGGACTTGGGGGTGGATGAGTTGTGGGGTCTGAAGCGGGGAGAGTCAAAGGCTGAGGCAACTTGTGGCCCCTGGGACCCCCATTTTGTGGGGAGGCCTTTCCAGGGGTCCCCACCTCAGCTCTGGCCACCCCCACTACCAGGTTGGCCCCAGACTCCCGGCTGAACCCTCATCGCAGCCTCCTGGGCACCGGCAACTATGATGTCAATGTGATCATGGCCGCTCTGCAGGGGCTGGGCCTGGCCGCCGTGTGGTGGGACAGGAGGAGGTAGGCCCCAGAGCAGCACAGCATGTGCTGGGCCGGGCACAGAGGGCACCCTATAGTGTGAGCCTGTTGGGGGGCAGGGAGGGGAATGTGGCTGGGGGAGGTTGGCATGAATGTGGGAAGCCTGGCACTGATGGGTTGAAAGGGGGAGATCAGGTGGTCGATGGGCTGAGATGCTGGGTGGATGATGGTTACTGGGTGAATGCTGAGTAGGCCGTTGGATGTGTTGGGTCAGGGGGAGTGAAGTGATGGGTGTTCCTGGGCAATGGGCAGCAGACAGGAGGCTGGGGAGTTGGGTGGATGAATGGGAAGTTTTGATGGCCGGCTGGCCAGTGGCTGGGCATGTGGCTGGTGGATGAGGGGTAGACCAATGGCAGGGGGGTCAAGAGTGAGTGAGGATTGGGGGCATGGCGAGTCCACTGTTGGGTGAATGGCTGGCTGGGTGGTGGCCGGCTGTGTGGGTGGGTGGGTGGGTGGTGGGTGGTGAACAGTAGATGGCTAGTTGGATGGTGATGGTGGTTGGGTGGTTGACGGGGAGGTGGGGCGGGTGTATATGAGGGATGGAAGTGAATGCATAGATGGGAGGTGAGTGTGTGAATCGTCATTGGGAAGTTGGCTGGTGGCTGGGAGGCTCAGTGGGGTGGGCGGATCATGCATGGATCCTGGGTGGCTGTGTGAGGAGTTGGTAAGTTGGTGGGTGGGTGGCTGGACAGACAGGGTGATGGTGGTTGGTGAAGGGCCGATGTGAGTTGGGTGGACGGTGGGTGGGTGGGTGGACGGTGGGTGGGTGGGTGGGAGGTCTGGTTGGGTGGCCGCATGGGTGGGAGGTTTGAGTGGGCAGGTGAACGGATGAGTGTCGGGAACCAGGGTGGCTGATTAAGGAACACCTCTGGGTGGGCTCAGGAGGCCCTCACCACCACCAGCCTGGGCCCCACATGTTCAGCAACATTTCACCGGCGGGCGGAGCAGGCCCTGATGGCAGTGTCCCCTCCCTGCCCACACAGGCCCCTGTCCCAGCTGGCCCTGCCCCAGGTACTGGGGCTGATCCTGAACCTGCCCTCGCCCGTGTCGCTGGGGCTGCTGTCACTGCCGCTGCGCCGGCGGCACTGGGTGGCCCTGCGCCAGGTGGACGGTGTCTACTACAACCTGGACTCCAAGCTGCGGGCGCCCGAGGCCCTGGGGGATGAGGACGGAGTCAGGTGAGCCCCACAGAGGCGATTCCAAGACCAGGGGCCTGAAACCCCACTCCCCAGACGGAATGCCCAGGCTGGCCGAGCCTCAGTCTCCCCATTTCTCCCACCCAGGGCCTTCCTGGCGGCTGCGCTGGCCCAGGGCCTGTGCGAGGTGCTGCTGGTAGTGACCAAGGAGGTGGAGGAGAAGGGCAGCTGGCTGCGGACAGACTGACCATGGCTGACCATCGGCGCCCACAGCGCAGTCCCTGCGCATCCCCCTCCGGCTGCGCACACTGCATGCCTGGGAAAGGCCAGCACTTCATGGACCCTGGGGAGGCCCCGCCCCCTCCCCACACCCCTGCTCCCCACTGCCGCTGCTGCCTCAATAAATCTGCTGATTTGCTGCCTGCCTGGCCTGTGTCTGACGGCCCCACCCTTCTGGGGCCCCTTCCACTCAGTGACTCCCACTTACCTTACAGGCCAGACACCCTGGTGTGTGGGGCCGAGAGCCCAGGAGGCCTCCTGGTTCTCTGCCACCTCATGCCAGTTTCTCACTGCTGGGCCTCAGTTTCCTCATCAGTGACACAGCAGAAAAAAACACAAGTCCGTGCCCCCTGGGGCTCACGCTCCTCCGGTGCTGGAGAGAGACCAGTGGCAAACAAATGAGTTTGATCTCCTGGGTTCCACGGGGGTCATTGCTAAGGAGAAAGCAGGTGTTTACTTCTTTATTTGATTGATTGATTGAGACAGGGGTCTCACTCTGTCACCCAGGCTGGAGTGCAGTGGGTCAATCACAGCTCACTGTAGCCTTGAACTCCTGGGCTCAAGCGACCCTCCCACCTCAGCCTCCCAAGTAGCTGGGACCACGGGTGCATGCCACCATACCTGACTACTTTCTTTAAATTTTTTTGTAGAGATGGGATCTCGCTTTGTTGCCCAGGCTGGTCTTGAACTCCTGACCTCAAGCAATCTGCCTGCCTCTGCTTCCCAAAGTGCTGGGATTATAGGTGTGAGCCACCATGCCTGAGTTTACTTCTTGACTCTCGATTCTATTCCGTTGATTGGCAGGCGGGCAGAACAGTGGCCCCAAAGATGTCCACACCCTGGCCAGATGTGGTGCCTCATGCCTGTAATCACAGTGCTTTGGGAGGCTGAGGTCCACAAGTATGAGACCAGCCTGGGCAACATAGCAAGACCCTGTCTCTAAAAAAAAAAAAAATTAAAATAAGTGGCATGTGAGGCTGGTGGCTCACGCCTGTAATCTCAGCACTCTGGAAGGCCGAGGCGGGTAGATCACCCGAGGTCAAGAGTTCAAGACTGGCCAGGCGCGGTGGCTCATGGCTGTAATCCCAACACTTTGGGAGGCTGAGGCAGGCAGATCACGAGGTCAGGAGATCGAGACCATCCTGGCTAACACGGTGAAACCCCGTCTCTACTAAAAATACAAAAAAATTAGCCAGGCATGGTGGCGGGCACCTGTAGTCCCAGCTACTTGGGAGGCTGAGGCAGGAGAATGGCATGAATCCGGGAGGCAGAGCTTGCAGTGAGCCAACATTGTGCCACTGCACTCCAGCCTGGGCAACAGAGCGAGACTCTGTCTCAAAAAAAAAAAAAAAAAGAGTTCAAGACCAGCCTGGCCAACATGGTGAAACCCCATCTCCACTAAAAATACAAAAATTAGCTGGTTGTAGTGGCGGGTGCCTGTAATCCCAGCTACTCAGGAGGCTGAGGCAGGAGAATCGCTTGAACCCAGGAGATGGAGGTTTTGGTGAGCCAAGATCGCACCACTGCACTTCAGCCTCGGCAACAGAGGAAGACTCTGTCTCATAAATAAATAAGCGGGACATGGTGGCCAGCACCTATAATCGCAGCTACTTGGGAAGCTGAGGCAGGAGGATTGCTTGAGCCCAGGAGGTTAAGGCTGCAGTTAGCCATGATCGTGAGTAAGAGAGATCTTGTCTCAAAAATATAATAGCCCAGGCATGGTGGCTTACACCTGTAACCCTAGCACTTTGGGAGGCAAAAGCAGGAGTATCACTTGAGCTCAGGAGTTTGAAACCAGCCTGGGCAACATAGTGAGACCCCGTCTCTACAAAAAATTTTAAAATAAGCTAAGCATGGTGGTGCACACCTGTGATCCCAGCTACTTGGGGGGTGGAGGCAGGAGGATCACTTGAGGCCAGGAGGTCGAGGCTGTAGTAAGCCATGATCGAATCACTGCACTCCACCCTGGGTGACAGAGTGAGACCCTGTCTCAAAAAAATAAATAAAAATAAATATAATAGACCAGGCACGGTGGCTCACGCCTGTAATCCCAGCACTTTGGGAGGCCAAGGCGGGCAGATCGCGAGGTCAGGAGATTGAGACCATCCTGGCTAACATGGTGAAACCCCGTCTCTACTAAAAATACAAAAAAATTCGCTGGGCGTGGTGGTGGGCACCTGTAGTTTCAGCTACTGGGGAGGCTGAGGCAGGAGAATGGCGTGAATCCAGAAGGCAGAGCTTGCAGTGAACCAAGATCGTGCCACTGCACTCCAGCCTAGGTGACAGAGTGAAACTCCGTCTCAAAAATAATAATAATAATAATAATAGGCCAGGTGCCGTGGCTCACGCCTATAATCCCAGTACTTTGGGAGGCCGAGGTGGGTGGATCACGAGGTAAAGGGATCGAGACCAGCCTGGCCAACATGGTGAAAACCCCATCTCTACTAAAATTACAAAAATTAGCCAGGTGTGGTGGTGCACGCCTGTAATTCCAGCTGCTCGGGAGGCTGAAGCAGGAGAATCACTTGAACCCAGGAGGTGGAGGTTTTGGTGAGCCGAGATTGCACCACTGCACTCCAGCTTTGGCAACAGAGGAAGACTCTGTCTCATAAATAAATAAATAAGTGGGACGTGGTGGCCTGCGCCTGTAATCACAGCTACTTGGGAAGCTGAGGCAGAAGGACTGCTTGAGCCCAGGAGGTTAAGGCTGCAGTTAGCCATGATCGTGAGTAAGAGAGACTTTGTCTCAAAATATAATAGCCCAGGCATGGTGGCTCACACCTGTAACCCTAGCACTTTGGGAGGCAAAAGCAGGAGGATCACTTGAGCTCAGGAGGTCGAGGCTGTAGTGACCCATGATCGAATCACTGCACTCCACCCTGGGTGACAGAGTGAGACCCTGTCTCAAAAAAATAAATAAAAATAAATATAATAGACCAGGCACGGTGGCTCACGCCTGTAATCTCAGCACTTTGGGAGGCCGAGGCGGGCGGATCATGAGGTCAGAAGACTGAGACCATCCTGGCTAACACGGTGAAACCCCGTCTCTACTAAAAATACAAAAAAATTAGCCAGGCATGGTGGCAGGCGCCTGTAGTCTCAGCTACTGGGGAGGCTGACGCAGAATGGCGTGAATCCAGAAGGCGGAGCTTGCAGTGAGTGGAGATCGTGCCACTGCACTCCAGCCTGGGTGACAGAGTGAGGCTCCATCTCAAACAAACAAACAAAAAATTAGGCCAGGTGCAGTGGCTCACGCTTATAATCCTAGCACTTTGGGAGGCTGAGGTGGGTGGATCACAAGGTAAAGAGATTGAGACCATCCTGGCCAACATGGTGAAAACCCCATCTCTACTAAAATTACAAAAATTAGCCAGGTGTGGTGGCACATGCCTGTAATCCCAGCTACTCAGGAGACTGAGGCAGGAGAATTGCTTGAACCTGCAAGGCGGAGGTTGCAGTGAGCCGAGATCGCACCAACTGCACTCCAGTCTGGGTGACAGAGTGAGACACCGTCTCAAAAAAAAAAAAAATTAGCCAGGCATGGTGGCAGGTACCTGTAATCCCAGCTACCTGGGAGGCTGAGACAGGAGAATCGCTTGAACCCAGGAGGCGGAGGTTGCAGTGAACTGAGATCGCGCCATTGAACTCCAGCCTCAGCAACAAGAGTGAAACTCCATTTCAAAAAAAAAAATTAATTAAAATAAATACAGTTAAAAGATGCCTTGTCCTAATCCCTGGAGCCTGTGAATATGTTGTGTTACTTGGCCAAGGGAGAGTGAGGTTGCGAGTGGGACTGGGACAGGGAGAGTGTCCTGGATCCCCCGGTGGGCCCCGGGTCATCACGAGGGTCCCCACAGCGGAGGAGGGACGCCTGTGCTGACGGGAAGTGTCGGCCCACCCTCCCAGCTCCCACCCTGTGGGGAGACCCAAGGGGACACCAAGAGTTTCTGTCCCAGCAGTGGGGGCTTTTATGGGGTTCCCACAGAGCACTGCAGGGACGAGAGAACAGAGAAGGGACCCCGGGACAAGCAAGTCGCATAAAATGGCCCAGAGACAAGGCTGGCCACGGAAGGCTGAGGAGGGCTCTGCAGAGGCTGGCGGGGCACGGGAGGGCACTCCAGAATTGGAAGTCATCCCGGATGAGACCTGGAACGCCACGGCTGTTTATCGCCAGAGTTATTTGAGGAGGTGATGAAGGAGGAGGGTGGGTCCCGGCCAGGAACCCAACCAGGCGGGACCTCCAAGGGCAGCCTGGGAGCTGCGAGAAGGGAAGGACAGGTCAGCTCTGGGTGCAGAGACCCCTCTGGGGCTGCAGGCACAGAATGGAGGGGGAACCAGAAGCCAGGAGGCCCGGGAGGAGGCTGGGAGGGGCGAGGCAGGGCTTGAGCTAGGCCCCTGAGGGCGACAGAGAGGAGGGTCTGAGGCTGGTGGGCCCTGGGAGGTGAGGAGGCAGGAATGAGTGGAAGGTGTCCAGGGGCCTGGATGAACCTGGGGATCCCCGTTAGGCACCTGCAGAAGTGGGGGACTCAGGCACAGGGAGGCAAGGGGTCCCTGGCTTGGGGTGTGTCCCCTCCTGGAGCCACAGGCCCATGCGCCCAGGCAGGCAGTTCATCCAGGCAGCCCACAAGCTGCCCATGCACCCCTGGCAAGGTGGAGCTGATGCCCCGCAGGACACACTCATGAAAGCCCTGGCTGCGCATGGACCAGGGTGTGGCAGGTTCTGGTTTGCAAGTTTTCCCAAGGTCAAAGGGCAGGTCGTAAAGTTAAAAGCCAGACAGCACCGGAGGGGAAACTGCTGGGGGTTGCAGACTCCCGAACGGCTCTGGCCCCATCCCATCCAGATCCCTGCACCTCCTGCCCGCCCACCGGGCTCCCCACGCCTCTGCTGGTGTGGGTCTCGCTCTCTGCCCCATCTGGGTGTCTGGCCCCGGGCCCCTGGCTAACCCCCTCTGTCTCTGTGTCTCCCTCTCTCGCTTCGCCTGTCTCAGCCTCCCTTCTCTATCTCTCTTGCTGGGCATTTCTCTCCACCCCTCTCTGTCTCTTTGACCCTGTCTCTCTGTCTCTCCCACGGTCTCTCTCAGTCTCTCCTCAGCTCGCTGTCTCTCCCCTCTGTCTGTGTCTCTCCCCTTCTCTCAGTGCCCCTGGGCCCCTCCCTGCCACCCTGTGCCTGTCGCCTGTCCCATCGCAGGTCCCAGACAGACTGGCGGGGGCCTGAGTGTTGCTATTCTTGGGCCTGAGTGGCAGGCGGGGCTGTGGCCCCCAGGTGCGTCCTGGGCTATGGCCAAATAAGGTCCGGAGTGAGGAGCCCCGGGAGGAGGAGCTGGGGGCGCTGGGGGTGGGGGGAGAGGGGCCAGCTGACCTCCTCCTGCTCCCACTCCCTCCTGCCCCAACCCCCATATTCTGGCAGGTGAGAGCGGGCAGGACAGACCAGGTCATTGCATCAACTAAGCACTTACTGTCTGCCCCTCACAGTGCAGAGCGCCTGTGCCCCCACCCGCTGGGACTGCTCTTCCCAGGGGAGCGCCTCAGGACTCAGAGGGCTACCGCTTGCCCCAGGGCACCCGGCCAGGCCTGTCCCAGAGCTGAGGGGGCTGGGGCGCCCCGCACAGATGCCAGTGGCCTCTCCACACCCCCAGGCTGCAGAAAGGGAGAGGGAGGGGCTGTGGTCAAGAGGCAGGCGCAGGGCAGGTGCGGGGGGAGGGGGACAGCTGTCCCACACCCCCTGGTGGTGACAGCTGCTGCCCGATTTAGCTCACAGAGCCGGGTCTGGCCAGATAAGGCAGTTGGGTGGGGGGGCGGTCTCACCCCCAGGGCACCCCTTAAATCGCACAGTCGGGCCCAGGGTTCAGCTGCCACCGACGCCAGGTGAGAGGGGCTGTTCTTTCCTCGACCTCCTGCCGCAAGGCTCCGCGCGTCTTCTCTCGCTGTCTCCCTCCGTCTCTCTCTCCCTCTCTCTCTCCGTCTCCCTCTCTCCCTGTCTCTCTCTCCCTCTGTCTCCCTCTCTCCCTCTGTCTCTCTCTCTCCCTGTCTCTCTCTCCGTCTCTCTCTCTCCCTCTGTCTCTCTCTCCGTCTCCCTCTGTCTCTCTCTCTCCATCTCTCTCTCTCTTTCTCCCTCTCTCCCTCTGTCTCTCTCTCCGTCTCTGTCTCCCTCTCTCTCTCTCTGTCTCTCTCTCCCTCTGTCTCCCTCTCCCTCTGTCACCCTCTCTCCCTCTGTCTCTCTCTCTCCCTGTCTCTCCCTCTGTCTCTCTCTCTCCATCTCTCTCTCTCCGTCTCTCTCTCCGTCTCCCTCTGTCTCTCTCTCTCCGTCTCTCTCTCTCCCTCTCTCCGTCTCTCTCTCTCCGTCTCTCTCTCTCCCTCTCTCCCTCTGTCTCTCTCCGTCTCTCTCTCCCTCTCTCTCTCTCTCCTTCTCTCTCCCTCTCTCTGTCTCTCTCTCCCTCTGTCTCTCTCTCCGTCTCTCTCTCTCCGTCTCTCTCTCTCCCTCTGTCTCTCTCTCCCTGTGTCTCTCTCTCCCTGTCTCCCTCTGTCTCTCTCTCCCTGTCTCTCTCTCCCTGTCTCTCTCTCTCCGTCTCTCTCTCCCTCTCTTTCTCCGTCTCTCCCTCTGTCTCTCTCTCCCTCTCTCTCTCTCTCCCTCTGTCTCTCTCTCTGTCTCCCTCTGTCTCTCTCTCTCCGTCTCTCTCTCCCTCTCTTTCTCCCTCTCTCCCTCTGTCTCTCTCTCCGTCTCTGTCTCCCTCTCTCTCTCTGTCTCTCTCTCCCTGTCTCTCTCTCCCTCTGTCTCTCTCTCTCCCTCTGTCTCTCTCTCTCCCTGTCTCTCCCTCTGTCTCCCTCTCTCCCTCTGTCTCTCTCTTCCTGTCTCTCTCTCTCCCTCTGTCTCTCTCTCTCCCTGTCTCTCCCTCTGTCTCCCTCTCTCCCTCTGTCTCTCTCTCTCCGTCTCTCTCTCTCCCTGTCTCTCTCTCCGTCTCCCTCTGTCTCTCTCTCCGTCTCTCTCTCCCTCTCTCCGTCTCTCTCTCTCCGTCTCCCTCTGTCTCTCTCTCCGTCTCTCTCTCTCCCTCTCTCCGTCTCTCTCTCTCCGTCTCTCTCTCTCCCTCTCTCCCTCTGTCTCTCTCCGTCTCTCTCTCTCCCTCTCTCTCTTTCTCCCTCTCTCCCTCTGTCTCTCTCTGTCTCTGTCTCCCTCTCTCTCTCTCTCTCCTTCTCTCTCCCTCTCTCTGTCTCTCTCTCCCTCTGTCTCTCTCTCCGTCTCTCCCTCTCCGTCTCTCTCTCTCCCTCTCTCTCTCTCTCCCTGTGTCTCTCTCTCCCTGTCTCCCTCTGTCTCTCTCTCCCTGTCTCTCTCTCTCCGTCTCTCTCTCCCTCTCTTTCTCCGTCTCTCCCTCTGTCTCTCTCTCCCTCTCTCTCTCTCTCCCTCTTTCTCTCTCCCTCTCCCTCTCTCCCTCTGTCTCTCTCTCCCACTCTCTCTCTCCCTCTTTCTCTCTCCCTCTGTCTCTCTCTCTCCGTCTCCCTCTCTCCGTCTCTCTCTCTCCCCCTCTTTCCCGCTGTCTCCCTCTCTCCTCTCTCTCTCCGTCTCTCTCTCCTTCTCTTTCTCCCTGTCTCTGTCTCTCTCCCCATCTGTCTTTCTCTGTGTCCCTCTCCCCAGTTCTCTTTATCTCCTCTCCTGCCTCATCTCCCTCTCCTCACTGTCTCTGTCTCTCATTCTCCCTATCGTTCTCTCCATCTCTCTCTCCTCCTTCTCGTCTGTTTCTCTCTGTCTCTCCATCTGTCTCATCTGTCTCTTCCTCCCACCTCTTTTCTGTGTCTCTGTCTCCTCCCCCCAACTTTCTCTCAGTCTCCCTCAGCACCCCCTGTTTCTCTTTCTTACTCTCCCTTTTCTCCCCATCTCTCTGTCTCTCCCTGGCTTTGTATCTCTGTGTCTCTTTCTCTCTGTCTTCTTCTATCTCTGTCTCTCCCCATCTTCTGTCTCTGCCTCTCCTCCACTTCTTTCTCTGCCTCTCCCCCACTTCTCTGTCTCTCCCCCACTTCTATCTCTGACTCTCCCCCACTTCTCTGTCTCTCTCTCCCCCACTTCTCTCTGTCTCTGTTTCTCCCCCACTTCTATCTCTGTCTCTCCCCCATTTCTCTCTCTGTCTCTCCCCACTTCTCTCTGTCTCTCCCCATTTCTATCTGTCTCTCCCCCATTTCTATTTCTGACTCTCCCCCACTTCTCTGCCTCTGTCTGTCCCCCACTTCTCTCTGTCTCTCTCCCCCATTTCTATCTCTGTCTCTCCCCCACTTCTCTCTGTCTCTGTCTCTCCCCATTTCTATCTCTGTCTCTCTCCCACTTCTGTCTCTCCCCCATTTCTATCTCTCTCTCCCCCACTTCTCTGTCTCTGTCTCCCCCACTATCTCTGTCTCTCCCCCACTTCTCTCTGTCTCTCCCCCACTTCTCTGTCTCTGTCTCCCCCACTTCTATCTCTGTCTCTCCATTTCTCTCTGTCTCTGTCTCTCCCCCACTTCTCTCTGTCTCTCCTCCACTTCCTCTATCTCTGTCTCTCCCCCATTTCTCTGTCTCTGTCTCTCCCCCACTTCTCTCTGTCTCTCCCCCACTTCTATCTCTGTCTCTCCTCTACTTCTCTCTGTCTCTGCCTCTCCCCCACTTCTATCTCTGTCTCTTCCCCATTTCTATCTCTGACTGTCCCCCACTTCTCTCTGCCTCTCTCCCACCATTTCTCTCTGTCTCTGTCTCTACCCCCATTTCTGTCTCTGTCTCTCCCCCCATTTCTCTCCATCTCTGTCTGTCTCTCCTGTCTCTGACTCCTCCTCTCTCCCCAGCTCCCTGGACGAAGCCCTCCGGGGCCTCTGCGGTCCCTGCTGAATAAAGCTGTTTCTGTCCTCACCTCTCTCCCTTCTGCGCCTCCTTCTTTCCTTCCTCACTCCTCTGCCTCTCAGCTCGGCCCCCCAGCCCTGATCCTGGGTATAGGGGGTGGGAATTCTGGAGCTGGGGGTGGGGGCTCCTCCCTCCCAGAGACAGAGATGGATGCAGAGAGAGAACCAGAGACAGGCACGGAAAGAGACAGAGAGAGACAGAGCGAGACAGAGACAAGATGGGGGCCGTAAGCTCAGAAATGAGAGAGACAGCAGGTCACAGAGACACAGCACGTGAGAGACAGGGAGACACAGAGAGACTCAGAGACAGACAGACCAGACAGCGCCCCCACTCCAATACACACAAACAGACACAGGGGACAAGAGCCGGTCAGGGCTGGACAGCCTCCCCTCCCCCTCCAGGCCAGGCCAGGCCAGGCGGTGCCAGGCCCAGGACAATGGGCCCTTGTCAGGGCTCCGGAGGAGCCAGCCAGCTGGGGAGGCCTGTGGGCTGGGCCACGGAGGAGGGTCGGCCACAGCGGCTGCTGGGTTGGGGAAGGTGCACCTCCTGCGGGCCTGGCCCACGGCCTCCACCCTCAGACTCTCCTTCTCCCCTGGCCTCCCTTCCTGGGGTCTCCACCTACTCCCAGCCTGCTTTCTCTGCTCTGCCTGGGGAAGGGGACAGGCATTTATGGAGTACCTGCTGTATGCACCCAAAATGCCTCCTCGCCTCTCCTCACACACTCCGTCTCCCGCCACGGGTGTGCCGTCCTCGGGTGTGCCCGCCTCGGGTGTGCCCGCCTCGGGTGTGCCGTCCTCGGCGCCCTCTACTTGTTCCTCCTGTGCCTCTGGCTCCTTCCATGGAAGAAACGGGCAATTATTAAGCACCTGATGCTTGGCAGGCAATTCCCCTAACCGCGTCTGCACTTTCCATCCTTCTTGCTTTCCTGTCCCTTCTGCCCCAGTTCCTTTCTCTTTCTGATTTGCTTGGTCTCTCCTGGGAAGGAAACGGGCATCTACTGAGCATCTGCTATGCGCCGAGGAGTTGAGGAACATGGCTCCTCTCTCGCTACCTTCTTTCCTCCCCCCACCCCCATTCCTTTCTTTCTTTTTTTCTTTCTAGGACAGGGTCTCACTCCGTCGCTCAGGTTGGAGCGCACACAATCGCAGCTCACTGCAGCCTCGACTTCCTGGGCTCAAGCAGTCCTCCCACCCCAGCCTCCCAAGTAGCTGGAACTCCACACACCACCATTCCTGGCTAATTTTTGTATTATTATTATTATTTGAGATGGAGTTTTGCTCTTGCCGCCCAGGCTGGAGTGCAATGGCGTGATCTCAGCTCATTGCAACCTCCACCTCCTGGGTTCAAGCGATTCTCCTGCCTCAGCCTCCCGAGTAGCTGGGATTACAGGCACCCGCCACCACGCCTGGATAATTTTTAAGTATTTTTAGTAGAGACGGGGTTTCACCATGTTGGTCAGGCTGGTCTTCAACTCCTGACCTCAGGTGATCCACCCACCTTGGCTCCCAAAGTGCTGGAATTACAGGAATGAGCCACCGCACCCAGCCTAATTTTTGTATTTTTTGTAGAGACAGGGTCTCTCTACGTTGGCCAGGCTGGTCTCGAACTCTTGGGCTCAAGCGATCCTCCCACCTCTGCCTCTCAAAGTGCTAGGATTACAGACATGAGCCACGGCGCCTGGCCCCTTTCTTTCCTCTCTATTGGTGTCCTCTCCTTTCTGACTTTCTGCTCTCTCCTGGCAGAGGGAGTGGACACATTTTGAGCACTTACTGTGTACTAAACACCTTACATACCTCTCTCCTCACTCTCTTCCTCCCCGGTCCCTCTTCTGTCCTTTCCTTGTGTTTCTGAGCTCTCTGCCCTCTTCCAAGGCAAGGACTACATTTATTGAGCACTTCTGGTATGCAAGCAATTATGTCCTTTCTCTCCTCTCCTCTTGCCCTTCAGTCTCCACTGACTCCACCAGTCTCTGCTTCTTTCTGCTCTGTGCCAGGGAAGAAAATGGGCATTTATTGAGTACCTATTGTGTGCCAGACAGTTTTCTTATTCTCCCCTAACCCTTCACTTCGCCTTCTTCCCTTATCTCTAACTTCTTTCTGTCCCATCGGCTCTTTCTCGGGGACAAAGACAAGCAATTATGGGGCACCTACTGTATGCCAGGCAATTAACATCCCTCCTCATCTCCTACCTCTTTCTCGCTGCCCCTCTTGCTCTGCCAGCTTATCCCCTTGCTGTTCTCTGGGTCCTTTTCTGGGGAAGGGTACAGGTGTTTATTGAGTGCCTCCTGTGTGCCCCATGGTTTACCTGCAATGCCCCCTCCCTGCGTATCCTCTCCTCTGCCACACTCCTCTCACTGATCCCTCCTCCCTCTGCTCCTCCACCCCCACGGAGGCCTCCTGGGCCAACCTTTTCCTCTCATTCCTGTCTGTGCCTTCATTTCTGTCTTGTTCTCTTGCTCCTCCAAGGACGACAATGTGCATTTATTGAGTGCCTCCTGTGTGCCCACCACCTCACCAGTGTACTTGTTCTCATTTCCTCTCTTCTCCCTGCCTCCTTCTCTCCACCAGCTTCTCCCCCTCCTCTCTGCCCTGCCAGCTCTTTCCTGAGGGAGGAAATAGGCATGTATTGAGTGCCTACTGTATGCTGCCGCTTCATCTACACTGTCTGCTTGCCTCACAGGCTCTGTTCTCCCTTCTCTCCTTTTCTCCTTCTCTCCGCTTGCTCCCTTCCTCCTGGCTGCTTTCTCTGTGCTTGCTGCCAGGGAGGAGAATGGGCATTTATTAGGCACCCACTGTGTATTAGTCACTTTACATATATTGTCTCCTTCCCACACAACAGTCTCTTCTATTCTCTCTGCTGGAGTTTCCTCCTCCTCCTCCTCCTCCTCCTCTCTTCCTCCTCTTCTCCTTCCTCCTCCTCTTCCTCCTTCTCTTCCTCCTCTTCCTCCTCTCCTCACTCCTCCTTTACTTTCTCCTGTCTCTTGGGGAAAAGAAATAACACTTAACAAACACCTACTGGTCTGCTTCACACTTTCCACCCGTGCCTCTCTCTCTTTTTTTTTTTTTTTTTTTGAGATGGAGTCTTGCTCTGTCGCCCAGGCTGGAGTGCAGGGGGGCAATCTGAGCTCACTGCAACCTCTGCCTCCCGGGTTCAAGCGATTCTCCTGTCTCAGCCTCCTGAGTAGCTGGGATTACAGGCACCCACCAACATGCTCGGCTAATTTTTTGTATTTTAGTAGAGACGGGGTTTCACCGTGTTGCCCAAGCTGGTCTCGAACTCCTGAGCTCAGGCAATCCACCTGCCTAGGCCTCCCAAAGTGCTGGGATTACAGGCGTGAGCCACCGTGCCTGGCTCTATGTCCCTCTCTTTAGGCTGCCTCTCCTTCTGCTTTTGCTCTGCGGGACTTTCTTCTTCTCCCTTTTCATGTGGTCCTGAAGGGCCTGGGCAGTTATTGAGCACCGACTGTGTGCCAGGCTTTTTATAGATACAGCCTCCCCTTCTCACCCTCGATTCCCCCTTTCTCTTCCTCTCTCTGCCTTCCTACTCTCTGTGCTCTCCCCTAGGAAAGGGGAAGGGCACCAATTGAGCGCCAACTGTGTACCAAGGCGACTCTCTTTAGCCCCTTCCTTTCCCCTCAGCCGCCACAGCCCTAGAAGGGGTGGCCAGCTACACCGTGCGGGGCTGCAGGAAAGAGGAGGAGGAAGGAGGATGTGGGCTGCAGCCTGATTTCTCCCTTGGAAAAATATGTGGACGACAATGGCTACTCCCTCCCAGGTCAGGGTGGGGTGGGGGAGGCTGAAGGAGGCCTGGAGGGACTCTAGGAAGGAACACTCTAGAATCTGAGCCTGAGAGGCAGCCCGTGCCCATGGAGGGGACGCTTCTGCTGCCAGTCACCACACTGGATTCAAGCCTGAGCCTCCTTCCTCCACCTCCCTCTCCCCTCCGCAGGCCTTCCTGCCCTGCAGACACTTGGCGGGTGGTCCCTGGACTCCTCACCACCTGAGGGAGCAGATGAGGAAACTGAGGCTCGGGCGGGAAAGAGGATTTGCCCCTCCCCATTCTCCTTCTACCTCTCCTCTGTGACCCCCTTCCTCTGTCTCTCTCGCCCTCTCCTCTCTCCCATTCTCTGAATCTCTCCCCCAACCCCTGCTCCCACTCTGTTCCTGTCTCTGCATGCCCCCAAATTCCCTTTTTTTTTTTTTTTTTTTTTTTTTGAGATGGGGACTCGCTCTGTCGCCCAGGCTGGAGTGCAATGGAGCGATCTCAGCTCACCGCAACCTCCTCCTCCCTCTTACTCCACCTCCTCCTCTTTCCTCCTTCCTCATCTTTCCTTCTCCTTCTTCCTCCTTCCTCTTACTCCCTCCTCCTTCCTCCTCCTTTCCCTCTTTCCTCTTCCTCCTCCCTCCTCCTCCTCACCCCTCCTCCCCCTTTCCTCCTCCTCTCCCTCTTTCCTCTTCTTCCTCCCTCCTCCTCCTTCCTCTTTCCTCCTCCTCTTTCCTCCTCCTCCTCACCCCTCCTCCCCCTTTCCTCCTCCTCCCCCTTCCTCCTCTTTCCTCTTCCTCCTTCTTCCTTCTCCTCCTCCTCTTTCCTCTCCCCCCTCCTCCTCCCCCTATCCATAACACACACACACACAGGCTGTCCCTGTCCCTGTGTGTCCTCTCTTCGGCTGGATCCTCAGTGTTTCCTCCTCTCTAGGTCTTGCACACACTGCTCCTCCCTTGGGCGATATTCCAGTCCTCCACACGCTTCCACCCAGCCCCACCTTTTCCTGATTGTCCACCTTGTGGCTCTCAGCCTTTCTGGAATCTTCTCCCTTGTCCTCCAGACTGCCACCCCCCACTGTCTTCTGCCCTCTCCTTCCCCTGCGCTAGGTCCTCCTCCTCATCCCCGCCCTGTCATTTCCTCATCGTCTGTACCCAACCCCCAGAGGAGGCGCTGATGGGGCCCCAGTCTCACTGTGCCCGTCCACAGCAACCGACTGTGTCAGAAGGAGACAAGGGGGCCGGGGACAAGGGGCAGCACTGTGGTTAGGGCCTGTGCCCTTGGTCTCCCTCCCTCCTCTGCCTCCTTTGCCTCCAGTTTCTGTCCCTTGGATTTGCCTCTCCTCTTTCCTCTCACTCCTGCCTCCCCTTCCTCTCCCTGCACCTTCAGTGAGTTCCACCTGGCTTCCCCTCCACACGCTCCTGGTGGCTTCTCTTTGGCGCTTCTCTCTCTCTCTCTCTCTCTCTCTCTCTCTCTCTCTCTCTCCCTGTCTCTCCCATCTCTCGCTGTCTCTGTCTCATTTTCTCAGTCCGTCTCTGTCTCTCTCGCTCTGTCTCTCTCACTCTCTTGCCATCATTGTCTCTGTTTCTCTCGCTGTCTCTTTCTTTCTCACTCTCTCGCCATCATTTTGTCTGTTTCTCTCACTGTCTCTCTCTGTCTCTCGCTTTCTGTCTCATTGTCTGTCTCTCTCTGGCTATCTCTCTTTTACTGTCTCTCTCTCGCTGTCTGTCTCTCACTCTCTCTCTCGGTCTCCCTCTTACTGTCTCTCTCACTGTCTCTCTTGCTGTCTCCCTGTCTCTTTCTCTCACTCTTTCTCGCTATCTCTGTTTCTCTCAACGTCTCTGTCTCTCTCGCTGTCTCTTTCTCTCTCCATCTCTCGCCATCTCTCTCTCCCTCTCTGTCTCTGACACACTCTATTTCTCCCATCCTCCCCTCCATGGGGCTTTCCTGTTTCCTTTCCATCCTCACCTTCACTCGCTCTTTCCTCTCCGTTTTCTCCCTCACCCCACAAGCTCTCTCCCCTCGCCTCTAGTCCCCCAAGTCCTTCCCAGCTCCGCCTCTCCATGCCCGCTCCTTCCTTTCCAGTTCCTCTGCCAGTCATTGTCCTTGACCCTTCCCTCTCCTCGTCTCTGCTCCCACCGGCTCGTCTGAGCCTGGCGCTGACAGCCTTCTCCCCACCCCGCCCAACCCCACCCCCGACTCCCGCCATCCCCTCGCCTCCTGGTCCCTGTCCCCCTCCCGCGTCCCCGTCTTCTTGATGACTCCAACAGCTGCAGCTGCAGAGGCCCCGAGGCCCCTCGGAGGAGACTGGGCAGGGAGGGCTCCTCCGCATGCTGGGATATTTTTATCCTGCCTTGGACGATCGGGACGATTGGTCCTGCAATCTGTTTCACCCTTTAAGAAACTCATTTCATGTCCTGCCAGGTCCTGGGACCATAAGCTCGCGTGTCTCCACAGTTGCACATTCCCGTCCGTCTGCAGCTCATTATCTGGGCCACAAGGACGTTACCCCATGACTTGGAAGGACGCGCCATCACGCAGGAGGTCACAAAGTGGACGGCAGGAAAGCCAGCCTTCCCTCTTCTGCCTTCCTCCTCACCTCTCTCTCTCTCTCTCAGTACTTTGTTCTTGTTAATATCAGTGTATCAATGAGCCTGGTTTTTTGCCTTTTATTATTATTATTAACATAGTGAGCACAGGCGTTTCGTACTCTGCGTCTGATTTTCCAGCAGCGAAGCCTCTGCCATCCGCCCCACCGTCCCGCTGGCTCTTGCTCATTGTCTTTCCCTTCCCTGCTTGCCTGCTCCCTCACGCCCCTGCTCTGCGTGTTGGATGTGAAAAGGATGTCAGGGACTAGGCGGAGGGCATGTTCCTCCGAGCCCAGGCTGCACCTTGGCACAGTGGAGGGTCCACCCACCCCAGGTAGCCCAGGTGAGGCCCCTGGGTCCCCCTGTCACTCAGGCTGTCCACATGAAAGTCCAGATGTCTCCGACCAACAGATCCCTGGGAGAAAGGACGTGACGCTGCCGCTTCACCGGGATGGGTTCCCACGTCCCTCCGCGTTGACCCACAGCTTCCTTACGGTCTTGTATGTAGTTTGATGCTTTTAAGGGCCGGCCACGGTGGCTCAACGCCTGTAATCCCAGCACTTTGGGAGGCCAAGGTGGGCGGATCATGAGGTCAGGAATTCGAGACCAGCCTAGCCAAAATGGTGAAACCCCGTCTCTACTAAAAAATACAAAAATTAGCAGGCACGATGGCGGGCCCCTGTAATCCCAGCTACTTGGGAGGCTGAGGCAGGAGAATCGCTTAAACCCGGGAGGCGGAGTTTGCAGTGAGCCGAGATCGCGCCACTGCACTCTAGCTTGGGCAACACAGCAAGACTCCGTCTCAAAAAAAAAATTGTTAAGACTATTTTATCCAGGTTCCTACTTGTTTTCAGTTATGGGGTTGGGGGCGGGGTGGGAGGGCAATGACCTGACACAGTGTTACCGGATGAGGAGTCTGGTCTTGCTTTGCTTTCTCTGCCTTTTCTGTCTTGTCATTGGCTCTCCCGCCCTCCTACACGCACCCCGCCTGTTGCTTCTCTCATTCTCCAGTTCCCTTCCAATCCCCCTTCACTTCTCTTTACTCCCCTCCCCCAGGTCAGTGCTCGGCGTTTCCTCCCTCTTTCTGTTCTCCCATCCTCCCGGGCAGCTGTCTCTGTCCTGTTCTGTCTCCTGTTCTCCCGCCCCTCCAGCTCCTTCCCTTCCTCCTTTCTCCTGGGCCCTTCTCTGCCGCACCTTCCACAGCTGCTCTGTTCCTCCCCATCCTCGTCTAGTCCCATTCGTTGTCCTTTCTCTCCCTGGGTCACAGAGATGGCCCCGGGGTGGCTGCGCCCTGTTGAGGCAGGGAACGTTTCTGCTGCATGGCCGAGTTCCCAACCTGGACCCGCCGGGTCTGGCAGCCTGTCCCCGCAGTAGCCTGGGCTGTGCCCACGACACCCCCGCCGCCCAGCTACCCGGCCCTCTCCGTGCCTCACACTGGCTCCTAACCTGCTTCACGTTCCTGCTTCCTGCCCCGGTCTCTGGGCTGACGCTGTCTTAGGGGCGCCCCCTCCTCAGCTGGAGGGGCATGGTCCTCTGTCGCTACTTCCAATCCTCTCTCCCTTCTTTCTCTCCATATTGCTCTTCCACACTCATGCACCTCTTCTTTCCTTTCTGCTTTTTTTCTCGCTCACTCACCCGCTGGAGTGCAGTAGTGCAGCCTCCACCTCCCAGGCTCCAGTGATCCTCCTGCCTTAGCCTCTCAAAGTGCTGGGACCACAGGTGCGAGGCACCATGCCCGGCCTGTTCTTTTCTCTCTGCCCTTTTTTGTATTTTTTCCTTTCTCCTTTCCTTCTTCCCTAATGTCTGTCTCTCTCCTTCCCTTCTTAACTTCCCTTCTCTCTCCAGCCCTCTCCTACCCTCCTTTTCTCTTTTCCCCTATCTCCAGCCCTCTCCTACCCTCCTTCCCTCCCTCTTTCTCTCTCCCCCTCCGCACCGCTCCATCTCCCTCTCGGTCCAGTCCGCTGTCTGTGCCCCCTCTCTGTTCCGTTTTCTCTCCCACCCTTCTTCCCTCTCCCATTTCTTCTCTTTTCCCCTCTTCCTGTTCTCTTTTTCTCGCTGTCCTCTCTGTGGCCACCCTCCTTTTTCTCACTTCTGCTCTCCCTGTCCGGCTCTTCTCTCTCCTCTCTCCCTTCTAGCAGATTCTCTGGCTGTTTCCTCTCCTCTCCCTCTGTGCTCCTCCCTCCTCCTCTCTCCTCCCAGCCACTATCCTCTCTCTTCACCCTCTTCTCTTTCTGTCTCATGGTCTCCTCCTAGCTCTTTTCCTTCCCAGTTCCTAGCTCTCTCCTTTCTCTTTCCTCTTCTCTGGCTGGAGCTCCCCGCTCCTCCATCCCTCCCTCTCCCGGGGCCCCCTCTCCCCCACCCTCTTCTCCCCCAACACCCTCTCCCCCACCCACTTCTCCCTAGGACGCTCCCTCCTTCACCCGTTTCTCTGCTTCCCTCTTCTCCGAGCTCACCAGCCATGGCACCCACCCTCTCCCTCTCTTCCTTCCTGTCCCTTTTTTCACCCCCTCGTCTTTCTTTCCTCTTCTGTTTTTTCTTCTCTTTCCACTTCTGACCCCCTACACTGTTTCCTTCTTTCTCCCTCTTCCTCTCTCCCCTCCTGCTCTGGCCATCTTTTCTTTTTTTTTTTTTTTTTTTTTTTGAGACGGAGTCTCGCTCTGTCGCCCAGGCTGGAGTGCAGTGGCGCAATCTCGGCTCACTGCAAGCTCCGCCTCCAGGGTTCACGCCATTCTCCTGCCTCAGCCTCCCGAGTAGCTGGGACTACAGGCGCCTGCCACCATGCCCTGCTAATTTTTTTTTTGTATTTTTAGTAGAGACAGGGTTTCACCGTGTTAGCCAGGACGGTCTCGATCTCCTCACCTCGTGATCTGCCTGCCTTGGCCTCCCAAAGTGCTGGGATTACAGGCGTGAGCCACCGTGCCCGGCTCTTTCCTCCTGCTTTTTTCCTACACTCTCTCCTCCCTCCTCTCCTCCCTCTTTCTCCTGTTTGATTTCCACCTCTTTTCTCTCCTCTCTCCTCTGAATCTGCCTCTTCCTCTTCTCACCTCCCTCTTCCTTCCCTGTCTCTCCCCCTTGGGTCTCTCTTCCTTCCCTCTCTCTGGTTTCTCTGTCTCTGCCCTGTCCTTTCCTTTCCCTCCTCTCTGGACCTGTCTCCTCTCCTGGCTCTCTCTCCTTCAAGCTCTCACTCCCACTGGCCTCCCTCCCGGGAGCCCCGTCTCCTCCGTCTCCAGGTGGCCCCTGCATCCCTGCCTGGTGGGCCTTTGCCTCCCTCTCCTGTTCCTGCCTTGCCTGCTCCCAGGTTTCCAGGTCCTGACCAGGAGGCAGGAGTCCATACCGAGGCCCAAACAGGCTAGCCCTGAGCAGGGCCCCCAAGCCTGAGGCCCAGGAGTGGACAGACCTTTGTGACACCCATTCTCTCTTCCTTTTCCATCTGTCCGGAACTCTGGACACTGCCTGGAGGAATCAGGCCTGCCGTAGGCCCAGGAAGGCGGAAACAAAGACGACGCTCAGAGACAGGAAGCAACTTGCCTAAAGATACACAGCACGTAAGGAGCAGGGACAGGACTGGGTGGGGCCCCTGGGGTTGGCCAGGAGTGGGCTCCTGAATCTGCCGATCCCTGGCCTCCTATCTGAGCTCAGTGAGCAGCGGATGACGCCTTTCTGCTCCATTCCGCTCCCTTCCCAACTCTTCCTCTGACAACATGAAGCACCTCAGCACTGAGGGGACCTCACCTGAATTCCATTTCAGAAATGAGAAAATTGGTGCCCAATGTTTCTGAAGACCAGCAACTGCTAAGACAGAGACTTCGAGGGAACCCGACCTTGCCTGAAGGACCAACAGCGCCCCCTGCAGGACACTTCCCTCCATTGAGAGAAGCCACAGGCGCCGGCCTGAGGCATTCTGAGTGCGTGGAATCCTCTATTACCACCTCCTGGCAAAGAACGGAGCTGCAACCCAGCTATATGAGACACCGAGAATGATCTCAACAAAAAGGAACAGTGACCAGAATGCCTGGGGGAGGAACAGGGGATACTGGGTGGAAGGAGGGGAGAGGGAGAAGTTGTAATATTTTGTAAAAATGAACATTTTTACTCCTAATCAATATACAAACATCATGCTCAGCAAACTTCTTGGTATGAAACTTCTGAACTTCACACATTTTCAAGTCATTCTATGGGTGGGTGGATTGGCTCCCATGGAAATGCAACTGGGACTGCACATGGGAAACAAAGGAAAATGGAATTTGGTTCACACAAACCTGTTTGGGAGATTGCATTTCCAGGAAATGGGCCAAATTGAGTTTGTTTCCTTTGTAACAACATTGTTGTGCCTTGCTGACTGGAAGGTGGGTACAAATAAAGGAGGATGGACTGACAGCTGAAGAGGCACCAGTAATTAGCCCCTAATCCTTACCAGGGAGTCTCTCTGATGGGTTAAAGAAGCCTACAGAGGCCAGGGGCGGTGGCTCACACATGTAATCCCAGCACTTTAGGAGACTAAGGTGGATCGCTTGAGGTCAGGAGTTCAAGACCAGCCTGGCCAACATGGTGAAACCCGGTCTCTACTAAAAATACAAAAATTGGCTGGGTGTGGTGGCACACGGTTGTAATCCCAGCTACTCAGGAGGCTGAGGCAAGAGAATTGCTTGAACCTGGGAGGTGGAGGTTGCATTGAGCCAAAATTGAGCCACTGCACTCCAGCCTGGGTGACAAGTGAAACTCCATCCCACAAACACACCTGCCCCCCACCCACCAAAAAAAAAGGAGCCTATAGTTTCCAGTAGACAATTTGGGGTTAGTAAAGAATTTTACAAAATACTAAATGTAGTCTTGTATATTTTAGGATTGTTTGCCATGCAACTATGTACTGGGAGCACCTAAATGCCCACATGAAACCCTAGGCTGGGAAGAGGAAGGCTTTCGCAATGCCACGCAGCCGATAACATTTTCTGGTGGCAGGAAATGGGAGGGAGCAACCCCTCCTGGAGCATTTACCTTGCCAGGTGCTCTCACATCTTAGACCAGAAGTCACGAGGCTAGGATGAGGGTCCAGGAGGCAGAGAATGAGGATTGAGTTAGGGTCAGGACAGTGGACACAGAGAGGAGGAGACACAGAAGGATGGGTTGGGACTCTATCCTGGGGGAGGTGAGAGGCCACGCGGAGGGCTGTGAGCAGGGGAGTAGTGAGGTCAGCTCTAGTGTCAGGAAGCTCTCCATTAGGGGGATGGACTGAGGGGGGGATGTTGGGGGCTGGGAGGCCAAAGAGGAGGCTGGGCCGATGGTCCAGGTGGCAGAGGACGAGGCTTGAGCTGGGACCAAGGCCATGGAGACAGAGGTGACGGGATGAGGCCAGGAAGAACTTTAGGGGTAGGTATGGTGGTGCATAGGAGAACGTGATTGGGACAGGGCAGTGCTCTGGTCCATGAGGTTGGGCAGGTGATGGCACCACTCACTGGAACAAAGATCCCTGGAGGAGCACCCGATCCGGGCAGGTGGGAGGCACTGGCTCCTTTAGTGGCCCCTGAGGCACATCCTGGGGAAGGAGCCCAGGAGGCAGCTGGGGCCATGAGTCTGGAGATCAGGGGTGGGATCTGAGCTGGAGATGAGTTGGGGAATCGCTGGTGAAGAGGGGCTGTCTGGAACCTCCAGGGTGAAGGGATGGGGCAGACACCTGGAGTAGCAAGGGGGAAGCATGCACCACCATCACACACACATCCCTCTCCCCCAGCAAGGTGGGGCCCCACCGGGCCATGTCTTCCACAGACACATATGTGTGCAAAATGATGCAGCAGAACAGGGGGACTCCTGCAGTGCTGCTTAGAACTACTCAAATCCAGCAACACACTCTTACACCAGAGATGGAATAAGATGGCACCTTATACCAGAGATGGAAACTGCCCCAGCTATGTCAAAAGAAGGTGGGGGAAAAGAGCAACACTTGCAAAACTGTTGACATGTGCATCTGCTTGTTTCTGTGGAGAGTATCTGCAGCATACCAGGGGACAGAAAACTCAGGCTGCCTCCAGGGAGGGGAAGTGGGTGCTGGAGCCCAGAGTGAGCATACAGTTTCTGGACGTGGATTCCACTGCATCTTTTGTCTATTCTGGAGACAGGGTCTCACTCTGTCACCCAGGCTGGAGTAAAGTGATTCAATCACAGCTCAGGAAGCATCGAACTCTGGGGCTCAAGCGATCCTCCTGTCTCAGCCTCCCAAACAGCTGGGACTACAAGCATGAATCACTATGCCTGGCCAACCTACTCTATCTTTTGAGTTTCATACTTCATCCCTGGATAACCCGGTCAATAAAATAAAATAGTGAGTGGGTTCCCCAAGGACCGGCCAGACGGGGAAGAAAAGTTTAATAAGAACAGAACGCTAGGGGAGCCTGAAGGAGCTCAGGCATTTCCTGGAATACCCAACAGAGTAACCCTGCCAGCCTGAAAGCAACCGAGACTTAGAGGGAAAGGACATAATCAGGTTTATAAAGATCCCAATGTTTAACCCAGGAAAAATAAGATGTTCCCCCAGTGCCGGGGTAGAAGACATCTGCAGATCAGACACAGGGACCAGGACTCCAAGTTGGGAACACTTCCCAAAAAGCATCAGTAGGCCTGGCGCAGTGGCTCATGCCTGTAATCCCAGCACTTTGGGAAGCTGAGGCAGGTAGATCACCTGAGGTCAGGAGTTCAAGACTAGCCTGGCCAACATGGTGAAACCCTGTCTCTACTAACAATACAAAAATTAGCCAGGTGTGTTGGCGGGCGCCTGCAATCCCCGCTATTTGGGAGGCTGATGCAGGAGAATCGCTTAAACTCAGGAAGCGGAGGTTGCAGTGAGCTGAGATCGTGCCATTGTACTCCAGCCTGGATGACAGAGCGAGACTCTGCCTCAAAAAAAAAAAAAAAAAAAAAAAAAAAGCATTAGTAAATATTTCTGGAATCCTCTAGGAAAAGAATGAAGCAGGATTCACATGGAATGAAGACAGAAAAAGCATAAGCTATCTCCTGCAGGTGGAGAAAGAAACAGAAGTTAGCAATGCTAAGACTATCTTCTTTATTAAAGTTACCAAAAATAGGCCAGGCGCGGTGGCTCACGCCTGTAATCCCAGCACTTTGGGAAGCCGAGGCAGGTGGATCACTCGAGTCCAGCAGTTCACGACCAGCCTGGGCAATATGGTGAAACCCCGTCTCTACAAAAAATACAAAAACTAGCTGCGCGTGGTGGTGCACGCCTACAATTCCAGCTACTCAGGAGGCTGAGGTGGGAGAATCGCTGAGCCTGAGAGGTGGAGGTCGCAGTGAGTCAAGGTACCGCCACTGCACTCCAGCTTGGGTAACAGAGCAAGACCCTGACTCAAAAACAAAAAGAAGTGATGGGAGGGAAGGCAACCTCCCACGGTGCACCACCTCCTGGTCTTGACAGTCGACTCACAAACCATCACTTGTTTATAAACGCGTTTCCGATCTGCCATCGTAATTCCATTTTAGTCATGCATCCCGAGATCATTCAAACCACACCCAAGAGAGACTGGACGACAGCACTCACTAGGGTGCTATTTATAACCATACAATGCAGGAGGCTAGCTGCGTGTCGATCTGGGGGACAGTTTAATAAACTGCCACACAACACAGCTGAGCTCCACACAGCCACATGAGGATGGGGACAGCCATTCCTTGGGTTTCTGAATAACGTATCAAGTGAGCAGTGAATTTCAATCAAGCTTGTACATCAGGACCGTCTTGCCAAAACAACAGTTGCTTTTGGCTGCTGGAAGCTGTAGCTTTTCAAAACGTTCACACATTTCAATGTATCGTCGATGTTTTTAAATAGACTTACAGGGAGGGTGGCACACAGCAAAGGCCCGCAGGCCCTCGTAGCACCGCAGTCCAGGTAGGATGCTGGGCGGCGGGGGGTGGTGGAGGGGGTTCTATTTACAGTGTCTGGGCTTTGACTCCACTAACTGTTGGTTTTGTTTTCTTTCTTAAACCTTTTCCTTCAAGTCTGGAAGCCTGTGGAGGGCCTGTCACCTTAAAGGCAAGGATTCCTTGTTTGCACCAGGCAGACAAATGTCAAACCACGACCCCAGGGGCTGCACTAGGCGTCGGGCCCAGAAGCCCCCGGCCATCCAGCCCCGACTCTTTCATGCCTCTGCCCCTGATGAGGGGACCCAGGGTACCCTCAAGGGGACACAGAAGGGAGGCTGCATCCTAGTCCAGTGTCAAAGTGAGGGGGGCGCTGCAGGAGCCTGGACAGGACCACCTAGCCCAGCCAGGGACAGGAGGGTGAGACCACCTGGAACAAAGGCACAGAGGCTGGAGAGAAGGCGGCATGTTCCCAGACTGCATGGGCTCGGGGTAGGGGGATGCGAGGTCAGAACTGGCATAGTGGCCAGGATCTCGGGCTCTACTCCATGGGCAGGGGGGAAGCCCCTGGGGCTGCATGGGGCCATGGGGGAGGCGGGCGCAGGAGACACCGGCTGCTGTGCCAAAGGCCCCAGTCCAGCTGCTCCTCTGCCAGCAGAAGGCAGAGGACAAGGGGCTGGCCCAGGTGGCCTCGTGGGACGGGGGGAAAGGAGGGACCAGCAAACCCTTCTTGGGATGGCTGAGGACACAGGGGACTCCAGCAGAAAGGGAGGCCCCTGGGTGTGCAAGACGGGACGCTGACCAGCCTGGGCCCTCACCGGCCACTACCCCCACCACCACCCCCACCCCCACCCCCACCCTGGCCCCCGGTGTCTGGCGCTCCTGACATCATGAGGAACAGGACGACGGGAATGATGTACATCCACTGCAGCCGGACGGAAGGATGGACAGACAGACACAGAAAGAGAGAGAGAGGGGAAGGAGGTGAGTGTGGGCATCACCCACCCACGGTGGGGACCGGCATGAGGGGAGGTCGCGTAAGGGGAGGGCGCCCAGGTCCCCTACGTCACTACAGGTCAGGGAGGGCCAGTGGGGCGCAGGGAGGGGCAGGGGTCTCGGTCCTCACTCAGGCCTCCTGTGGCGGTGGCGCGGGCCCTGGCGCAGCAGGACGCAGGGCTGTGAGCAACACGGCCCCCCCCAGGATGATGTGCCACTGGGGAGGGAGGGAGCGCAGGTCAGGGCCAGTGGGCTGCCGTGGGGCCTGAGGGCCAGCAGGGAGTGGGAGGGCGCTCGAGTGGGCAGCAGGGCAGGGCCCAGCAGGCAAGGGCTCAGCCTCTGGGCCTCAGTTCCCTGCAGCACAACTGTTGGACTATCCAGGCGGAGCGGGTGAGGCCCTCAGGCAGGGCACTCAGCACAGCAGGGCTCAGCCATCCCAGCCTCAGCATCCTCCTAGCCTGCCTCGGGCCACACAGACCTCTTCGCTGGCCTTGGCCTGCCTGGGCTCCTGTGCCACAACCTAACACCAGTCTCCACACTCAATGGACCAGAGGCCTGGGTGGAAGCCACCTCCTCCGGCTGTCCCCAGCCTCCCCACCCCACGCCTCAGCCTCTAAGCCCCCGGGACTCAGACCTGCTGCTGGCAGCACAGGCCCCTCCCTCCTCAGCTCCAGGAGGCCTCCCAGGCACCCTGCTGCCCCCAATGCCCCTCCCTGGGCCACATCCCTCCCGGACCCACTCCTCTCTCCTTCCTGTACAACCCCCTGAAGAACCTGCTCGCCCCTCCTTTCCAAGCCTCCCTGGTTCCTTTGAAACCTCCACTGTTCCCTTCCTCTCCAGCCTCATGGCTCCAACCTAGCTCAGGCCGAGACCTCCCCCAGGACCCTGCGCCCTAGAGCTGGCCCGACCTCCCCTGACCACACTTCCATACCCTCTTCCTGCAAACAAGCCTCAGCCCAGGTACCAGGACACACAGGAGGCCCGGAGGACAAGGAGCAGGCCCGAGCACCATAGGGGAGTCTGGGTGGGAGCATGGAGGGCCTGGCCAGGCACCGGGACTGTCAGGAAGGGAATAGGGGAGGCGGGGGAGCCCCACTCACGTATTTGGCGAAGAAGGACTTCTGCTCCTGGGGGTTCTTGGCCTTCTGGGCCTGTTCCATCTCCAGGCGCTCAATGAAGGCCGCCGTCTCAGGGCTGGGGCAAGGGGAGAGGAGGAGAAGGGTGAGGCCCGGAGTCCAGGGACCTGGAGACCCTGAGGCCGCCAGGAAGGGCCGGGGCAGGTGGCAAGAGCGCCGCGAAGGCAGCAGAGGCTCACCCTGGGGCTGTGGTGGGCGGCTGCAGCTGCACCGAGGTGTTGAACAGCTCCAGGTCCACGTCCTCCACCTCATGGCCCCGGCAGCCCCCGGGGTGCGTCACCACCGACACGCCCACCACGTTGCCGGCCACATCCACGTGCAGGGTCAGCTGGTCCGACAGGTGCGACTCCACCAGGGAGCACTGTGGGGGGAGTGGGGTCAGTGGAGGTGGGGAGCCTGCTGCCTGGGCTCCACCCTAACCTCCCCCGGCCCCCACCACAGGACCCCCGGAGCATTTTTCAAAACCTTCCCATGGCTCCCTGTTACCCTCAGGCCCAAGTTCAACCGCCCCCCACCCGGGAGTCCTCACAATGCTATCCCCATGAAAGCACCCGCTACCTGGACCGACCCCTCCAGACCAGGAGGCCTCGGAAGGCAAGGCCAGGTCTGAGTCTCCCAGGCCTCTGCGGGCTCCAGAAACACAGGGGTTCGAATGGTGGAAGCAGGACCAGGGTAGGGGATGAGGAGGACGAGGGAGAAGGGGGCTCATCCCCGACACCAACTCACCGCAGGGACAAAGGAGGAGACATAGCCACCAGCTTCCAGGCCATCCAGGGCCCCGGGTCGCCTTGGGATCCGGACCCGGTACAGGCCATTCAGGGCTGCCACATCCTGGGGATGGGAGAAGAGGGTGCTGGTCAGAAGGATGGTGTCAGCCCTGGACAGGCTGTGATGCCCACCAGGCCTCCGCGAAGGCCCCTCTCCAGCCCCACCCACCTCACGGCCCACACTCCCCAGGCCAGCCAACCTGAGTCGACCCAGGACTCTTCCTGTTGGGGTGGCCCGGCTGGTGGGTGAGGCCAGGAGCAGCTGGGACCGCCCCACCTAGGGGAAAAGCCACCACAAGGAGGGCAAAGCCCAGCCCAGCGATGGAGTGGGTCCTGAGGACGCCTTCCCTGTGCCTGGATCCAGCTGCACCTGGCGTCCACCCTATGCCTGGACGTACCAGTTACATGCATAATAAATTCTGTTTGGGGACAGCTGTGACAAGAGAATCATGTGGGTACCATGCAGGAAGGGTGCTCAGGCAGACCTCACCGCGTGGCCACCAGAATCAAGCCTGCACTCCCCAGCCTCCCTCACAGCTACATCTGGCTGATGGGTGGAAGTGGGTTGTGCCAGCTTTTGCAAGCTTTCTCTAAATGCTGCTGCTCCTTCTGCCCCTCTTTCTCCCTCTCTATCCTGCTGCCTGGAGCCCTGGGGCCTCTCTGCATGACCCCTGCGGAGGATTGAGCTGGGCCCTTGAGGCTGCCACAACACAGGGCGACAGAAGTGAGCTCCTGTCCAACCATAGCTATTTTGAGGCTTTCTCCTCACAAACAAATCTCATCTAAGTGGTCATGAAACAGCTCAGCTGATCTGGAAAAGAAGAGGAGCCGACTGTGTGAACCTGCAGGGGAAGGGGGTCTGCCAGCAGAGGGAGCAGTGCAGGAAGAGGCCGTGATGCAGGACACCATGCCTGGCGGCGCTAAGACGAACTGCAATGCCGTTCCTCCAGGGGCAGTCATTGAGGACAGAGGCTGAGAGTGGCAGGTGGTGCTGGGAGCCCACCTGGGCCTGGAGGGAAGGCTGCTGGGGACCAGCAGGGGGTGGCTGAAGAGACAGCTGGAAACCCTCCATCCCCATCCACACCCAGCCCTGAGGGCCCCACCTCACCCGGAGTCGGCCCCGCTCCTCCTCGCTGAGCTGCCGCTGTGACAGGGACAAGGTACCATCCTGCTGGTTCCAGAGCAGTGAGCCCCGCTTCCGGAAGTTGGCACTGTCATCTGTGAGGAGCTCAGGTTCAGAGACGCCCCCTCCCCCGCCCACCCTTCAACCCAGGCAGGGGCCAGGAGGTCCAGCTTCAAATTTTGGCCTGGCCTCCACCCGAGTGACCAGGTTCCCTCCCCATCTGGGCCCCCATTTTGCTATCTGCAAAGTGGGGACACCTCCACCATGTTCCACCTCACAAGGCAACCCGTAGCAGATGCATGAACCCCACAGCTCCCAAATCCTGCCTCTGCCTCACCAGGTGACCCAGGGATAGCCACACAACCTCTCTGAGCCTCAGCTTCCCCAACTGCAAAATACGGAGGCTGTGGAGTTCAGGAATTCCCAACTACCTGGCCATGTCAGAATCAGGGGAGCTGTTCACTGAGCAGATGCCAGGGTTTGCAGAGGGGCACCAGCTTCAGGGTTTGTGCCCTCAGGTTCGGGGCCTCAGACTCGATTACTACACTCTGGGCAGCACTGACGTCCAGCTCTGGGAACCTGGACACCTGCATCATGGCAATTTAAGTTTGGGTTTGAAGCTGGCCCCTGCTCTGCCACTCACTCACGATGAGACCTTGTGTGGTGCCTACTCTGAGCCCGTTTCCTCTTCTGGAAAAAGGGGCTGACACGAATACCTACCACCTCACATGGCTGCTGTGAGGACATCTGAGTTAATACTTGCAAAGCGTGGAACCGCTAATGCTGGGCACGTGGCGACTGATCAGGAAAGCCGCTCTGAAATTATTACTGCTGTGATGACCTTTTAAAAACTGAGGTTTGTCTCACAGGCAAGGGGGCATTTAAAGAGTGTTTCTCTTCTTTCATGTCCCACTTTCCCCTAACCTGAGGCAAATCTGTTAGTAAATGGTTGTTAGTAAATGTCATACGACGGGAGGCACCCAGACTCCAAGTCTTGACTTCTCAGGGCACCAATGTTAAGTGTCTAGGAGAGGACGTTGCCTGACTCACCGATCTCAAATGAGTGCTCCAGCAGCAGCCCCACCGTGCCACAGGCCTCGCCCTCTCGACCTTCCGCCCCAGCCTGCAGAGGACACAGAAGGCCCCAGGTGAGGACCACCCAAGCCCTCAGCATAGTAGTCACCCACAGAACCCAGGACAGACAGACTGGTGGGCTGAGGGAGGAGCCTTATCTTCAAGTTAATCACTGCTGCTTGCCTTTATTTCACTAGAAACCACCCATTTCATGAATATTCATACTCTGCACTCCCTCACCCCCAGAAAACCAGACCCTACAAACATGCCTAACCTCATTGCCAAAGCAACTATCCCAAGGTCACTTCCAAGCCTTGCGCCACAAATACTCATGAGTTAAATGACACTCTCCCTCTCCCAAGCCTTCTTTTTCATGCTAATATTCAAATGGCCTCCTTATCACCTGACAGCCCAATAGCCAAGATGCAGCCTGAGTTCAGTCCCTATTAAGCACATTCAAGATTCATGCTTTCCTTTTCTCCAACCTCCAAACTTGCATACTCACGCATATTTAGGAGACAAAACTCATCTCCACTTCCTCAAGAGCCCCCTCCCACGCCTTATTTTCTTTTTCTGAGACAGGGTCTCGCTCAGTCGCCCAGGCTGGAGTGCAGTAGCGTGATCTCAGCTCCCTGCAACCTCTGCCTCCTGGGTTCAAGCGATTCTCCTGCCTCAGCCTCCCGAGTAGTTGGAATTACAGGCACCTGCCACCACATCCAGCTAATTTTTGTGTTTTTAGTAGAGACGGGGTTTCACCATTTTGAGCAGGCTGGTCTTGAACTCCTGACTTCAAGTGGTCCGCCCGCCTCGGCTTCCCGAAGTGCTGGGATTACAAGCATGAGCCACCGCGACCGGCCTAATTTTTTTTTTTTTTTTAGTATTTTTTGTAGAGACAGGGCTCGCTATGTTGCCCAGGCTGGTCTTGAACTCCTGGCCTAGAGCAATCCTCCCGCCTCGGCCTCCCTAAGCGTTGGGATGACAGATGAGCCACCGCGCCCGGCTTCACCTTGCCTCTTTCATTTCAACCGCCCGGACGTCGGATTCTCCAAGATTCCACACCCCCAGCCCCGCCCCCTCATACATATTCCCGAGCCAGAGCCTTCCGACAGGTGCGCTTGTCCTCCCACCCAGTCCTTGCAACCCGGTGCACTGGCGAGGCCCCTCCTGCGCGTGCGTGACTGAGGCCTGGCTTTCCAGGGATCTCCCACCTCTTCCCTCTCAGCCCTGCGCAGCCTCCTTCCGTCTGTAACTCACCTAAAGACCCAAGACCTGCGACATCCGTAGACCGCGCCCGCTATGCACAGCTAAAGAGCACTCACCCCTCGCGCACCAGTCCCGGCCCGGCAGCCGCTGCCCCGGGCTCGACTGGGCGCTGCTACCGCCATCAGCAAGAGCAGGAGCAGCCGGGTTGCCCCAGCGCTGGCTGCCGCCATCTCGGCTTCTTCCCACCAGCGAAGGGACGGCTGTGAGCCAAGAGCCGCGGAGCACGCCGGGAGGAACAGGCCGCATCCTGACGCCCGTGCGCCTGCGCTGGGCCCCGGCACCTGCGCACTGGCACCCGTCCGCACCTGGGGCCTGACGTCAGCAGGATGGGGCCGCCCCTTTGGCCTGATCTCCAGGAGCCGCCCCCTCCAGGGACGTCATCACAAATCAGGAGCCCGCTCTTGTGTGACGTCATAAAGCCCGCTCCGCATCATGACGTCACAGTGCGCGTAGTCCCGCCCCCTCGCTTTCTCCCTCTGCTCCTCCGTCCGCTCCCGTCGGACGGGGACATTGCAATGAGGCGGGATCGCGGCCCTAAGCCGGCCCTGGGTGGAGCTGGCGAGGTGGAACCAGGTGGGATGGCAGGTGAGAGAGGGGAGCCAGGCCTAGAGGGGTTGGACCTGGTGAAGGAACCAAGTAGGATGGGGCCGGCAATTCGGGGGCATCTGATACCCCGTCCTCTCCGCGGGGCTGTGCCGGGCCCTCTCAGTTGGGAAGCCAGGCACAGCCTCCCAGGATCGACCCCCAGACTTCGTCCTGGTAAAATGCCTCCTGGTTGCAGCCTCTCCCACGGGCCGTCCCAGACGGCTCCAACGCTACCTCCAGAGCGGCGAATTCGACCAGTTTCGGGACTTCCCCATCTTTGAGAGCAACTTCGTACAGGTAGGGAGCCCCAGAACCCCCTCATCCCCAGCCTCGGCCTGCCCCTCGACCTCCTCCTGACTTGGAAAGCCCCTGCTCCCCCATAACGTCCATCTCGTGGGATTCCCGACTCCCAACTCCTATGTGATCTCTGACACCCCATACTTCTAGTTCTCTAGATTCTTTGTGAACCCTGGCCTGTAACTCCCTTGCCTCAGTTTCCCTGACTTCACACCCATATGATTCTTGAACTTTAATTTCAAGATATCTGGCCCCCAGCCTGATTTTCAACTCACCTGGTTCATGACCTTTTCCCCTACCAAGATTCCTAACCTCTGATCCCTCCTCAGTTCTGCCCCGACATCTATCCTGCCCCGACCTCTGACCTCTGGCCCCAGGTGACTCGGTTGGGAGAAGTTGCCAACGAGGTCACCATGGGGGTGGCAGCCTCCAGTCCAGCCCTGGAGCTCCCGGACCTATTGCTTCTGGCCGGCCCTGCCAAGGAGAACGGACACCTGCAACTCTTCGGGTAACTGCCCCCACCTCAGCCGAGACCCCTTCCTCCCTCAGCTCCAGGCACCTGAGCCCCCAGCAGTACCTCCCCTCGTCCAGACCACCCCCAGGGCCAGGAGCTGGCAGTGCTACCGGCCCTCCCTGAGCTGCCATCTACCCGGGAGAACAAGGACAGAGCAGCCCTCAGGGGCCAGAAATCAGAGATTAGACAGACCTGAAGGGGACAGTCCTCAGCCATGCCCCAGCAGCGGTCAGGAGAATGATCATTTCCGCAGGGCCTGCTCATGCCAGACGCCCCTAGGCCGCGCATACGATCTCACCTCTGACCTCATATCTTCACATGGTGGGGTCCCTTAGCCCCATCCGCCAAAGAGCTAAACTGAGGCTCAGAGAGCCGGGAGCCAGTTGCCCAGGGTCCCACTGTGGCTCCAGAGTGGGCCAGGATTGGAATGCCAAGCTTGTCATGATTGTGGATCTCATGGTTCTTGAGCCCTCCTGTGCCTCACTCCACACTGCCCCTTTACGTCATATTTTTTCATTGAAAAAGTAATGCAGATCGGGTGCGGTGGCCCACACCTGTAATCCCAGCACTTTGGGAGGCCAAGGCAGGCAGATCATTTGAGGCCAGGAATTTGAGACCGGTCTGGCCAACATAGCAAAACCCTGTCTCTACCAGAAATACAAAAAATTAGCCAGGGCCGGGTGCGGTGGCTCACGCTTGTAATCCCAGCACTTTGGGAGGCTGAGGTGGGTGGATCACGAGGTCAAGAGAACGAGACCATCCTGGCTAACACAGTGAAACCCCGTCTCTACTAAAAATACAAAAAATTAGTCGGGCGTGGTGGTGAGCGCCTGTAGTCCCAGCTACTCGGGAGGCTGAGGCAGGAGAATGGCGTGAACCCAGGAGGCGGAGGTTGCAGTGAGCTGAGATTGCGCCACTGCACTCCAGCCTGGGCGACAGAGCGAGACTCCATCTCAAAAAAAAAAAAAAAAATTAGCCAGGTGTGGTGGCGGGCGCCGGTAATCCCAGCTACTCGGGAGGCTGAGGCAGGAGAATTGCTTGAACCCAAGAGGTGGAGGTTGCAGTGAGCCGAGATCATCCCACTGCACTCCAACCTGGGTAACAGAATGAGTGAGACTCTGTCTCAAAAAAAAAAAGAGAGAATAAAAAAGAAAAGAAAAGAGAAAAGAAAAAGTAATGCAAACAAACGAGAAAACAAGCACAAAATAGACAGCAGAAGCTGTTCCTTTTTCTCACCCAAGGCTCCTGCCCCAACTCCAGCTACAAACACTGAAATGTTTACATGCCTACAGTACAGAAACATTCTGCCAGTAGCTTTCACTTTTTTTGTTGTTTGTTTTTTTGAGACAGAGTCTCCAGGCTGGAGTGCAGTGGCACAACCTCGGCTCACTGCAACCTCTGCCTCCTGGGTTCAAGCAATTCTCCTGCCTCAGCCTCCTGAGTAGCTGGGATTACAGGAGCCTGCCACCACGCCCAGCTAATTTTTGTATTTTTAGTAGAGACGGGGTTTCACCATGTTGGCCAGGCTGGTCTCGAACTCCTGACCTCAGGTGATCTGCCTGCCTGGGCCTCCCAAAGTGCTGGGATTACAGGCATGAGCTACCATGCCTGTCTGGCTTTCACTTTTTTGACCACATCTCACAGTTCATGAAAGAGAGATGCCGGGTATGGTGACTCATGCCTGTAATCCCAGCACTTTGGGAGGCTGAGGTGGGAGGATTACTTCAGGCTTGGAGTTCAAGACCAGCCTGGGCAACATAGCAAGACCCCCATCTCTACAAAAATCAAAATTACAAAGCTAGCCAGGTATGGTGACACATACATGTGGTCCTAGCTACTGGGGCTGAGCCAGGAGGATCACTTGAGCCCAGGAGTTCGAGGCTGCAGTGAACTGTGATCACACCACTGCACTCCAGCCTGGGCAATGAAGTGAGACCCGTTCTCTAAAAAAGAAAGAAAGAGAGGGAAGAAAGAAGACAGAGAAAAGAAGAAAGGGAAGAAAGTAAGGAGGGAGAAATAGAGGAAGGAGGGAAGGAAGGAAGGACAAACTCACATTGTCTCACACATGCACACATGAAGGTCCACAGTTCCTTCTCTGCATTTCTGAAATCCAAAAGATTGCTTTTCTAATTTCGTGGCCAAATCAGATTTTGACCTGCATGTACTCGAGATGACTTACAGCCTTTATTAATCCCCCTGCCTAAGTTAAAAACCTTTCACAAAGGAGTATTCTGACACCAGTACAGTACCCTGAGATATTTTCTCTTCTACACTATACCTTTATTTTTGTTTATGTGTTGTAGAGGTGGGATCTCACTATGTTGCCCAGGCTGGTCTTGAACTCCGGGCCTCAAGTGATCCTCCCACCTCAGCCTCCCAAAGCACTAGGATTACAGGCATGAGCCACTGTGCCTGGCCTTTATTTATTCATTCATTCATTTAATTTTGAGACAGGGTCTCACTCTGTCATCCAGGCTGGAGTGATCACAGTTCTCTGCAGGCGCAAGCGATCCTCCCACCTCAGCTGCCTGAGTAGCTGGGACTACAGGTGTGCACCACCCACACCTGGCTAATTTTTGTATTTTTTTGTAGAGACAGGTCTCACCATGCTGCCCAAGCTGGTCTCGAACTCCTGGGCTCAAGCAATCCTCCTCCCTCAACCTCCCAAAGTGCTGGGACTATACGTGTGACCCACCTTGCCCAGCCCCTTTTATTTTAAATGCTAACTGTATTTCACCAATTGATCTCATCACTCACTGAATCATGACCTGCAGTTGGAAGAACACCAATGATGGTGCTGAGAGTGGCTATGACCCTCTCATAAGCTCCTTTGGCACCCTAAAACCCCTTCCCAAATGAACATACCACTGAAGTGAGAACATTGAGCTTGCTCTGCAAATTTGGCCTCAGGACTCACCTCCTAGCCCCTCACTTCTGTCTAACCAACTTCCAGCCCTGAGCTATTCTGGGGCAGTTTCTGACAGAGAGATATATATATACACACATACATGTATATATACATATATACACACATACATGTATATATACATATATACACACATACATGTATATATAATACACACATACATGTATATATACATACACACATGTATATACATGCACACATACATGTATACATACATATACACACGTATACATACATATACACACGTATACATACATATACACACGTATATATACATATACACACGTATATATACATATACATATACACACATGTATATATACACATATACACACACGTATATATACATATACACACACGTACATATACATATACACACGTATATATACATACACGTATATATACATATACACACATACATGTATATATACATACATACATGTATATATACTTACACACATACATGTATATACACATATACACACATACATGTATGCATACATATACACACATGTATGCATACATATACACATGTATGTATGCGTATGCACACAGATATGTATGCGTATACACACAGGTATGTATGCGTATACACATGCATGTATGCGTATACACACAGGTATGTATGCGTATACACATGCATGTATGCGTATACACACACGTGCATGTATGCGTATACACACACGTGCATGTATGCGTATACACACACGTGCATGTATGCGTATACACACACGTGCATGTATGCGTATATACACACATGTATACACACATATATATACACACATATATATGGATCCATCCTTTCTTTAAAAACAGCAGTAGAGGCTGGGTGTGATGGCTCACACCTGTAATCCCAGCACTTTGGGAGGCTGAGGTGGGCAGATCACCTGATTGCCAGGAGTTTGAGACCAGCCTGGCCAACATGGTGAGACCCTATCTCTACAAAAATACAAAAAATTAGCCAGACATGATGATGGGCGCCTGTAGTCCCAGCTACTCAGGAGGCTGAGGCAGGAGAATCATTTGAGCCCAGGAGTCGGAGGTTGCAGTGGCCAAGATCTCACCACTGCACTCCAGCCTGGGTGACAAAGCAAGACACTATCTCAAAACAAACAAACCAGCAGTAGAAGGCTGGGTGCAGTGGCTCACACCTGTAATCCCAGCATTTGGGAGGCCAAGGTGGGAGGACTGCTTAAGCCCAGGAGTTGGAGACCAGCCTGGGCAACATAGTGAGACCCCATCTCTACTAAAAATACAAACATTAGCCAGGGATGGTGGGGTGTGCCTGTAGTCCCAGCTACTTAGGAGGCTGAGGTGGGAGGATTGCTTGAGCCCAGCAGGTCCAGGCTGCAGTGAGCTGTAATCACGCCACTCCATTCCAGCCTGGGCAATGGGAACAGGACCCTTTCTCAAAAAATAAAATAAAAAGCAGTAGCCACAGGCTGGGCGCGGTGGTCACACCTGTAATTCCAGCACTTTGGGAGGCCGAGGCGGGTGGATCACGAGGTCAGGAGTTTGAGACCAACCTGGCCAACATAGTGAAACCCCCTCTCTACTAAAAAATACAAAAATTAGCCGGGCATGGTGGCGGGCGCCTGTAATCCCAGCTACTCGGGAGGCTGAGGCAGGAGAATCACTTGAACCGAGGAGGTGGAGGTTGCAGTGAGCCAAGATCGCGCCATTACACTCCAGCCCGGGAAACAGTGCGAGACTCCATCTCAAAAAAAAAAAAAAACAGCAGTAGCCACAAGCCATACGCCACTTCTCCCTGCGCCCACCCCCTCGTCAGCACGACACCCATATCCGTTTTGTATTGCCATGAGCACAGCCACCACACTCTTTCAGACATATTTGCACAATTGGACTCTTTTTTTTTTTTGAGACGGAGCCTCACTCTTGTTGCCCAGGCTGGAGTGTAGTGGCATGATCTTGGCTCACTGCAACCTCCGCCTCCCAGGTTCAAGAAATTCTCCTGCCTCAGCCTCCCAAGTAGCTGGGATTACTGGCATGTGCCACCACACCCAGCTAATTTTGTATTTTTAGTAGAGACAGGGTTTTGCCATGTTGGTCAGGCTGGTCTCAAACTCCTGACTTCAGGTGATCCGCCTGCCTCGGCCTCCCAAAGTGCTGCGATTACAGGCCTGAGCCACCGTGCACAGCCTGCACAGTTGGATTCTTTTTGACCATTGCACGTGCTCTGCTGTCTTAGACACCAAGCTGTGTCCAGCCTCCTCATGTTAAAGTGGTAGGCAACGTCCTTAAACAAATGCCTGCCCTCAGACGGCTTGGTTTCAAATCCTGGCGTTACTTCATCACTGGCTTTGGCCAAGCTCAACCTACCTGCCTGTGCCTCAGTTTCCTCATCTGGATGACAGGGATAAGAGGAGAGCACACCCCATAAGGTTGTCGGGGGAAAAACTGGGTAAATATAATAGCAACTGGCTCTGAGTAAGTGCTCCACAAATGTCAGCTGTTATTCTTCTATTTGGGGGACAAAAATCAAGTCACCCACTGAGGGACACTGGGGTTTGTTGGCATCTCGGTTACAGGCGGTGTGGCAGGGGACATCCGCGCATATGTGTCTGTGCACAGGTGTGAGGGTGTCTGTGAGATCCATTCCTGGCAGTGATACTGCTGGACCAGAGAGGCCACCTGGCTACTCAGTGTTGTAGGTGAACATGGGACCTGGGCTCCAATCCTGGCTGTGTGACCTGAGCCAAGATCCTCACTCTTTCCTGACTGCTTCCTGCTCTGCCCTGTTGGACCTTAAATCGGGCTGCGGGCCTGAGCAATCAATTTACCAAGATACTCAAAAAGCATCCACTGAAGCATCCACTGAGCACCTGCCACGTGTCAGCTGCGGGTACCAGGGAAACTTTCACCACTGGACAAAGCAGGCCTCCAGGAACTCCCTGCCCTCCAGGAGCTCCCACTCTACCAGGCAGGCAGAGGGAACAGGTGGCCATTTGTTAGATGGGCAAGGCCTGTGGGGCTCCGTCAGACCGGAAAGGACTACGGGGAAGTCTCAACAGGGTGGATGTGGTTGAAATAGGCCAGGGGAGACATCCCTGAGAACATGCCTCCTGAAACACAGGGCGATGAGGGGGCGGGTCTTGCCTGGAGAAAGGGCTTTTCAGGTGGAGGGAACCATCTGTGCAAAGGTGCTAGGGTCGGACTGAGCCTGGTGTGTTCATGGAACAGCAGGGAGGCCAGTGTGGCTGGAGGTGCAGGAGGTGAGGGCAGAGAGGGAGCAAGGGGCTCTGCAGGTCTGTGGGCCACGGTGAGGGCTTTGTGTTTATTCCTGTTGAGCCAGAGCCACAGGAAGGCTCTGAGCAGAGGGACCCAAACTGCCCAAGGTGTTGACCTGCGCCTTCTGGGGGACTTGTGGGGAACAGACTGTAGGGACTGAGGGCTGAGGCAGGTGGCTGGACGCAAGGGTGGCGGAGGAGGGAGTTAAAAGAGTTTGGATTGTGGATACATTTTAAAGGTGGCAGGCAAAGTGAGGTGGCTCATGCCTATAATCCCGGCACTTTGAGAGACGAGAGGATCACTTGAGCCCAGGAGTTGGAGACCAGCCTGGCCAACATGGTGAAACCCCATCTCTACTATATAAAAATAGAAAAATTAGCCAGGCATGGTGGTGCGCGTATAGTCCCAGCTGCTCTGGAGGCCGAGGCAAGAGGATTGCTTGAGCCCAAGATGTTGAGGCTGCAGTGAGCTATGACCGTGCCACTGCACTCCAGCCTGAGCAACAGAGTGAGACCCTCTATCTCAAAAACCAACAAAAAATAGTGGAGCCACCAGGATGTGGTGTCAGGACTCATCAGGGTGTGAGAACATGGAGTCCACAGCGACTCCAAGATTTTGACCAAGCAAGAGGGGGATGTAGCTAAGACAGGGAAGACCAAGAGGAGTAGGCTGCGTGTGAGGGGCTGAGGGAGCTTGAGAAGTGGGCTGTTGAACATGTTATGAGTCGGATGGTAGATCCCACACCCAAGATGGGATTTTTTTTTTTTTTTTTTTTTTTTTGAGACACAGTCCCTCTCTCTGTCGCCCAGGCTGGAGTGCAGTGGCGTGATCTCGGCTCACTGCAACCTCCGCCTCCCAGGTTGAAGCAATTCTCCTGCCTCAGCCTCCAAAGTAGCTGGGATTATAGGTACCCACTACCACGCCCGGCTAATTTTTACTATTTTTAGTAGAGATGGGGTTCCACCATGTTGGCCAGGCTGGTCTCGAACTCCTGACCTCAGGTGATCCTCCTGCCTCAGCCTCCCAAAGGGCTGGGATCACAGGCGTGAGCCACCACGCCTGGCCCCAGATGGAAATTTCAAGTAGGCAGTTGTATATTCGAGTCTGGAGTTTAGGGGAGAGGACTAGTGGGAGACAAAAAGGAGACATGTGGCTGGAAGAAAGTTGGGAATGGACTCAAGTTCAAGAGGCAATGAAAGTGGAAAGGGATTCGTGGGGCAGAGGGAGGGGTGGCAAGGTGGGGACCCCTGACCCCGACGGTGCTGGAGGACCCGACAGGGTCAGAACCTGAGGCCGCCCCTTCCTCCCACCCAGGCTGTTCCCCTTGAAGTTCGTCCAGCTCTTTGTCCACGACAAAAGCCGGTGTCAGCTCGAGGTCAAGTTGAACACCAGCCGCACCTTCTACTTGCAGCTGCGGGCCCCACTCAAGACCCGAGACCGAGAGTTCGGCCAGTGGGTGCGGCTGCTCTACCGCCTGCGCTTCCTCTCTGCTTCTGCTGTGCCCTTCACGCAGGAGTAAGAGGTGCTGGAGGATGTAGATGGGGAGGGTGATGATGATGAGGTGGAGGCCCAGAGGGAGTGGGAGGAGGTGAGGAGAGGGGGGAAGCGCAGTGGGGCAGCAGAGGGCAGAGGGGAGGTGTCTGAGGACTCCCAGGTCTAAGAGAGGAGAGAGCTTGGGTCCTGGACTCCTGGGTCTGAGGGAGATGAGGGCTGGGGTCCTGGACTCCTGGGTCTGAGGGAGGAGGGGCTGGGGCCTGGACTCCTGGTTCTGGAAGTAGAGGTGACCCAGGGATATGGGGGTCTGTGGGTAGAAGCCAGCAGTCTCTCCAGGGCCTTGGCACCCCTAGCCAAGGGGGCTGTCGTATCCTACTTGGGAACACACACAGCCACCCACACCCGTGCCCCAGCCCCTCTCCCCGTGACATACCAGAGTAGGGTCTAGAGAGGGACAACCTGTGCCCTGAAGGAGTGGGGTCAGCCAGGCCCAATGTCCAGTTCTCTGTAGGGCCTTGGGGGTCAAGGTGGAGCAGGGGATGATGCCAGTTTTAGAAGCTGGGGGCACTGGAATCTGTGCCCCCTCTTAGGACACCTGGCTTCCCCTGCCATTCCAGTAAGTGCAAAGTCCCTCCCCGCCCCCTCACTCCCTAACTGCAGGCCAAGGCCTCTGAAACAAACTCTCTCTCCCCAGCCCCAAGGCGTGGAAGCCAGACTTGACCCCAAGACCTCTGAACTCTGGGGACTCTGAGTCTTCCAGCATCCTTCAAGGTCACCGAATGACCAGAGATCAAAGTACCTTGCCTCAGGGCCGGGCAGATGAGATATTAAAGTTAATAAAGGTCAGTCCATTAAGAACCAACAAGCAGGCCACGAGCGGTTTCGCCTTCGTCACCAAGTCCGCGCAGCTGCCTGGCAGGAGTTTGTCCAGTACGGCTGCCTCCCTCTTCGGTTCACCACGTCTAGCTCTTGGGGCCGCTGCCAAGGCCTAGAGGCGGCCACAGCGACACAGCTGCTTCGGTAGAGTGGCCTTCTGGGTGTGGCCTGGGTGTGTCTTTGACTCGCTGCCACTGTCGTTGCCCCTAGCCTGCACCCTCCCTCCCTCCCAGCAGCTTCTCTGGGGCCGGCCTCCCCGTGGGCTTGGGTTCACCTCTGATGCTCTGTGGTTGCTGTGACAACGTGGCTGCCTCGCTAAAGTAGCTATTCCAAGAGGCCACCTCACCGCGGCCTGTGTCGACGCAGCTGCTCCCGTCGCCAACCCCGGGGTGACCAATCCCCTGCAGGAGGAAGACGGAGCTACGGAGTCAAGAAGGACAGACACTCCAGGGTCCAGACAACACTGTTTTGTTCTCAGCGAAAACTCCAGAAAGAACACAGTCCTGGGAGGTTGGGGATTGGGGTCAGGACTCCACCACCAATTGTCTTGGCAGGTAGGGGACAGGTCTCACTGCGGCACTGCAGGAAAACGAGAAAGCGGGTGAGCCAGGCCCGGGCACGCCTCCTCCTGAAGCCCCAGGAGGAGGAGCTGCATCCACATGACCAGCAGGGGGACAGGATGACGGTCACCATCCCGCCCCATCCTAGGCCACTGTGGCTGGACAACCCAGAGTCACAGTGCTCCTGATTACTGGTATTTTGGATCCCAGATGGGGACATTCTGAGCTGCTGGCTGTACGCGGTCACTGGAATCCTGAGGCTGGGATTTTTCTGAGCTGATTTAATAGTTAATCAGGGAGACAGCAGAGTATCAGAAATTGGGTGGGCTTGGAAGGGCAGTGATCTGGGGTGTTTTTGTTTGGTTTTTGAGACAGAGTCTCACTCTGTTGCACCAGGCTGGAGTGCAGTGGTGCCATCTCAGCTCACTGCAGCCTCGGCCTCCCTGGTTCAAGTGATCCTCCTGCCCCAGCCCCCCAGGTAGCTGGGACAACAGGCATGTGCCACCAGGCCCGGCTAAATTTTTTTGTATTTTTAGTAGAGACAGGGTTTCGCCATGTTGCCCAGGCTGGTCTTGAACTCCTGGGCTCAAGCAACTCGCCTGCCTTGGCCTCCCAATGTGCTGGGATTACAGGCGAGAGCCACCGTGCTTGGCTAGAAAGTGTCCTCTCTGAGCCTTTGTTAAGGGTCCCCAGCCACCCTGTCTGCTGGGCTGTCCTCAGAGCCAGGGAAGTCAGAGGTCAGAAGTCACCATCCGGGAGGGACTCTGGAAGTCCACATTGATGTCATCCTGCTCTGAGGGACACGGTTAGTGGCCTCCTCGCTGAGCCTTGACTGGCAGACATCTGATGGGCCGGAGCCCAGGGTAAAGGAGCGGGGGAATTGTGTTCCAGGAAGAGGGAAGAGCATGTGCCAAGTCCCTGTGGCAGGAAAGCCTGGCCAGTGTAACTGCCAACAGCCCGGTGTGGCTGGGACATCATGTGGGAAGAACCGGGGTGGACACACCACCGTGAACACCAGGCGGAGGGGCGCTGGGGCGGTGGGGAGTCCCCAGCGGGCTGGGATCAGGGCTGGGGCAGAGCAGCTCTGGATAGAGAGAGCTCTCTGGGGCCAGAGTCCAAGGGTGAAAGTGGCTGGCAGGAGGGAGAGACTGGAGACGGAGGCGGCTGGAAATGGAATATGGGAGGAAGAGGATGTAGCTTTCGCTGGGGCTGGAGCTGTGGGACCGAGATGAGGGACGGGGCAGGGAGAGGCAGGGGCAGGTGGGTGGGAGCATGGGGACAGGCTATGGAGGGAGGCACTCTTGGGAGCTCCCGCCACCCCTGGTCATCCGTGTTATCCATATTTGCTCTCACTCTGTCAACCCATCTGCCTACGGGGGCCCAGGTACACTGGAGGCCTTGGGGACGTTTCCTAAGCCCTTCTCACTCAGCCTTCCTCTTCCTTGTCCTTCAACTCCTTTGGAAAAATCTGACTCCTTCCCAAGCTGGGTCAGGGGCTCCCCAACCCCAACTCCTAGGATGCCCTGTGCTGCCTTCAGGACAGCAGCTTCCCAGTCCTCCTCCCAGAGGGCTGGTCTCACTCGTCTCCAGATCTCAGCGGTGCTCAGCCCGGGGCCACCGGCCAGGCTGGCACAGGGCCCGAGCAAGGGTCAGCCAGTGTTGGGGATGGCCACGCCCTCACCTCGGACCTCCAGCTTGCACTCAGCCAGCGCCTCGCCCAGCTCGTTGACGGCCCGGCAGGTGTAAGTCCCAGCGTCGAAGGGCGAGGGGCGACGGATGTTCAGCGTCAGGACTCCTTGGTAATTGGTTATCAGGAACTTGGGATCTTCACGGATTTCCATCTTGTTCTTCATCCAGACCACCTTCGGCTGTTGAGAGTCAAGGGAGAGGAGGCCAACTTAGAGAGAGACCCTGGGCAATGATGACAAAATGGGGCTCAGGAAGCCGATCTGGGTTCTAGGCTCTGCCACCCTCTTGCCAGATGTTCTTGGACGAGTCACTTCTCCCTGACCCTCAGTCTCCTCTTATGTAAAAGCAGGTTGATAATCCCACTTCACAGGGTAACGGTGGGGTCTTCCCATTGCTCTCAGGACAAAGAGCTCACTGTTTGTAGTGGCCCACAGGGTCCCACACTCTTTGACCCCCATTACTTCTCTGCTCCAGCCAAACAGGCTACCTCACTGTCCTTCAAACAGACCAGACAGGCACCCACCTCAGGACGCTGGCACTGGCTGTTCCCTCTTCCATAGTGCCCTTCCCTTTTTTTTTTTTTTTTGAGACAGAATCTCGCTTTGTCTCCCAGGCTGGAGTGCAGTGGCGTGATCTTGGCTCACTGTAACCTCCACCTCCCGGGTTTAAGCAATTATCCTGCCTCAGCTTCCCAAGTGGTTGGGATTAGAGGCGCCTGCCACCATGCCTGGCTAGTTTTTGTATTTTTAGTAGAGATGGGGTTTCACCATGTTGGCCAGGCTGGTCTCAAACTCCTGACCTCAGGTGATCTGCCCGCCTCGGCCTCCCAAAGTGCTGGGATTACAGGTGTGAGCCACCGTGTCTGGCCCAGCCCTTCATAATTTTATATTATTTATGTGACTCTGGGCAAATGTCAGTCTCCCCCAACATACAGGAAATTTCTTGTTCGAATCACCCAGGTCATTGAAAGCCTCTGAAAATGTTTGTTGTAAGAATAAATGGAGTGAATAAATGAATGAGAGCACGAAACAGTGCTGTAAATAAGCAAATGGAGTGAAGGAATGAACTGAGTAAATGGATGGATTGGTAGGTGGATAAATGAGTGGAATGAGTGACATGAATGAGTGGAGTTAGTGAATACAGTATACAGAGATGGAGACATGGTATGCCTTAAGGAGGCTGAAGCGAATAACCTACAGCCCAGACCAGAAGCTGGCAAACTGTTCCTATAAAGGACCAGATGGTAAATAATTCAGGCTTTTTGGGCCCTGTAGTCTCTGGGCCTGGAACGCGAGCCACGCACATTTATTTACATTTTGTCTGCAGTAGCTGTAAACAAAACATAAACAAATATGCTTGGCCCGTGTTCCAATAAAACTTTATTGAGAGAAACAGGTGGTGGGTGGATTTGACCCATGGGTGATGGTTTGCCAACCCCTGGTCTAAATGAGCTCTAGGTTGCAAGTGTCCCTGTTCACAAAGAGCAGTTGGAAAATGGCTGGACAGGAAGACCCTGGGGAGCCGTGCTGGTCTAGGCTGCCCCTGCTCCCAACGTTTCTTTTTCCATGGGACTGGCATTTGTCCTTGGACAGAGCAAGAGAGACTTAATGGTCCTCTCCTCAAGCTGCCGAGACAAGCTGTTACCTGGCAGTCAGGGGACAAAGAAAAAGGCAAGAGGCCAGGAGCGGTGGCTCATGCCTGTAATCCCAGCACTTTGGGAGGCTGAGGCAGGCGGATCACCTGAGGTCAGCAAAACGCCGTCTCTACTAAAAATACAAAATTTAGCTGGGCATGGTGGTGCACGCCTGTAATCCTAGCTACTCAGGAGGCTGAGACAGGAGAATCGCTTGAACTTGGGAGGCGGTTGCAGTGAGCCAAGATCGCACCACTGCACTCCAGCCTGGTCTCAGGAAAGAAAGAAAAAAAAAGAAAGAAAGAAGGAAAAAGGCAGGAAGCCAAAGGCAAGATGTGATTGATTGTCTGAGACTTGGGCTCTGGTCAGAGGAGCTAACAGGAAGTGGGTGAAAAGTGAGCAAGTCCAGTCTGGGCGTGGTGGCTCACACCTGTAATCCCAGCACTTTGGGAGGCCGAGGCGGGAGAATCACTTGAGCCTAGGAGTTCAAGACCAGCCTGGACAACATAGCAAGACCCCATCTCTACAAATTATAAAATTAGCTGGCCACAGTGGTTCATGCCTGTGGTCCCAGCTACTCGGGAGGATGAGGTAGGAGGATCACTTGAACCCAGGAGGTCAAAGTTGCAGTGAGCTGTGATCGTGCCACTGCACTCCAGCCTGGGTGATACAGCAAGACCCTGTCTCAAAAAAAAAAAAAATCAAAAATCAATTAAAAAAATTTTTTAAGTGACTAAATCCCTTGAGACAGAGAACTCGGGGAAGAAGAACTGGCGTGATGGGGAGTGGGCTTCATTGTATGGAAGATTCCCCACAAGGCAACACACACGCAGATCTGGGTCCCTGCCCTGGCACCTTCGGGTGGCCTCTGACAGCACAGTTGAGGGCTGCCGAGTACCCAGCCACGACCACGCGGTCTATGAGAGGTGTCAGGAACTTGGGAGCCATCCGGAAGTCATGCTCCTTATACTCGAACGGTTTGAAGGTGATTCCTGGGGAGAGAGGATGCACCCGTAAGGCGACTGATCTAGATTCTCCCCTGACACCAACCAGGGAACAAACCGCAATCACCTCTCTCCCATGACTAGGTGCCGTCAACCCCAGTGGGGAGGGGAGGGCAGGAGTCCAGGTGGGACCTGGGCGAGAGGGTGGACGGGGTGGGCCTGGGCTGTGGGGCAGGATGGCTGTACCTGTCTTGAGGATGCGGGCCGTGTTCTTGGAGACACCAGGTGAGTCACTGAGCCCACAGATGTTCTCGGTGTAAACTCGGAAATAGTATTCATTGCCCACGATAAGGTCGGACACAGTACAGCTAGTGTGCCTGTTACGTTCATAGACGTTGAACCACTCCTAGTGTGGGGACAGGGAGGGACCAGGCGGGTCGGGGCCACAGGATCACACGATTACACACAAGACACAGACGAAAGAAGGGGTGAGAAAAGCACATCCAGTGTTTAAAAAAATGTCACTCATGGCGCACTACTCACAGTGGCCAACAGGTGGAACCAACCCAGCGCCCATCAGCGCAGGGATGGACAAACAAAACAGTCGGCCCAGACAAAGGAACATCATTCAACGCTAAGAAGGGGTCAGGCACCGTGGCTCATGCCTGTAATCCCAGCTCTTTGGGAGGCCGAGGTGGGAGGCTCGCTTGAGCCTGGGAGTTTGAGACCAGAGTGGGCAACCCGGCGAGACCCTTGTCTGTTAAAAAAATCAAAAAATTAGCCAGGTCTGGTGGCCAGCACCTGTAGTCCCAGCTACTTGGGAGGCTGAGGGAGGAGGATTGCCTGAACCTGCGGGTTGGAGGCTGCAGTGAGCCATGATCATGCCACTGCATTCCAGCTTGGGTGACAGAGTAAGACCCTGTCTCAAAAAAAAAAAAAAAATTTAAAAGAAATAAAGGCCAGGTGCAGTGGCTCATGCCTGTAATCCCAACACTTTGGGAGGCCAAGGTGGGAGGATGACTTGGGTCCAGGAGTTCGAGACCAGCCTGGACAACATACTGAGACCCTGTCTCTACAAAAATTAGCGGGATGTGGTGGCACGTGCCTGTATTCCCAGCTACATGGGAGGCTGAGATGGGGGGGAATCACCTGAGCTCAGAGGCAGAGAAGGCAGTGAGCCAAGATTGCACCACTGCACTCCAGCCTGGGTGACAGAGTAAGACCCTGTCTCAAAAAAAAGAATTCTAAAAACAGGATTTCTGCATGGACACACCCGGCACCCTGCAGCATGGATGAACTTCAAAGACGTTGTGCTGAGCTAACAAAGTCAGACACAAGGGTCACATAGCTAGGATTCCATGTGTATGAAATGTCCAGAGTAGGTAAATCCAGGGAGACAGAAAGCAAATCGGTGGCTGCCAGGGGAGACCAGGGGGTAGCGCTATTGGGTACAGGGCTTCCTCTGGGGGATGAAAATGGACTGGGTAGAGGCGGTGGCTGCACAACCCTGCAGATGTCCTAAGTGCTGCTGAATTGTTCGCTTTAAAACGATGAATGACTAATTCCGTTATGTGACGTTTACCTCAGTGAAAAAAGAAAATGAAAACCCATCACGTGCCAAGTCTCAGCTAAAAGGCTTCCCTCCTGGCCCCAGCCCGTCCTCTAGCCTCTGGGCCCCTCCCTGCCCTTCCAGCTGTGAACGGGGGACATCTGCACCTGCTCTGCCCACCTCACCGGCTCTTCCCCATCTCCCCCTCTGCTCTCTCACCATGGTTTTTTTGTCTGCTTTCTGGACGAAATACCCCATGATCTCACTGTTCCCATCATCTTTGGGGGCCTGCCACTCCACCAGCGCGTTCGTGCCCCACACCTCCTTCACCATCACGTTTATGGGGGGCCCAGCCTTTTCTGGAAATGGGGAAGTGTGACAAGTCAGTCCAGGTTTTGGGATGTCCAGCCGCTTCCCTCCCCTCCCCTCTCCACACCCCCTCCCTCCTGATTCTAACCTCTCTTATGCCCCATTCCCATTCCTGCCTATGGCCTCCCCCATCCCAGTCTCTCCACTTCCTCTTATCCTGGGCCACCCTCATCCCTCCTCACCTCCTCTCCTCACCCCCATGTCTCCCCACTTCCTCTCTTCACCCAATCTCCCTCTCAAGGGTTCCCCCATCTTCATCTCTCCTCCACTCCTAGCCCTGGTACTTGCCTTGCTCCTTATCTAGTCTCCCCCACCTCATCTTTTCACCTCCTCTCCCCCTCCCCTCCTCATCTCCTCACCTCCTCTCCCATCCCTCATCTCTCACCTCCTCTCCCACCCCTCGTCTCACCTCCTCTCCTACCCCCCATCTCTCACCTCCTCTCCCACCATCTCTCACCTCCTCTCCCACCATCTCTCACCTCCTCTCCCACCCCCCCATCTCTCACCTCCTCTCCCACCCCCATCTCACCTCCTCTCCCACCCCTCATCTCTCACCTCCTCTCCCACCCCCCATCTCTCACCTCCTCTCCCATCCCTCATCTCACCTCCTCTCCCACCCTTCATCTCCCACCTCCTTCCCCACCCCTCATCTCTTACCTCCTCCCCCATCGCTGCCCATCCCTGCCCCTCCCGGCCTCCAGGGGCCCTCCCCAGCGCGCGCACCCACAACGCGGATGCGGATGGTGGCGGTGTCCTTCATGTTCTCGATCTGCACGCTCAGCTCGTACTCCCCGGAGTCGGAGCGGGCCGCCTGGCGCACGAAGAACACGGTGTCGAAGTCGCTGGTCCGCACGTGCACGCGGGAGGTGTCCAGCGGGGCCCCGCCCTTGGTCCACACCACCTGGGGCCGGGGCTTTCCCTGCGGGGAGAGGGCGGGGCGGGGTGGGGTCAGCGGGGCTCCACCCGCAAAAAGGGGGCTTGCGGCGAGAGCGGACCCCCGGCCCGTGACCCCGCTCCCCTGACCTGGAAGGGGACGACAAGGTTGAGCTGCTCGCCCACTTTGCGGATGTAGGTCTGGCGGAGATGGCGGGGAAGCCGGATCTTGGGTGGCTCTGAGGGCGCAAACACAGGGAGGGGGCTCAGCGGGGGGCCGGGGCGCATTCCAGGGGCCAATGGTGATAAGGCTCTCTGGGGAGGTCCTGTCGACGACACGGAAAGGGCAGGCGGGACGACGCCAGCTTGGTCTTTCGGAGCGCAGGGTCAGGGGCCACGCACCCGCAATCTCCCTGATGGTGACCGGCTGGGCCAGGGTGGCCGGCTCGCTGCGCCCCGCGATGTTGACCCCAACTACTCGGAAGAGGATTCTGGCTCCGGTCGGGAGATTCTTGACGGTGAAGCCACAGCGCTCCACGGGCTCGGTGTTGGCAGGGACCCATTCCTCGGCTGGAGAGAGAGGCCCTGCTGGCGGATCTCGTGCCCTCCTCCCATCCTCCGCTCCCGTTTCTCCCGGGGACTTGGGCCCCACGCAGCGAGCGAGTGAGCACTGAGTAAGTTCCCAGTAGAAGCAGCAGCAGCAGCTGGAGTTAGTTAAGCATTCATCATGGCCAGGTTCTAAGGGTGGCCATTCTGTTCGCTCATTAATTTTTTTTTTTTTTAAACGGAGTCTCGCCCTGTCGCCCAGGCTGGAGTGCAGTGGGACGAATTCTTTTTTTTTTTTTTTTAGGTGGAGTCTCGCCCTGTCGCCCAGGCTGCAGGGCAATGGCAAGATCTTGGCTCACTGCAACCTCCGCCTCCCAGGTTCAAGTAATTCTCCTGCCTCAGCCTCCTGAGTAGCTGGGACTACAGGCTCGCACCACCACGCCCAGCTAATTTTTGTATTTTTAATAGAGATGGGGTTTCACCATGTTGGCCAGGATGCTCTTGAACTCCTGACCTCGTGATCCGCCCACCTCGGCCTCCCAAAGTGCTGGGATTATAGGCGTTGTTCATTAATTCTTACCTCAACCCTGTGCTATCCCCATGTTAAGGATGGGAAACCATCCCTAACATGCTTGTAATCCCGTGGCTCATGCTTGTAATCCCAGCACTTCGGGAGGCTGAGGTGGGCAGATCACTTGAGTCCAGGAGTTCAAGACCAGCCTGGCCAACATGGCGAAACCCTGTCTCTATTAAAAACACAATACTTAGCCGGGCAAGGTGGCAGGCACCTGTAATCCCAGCTACTCAGGAGGCTGAGGCAGGAGAATCGCTTGAACCTGGGAGGCAGAGGTTGCAGTGAGCCGAGATCACCCCACTGCATTCCAGCCTGGGCGACAGACCAAGACTCCATCAAAAAAAAAAAAAAAAAAACTTTCCCCAGGTACCATGGCTCATGCCTGTAATCCCAGCACTTTGGGAAGCCAAGGCAGGAGGATCTCTCAAGCCCAGGAATTCAAGACCATCCTGGACACGCAGCTCAGGCTCTGTGGACTAGGATGTTAAACCCAGGCCTGTCTGACTCCAGCACGCTCTCAAGCTCTGCTCTCCTGCAAGGCTGGCACAGAGGGGCAGGGATCTTGGCTCTGTCTGAGGGCGCAGCCAGGTGGGTGTCTGGGAAGGCGGGCTGAGGGCAGGGTCAGAGCTCTTCAGATTGCCTGCTTTTCGTTACATGCCCTTCTGTCTTGGGTTTATGGCCATGGGCTGGGGAACTCATGGCTGTTGGCTCAGAGCAGCAATCAACAGAGTGAACTCTAACAAGCTGGGTTCTGAAACGTCAGGGTGGGAGCAGCCGGCCAGGGAGGAATGGGGTAAAGAGCACGGAGGAGAGGAGGAGGGAGGAAGCTGATGAGGGTTCAACCATCCCTCCTTTCCATGCATTCTCGAGTACATCGTCACTGTACCCTGTCAAGATGAGAACTGTCTTCGCCATGGTTAGATGAAGAGACTGAGGCTCAGAGACTTGCCCAAGGACACACAGTTAGACAGTGGAGGGGCAAGGTTGGAACCCGCATCTGTCTGACTTTAAGACCTGGGATAGTGTGTCGAGGTGATCACGTCTGTTCTCCCAGAGAGATGGCTGCGTCTGAGACATCTCCATAGCCATGGCACTGGGCCGGGCACAAGTCAGTGCTCAGTGAATGTTTGTTTGGTGGAGGATGGAGAGTGGATGTATGGAGGTACAGATGATGGATGGACAGGCAGAGAGACAATGGCTGGTTAGGTGGACAGATGGTTGGATGGCCATATAGGTAGAAAGAGGGAAGGAAGCAAAGATAGTGGTGAAGAGATAGATATATGGATGAAAAAATGATACTGGGCCGGGTGCGATGGCTCATGCCTGTAATCCCAGCACTTTGGGAGGCCGAGGCAGGTGGATCACGAGGTCAGAAGATCAAGACCATCCTGGCTAACACAGTGAAACCCTGTCTCTACTAAAAATACAAAAAAAAAAAATTAGCTGGGCATGGTTGCAGGCATCTGTAGTCCCAGCTACTTGGGAGGCTGAGGCAGGAGAATGGCGTGAACCTGGAAGGTGGAGCTTGCAGTGAGCCAATCGTGCCACTGCACTCTAGCCTGGGCAACAGAGCAAGACTCTGTCTCAAAAAAAAAAAAAAAGAGAGAGAGAGAAACGAAGGAAATATGGACAGATGGATGGATGGATGGATGGATGGATAGATGGATGGACAGATGGATGGATGGACAGATGGATGGACAGACGGATGGATGGATGGACAGATGGATGGATGGATGGATGGATGATGGACAGGTGGACAGATGGACAAATGGAGGGATGGATGGATGGATGGATGGATGGATGGATGAATAGATGGAAATATGGATGGGTGGATGGATGGATAAATGGATGGATGGATGGATGGATAGATGGAAATATGAGTGGGTGGGTGGGTGGATGGATGGATGGAAATGATGGATGGATGGATGGATGGATGGATGGATGGATGGATGGACGGTAAGATGAATGGATGGATGGATGGATGGAAATATGGATGGATGGATGTACAGATGGGTGGACAGATGGATGGACAGATGGATGGATGGGTGGATGTTAAGATGGATGAAGGAAAGATTGGTTAGATGGATAAATGAGTAGAAGAAAGAAAGAAGGCATAAAGGTAAAAGATAAAAGATAAATGGGGGGATGGAAGGATAGATGGAATGACAGAAAGTCACTGCTGTATGGAGGATGGATGTAGAAAGGAAGAAGGGAGAGAAAACACACTAGTCACAGGGGGGTCCCATCCCAGAGACTTATAACAGTACAGACACAAAACACAAGCAGGCCACTGCACCCATCTCTGTCCCACATGGTCCTATTTTCAGCTCCCTGGACTGGATACCCACCTGTGCTAGCCACCACCCCCACCAGCCCTGCCAGGGTCACTCACAGCCTTCCAGGCAGTACTCCACCAGGTACCCATCGATGCCACCTGCCCCGATCCTGTTCGGAGGCCTCCACTTGAGTGTGGTGGTGGTGTCTGTCACATCCTCCACTATCAGGTGCAGGGGTTCACTCGTGGGTGCTGCAAGCATCCAGAAAAAGAGGATATGGGGGGAATGAGGGGTCAGGGGTCAGCAGGAAGGGGCAGGAGTCAGAGGTAGAATGATTGGTCAGAAGGCCAGGGGGTAGGGTCAGAGATTGATGGCGGGCAAAAGATGGGCCAGAGGTGGACGGGGTTGATGGATCAGAGTGATCCATCATTACCAATAGGCATAAAAGTGAGGGAGGACATTACCAATAGGCATAAAAGGCTTGGTGTTCATGCTGGGCTGGGAGACCCCTATAGCATTGACGGCGAAGACACGCATCTCATAGAGGATGCCCTCGATCATCTTGGTGGACTCATAGGTGGTCTCTGTGAAGACCTCAAAGTTCAGCTTCATCCAGCGCTGAGAGCCCTTCTTCTTCCGCTCTACGAGGTACCCTGGAGGCTCCAAGCAGAGAGGAGAAGAGGGAACGGGAGGGCATGGGGCATGAGTCAGCTGGGGGAGTGAGGGCCACATCCAGAGGATCGCATGGCCAGGGCGGTCCGAGGCCATGAATCTTAGGTGGATCTCAGGGGCCACAGAGCATTCAGAGGCCACCAGTCCTGGAGTCAGGAATCAAGAGGGGGTCACAGCTCATGAACCAGGAGGCCAGGAGCCATAGAAAAACCCAGGCTACTGGTCAAAGTGAGAATTCCCAGGTCACCAGCGAGTAAAGGAAGCGGGAAGACCAAAGGGATTGAGATGGGAAAATGGAAAATCAGGGGTCAGAGGTAGGTCACTGAGGATGCTAAGGGCTCTGGGAGGTCAAGGAGAAGGCAGAGGCTGGTGCCGTGGCTGACACCTGTAATCCCAGCACTTTGGGAGTCTGAAGTGGGCAGATCACTTGGGGTCAGGAGTTCAAAACCAGCCTGGCCAACATGGTAAAACCCCATCTCTACTAAAAATACAAAAATTAGCCGGGCGTGGTGGTGGGCACCTGTAATCCCAGTTACTTGCGAGGCTGAGGCAGGAGAATTGCTTGTACCCAGGAGGCAGAGGTTGCAGTGAGCCGAGATTGAGCCACTGCACTCCAGCCTGGGCGATAGAGTGAGACTCCATCTCAAAAAAAAAAAAAAAAAAAAAAACAGAAGGCAGAAAGAGGGAAGGTCAGAGGTCATGAGGACAGAGGCACTCACCGGTGACTGGCTTCCCCCCATCGTACATTGGTGGCTCCCAGACAAGGATGGCCCAATCCTCTCCAACCGAGGTGATGCGCACAGCCTCCGGGGGGTCTGGGACATCTGCAGGGGGCAGGAGAGTCAGGTGGCCCCTCGAGGCCTCAGGGAGTCACCCCTTGGCCCAGCCACCTCGGCTTTCTCTGCTCACCTACAACTTGCAGGAAGATGGAAGCCACGTCCTCGCCGACGGGGTTGGTGACCTTGATGGTGTAGCGGCCCTCGTCTTCCCGCTGCGCACTCTCAATCACAAAGCTGCTGCAGTCCACCCGCTTCTCGATGCGGGTCCTGCCCTCGGTGGTCGTGAATACCTGAACGCAGCCACCAGATGGCCTTGCACCCCATCGTGTCCCCAAGCAAACCCAGGCCTGCCTCTGCCATTCCCCTGCTCAGAATCCTCCCATGATTCCCCATCAACACACAGAGTCCTCACTCGCTCCACTGCCCTCCTCGCCCTCCAAATGCCGTCCTTCATTAAAAGCACCAGACTGGACGGGGCGCAGTGGCTCACACCTGTAATCCCAGCACTTTGGGAGGCCGAGGCGGGTAGATCAACTGAGGTTGGGAGTTTGCGACCAGCCTGGCCAACATGGTGAAACCCCATCTCTACTAAAAATACAAAATTAGCCGGGCCTGGTGGTGCATGCCTGTAATCCCAGCTACTCAGGAGGCTGAGGCAGAAGAATCGCTTGAACCCAGGAGGCGGAGGTTGTGGTGAGCCAAGATAACACCACTGCACTCCAGCCTGGGCAACAAGAGCAAAACTCCATCTCAAAAAAAAAAGAGAAAAAAAGAAACCAACCAAACAACAACAACAACAAAAAAAAGACTGCCTTGTCCCAGAGATTTTGCAAGGCTGGTCCCTGTGCATGCAACACTAAGCTCTTCCTCATCCTTCAGGAAGCACCCAGAAGACACCTCTTCCAGGAAGCCTTCCTGGATACCCTTAGCTGGAAGTGCTGGCTCCAGCCCCTGGGTTCTCATAGCTTCTAGAACCTCCCTTTATCTCAGCCAGAGCACCCTGGACTGTGGCTTCTTGGGCAGGTGTTTGCGTCTCCGCAAGAGTAAAGGCTACTGAGCAGGGTGAGGTAGCTCATGCCCGTAATCCCAGCACTTTGGGAGGCTGATGCAGGAGTGCCACCCAAGCCCAGGAGTTCAAGACCAGCATGGGCAACATAGTGAAACCCTGTCTCAAATTTAAAAATAAATAAATAAATTTTAAGTAAAATGAAGGCTCTTGGAGGGCAGGAGCCGCATCCAACTCATGGTTGCATCCTCAGTGCCTGGTGCGGAGAAAACTTTAGGGGATGTACGCTGAGTGAGCAAATGGATGGATGTTGAGCAAGTCTGTCCATTTTACAGAAGAGGAAATGGAAGCACAGAGAAGAAATGAAAAATCGAGCTGTCCCAGGGCCTGGGACATGCAAGGTTAAAATATTTGTTGGACGGATGGATAGAGGAATATATAGATATGGCTGGGCATGTTGGCTCATGCCCATAATCCCAACACTTTGGGAGGCCAAGGTGGAAGGATCGTTTGAGTTCAGGAGTTTGAGCCCAGCCCGGGCAACATGGTGAAACCCTGTCCCTACAAAAATACAAAAAATTAGCGAGGCATGGTGGCACACTTTTGTGGTCCCAGCTACTCAAGAGGCTGAGGTGGGAGGATCACTTGAGCCTGGGAGGTGGAGGTTTCCGTGAGCCAAGACTACGCCACTGCACTCCAGCCTGGGTGACAGAGTGAGATTCCACCTTTCAAAAATATAGATACATAGATAGATAGATAGATACATAGATAGATAGATAGATAGATAGATAGATACATACATACATACATACATACATACATACATACATACATACACAGATACATAGATAGATAGACAGATAGATAGATTAGATAGATTATATAGATAGATTGAAGTGGGTAAATGATGTGTTTCTGGATGAATGGATAACTAAATTGGTTGATGGATAAATGGACAAACAGATTAATTACTGGACGAGTGGATGGCTGGGTGAATTAACCAATTAGTTGATGAAAAAATCATCAGCTGGATGGGCGGATGAGTTACTGGCTGGCTGGAAGCCTAAACTGGTCGATCACTTGATTAATTAACTGAAAGGTGAATGGATGAATGGATGGAGCATCCACCATGTGCTAGGCCCATACCTGTGATGGACAAACATAATCTCTAATCTTCAAAACAACCCTGTGAAGAAGGAACCATCACCCTCATTTTATAGAGGATGAAACTCAGGCTCAGGGGGAAAGAGACTTGCCTAAACGGAAAGGGAGTGAGGACAGAGGGGCGGCCCCAACCCACCTCATCTCCCTTCAGCCAGGTAGCGACGGGAGGGGGCTCCCCTGTGATGGACACGTCAAGCCTCAGCTTGTTTCCAGCCACAACCACAATCGCATTCTCTGAGGTCTTCCCCGAGCAATCCAAGTGGATCTTTGGTGGCTCTGGTGGCACAGAAGAGATACAGGGACCCTGGGAGTGGGAGGCTGGGCCTTCCCAGTTCCCACAAGAGAATCTCCAAAAAGTTGGGTTCCAACAGTGACAGAGACACAGGGATCCATGTCCTGAAGCCCTCCTCCCTCAGACCCAGTAGTCCAGGCCCCCAACCCCTCCTCCCTCAGACCCTACAGTCTAGGCCCCCAGCCCCTCCTCCCTCATACCCAGGGATCCAGGTCCCCAACCCCTCCTCCCTCACACCCTACAGTCTAGGCCCCCAGCCCCTCCTCCCTCAGACCCAGGGATCCAGGTCCCCAATCCCTCTTCCCTCAGGACCTCAGTCCCTCCTCTCGGCCGATAGCCCCCACCCCGTCTGTCAGCTCCCCGCCCCTCCTCCCTCCCTTCCTCAGCACCCCAACCCCCTCCTTCCTCTCCCCACTCATCCTCCCGCACCCCGCCCATCCTTCCTCGCCCTGCCTATCCTCCCTCGGCCATTCCCCTCCTCCCTCAGCCCGGTCCCTCCTCCCTCAGACCCGCTCCCAGCGCAGCCCGTGGTGCTCACCTTGCTTGGGAACGTACTCCACCTTGATTTCTGCAAGACAAAGAAGACTGGACAGTTAGGTCTAAACTCAGCAGGCCCCTCACCCCACCTTCACAGCCCAGAGGAAGAGGTGACAGGGTCTGGCAGTCTCCCTGGGAACTGGGGTGCTGGAGACAGGTTCAGGCCCAGGAGCCACCCCTCCTCCCGGGCGGCAGGTGGCAGCGAGTTCAGCGCTCTCCCTCCATCTTCTGACTCCAGCCATGAGCGGGACAGACGCTTGCTGTCGTCCTCATTCGCACTCGGGGAACCTTAATCCTGGAGAGGGACATCCCGGGCCCTGGGTCTGCGAGGGTGGATCCTACAGCCCCCAGGGAAGGAGGAAGGGGCATCCTCACCCAGGAAGTTGAGCTTGGCCGAGAGCGACAGGGCGTAGCCGTCAGGCACAAACGTGTAGTCTCCCTCATCCTCGGGGCGGACGTCATCGATCACCAGCTTGTGGAACCTAAGGGGTGGGGGAGCAGGGTAGGGCTCGAACCAGATTGCAATGGGACCACTATGGGGCTGCACCGCCTCAATCAGCTTCCCTCAGTGCAGTCCACATGCCTGCATTCTTATCCAGGGCTTTGGAACGCTGTGGTCTATTTTCAAATCGGTAGCTATGTGACCTTGGGCAAGTTACTTAACCTCTCTGTGCCTCTGTTTCTTCATCTATAAAATAGGGGTAATGATATCCATCTACATCAAGGTTGTTGTAAAGCATCGAGAAAGGTGCAGTGGCTCACATCTGTAATCCCAGCACTTTGGGAAGCTGAGGATCGAGAATTGTTTGAGCCCAGGAGTTCGAGACCAGCCAGGGCAACACGGCAAGACCCTGTCTCTACAGAAAATAAATAAATAGATACTGTTCTTTGGCCGGGCATGGTGGCTCACGCCTGTAATCTCAGCACTTGGGGAGGCTGAGGTGGGAGAATTGCTCCAGCCCAGGTCAAGGCTGCAGTGAGCTATGATTGCACCACTGCACTCCAGGCTGTGTGACAGGTTGAGACCCTGTCTCAAAAAAAGAAAAGAAAAGAAAAAAACCACACCTAGAAAAGTACCTGGCACATAGTAAGGGCCCTGTAAGTGTCAGGATGTGTTATCATCATTATGTGTTGTTGTTTTTGTTTGTTTGTTTGAGATGGAGTCTCACTCTGTCACCTAGGCTGGAGTGCAATGGCATGATCTTGGCTCACTGCAACCTCCCCCTCCTGGGTTCAAATGATTTTCCCACCCCAGCCTCCCGAGTAGCTGGGACTATGGGCGTGTAACACAACACCCAGCTAATTTTTGTATTTTTTGTAGAGATGGGGGTTTCACCATGTTGGCCAGGCTGGTCTCGAACTCCTGACCTCAAGTGATCCACCCACCTCAGCCTCCCAAAGTGCTAGGATTATAGGTGTGAGCCACCATGCCCGGCCATTATCATCATTACTGAGACCACCAGCCGGCATGGTTCCCTACACAGAACACAGGGAAAACCTACATCCCACCAAGAACTATTGCCAGGAAGCCCTGAACGGCACGATGTTCTCCAGGCATCATGCTGGCTCTCTGCATTCTGCAGATAACCAGGTGTTTGTCTTAGGTGTCCACGTGCCACCTGTTGAATCCCAGCTTCTTGTTTTCTGAGCTGGAGCCCATGTTGACTGTTAGCTGATATGGCCAGAGGCTTTTCCCTGCCGGTGTCCATGCCCTTGAAATGCGACTTTGCAGCATCCCCATCAGTGGTGGAATCTGCTTCCCAGCCCTTGACTCAGAGCTGGCCTGGGACTTTCCTTGCCCAACAGACTATGGCGGAAGTGGCATTGGGCCAGTTTCCAGCCTGGGCCACAGAAGTCTCATTTGCTTCCATGCTCTCTCAGGACCTCTGCCTCTGCCACGTGAGTGTGCTAGGCTGAGCTCACTGGAGGAGGAGGAGGTGCCATAGGGAGCGGCGTGCTGGGCGCCCAGCTGTCCCAGCTGAGGTCCTGACAGTGCCCACGCAAAGTCAGCAGGGTCCAGGTCCTGCCACCACAGAGGTAAGAACGAGGCCATCCTGGATCAGCCAGCCCCCAACCAACCTGCACGCTCAAGATGAAATGAATCCTAATTTATTTATTTATTTATTTAGAGAGAGTGTCTCACTATGTTGCCCAGGCTGGTCTTGAACTCCTGGGCCCAAGAAATCCTCCTGCCTTGGCCTCCCAAAGTGCCAAGATTACAGGTATGAGTCACTGCTCCGAGCCCAATCCTCATCCTTTTAAACCTCTAAGTTTGGGGACAGGACAGGTGCGGTGGTTCACACCTGTAATCCCAGCACTTTGGGAGGCCGAGGTGGGTGGATCAGCTGAGGTCAGGAGTTAGAGACCAGCCTGGCCAACATGGTGAAACTCTGTCTTGACTAAAAATGCAAAAATTAGCATGGTGGCGCATGCCTGTAGTCCCAGCTAGTCAGGAGGCTGAGGCAGGAGAATCGCTTGAACCTCAGAGTTGGAGGTTGCAGTGTGAGGCTCTGACTCAAAAAAAAAAAAAAAAGGAAAAAGAAAAGAAAAAGTCCAGGCGTGGTGGCTCATACCTGTAATCCCAGCACTTTGGGAGGCTGAGGCAGGTGGATCACTTGAGGTCAGGAGTTCAAGACCAGCCTGACTAACATGGCAAAACCCTGTCTTTACTAAATACAAAAAAATTAGTCAGGCGTGGTGGTGCATCCCAGCTACTTGGGAGGCTGAGGCAGGAGAATCGCTTGAATCCGGGAGGCGGAGGTTGCAGTGAGCTGAGATCGCGCCATTGCACTCTAGCCTGGGCAACAAGAGCAAAACTCCATCTCAAAAAAAAAAATAAATGGGGGACAGCTTGTTACACAGCTAAAGCTAACTGCTATGCACACCCTACCCCCAGCCACTTCTGCAGCCCACTCCTCACCTGCCTACATGGGAAATGGTGATCCTCTTGCTGGGCCGCACCTCGACCCCATTCTTATACCACTTGCCCGTCACTTTCTCATCAGACACCTCGCACTTGAACACAGCTTGTTCTGAGGCCTTCACCGTCAGATCCGCGATGTCCTGCAGGACCTCCAGCTGTTTCTCTGGTCAGGGAGAGAAAGACAAGGAGCCGTCACTACTCTAGTCAGTGCACAGACACTTGTGAGCACCCACTGTGTGCCAGGCGCTGGTCTAGGCACTGGGGATACCAGCCACAGACAACCCAGAAACAACCCGTTGGCCTCGGGAAGCTCCCATGCTAGTGGGAGACAGTGAAGAAAGAAACAGAGGAGGGAGCGAGGAGGCCTGAGGGAGGCAGGGAGGAATCTACCAGAAGATGAAAAAAAGCCTCCCAGGTAGAGGGACCAGCGTGTGCAAAGGCCCTGAGGTGGCCGGGCACAGTGGTTCACGCCTGTAATCCCAGCACTTTGGGGATTTTATTTATTTTATTTTATTTATTTATTTTTTTTTGAGATGGAGTTTCACTCTTGTCGCCCAGGCTGGACTGCAATGGCGTGATTTTGGCTCACTGAAAACTCCACCCCCCGGGTACAAGTGATACTCCTGCCTCAGCCTCCCAAGTAGCTGGGATTACTAGCATGCACCACCACGCCTGGCTAATTTTGTATTTTTAGTAGAGATGGGGTTTCACCATGTTGACCAGGCTGGTCTTGAACTCCTGACCTCAGGTGATCCACCCGCTTTGGCCTCCCGAAGTGCTGGGATTACAGGAGTGAGCCACTAAGCCCGGCCTGATGTTTTTATACAGACGGGGTCTTGCCATGTTGCCTAGGCCGGCCTTGAACTTCTGGACTCAATTTACCCTCCCACCTCGGCCTCACAAAGAGTTGGAATGGCAGGGCTGAGCCACCATGCCCAGTCTAAAACATTCTCTTTTTTTATGGCTAGATATGGAAATACCATCATTTGTTTGACCCATAACTGACTTGAGTTCGTTGTTTTTTACTTTTTATATTTACAGAATTATAGACCCCTAGAGCTTGCAAAAATAGCACATAGAGTCCCGTGTGCTCTTCATCCAGCCTCCCCCACTGGTGACATCGTACATAATGGAGTCCAGTATCCAAACCAGGACACTGACATGGACCCAGTACTGTTACTCAGACCACAGACCTGTTTCTTTTCACCATCTCACTTATGTTTTACGAGGCTCACTCTGGCGGGTACTGGGGGGTGGAGGTCAAGGGGCAGGTATAGACACAGAGTGACCAGAGAGGAGACAACTGCACCAGTCCAGGCATGAGGGAAGGAAGGCCTGGGCCAGGCGGGGGCAGCAACAGGGGGGCTGTGGTTGGTTTCAGATTTTTTTTTTTTTTTTTTTAAGACGGAGTCTTGCTCTGTCACCCAGGCTGGAGCACAGTGGCACAATCTCGGCTCACTGCAACCTCTGCCTCCTGGATTCTAGCAATTCGCCTGCCTCAGACTCCTGAGTGGCTGGGATTACAGGTGTGTGCCACCATGCTCGGCTAATTTTTTTTTTTTTTTTTTTGAGACAGAGTCTTACTCTGTTGCCCAGGCTGGAGTGCAGTGTGCAATCTCGGCTCACCACAACCTCCACCTCCTGGGTTCAAGCGATTCTCCTGCCTCAGCCTCCCGAGTAGCTGTGATTACAGGTGCACGCCACCACACCCAGCTAATTTTTGTATTCTTAGTAGAGATGGGTTTTCGCCATGTTGGCCAGGCTGGTCTCGAACTCCCGACCTCAAGTGATCCGCCCACCTTGGTCTCTCAAAGTGCTGGGATTACAGGTGTGAGCCACCGCGCCCAGGTTTGTTTTTGTTTTTGTTTTTGTTTTAAGACAGAGTCTTGCTCTGTTGCCCAGGCTGGAGTGCAGTGGAGCAATCTCAGCTCATTGCAACCTCCGCCTCCTGGGTTCAAGCAATTCTCCTGCCTCAGCCTCCTGAGTAGCTGGGACTACAGGTGCACGCCGCAATGCCCAGCTAATTTTTTTGTATTTTTAGTAGAGATGGGGTTTCACCATGTTGGCCAGGCTGGTCTCGAACTCCTAAGCTCAAGTGATCCACCCGCCTCGGCCTCCCAAAGTGCTGGGATTACAGGCGTGAGCCACCACGCTTGGCTGGATCCAAAATTTACTTTGAAGCTGGAGCCATCAGATCTCCCTGGTGGGCTGAACATAGGGTGTGTGGGAAAGAGAGGAGTCAGGAACAACTTCCAGACTGGGGGGCCTGAGCAACCTCAAGCTGTGTGGAGAAGCATGCGCAGTGCAGCCCGTGCCCTACCTGGAGGCCCCATACCTTCCACAATCAGCTCGGCCTCACACTGGCCGCCATTGGTTATGACCTGATAGCGACCCCTGTCCTCCTGGACCACGTCTGAGAAGATGAGGATGTGGCGCTTCCCGTCCTTCTTGAAGCGGTACCGGGCCTTGAAGGAATCCTCCCGAGTCAGTTCCACACCATCTTTCATCCTAGGTGGGTGAGACACAGAACGGGATGTGAGGAGACAGCACAGCTCTCGGTCTGGGTCTTGGAGAGTCAGTCGGGGGCCCATGCAGAGGGATCAGAAGGCAGGTCCCCGGAGGGAGGAGACATAATGAGTGGCAGAGGCATCTTGAGTGGTGGACGGGTCACAGGTCAGGTGAAGGGGAGAGAGAGGGCCAGGCACGCTGGCTCATGCCTGTAATCCCAGCCCTTTGGGAGGCTGAGGTGTGTGGATCACCTGAGGTCAGGAGTTCGAGACCAACCTGGCCAACATGGTGAAAACCCACCTCTAATAAAAAATAAAAAATTAGGCAGGTGTGGTGGTGGGCACCTATAATCCCAGCTATTCAGGAGGCTAAGGCAGGAGAATTGCTTGAATCCGGGAGGCAGAGGTTGAGGTGAGCCAAGATCACGCAATTGCACTCCAGCCTGGGTGACAGAGTGAGACTCTGTCTCAAAAAAAAAAAAAAAAGGCAGTGAGGAGAGAGAGGAGGAAGTCACAGGCCACACACAGTTAATTGTCTCAAGGTACCAAGGTATTGGCTGGAAGTCAGGGGACACAAAAAGATGTCATGGGGAGAGGTCCGCACAGAGGAAGCCCTGGGGTCTCAGAGAAACATCAAACGTTGTGGCCTCTGTCAGTGGTTTTCCCTGTCCAGGGCACTCTCCCCTTCTCTCTTCACTTATACCTCCATGTCATTCAGATCTCAGCTCAATTGTCATCTCCTCCAGGAAGACTTCCCTGACCTCCTGAGTCCCTTCCTCCTAGGAAGCTATTACAACATCCATTACTGCTCCTTTCAAGCCAGTCTCAAAATGGAACTTTTATATGTATGTATGTGATGACTTGACTAATGCCTATCTCTTTCTCCTACACAAACACACATACACACACACCACCACCACCACTATCACCAAATTAGCAGATTATAAATGCCATGAAGGCAGGTACCATGTTGACATTTTTTTTTTTTTTTTTTTTTTTTTGAGACGGAGTCTCGCTGTGTCTCCCAGGTTGGAGTGCAGTGGCGCGATCTCGGCTCACTGCAAGCTCCGCCTCCCAGGTTCATGCCATTCTCCTGCCTCAGCCTCCCAAGTAGCTGGGACTACAGGCGCCCGCCAACACGCCCGGCTAATTTTTTGTATTTTTAGTAGAAACGGGGTTTCACCGTGTTAGCCAAGATGGTCTCGATCTCCTGACCTCGTGATCCGCCCGTCTCGGCCTCCCAAAGTGCTAGGATTACAGGCGTGAGCCACCGCGCCCGGCCATGTTGACATTTTTTTTCTCCCCATTATATCTCTGATACGTAGAAGAGTACACCACACAACAGGTGCTCGATAAATATTTGTTGGGTTGGTGAATAGGTACATAGATGGATGAATGGATAGGTAGATGGTGGGCAAGTATGCAGGTGAGTGAGTGAGTGGATGGATAGATCTCTGGATTGATAGGTCGATGGATGGCTAGATGGCAACCTAAATGGAAGAGTGGATATATGAATGAGTAGATGGATGAATGGGTCAATGGGATGGATGGATGGATGGATGGATGGATGGATGGATGGATGGATGGATGAATGGATGGACAGATGGTTAAGTAGATGGATGGATGGTTAAGTGGATGGATGGATGGATGGATGGATGAGTGGATGGATGGATGCATGAGTGGATGGATGGTTAAGCAGATGGATGGATGGATGGATGGATGGATGGATGGATGGATGGATGGATGGACTGGGTGGATGAGTGGATACCTGGATAGATGGACCAAGGAATAGATAATTGGTCAGATGAATGAATATTTAATGGAACAGTCGGAGATCAGGAAGACGACCCTGAAGAGGATAGGATAGGTAGAGGTCAGAAATTCTAGAAACAATTTTAGGTGAAGGTAAGGATTTATAGAGAAAAGCTGAGATCTCCTGGGGATGACTACTGAGTAAAGGTCAGAAATCTCCAAGAGAAGTCACAGGAGGTCCCATAAAGATCAAGGCAGAGGCAAAGAAACTATGTGCACCTGTATGGAGATCAGGGATCAAGGGTCACTTACCACATCACCTGGGCACCCTCTTCTGACACCTCCACTGCCATTTCCACCCGGTCACCCACAAACACCTGCTGGTCCTCAAGAGGTGTGACAATTAGGACTGGAGGTTCTGTGGGGCAGGGGGACAGGAGGTCAGTCGTTTCAGGACCCCCTCCAGAGTTCCAGTCCCTCTCCAGGCTCAGTTCTGAATTCCAGCCTCACCTTTGACGAAGAGCTCGGTGAAACACTTCTCATCCTTGACAGCTACTTCATAGGCAGCGTCATCCGCCAGCGTGCACTTGTTGATGGTAAGAATTCGCTTCTTACCAACGTTCTCAAACACGTACCTGATTCAAAAGTCTCACCTCAAACCAGGGCGTGGAGCATCCACCTATCCCTGGGGTAGCTCTGCTTACCTGTTCTCAAGGCAAGTCTCTCTCTCTCTCTCTCAGAGCCAAATTGTGTGGAAAGGGATTGAGGGCCCAGTTTCAATTATTTATTTATTTTTATTTACTTTTGAGACAGGGTCTCACTCTGTCACCCAGGCTAGAGTGCAGTGGTGCGATCACAGCTCACTGCAACCTAGACTTCCTGGGTCCAAGCCATCCTCCCACCTCAGCCCCTGAGTAGCTAGGATCACAGGTGCACACCACCATACCCAGCTAATTTTTTTTTCTCTTTTCTTGGTATCTTCTAATTTTTTAATTTTTTTGTAGAGATGGGATCTCGCTATGTTGTCCAAGCTAGCAATTCCTATTATTTAAATAACCATGGCAGGGCCAGTCACACCTGTAATCCTAGCATTTTTGGAGTCTGAGGCAGGCAGATTGCTTGAAGAGGTCAAGACCAGCCTGGGCAACATGGTAAAACCCCATCTCTACCAAAAATACACCCCAAAAATTAGATGTGTTGGGGCGCTCCTGTCATCCCAGCTACTTGGGAGGCTGAGGCAGGAGAATCTCTTGAACCTGGGAGGCAGAGGTTGCAGTGAACTGAGATCATGCCATTGCACTCCAGCCTGGGCAACAAGAGCGAAACTCTGTCTCAAAACAAAATTAGGTAATTAATTTAAAAAAGGTTGTCTTGTGATGTGTTTGTTGTTGTTGTTGTTAACAGGGTCTCACTCTGTCGCCCAGGCTGGAGTGCAGTGGCGAGATCTCAGCTCACCGCAACCGCAACCTCTTGCCTCCTGGGTTCAAGCGATCCTCCTGCCTCAGCCTCCCAAGTAGCTGGGATTACAGGCACTACAGACATGTGCCACCACACCCGGCTAATTTTTTGTATTTTTAGTAGAAATGGGGTTTCACCATGTTAGCCAGGCTGGTCTCGAACCCCTGACCTTAGGTGATCCACCCGCCTCGGCCTCCCAAAGTGCTAGGATTACAGGCGTGAGCCACTGTGCCCGGCCTGTACTCTTCATATAGGGGTGAATATGCCCTTTCTGGTTAAGAGTGATAGGCCTTGTCTCCGGGCGTTCTCTCTGGACGGGGATCTCCCCGGTGCAGGGACTGCCCACCCCACACATACTTGCTGCTTGGTTTGATCTCCTGGCCGTTCTTGAACCACTTGAGGGTCAGGTCTGGGTCGCTGATCTCTACCATCAACTTGATCTTGTTGCCTCTGTCCACTTGGTAGGCTGGATCCAGCTTCTTTGTGAATGCTGAAGATTGAGGCATGCAAAGGGGATGGAGGCGTGTGGTCCTCATTCCCCTGGTCATCCCCAGAGGCACCACATCTCCCTCCCCAGGCCCTGGGCTCTCCAAGGTCAAAGTGAGGAAGTCAGGGGGCCTCCTATGAACTTAGAGATCCTTGAGAACTTCTCTGGTGGTGATGCAGGGCAGGGGACCCCAAAGTGGGGCTTAGCCTGCAAGGGTTATCGGCTTCACCCAGGAAAGAAGTCAAGGGCAAGCCAGTGTTAGGTAGAAGAAAACAGCTTTATTTTTATTTATTTATTTTATTTTATTTTATTTTATTTTATTTTTTATTTTATTTTATTTTTTTGAGACAGAGTCTCACTCTGTTCCCCAGGCTGGAGTGCCACAGCGTAATCTCAGCTCACCACAACCTCTGCCTCCCTGGCTTAAGCGATTCTCCTGCCTCAGCCTCCCAAGTTGCTGGGATTACAGGTGCACACCACCATGCCCGGCTGACTTTTGTATTTTTAGTAGAGATGGGGTTTCACCATGTTAGCCAGGCTGGTCTCGAACTCCTGACGTCAGGTGATCTGCGCACCTCAGCCTCCCAAAGTGCTGAGATTACAGGCGTGAGCCACTGCACCCAGCCTGAAAACAGCTTTATTGAGGTGGCAGTGTTACAGCCCTCTGACTGCTCCTGCGGAACAGGGCTACCCCAGAGACAGAGAGCAACGGCTCAGGGCAGATCTGCAGTCAGATTGATACCCACTTTTAATTACCTAGAGATTAAGGAGCAGGTTATACAGAAATTGCTAGGAAAAGGGTGGTAACTTTTGGGTGGTCTGGTCATTGCCATGGAAAGGGGCAGTAACTCCTGGCTGTTGCCATGGCCATGGTAAACTGACATGGCACACTGGTGGGCATGTCTTATGGAAAGCTGCTTCCACCCTGTCCCTGTTTTAGCTAGTCCTCAATTTGGTCTGGTGTCCGAGGCCCACCGCTAGAGTTGGGTCTTGCCTCCTACCTCATTGGGACCTCGAAAAGATAGGTCCAGGGTCCAATCATTAGACACCCACAAGGCTAGGGGTCCCTTGTGTGCAGGGCCCAGCTCCCCCCAGACCAGGGCTGACCTGCACTCTTCTTGACCTCGACCTTAGCCTTTTTCAGCCGCTTCAGCATGCCCCGGAGGTCGGTGATGCCATACTGGAAGGCGATTTTCTCGTACTCGCTCTTCTTTGCCCCTTTCAGGAGCTCCCAAATCTCCGGGGGGATGCCTAGGTCATCGTCATCTTTCTTTTTCTTCTTCTTCTCCTCCTCCACCACCTCCCTGGCGGGTGGGGGAACGGACAGGGGCCATCAGGGAGTGAGGAAGGGAGGATGTCCCTCTGCCTTCTTCACTCATTGGCTCTGTGACTCACCCAAGCCACCTTCCCTTTAGGGGTCTTATTGTTTCCCGCCTGGTCCATTGCCCCAGCCTCCTCCTGGGGTCTTCTGACCTCTTCCCAGCACAGTCCCCACTGGGTTTTTTGGTTTTTTTTTTTTTTGAGACAGATTCTCACTCTGTCTCCCAGGCTGGAGTGCAGTGGCGTGATCTCGGCTCACTACAACCTCCACCTCCTGGGTTCAGGCGATTCTTCTGCCTCAGCCTCCCGAGTAGCTGGGACTACAGGCTCACGCCACCACCCCTGGCTAATTTTTGTATTTTAGTAGAAACAGGGTTTTGCCATGTTGGACAGGCTGGTCTCGAATTCCTGACCTTAAGTGATCCACCCGCCTCAGCCTCCCAAAGTGCTGGGATTACAGGTGTGAGCCACCATGCCTGGTCCGCAGAGTATTTCTTTTCATTTATTTATTTATTTATTTATTTATTTATTTATTTATTTTATTTCCACAGGTTATTGGGAAACAGGTGGTGTTTGGTTACATGAGTAAGCTGTTTGGTAGTGATTTGTGAGATTTTGGTACACCCATCACCCAAGCAGCATACATTGCACCCTATTTGTCCTCTTTTATCCTGTGGGGTATTTCTGACACCCACATCAGTGGTTCTCCCTTTCATGTTCAGAACTCTTCTGTGGCTCCCCACTGCCCTCAGGAGGAAGCCCCAGCCCTCCGCCTGGCCATCACACCCCAGCTACTTCCGTCACTCCCCCCAAAGTCACCTGAACCAAGCTGCTTGACTTTTGCTGAACACTTCAGGCTCTCTCCTGCTTCCCAGCCTTTGCACAAAATGTTTCCCTACCTTCATGACCTCTCCCTACCTTCTCTTCCTCCCAGACTCCTCTTCATCCTACAAGACCTAGCACCAAAGTTCCCTTCTCCCTGAGGCATTCCGTGTCCTACAAGACAGTGAGTTGCTCGTGCTCTGGGCTCTCACAGGCCCCGGTGGGACCCTCTCTAAAATCACACCAAATAGTCTCAGTCTGTATCTATGTCTGTTGGACAAGACCCATTTCCCAAGGCAATGAGTGATCTCACATCAGGGACCCAGTCAGACTGTTCTCTCTCCCTGGATCTCAGCCCAGGACCTAGTAGACGGGAGGCCTCAGAAGATGGTTGATGGGTGAGAGAGTGAGTGAATGCATGGATCTCAGCCCAGGACCTAGTAGACGGGAGGCCTCAGAAGATGGTTGATGGGTGAGAGAGTGAGTGAATGCATGGATCTCAGCCCAGGACCTAGTAGACGGGAGGCCTCAGAAGATGGTTGATGGGTGAGAGAGTGAGTGAATGCATGGATGGAGCTTGGGAGGGAAGGAAGGAAGGGAAAGGAACAAAGAGAGGATAGATGTGGAGGTGAATGTGGGGACATGAATATTTGAATTGATGTACAGAATGGTGAGTAAGTGGGCTGATAAGTAGGTGGGTGGGTCAGTGGAAGGGTGGGTGGGAAGAGAGGCAGATGAGTTGGGGGAAGACAGGTGGGTGGGTGGATGGATTGATGGGTTGGGGGAAGACGGGTGAGTGGATGGATTGATGGGTTGGGGGAAGACAGGTGGGTGGGTGGATGGATTGATGGGTTGGGGGAAGACAGGTGGGTGGGTGGATGGATTGATGGGTTGGGGGAAGACAGGTGGGTGGGTGGATGGATTGATGGGTTGGGGGAAGACAGGTGGGTGAGTGGATGGATTGATGGGTTGGTGAGAAATGACTGCGCAGTTGGGTGAATATGTTGATGAGAAGTGGCCAAGGAAGTGGCTGGCTGGCTGCAGACAGAATTGATCAGTAAATGGAATTGTCAGGGATATAGTTATGGGGATTGATGGGCAAGTGAAGATGGATAAGTGGGCCAGCAGATAATGCATATGAGATTGCCGATATTTAATTTTTTGTGGTTGTTGTTTTTGAAACAGTCTCACTCTGTTGCCCAGACTGGAGTGCAGTGGCGCGATCATGGCTCACTGCAGCCTTGATCTCCTGGGCTCAAACGATCCTCCTCCCTCAGCCTCCTAAGTAGTTAGGACCACAGACACATGCCACCATGCCCTGCTAATTTTTCTTTTTTTTGTAGAGTCAGGGTCTCCCTATGTGGCCCAGGCTGGTCTTACACTCCTGGGCTCATGTGATCTTCCCACACTGGTCTCCAAAAGTGCTGGGATTATAGGCGTGAACCACTGCACCCAGACTTCAATCATTTTTTACCTGCAGAACATCAATTTTACATAGTTCAATCTAACAGAGGGCTATCTGTGTGGATGGGCGTGTCAACTGCCCACCTCTTCACTGGTGAACTCAGCCACCTATTCATGAACCCATCCATTCATCGTCCACCCACCCCATCCATCCATCCGCTTCCCCACCTACTGAGGCACCCATCCTCCCACCTCTCCACCATGCATTCATCCGTACCATCCACCCACCTTCCCACCTGTCTATCTGCACCTGCATCTCCCAACCAAATCCAACATCCCATTCACCCGTTATCCATCCACCTACCCATGTAGCTAGGCTGACTGTAATGGCAGATGGGCAGGTAAACAGGTGGGAAAATGGTGGTTAACGGATGGATATGTGGGTAGATAGATTGGCAACTGGGCAGGTAGGTGGATAGATGTATTAGTAGATACATAAATAGGCCACTGGTTGGATGGATGGGTGAGTGAATGGATCAGTGGGTGGAAAGTGGAGGGATGGAGGGATGGATGGATGGGAGGGTGAGTAGGTGGAGGCATAGGTGAACTAGAGCCTGAGTGAACAGCAGAGTGGGTGTGAGAATGGTGGGTTAAGGGGTGAGAAGGTGGGTGAACTCATGGCAGATGTTTGGCTGGGTGGGGTTGTGGGTAGGGGTCTGGGTAAATGGGTAGGTGGGTGGATGAACAGGCAGCCTGATGGGTTGGTGTGTTAGATGCTGGGTGGGCAGGGAGTGAACAGATGGAGGTGGTAGAGGGATAAGCAGTGGGTCCAGGAGGAATCAGTGGGCCATGGAGCTTCACCCACCACCTCCTCCCCTTGAGTCCCATCTCCCCTCTCTGTGCCAAGTCCGGGGCTCACCTCTTCTTCAACAGGCCACTGAAATCCAGCTCACCTGCAGTATCCGACTTCTTTTCACTCCTGTGGCCATTGAGAGGGCATGTGAGTCTTGACCCTTCAGATTCACCCCTTGCCTTCCCCAATCCTCCCTTTTTCCCCTTCCAAGGGAGAGCCTCCCATGGTCCTTGGGACCCTGGTAAGGGCCTGGGGTCACTTACGTACGCTTGAAGCTTTCTAGACTCTGCCCAGAGGCATCCTGACGGGGTGCTGGGGAGAGGTGATGAGAGAAGGGAAGGTGAGTTAGAGGCCAGGGCTGATCTTAGACTGAGAGCCCCTCTCCAGGCCTGCACAACCTCTTCCAGGCCCCCTTTTCTCCATCTCTTGGACCAGCACAACCTTGCTCAGGCCTGGGCATCCTCTAGTTCTAGACCAGCTCATACTCATTTCCCCAGCTGCCAAGCTCCACCCTCTCTCAGCAGCCTATACCCCCCACACCTGGGCCACCATGTCTTTCTCCCCAGGCCTGGACAATCTCATTTCCTGTGCACCCCACATTTAAGCCCTCACACATTCTGGGCTGCAGACCCCCAGAGCCCATACACCCTCAGGGGCCCATATATGTGCCCTCAAATCCGTGTAACCTCCTGTTAATCCTGTACACCCTCACTCTAAACCCCTACATCCTTCTTCTCTAAACCTGGACACCCTCACTTCCCAAGCCGTTTTGCCTACTTTCTTAAACGTGGAATGTGCATAACTCACCTCCTAAGCCTTTGCATGTGCATCCCAAGACCCTGTACACTTTCACCCCCGAAATCCAGACCTCCTCCCATGCTATGTCTCCTTGAGTTTGAATACTCTGACCCCAGAATCTGCACTCCCTCCTCCAAAAACCTGTGCCCACCTCATGCCCATGCCTGTGCACTCTCCCAACACCTGGCTGGTACATCTGTCCACCCCACCCAGACATAGAACCCTTTGCTCCCGCATCCCCCACCAGCATACCCTCCACATCGATGTTGAAGCCACAGCTGTCACAGGTGTCCTTGGCTTTGACCTCGAGGCGGTAATACCCACGGTCCCCCAGTACCACCTTCCCAATGTGCAGCTCCACGGTGTACACCTGGGTCCAGGGCCGGGGGTGTGGGTGCACGGGACCACCCTCTAGAGCCACCCCATATTCCTCAGAGTCCACTCATAGCTCTATCTCCACGTCCTCACCCCCACCCCACAGGGGGGCCAATGGAGACCGAGAGGGGTCTCAGCACCTGGTGGCCAGCTCTGTCTCCTCATATCTGACCCATCAGGACTTCTGGGGCCCAGGTCCCTGGCCCCCTCAGGCCTTGCCAGGAATGTACATGACCAAGCCCTAATGCATCCCCACCCAACCCCAGGCATCCTCCCTCTGCTTCACACAACCTCTCCCCAGCAGCCCCGCACAACCTCCATCCTCAGAGGGCCCACTCTCCATCCCGGCTCCAGGCCCACATTGATGCCTCAGGCAACAGGGCTTCTGAGGAGCATGTCCTGCACAAGCTCCACTCCCCTCCACCAGCCCTCTGGCCCACGGGGTCCTCACATTGCTGGCGGAGTTGTGGGACTCCTTGAAGGAGAAGCGGGCGCCACTCTTGCTGCCCAGCTCCAGCCACTTCCCCTTGAACCACTTGATGGTCGGTTTGTCTGGGAGCTCCTTCCCGTTCACCTTGGCCACGACCACTGCGTCCTTCCCTACATGGGGTGAGTGACAGGGTAGAGTGGGAGGAGGCCCAGGAAGGAACATAAGGCTCTCCAGAGGGAGACAGAACGAGACCCTGGCCCCTCCTCCCTCAGACCCAGGAGTCCGGGCCGCAGCCCCTCCTCCCCCGGGTTCCCCTCACCAGTCTCCACTGAGACGGAGTCCGGCTTCTTCAGGAAAACGCCGGTGGGCTCCTCTGCAGTCGGGGACTGGTCCTCGGGTGGGGCTTCTGTTCAGGGGACAGGATTAGGATGAGGAGGTCTGAGATAGGCTGGGGAGGGGACAGTGGGCCGCTTTGGGGAAAGGACTTAGAGACAGTGAGGGCCCCTCTACTCAGAAACCAAACATCATGGGGGTTAAATGGCTTTTCCTGACCTGGGAAAGGCCACCTGTCACCCTCGTGGCTGTGTGACCTTGGCCAGGCTCCCTCACCCCTTTGGGCCTCGGTTTCCTCATCTGTGGACTGGAGGGCACTGAATGTGCCTTTGGGGCGGGAGAGGTTTAGAGAGACCGGGGCCGGACCTGGTGATCAATCAGCCAGCTGACCGGAGCCGATGCCAGCCGAGGGGCTGGGCTCTGCCTGCGGGTGCCAGGGAGCCCCGGGAGGGCTGGGAGCACGGGAGGCGTGGGTCAGCCCTGGGGCTGTGCGGGGACAGATTCAAGGATAGAGGCTGGGGAAAGGCCTGGAGAGGCGTAGCGAGGAGGATGGAGATGAGAAGCCAGGTCGGTTGAGCCCGAGGGAGCACCTCCTCACCTTTGGGGGCCTCTGCAGGAGCCTCCTTAGGGGGAGCCTCCTTGGGGGCTCCTTTGGGGGCATCTTTGCCTTTGGGGGCCTTTTTGGCCGCTGTAAGGTAGGGGACAGTCATAGTTGAGCATGCGGTCTGCACACCCATGCCCCTCCCTCAGACGCAGGAGTCCAGACCCCCCAGCCCCTCCTCCCTCAGACCCAGGAGTCCAGGCCCCCAGCCCCTCCTCCCTCAGACCCAGGAGTCCAGGCCCCCAGCCCCTCCTCCCTCAGACCCAAGAGTCCAGGCCCCCACCCTAGGTATAAATTTATCTCAGATCTGAGAGTCTGTGGGATCGGGTTTCCCTTACCCCCAGCAGGCCCTGCCCCATCCGCCCAGGCCACCACGCCCTGACCTTTTGGGTCCGAGGGTATAATTAGCTCTCCCTCTGGGCTGGAAACTGGACACCTGGTGCTGACCGCAGCATCCTTCCCCTGCCCTGCCTGCTGTTCCTTGCCGGCTGGGTCTGCAGCTACAGTAGGGGCTGGACCCACCCCACAGCCTGCTTGGCCTGATGCCAGCGGACCAGACATCCCAGGAGGGGGTCCGCCCAGCGGTGCATGATTCCTGCGGTGAGTTCCTCATAGAGAGAAAGCCTCATCTCCACAGAAAGTGTTCCCCATTCAAAGAAGGTCCCCAAACCCCGCAAAAAGGACCCCATTCCCTGCATGAAGAAGCCCCGCTAATTCCTACACGGGGAAGCCTCAGTGCCCACAGAAATGAGGCTCCCCCATCCTTAATACAGAGACTTCCCCTGTGACTCCATGCAGATGGGAACCACTAATCTTTATACCCACAATCACCCCATATCCTACAGAGAAGGTCCCTTGGAATCTATTTTTTGTTTTTGTTTCTGTTTTTTCCCAGCAGGGTCTCGCTCCGTCTCCCAGGCTGGAGTGCAGTGGCAAGATTTGGGCTCACTGCAACCTCCGTCTCCTGGGCTCAAGTGATCCTCTCACCTCAGACTCCTGAGTAGCTGGGACTACAGGCACACCCCCACAAGCCCAGCTAATTTAGTATTTTTTGTAGTGACGGGGTTTTGCCATGTTGGCCAGGCTGGCCTTGAACTGCTGGGCTCAGGTGATCCACCCACCTTGGCCTCCCAAGGTGCTGGGACTACAGGTATGAGCCACCGCACTGGGCCATTTTTGTTGTTGCTGTTGCTTGTTTTTTAGAGACGGGGTCTCACTCTGTCACCCAGGCTGGAGTGCAGTGACGTGATCACAGCTCACTGCAGCCTCAACTGCCTCCTAAGTATCTGGGACTACAGGCATGCACCACCACACCTGGCTGATTTTTAATTTTTTGTAGAGACAAGGTCTCGCCATGTTGCCCAGGCTGGTCTTGAACTCCTGGCCTCAAGCAATCCTCCTGCCTCGGTATCCCAGAGTGCTGGGATGACAGGCGTGAGCCCCTGCACCTGGCTCCCTCTGAGTCTTCACTCAGAGAAGTGGCCCAGACCCTGCCCAGAGGATGCCATCCCCGGATGTGGAGAATCCAGTCACATGCAAAGACCTCCCAGTCTGGCCGGGCTCGGCGGCTCATGCCTGTCATCCCAGCACTTTGGGAGGCTGAGGCGGGTGGATCACCTGAGGTTGGGGGTTTGAGACCAGCCTGGTCAACATGGCGAAACCCGTCTCTATTAAAAATACAAAAATAGCCAGGCATGGTGGCGCAGGCCTGTAATCCCAGCTACCCCAGGCAGGAGAATTGTTTGAACTCAGGAGGCGGATGTTGTAGTGAGCCGAGATCGCACCAATGCAGTCCAGCCCCGGGGGCAGAGCGAGACTCCATCTCAAAAAAAAAACCAAAAACCAAAAAACAAAAACAAACAAAAAAACCCAGTCTACACACACAGACCCCCATCCCCATCAAGCAAAAGGAACCCAATTTACAACCAGAGAATCCCATCTCCACCAGAGATGCCCCCCCAATCACTTATAGAAAAAGAAACACCCTCCCTGCTGAGTGAAGGGGATCCCTCACCCCACACAGATATGAGACCCACCCCATCTCATACAAGGAAGGAAACTCCTGTCACAAAGGGAAGGGACCCTCTTCCCCATGCAGAGTCGAGACCCTCACCCTAAACTGATGCGGGAACCCCCATCCCGCACAGCAAAGGGAGCCTCCTCCTCACACAGCGAAGGTTCCTCCTTCTCCCAACCCTACAAACAGAGGGGTCCCAAATCCCCATCCAGAAAAGAAGAGCCCCATCCCCACACAGGGAGGGGGTCCTGGCGCCACCTGGTTTTGCCTCAGGCATGTCGGGGGACCTCCTCCTGCTCCTCTGACCGCAGCCGCGTCCCGCTAGGCCCTAGGGAGGACAGGTGGGCCCCTAAGGGGAGCCTTTTAATGAGTCCTGAGACTCCCAGAAGGCTCCGGGAGACATCAGACCACAGGGCCGCCCCACATTCCGCCCGCATGTTCTAAAGGGCGAGAAATAACAGCTGGACCTAGGGAGATGGCTGAGAGCCAGGTCCCCAGGGAGGAGGGGCTGGGGCTCGGACACCTGGGTCTGAGGGAGGAGGGGGCTGGGGCTCGGACTCCAGAATCTCAGGGAGGAGGGGACTGGGTGCTTGGACCCCTGAGTCTGGGAGCAGAAGCAACTGGGGTCCCAGATTCTTGGGTTCCCTAGAAAGGACGAGCGCCTGGACGCCTGGGTCCCGGGAGAAGGAAGAGGAAGAGACTGAGGGTCTCAAGGGGGTAAGGGCTGCGGGCCAGAGCTCTGGCATGAAGCAGGGAGGGGAGGGACAGGGTCTAGGAAGCCATTCTTAGCATCTGCAAGTCAGGAGTTTTCGGGAAACCGGAGCCGGGAGGGAGGGTCCGGTTTCCTAGCGTAGGCAGGACGGCGGCGGGGGGAGGAGGTCCCTGCGCCTCCGGGGAGGGCGCCGCGGCTCTGGGACTCCGGAGTTTCGCGCCCCGGGCGTGGGCAAACCCAAAGAGCTGGGGCCCCGGCCATCTGGGACCCCGGACTGGCCGCCGCCCCTCCTGGGACCGCTCCCCGCGACTCTTCCCGGAGCGGGCACGGCAGGCACCGGACGCGGGTAGGGGGTGGGCGTCCCCGGTGGGGGCGGGTGGGAGGCTGGGAAGGCCCTGGAGGGCTGCCCGGACGTTGGCGCCCTTCCCGGCAGGGGGACCTGTGACTTTCTGAATGGGGTGGCTCTGGACGCGGCGGGGAGCCGAGGGGGCGGGGCCTGGGGAGGGGCGGGGCTTGGGGACACCAGGTGTTGTGGGGAGGAAGGAGGGAAAGGGTGTTGGGGACTTAGGGTTAAGGCTGGGGGACTGCCTGGCTAGTAACGCAGCGTGAGGGACCCGGTGTGAGGAAAACAAGTCCCTCCGCTTTTTTTTCCTGTTCATCTTCCCCCTCCTCCTTTTCCAAAACCCCCTACGAGCCGGAAATTTCTCCGCCTCCGGGGAGCGTCCAGCCAATCCGGCGTCAGTTCCATGTGATGTCACGGGTTGCCAGGCAGACTGCCACTGCGCTCCCGCGAGCCCCGCTAAGTTGGGGAGGGGCCCAGGCCTGCAGTGCCGCGGCCACCTGAAGCCTCGCGTCCCTCGCTGCCAGCCCGAGGGCTCAATTCAGAGGGAAGGGGACAGACACCCAGACGGAAGGGGAAGCGGGGAGGAGGTGGAGAACTTCAGTTGGCAGGAATAGAGGAAGACATAAACGGAACCCTCTGTGCCTGCGCGTCAAGCCTCTTATTTCTCGGCATTAAGGTTCAGATAGGTTTTGCTGTATGGTGTCTTTGTGATTTGTTTGTTTGTTTTTGAGACAGGGTCTCGCCGTGTCTGGAGTGCAGGGGCACGATCACGGCTCACTGCAGCCTCAACTTCCTGTGCTCAAGTGACCCTCCCACCTCAGTAGTTCGGAGTAGCTGGAATTACAGGCATACGCCACCACACCCCGCTAATTTTTTATTTTTTTTGTAGACGGGTGGGAAGGGGATCTCACTATCTTGCCCAGGCTGGTTTCAAACTCCTGTACTCAAGCGATCCTCCTGCCTTGGCCCCCCAAAGTGTTGGGATTACAGAGCCACCGCGCCAGCATATAATTCTCTCTTTGAACTCCTCTCATCATCACCCGTGATGTCACGGTGTCTCTGAGAGCCAGCGGCCTCAGTGGAGGGGCAGGATTGCAGTCCCTGACAAAAGGTCCCAGGAGGTTTGTCTACGTCGATGCATCTTATTTTATTCCACATTTAGGGTGACAATGATAGCTTTTGTAAAAAGTACCTTCCCCGTTGCAGGGGGCCCTGGGGAGGACGTTTTACCTGCCCTTCCTCCCTCCCCCTTCCCACTCATTCTCTTAAGGGCAGGTCCCAGCCTGGGCTCTGCCATCAGCTGCTGTGTGCCTCCACATGGACTTCTCGTGTCTCTAGGTCATTGGCATTCCTTCCTCCTCCTCCTCCTGGGAGTGGGGTGGATTTCAGGCGGTGTCAAAGGCTCAACGGGGCTGCAACAGTTTTTTTTTTTTGAGACGGAGTTTCGCTCTTGTCGCCCAGGCTGGTGTGCAGTGGTGTGATCTCAGCTCACTACAACCTCCGCCTCCCAGGTTCAAGCGATTCTCCTGCCTCAGCCTCCCAAGTAGCTGGGAGTACAGGCACATGCCACCACGCCCAGCTAATTTTGTATTTTTAGTAGAGAAGGGGCTTCACTATGTTGGTCAGGCTGGTCTTGAACTCCTACCTCAGGTGATCCACCTGCATCGGCCTCCCAAAGTGCTGGGATTACAGGCGTGAGCCACCGCACTGGGCTGGAAAGTCTTTTTGAGATCTTCCTCCTCCTTCTCTCCCTTTTTCACAGAAGGGACAAACTAAGGTTGGGAAGCAGCAAGTCATGCACCCTAGATCCACCTGCCCACCCAGGCTCAAGGACCTCTGGCCTCTTGGCCCGCAGCCTTTGACTCCCTGGGGGTCCCAACCAGGGCTCCATAGTCCACCCAGGCTTCAGTTCCAGCTGGGTTTATACAGTGGTCTAAAGCCAACAGGCTTGAGAAGCTGCTAGGGTGAGATAGCCAGGGATGGCAGCGACTGGGGCAGATTGGAGAACAAATGCCTCATTAGGAAAGGCTACTGTCCTGTTCCAGCTCCCCACCCCCCACCGAAAACTGGCCGACTCTCTCCAGACCGTCCAAAGTTTTAAGTGAAGGCAGAAATCTGGATTATGCAAAGTCTCCCTATTTTGAATGGTCTGCTGTTTTTGTTGTTTTTATTTTCAGACGGAGTCTCGCTCTGTCCCCCAGGCTGGAGTGCAGTGGCACAATCTAGGCTCACTGCAACCTCTGCCTCCCACGTTCAAGCGATTCTCTTGCCTCAGCCTCCCGAGTAGCTGGGACTACAGGCACGTGCCACCACGCCCAGCTAATTTCTGTATTTTTAGTAGAGACAGGGTTTCACCATGTTGGCCAGGATGGTCTCGATCTCTCGACCTCGTGATCCGCCTGCCTCGGCCTCCCAAAGTGCTGGGACAACAGGCATGAGCCACCGTGCCCGGCCTTGTTTTTGTTTTTAAGACGGTGTCTCACTCTGTCGCCCAGGCTGGAGTGCAGTGGCACGATTACAGCTCACTACAGCCTCCTACTTCCTGGGCTCAAGAGATCCTCCCACCTCAGCCTCCTGAGCAGCTGGGACCACAGGTGTTCACCCCCACGCTCGGCTAATTGTTTTTGTTATGTTTTGTAGAGACGAGGTCTCATTATGTTGCCCAGGCTGGTCTTGAATGCCTGGGTTCAAGCCATTCCCCCTGCCTCGCCTCCCAAAGTGCTGGGATTACAGGTGTGAGCCATTGCCCAGCTGATGGCCTGCTGTTAATGTGGATCCCTCACACCTCCACCACCAAGTGCTACAGTGCACTAAAGAGACCACCACCAGCGACCGGGGCCTCGGTTGGGGGGCAGGGGGGTGACGACCTTGAGACTTCTGGTTAGAAATGACATGGGTGGGGAGCTGCCATGATCACCCAAAATCAGTCGCGTGGCCAGAGTGGTCTTCAGCATGGCCATAGGGAGTGGCACTAGGAAGGGTAGGATCCCCATGAGAACTCAGTCTTTGTGGGGTCCCTGAAAGGGCATATCAGATGGAGAGCCTAGGAGGTCTCAGATGTGATTGGAGGATCCCAGATATAACAAGGGTGTCCCTGACAGGGCCCAGACATGACACATTTCACTGACTCCCCATCCTCCACCCCAGACCTCTCAAGAGTGATTTCAGACATGACAAAAGGATCTTGGAGGAGCCCTAGATGTGATTGGGGAACTCCAGACACATAAAAAGGGGCAGCAGAATAGTTCCAGAGAATTGGGGGATCTCAAAAATGAGGGGACAGATGTGACAACACAGCCATAGATGGGCGAAGAGATCTGAGATGATAACAGCTCCCAGAGGGCCCCAGACATAACTAGGAAATCTCAGATCTGACAAGAGGGAACCTTGGACAGGGCTCAGGGTTGCCAGCAGGGCCCCCACCCCAGATGAGATTCAGGGTTTACAGACACACAGCGATCTTAAAAACGTCCCAGGCCTCACTGGGGAATCAGATATCACAAGAAAATCCCAGAGAAGCTCTTGGGATTCTGGAAGAACTGCTACCCTGCCTCCCCGAGTATAGTGGTCCATAGGTCCTGTCACCCAAAACATGAGGATCCCAGGGAGTCTGTACATGACAAAGAAATCCCAGAGGACCCCAGGCACAAGTGGGGAATCCCAGACAGGCCCGGGCTGGGCTTGGGGATTATGGCAGGGCAGCACTCCCCTTACCCCAAAAGGTGGGGATGCGTAAGTCCTATCACCTAGAGTGTGGGGACGCCCTTTTTCTTCCAGGGGGATCCTGGCTGGGACGTGAGGTCCCCCAGCGGCTCCGCAGGTGGGAGCCTCGGGTGTGCTCAGGCCCGGCGGACTGCAGGCAGCAGCGCGCTGTCGAACTGGTAGGTGAGCTTGCGCTTGACCTTGCGGATCTCGCCGGTCTTGGCGTAGTTTCGGAGGGCGCGCGCCAGCTTCTGGTAGGTCATGCGCTTGCGGTTCCCCTTCTGCTGGCCCCAGCGGCGCGCCAGGAGTTCCTTGTGCTTGGAGGAGAACTGGAAGACGCCGGCGCCTGGCTCCACCCACCACACGCACTCACGCATGTCCCCGCGCGTCAGTAGCCCCAGCAGGAACTGGTACAGGCGCAGCTTCTTGCGAGTCCCTGCGGTGGGGTCGGGGGCACGCGTTAGGTGAGGGGTCCCTAAGGCCCCGCCTTCCCCATCCACCCTCCTCCGAGACTTCCACCCCGGCCTCCATCTCCTGGATCTGAAAAGTGGGGTGAGGGAAGTGGCTGTTACATACACCTGGCTCTGCGCCCCTCACCACGGGGGGGGGGGGGGGCAAGCCACTCCCCCTGCCCGAAGCTGTCAGCCCCAGGCCCCCTCCGCGTTCTGTGCTTTAATTTTCGAGATTTACATCTGTCCTGCCTTCCGCCCTGCGGCCAGCACGTAATATTCCATATTTGTTGAGCTAGTGGATGAAAGAATCTGTGAAATGGGTTGACAGCGCCGCTTAAAGGATTATAACGGAGAGGCGAACAGATCTGGAGGCAGTTGCATTGGCCTGGCTATCTCTCCAGCTCCTGGTCTCCCAGCCTCTCAGCCCAAAGCGGGACAGGGTCCCGGGAGAGGCCAGGGCACCTGACTCCTGGGCTCCTAGGGTTTAGTTTGTTTTTGAGACGGGGTCTTGCTCTGCGGCCCAGGCTGGAGTGCAATGGCGCAATCTCGGCTTACTGCAGCCTCTGCCTCCTGGGTTCGAGCAATTCTGCTGCCTCAGCCTCCCGAGTACCTGGGACTACAGACGTCTGCCACCATGCCCGGCTTATTTTTATATTTTTAGTAGAGACGGGGTTTCGCCATGTTGGCCAGGCTGGTCTCGAACTCCTGGCCTCAGGTGATCCGCCCACCTCGACCTCCCAAAGTGCTGGGATTACAGGCATGAGCCACTGCGCCCGGCCAATAACTGGGAGTTTCAAAGCAGGGCACTGGCTACAAGAATCCCATCTCTGCCATTTTACAGCAGTGTGACCTTGGGGTGGTGACGTAGTGACATCTTAATTTCTTTTTTTTCAAGGCAGGGTCTCGTTCTGTCACCCAGGATGGAGTGCAGAGGAGCAATCACAGCTCACTGCAGCCTCGACCTCCTGGGCCTAAGCAATCCTCCTGCCCCAGCCTCCCCAGTAGCTGGGACTACAAGTATGCACCATCATGCCTAGCTAATTGTTTTATTTTTTGTAGAGATGGTGTCTTACTATGTTGCCCAGGCTGGTCTTGAACTCCTGGCCTCAGGTGATCCTCCCACCTCGGCCTCCCAAAATGCTGGGATTACAGGTGTGAGCCACTGCACCCGGATTGAATTCTTATAATTTTAGGCTGCCTCGGCATTCATCGAAAGTATAAGTTGGAGGCTGGGCGCGGTGGGCCATGCCTGTGATCCCAGCACTTTGGGAGGCCAAGGTGGGCAGATCACTTGAGGTCAGGAGTTCGAGACAAGCCTGGCCAACATGATGAAACCCGGTTTCTACTAAAAATACAAAAATTAGCTGGGTGTGCTTGGCTCATGCCTGTAATCCCAGCTACTTGGGAGGCTGAGGCAGGAGAATCACTTTAGCCCAGGAGGCAGAGGTTGCAGTGAGCTGAAATCATATCATTGCACTCAGCCTGGGCAACAAGAGCGAAACTCCCTCTCAAAATAAAATAAAATAAAACTAAATAAAAGTTGGACATTCTCATGCTGGAAGCAGGGCTGTCCTCCTTGGCAGTTCTACATCTCCCTCCCCGAGTTCCTCAGTGTGGCTGACCCAGATATCTCTCTTATGCAACTGACTCCTGGTGACCACCTCCCTGTGGGAGAGCCATGGACAGCCTACTTGACGGCCCTGCATGGACTGTGCAGATGCCTCAGTGACCCCCTCTCAGGCACAGCGTGACCTCCTGGAACTTGATCCTGCTTGCTTTCAACCCACCAAGTATTTATTTATTTATTTATTTTGAGCTGGAGTCTTGCTCTGTTGCCCAGGCTGGAGTGCAGTGGCATGATCTCAGCTCACTGCAAACTCTGCCTCCTGGATTCAAGCGATTCTCCTGCCTCAGCCTCCCAAGTAGCTGGGATTACAGGCGTGCACCACCAGGCCCAGCTAATTTTTGTATTTTTAGTAGAGACGGGGTTTCACCATGTTGGCTAGGCTGGTCTTGAACTCCTGACGTTAGGTGATCTACCAGCCTCAGCCTCCCAAAGTGCTGGGATTATAGGCATGAGCCACTGTGCCTGGCCTGAACCCACCAATTAAAACCCCCTCAGGAAACCTGTTTGGCCGACGCCTTGGACCCAATAAAGGCGTCAGTCCACTGGTCCCTCTCTCTCTCCCTCCCTGCCTGCGCTCCCTGACCTGGTGTGTGTGGCCTCCAGGCGTGCCATGTATGCCCCAGGACCTATAAGCCATAAAATAATTTATTTCTGGCTGGGTGTGGTGGCTCATGCCTGTAACTTCAGCACTTTGGGAGGCTGAGGTGGGAGGAGCACATAGGCTCAGGAGTTGGGAGTTCAGCCTGGGCAACATAGCGAGACCTCACCTCTACAAAAATTTTAAAAATTAGTCAGGTGTGGTGGTGTACGCCTGTGGTCCTAGCTACTCAGGAGGCTGAGGCAGGAGGATCGATTGAGCCCAGGAGTTTGAGGCAGTAGTGAGCCGAGATTGCGCCACTGCGCTTCAGCCTGGGTGACAGATGGAGACCGTCTCAAATAAATGAATAAAAATAAATAAAATCTTTATTTCCATCTTGTGTCTTTCCTAGTCATTGGAGAGATCCTCTCCATCTTAAATGTCCTAAGTTAAAATAGGTGACTTAATTAACCTCTCTGAGCTGAAGTCTCTCAGCCACAAATGAGGCTGTGTGGCTGGGCACAGTGGCTCACGCCTGTAATCCCAGCACTTTGTGAGGCCGAGACGGGCGGATCACCTGAGGTCAGGAGTTTGAGACCAGCCTGGCCAGATGGTGAAACCCCATCTCTACTAAAAATACAAAAAATAGCTGGGTATGGTGTGGGTGCCTGTGATCCCAGCTACTGCGGAGGCTGAGGCAGGAGGATTGCTTGAACCCAGAAGGTGGAGGTTGCAGTGGGCCGAGATCGTGCCACTGCACTCCAGCCTGGGTAACAGAGCGAGACTCTGTCTCAAAAAATAAATTAATTAATTAATTAAAATTTTTTAAATGAGGCTGTGGTTTTGTTTGTTTGTTTTTGAGACGGAGTCTTGCTCTGTCACCCAGGCTGGAGTCCAGTGGTGCAATCTCAGCTCACTGCAACCTTTGCCTCCTGGGTTCCAGCAACTCTCCTGCCTCAGCCTCCTGAGTAGCTGGGATTACAGGCATGTACCACCATGCCCCATTAATTTTTTTTTCTTTCTTTTTTCTTTTTTTTTAAGACAGAGTCTTACTCTGTCGCCAGGCTGGACTGCAGTGGCAAGATCTCGGCTTACTGCAACCTCTGCCTCCTGGGTTCAAGCGATTCTTCTGCCTCAGCCTCCCGAGTAGCTGGGACTACAGGTGCACACCACCACGCCTAGCTAATTTTTGTATTTTTAGTAAATGTGAGGTTTCACCATGTTGGCCAGGATGGTCTCGATCTCTTGACCTCGTGATCCATCCTCCTCAGCCTCTCAAAGTGCTGGGATTAAAGGCATGAGCCACCATGCCCAGCCTAATTTTTGTGTTTTTAGTAGAGACGGGGTTTTGCCATGTTGGCCAGGCTGGTCTCGAACTCCTGACCTCAGTTGATCTGACCGCCTCAGCCTCCCAAAGTGCTGGGATTACAGGCGTGAGCCACCACACCCAGCCTGTGTGTTGATTTTTACAATGCACCGTGGAGCATGTAGTGCCAGGTGCTTCACAAGGCACTTTACAGTTATGAGCTCATTGAATCTCCATCATAACCCCGTGAGATGGGGAGGATGACAGTGATGCCCACTTTACAGACGAGAAACCGAGGCCCAGACACAGAAAGGAAGGAACGATCTCAGCTTTCTTGGGGTTGAGCATAAAGGATGTTGGGCACACGGGCAGGGGGCAAGGGTTGAACCGTTGGGGGTTGATAGCATTATCATTTCTGTTGCTGTGGTGTCGGGAATGATGGTGAAGAGGTTGACTTATTGAAGTGCTCACTCTGTGCCTGGCACTGCTGTCCCATTTACACTTACTATCCCATTTAGTCCCCCCAACGACCTCAGGAGGGTAGACACTATCACCTCCATCCCCATCGCACAGACAGGAAACCTGGGCACAGAGAGGTAGAGGCACTTACCCAAGGTCACACAGCCAGCAGGTGGTGCGGATCTGGGAGCTGCCCAGAGTGCTGGAGTATATGTAGAGGCCCAGGAAGCCATGGTGCTCTCAGCCCCCCCACCATCTCCAGCTGGCATCTCCCCCACCCCAGCCACTCCCGCATACCTGCCTCGGATCCCTTCCCCTCGGGGCCAGCCACGAGGGCCTCATCCGACTCGCTGTCCGAGACCTCCAGGGCAGGGCTGTCCAACGGTAAGTCTTCCTCCTCTGATAGCACAGGGCTGGGGTACGGGGCATATGCCGGGGGAACCAGGGTCTGCGGAAGGTCAGGGTCACCTGCATGTCCAGGGACCCCTTGTCTCCCTCCACTTCCTCCTCTCAGGCCAAGGCGGTGGCCCTCCTGGCTCTGGTCTCCCTCTTTGTTGACAGCCTAGATTTTGGCCTTTGTTCAGATCACCACGCTGTGGCCAGGGGACACCTGAGGTACCTCCTCAAAGCCGGCCCAACACAGGTAATGCGAGTCTGCCCTGTCCCTGGCTTCCTGTCACTACCTCTCTTGACTCACTTGTTCAGAGGGGCAACAACGGAACGTAACCTGGGAGGCCGCTGCAGGGCTTACTATGTGCAGTCTCAATGCAGTGCCCGGCACCCAGCAAACCTCAACCAAATGACTGAGCTTGAGTTTTCTTTTCTTTTTCTTTTTTTTTTTTTTTTTTGAGACAGGGTCTTGCTCTGTTGCCCAGACTGGAGTGCAGTGGATTGCCTCGACCTTCTGGGCTCAAGCAATCCTCCTCCCACCTCAGCCTCTCAAGCAGCTGGGATTACAGGCGTGCACCACCACACCTGGTTTGGGCTTGATTTTAACTGTCCCCTTACCACTCACCTGGCTAGCGAAGTTCTCCGTGGGGTATGCAGGGAGGCCAGGCCCCGGGGCCTCCAGGCTGGGGGCCAGTTCGAGGTTCCCTGCAGGGCTGTAGGTGGGGGGTTCGTAGCAGAGCTGGGCAGCCTGGGGGTGGCTAAAAGCGGCTGCTGCCGGGTCGAAGGCTTCATAGGGGGTGGCTGGGACAGGTGGGGCCACAGTCCAGTCCCACAGGGAGTCTGGGGGAAGGGCACTGAGTCAGAAGCTGGGATGTCTCACGGAGGCCTCCTCGCAGTCGAAGCCCCCAGCACAGAGAGGCCATTGTAGGCTGTGCAAATCTCTGACCCCAGGATTTGCATGGAGGAGCGGATGGGTAGGAGAGGAAAGGGGAGGAGGGCTATAGGCCCGGGCCACCTTTATCCTGTTGTGCTAGGAAATGACCTCCCCTGGGCCTCAGCTCCCCTATCTGTGAAATGGGCCCCAAGGCAGGAAGGGCACAGGGCTGGGGTCACTCACCAGGAGCCCCCTCTGAATCAGGGTAGCTGGAATGCTTGCAGCTGTCCAGGTCATAGAAGACGCCATCTGGGTACTGATACGGGGTGCAGGAGGGAAGAGGGGTCATCCCAGGCCTTGGGGACTCCCAACCCCCACCCTGGACCCTTGGGGAGACTCCAACACAGACATGGGAGAGAAGAGGGGATGCTGGAGAGATTAGAGCAACAAAGAAACACAGAGACTAGGCATCAGAGACAGGGACAAAGAGACAGAGATACAGAGAGTAGAGACACAACCCAATAGGGGCACACAGCAGCCAGCTCCTGCTAAGACGGTGGGCTCCCAAGAACCCTGGCCCCTCACTGGCACACAGTCAGCGAATCAGGGCGCCTGGAGAAGGGGTGGAAGAACTCCCCCAGCCTTGCCTGCCTGGGGGCTCCGGAGGTGAAGGGCAAGGGGAAATGGAAGTGTTTCACTTAACAGAGGCAGGGGTCAATGCTTTTTAAATACACCTCCAGGCCAGGCGTGGTGGCTCACGCCTGTCATCCCAACACTTTGGGGGGCCGAGGCGGGCAGATCACCTGAGGTCAGGAGTTCAAGACCAGTCTAGCCAACATGGTGAAATCCCGTCTCTACTAAAAATACAAAAATTAGCTAGGCGTGGTGGCGCACGCCTGTAATCCTAGCACTTTGGGAGGCTGAGGCCAGTGAATCACCTGAGGTCAGGAGTTCGAGACCAGCCTGCACAACATGGGGAAACCCCATCTCTACTGAAAATACAAAAATTAGCTGGGCCTGGTGGCAGATGTCTGTAATCCCAGCTACTCTGGAGGCCGAGGCAGGAGAATCGCTTGAACCTGGGAGGTGGAGGTTGCAGTGAGCTGAGATCGCGCCACTGCACTCCAGCCTGGGTGACAGAGTGAGACTCTGTCTCGAAAAATAAATAGGCCGGGCATGGTGGCTCATGCCTGTAATCCCAGCACTTTGGAAGGCCAAGGCAGGCAGATCATGAGGTCAGGAGATCGATACCAGCCTGGCCAACATGGTGAAACCCCGTCTCTACTAAAAATACAAAAATTAGCCAGGCATGGTGGTGCGCACCTGTAGTCCCAGCTACTTGGGAGGCTGAGGCAGGAGAATCGCTTGAACCCAGGAGGCTGAGGTTGCAGTGAGCCGAGATCGCACCACTGTACTCCAGCCCGGCGACAGAGCAAAACTCTGTCTCAATAAATAAATAAATAAATAAATCTCCATATGTTGATTCGCCCCATGAATCATGTGTTGTTGCTTCAAGAACTCGAGTCTAGGAAAAACTAAAGCTAGATCCACACCATGCCTAGGACCTGGCAGTCTCACTCCTTGGCATTTAATCAAGAGAACTGAAAATGGATGTGCACAAAATAGCCTTGTTCCAGAATCATCCCAGCAGCTTTATTATGAGTCTCCAACTGGAAACAGCCCAGGTGTCATCAACAGAAGAAGGGATAAACAGACTGTGGTGTGGGCTGATCATAGATAGAGTACTATACAGCAAGGAAAAAGGACAAACACTGACACACACTTCATGTTGAGTGAGGGAAGCCAGACCCCAAAAGGGACATGCTGTATGACTCACTTTACATAAAGTTCAAAAGCAGGCAGCTGGGTGCGGTGGCTCACGCCTGTAATCCCAGCAATTTGGGAGGCTGAGGTGGGAGGATCACTTGAGCTCAGGAGTTTGAAACCAGCCCGGATAACATGGTGAAACCCTGCCTCTACTAAAAATACAAAAATTAGCTGGGCATGGTGGCACATGCCTGTAATCCCAGCTACTTGGGAGGCTGAGGCAGGAGAATTGCTTGAACCCGGGAGGTGGAGCTTGCAGTGAGCCAAGACGCTGCCACTGCACTCCAGCCTGGGTGACAGAGCGAGACTCCTTCTCAAAAAGCAAAACAAAAAAAAGAGCAGGCAAAACAAATTACAAATTGGTGGCGGAAAATATCAGAGAAAGGTATTGACTGAGAAGGGACAGGAAGGAATATTTCAGAGATTGAAATGTTCGGTATCTTGATCTGGCTTGTGGCTACACGGTGTATAGATAATGCAAAAACACAAGATTTGTCACTTTACTGACTTGTTAGTTACACTTCAATTAAAAAACAAACAAACAAAAACAAACAAAAAAAACATGGCTGGGGTGTGAATGTGGAGGGGCATAAACAGGGGCTTTCTTTCAACCACATCAGTAAGATTTGATTACTCAGACTGGATTGTGGGTTCAAGGGTGTTGGGTATAGTATTCCGTATCTGAACTGTTAGAGAACACAATTTTTAAAAATACGAACAAAAAGAAGGAAAGGAACATGAAAATACATTGTCTGAATATGGGATGGGCAGAGAGAGATACAAAGCCACAAGGAAGTGGATTCAAGCCTGAGAGGGGGAGAGAGACATCAAAAATACGGATGCGGGGTAGCAGGAGATACCAAGGGGGAGCTCAGAAACAAAGTGACAGGAAGAGGTGGGAGGGGAAACTGAGGCAGGAAGCAAATGACTTCTCTGAGGGAGGTCACTGTGGGCCACCCCTCCCTGGCCCCCAGGGGCCCCAACTCACCAGACAGCTGAAGTGTGGCCCGTCGAGCCTGGAGGGGGAGAGACACAGGGGCATGCTGAGGCTGCCTCCAGCCACCTGAATCTCAAAGTGGTTGGGGGCTGATGGGGAGGCGGCAGCAGCTGTGACCACCGCAGCCCTGTGTGAGGGACCAGCCCCACCACATTCACCGGACTCCCCCACTACCCCCTGCTGGGACAGGAAGTGGGGGGTGGGGGGGAGGCAAATGTCCCCCTCCTCCCCAGAATTTGCATAGACACCCTGGTGGGGAGGGGCAGGGAAAGTGAGGGAGAGAAAGTCCCGGAAAGGAGGTGTGGGGATGGAGAGGGGGCCTGGGTCAAGTGCGGCCTTGGTGGCGAGTCAGTTGAGTCCAGCTTGGACCAGAGGAGAAGGATGGAGAGATGTCTGGGTAGAGAGGGGGAAGCCCGGAGAAGACTCAGATGAGGAGGCTCAAGGAGAGGTGGGACACAGAGAAAGGTGTGCAAAGGGACATTCACGCACAGAGGCGGGGAGGATTCCTGGAGCCCCAGATGGAGGCACTGAGAGTGAGGGTGAGGCAGAAGGAGACCAAAAGGCAGGGAGAGCGAGAACTGGAGACAGAGACACAGAGACAGGCAGAGAGACAGAGAGCAACAGGCAGAATGTTGAGAGCTGGGAGATGCCAGATACAGAGCGAACAGATACGGGAACTCGGGGAGACAGGAGGATGGACAGAGTGAGAGCCACGGAGGACGCCCGCAGGAGGGCACGCTAGCAAGTGTTCTGGGGAAATGAGATCTTTGGGGACCAGGAAAGATAGGAACTGGGGGGATGGAGAGTCCGAAGTGAAGAGGGAACAGAACCAGAAGGGGCAAGAGACAGGGTGGACCCCTCCCCTCCACTCCCACCCACCGGCCGTGAGGAGCAGAGAAACCACTGCCCATGGGTGAGGCCCCACAGAGGGGCAGTGCAGGTGGGGACCCCGGGTGCAGGTTTGGGGGCCCTCACTTACTGTGCAGCCTCCAGGGCGAGCATGGTGGTGCCGGGCGGGCTGTTTGCCGCCCGCTGCAGCCGCCAACCCTATTTATATCTTGGCCCAGCCCCTGCCGGGGGGAGGAGGGTGCCCGCTGGCCACAAGCTCGGCCCTCCTCAAAAATCCCCTCAGGGAGGGGGTCAGGGGAGGGGGCTGGATTGCACAACCCCTTTGTCACATGGCAGGGATGGCGGGCCAGGGGCTGTCTGGATTTGGGGATCCCCGTGGGGCTGGGTTTGGGGGGCTGACCTTGAGGGCTGGAGATGGGACAGGAGCTGGATTTGGGGGAACCCTGAAAACATCGAGGAAGGGCTGGGGTTCACTGAAGAGGAGAATCAGGAAACGGAGGATCTGGACCCAGGAGCCGAATTCCAGCAGGGGCGGGCTGGGGGCCGAGGGGCAAGCACAAGACTCTCCCCGGGGGATGTGTGAGGTGACGGGAGGGCCGAGGGCATCTGACGGCAGTTAGAGGCTGCGGGGATAGAGATGGGAGTCGCTGGGGGGAAACCCAGACCCAAAGCCCATTGCCAGGACCCCGACGTGGAAACATCGTGGGTGTGTGGTCCGGCGGGGGATGGGGGGGTCCCCTTGGCCGGGCTGAGGAGTGGAAGCCCCGGTGCGCCTGGGGCTGCCCCAGGGCCTGGAGGAAACAGGTCAGCACCTGGAGGGCGGGGCAGCCACCAGGGTCCCCAGGGTCATCACCAGGGAGGGCTGGGCCGGGGCCAGACACCTGGGGGCCCTAAGCAGGGCAGAGAAGCGCTGGTATAAGGGTTCCTTCAGGGCCAGAGAGGAAACTGAGGCAGGCTTGGCCCACATGAACCAGGCAGCACAGGTGGGAGTCCGGGGGCTTTTGCTGAGGATGAGGGGCGGTGCGGGCCTCAGGAGGGTCCCAGCCAAGGCCAGGGCTTATGAAACCAGACAGTGTCCCCCAGAGACCACAAAGCACCATATAGCAAAAGTCCAGAACTTTATTAATTCTCCCTGGTCCCGCCCCCGCCCCATGGGATGCTTGCAAGGTCACCAGGCCTCAGGTCCAGGGGGTCCGAAGCGCCGCAGGAGCTGCTCCTGGTCTTCCAGGTCCTTCCGCACCTTCTTGCGCATGTAGAAGATGGGGCAGTCCCGGCTGCGGGTGGGGGCAGGGGCAGGGTCAGGACCAGCCAAGGCCCAGTGCCCAGCCTGGGAGAGGGGTGGGGGCTGTTCCCAGGACTTTGGTCCCCGCCTGCTGCCCAGCCCACCCGCCCCCTCCCGCAGCGGGCTGTTTGCTCAGCAGGCACGGGGGGGGTGGGGGGGGGGAGCCGATAACAGCGGGTGCCTGGCGAGGTGCAGGGCCATGGCTGGCCGTATATCACCTGTCACCTGGCGTGGGAACCCACCCCGCCTACCCGTTCCCTGGGGAAAGCCCGGCCCCGCCCTGGGGAGGGGGCCAGGCTGGCTGGGTGTGTCGGGAGGACAGCCGTTTCCCGGGCAACACTGGGTGCCGGGCGCTGCCTCCCTAAGCACCCACCCCCTCTGGGGGGCTGGGATGGGCCCATTTTTCAGACAAGGACACTGAGGCTCAGGACAGCTCACAGCTGGAAGGGGATGGGCGGGGAGGATGCTCAGGAGAGGCCTTGGAGTCAGAGGTTGGGTCCACAACCCACAGGCCTGGGAGCTGGGAAGGGGCGGGGCAGCCCAGGGTCGGGACATGGCACACACCTGGTGCAGATGACGTCCTCGTGCAGGCTGCCCTGGCAGCGCTGGCACTGCGTCCAGAGGCGCGAGAAGCGCTCCTCCAGGGCATTCAGATGGGATACCTGGGGACGGCAGCGGCTGAGCAGGGCGCCCCCGCCTCCCCACCTGGCCCCTCCTCACCTCCCGGCCCTCTCACCTCCTTCTGATACAGCTCAGACTCCCGGGGCTGGCAGAACTCACACACGGCTCCTGTGGGGAGGCGGGTCAGCCCAAGTGCTGGGGCCCAGCCAGGAACTGGGCCACCCCATCCCTGCCCACTGCCAATCCCAGCTTCTGAAAGTCCCCAGAGGCTGGAGAACAACGGAGCAAGTGTGCTGGGAAAACTCCCCTGGGGAACTCCCGGGGTGGGGGCCGAGGACCCTCTGTGGGGGGTGGAGACAGGGGCCACCCACCCAGGGGCCCTGGGCCCACTGGGTGGCAGTGCCAGCCGATGGGGTGGGTGTCTAGGATCTGGGGTGACGGCAGAGCAGGTTGAGGGCCAGTGGGGGCCCAGTGGCCAGGGCCGCTCACCCTGGTGGCTGAGCACTGTGCGGCAGCCAATGCAGCAGTTGCGGCGTTTGGCGAAGGCCAGGAGGCCGCCCACCTTGCCCGTGAGCACCGTCTTGCAGCGCGTGTGGTCCCCCCCTGCAGGAGAGGAGGCAGGTGGTGGGCCGGTGATCTCCTCTGCCCCCCCAGGGTGCCCCCAGTCCCCTGGTGCCCCCGTACGCAGTAGCACAGCCTCGGCACGGCCCTCGCCCAGGATGGGCTCGAAGATGCGCAGGAGGGGCTTGGCCAGCTGCTGCTCCAGGTAGTACTGCGTGTCAATGGGCAGGCTGTGCTCCAGCACGAACAGCGGGTCCTGCGGCCACATGGCAGTCACACCCGGGCAGCCAGGGAAAGGGCACCGGGGTGGACACGGGGTGGTCATGGGGCCTGGGGCTTAGGGCCTAGGCCTGCCTGCGGGCTGTGACATGGGGGGGGCCTGGGTCTGGGATGGGGTCGGAGGTCACGGAGTCTCTGGGCCACAGAGTCTGTAGGGCTCTCAGGTCACCACGGAAGGGTCAGAGTTCACAAGGGGAAGCAAGGATGAGGAAGGGGTCAGGAGGTCAGAGGTCATGGGGCTAAGATGTGGGTCACTGGGGGTGGGGGTAGAGCTGGAGGATTATGAATCCAAGGGAACCCCCGGCTGGGGAGCTGTATGCACAGGGGAGGGACTGGGGCCCCTTCCATAGGGAAGCAAGGGAGGGGTCAGAATAGAGGGGGGACCTCCAGAGGGGGCCGAGGCCACACCCAGGCTGCCATGGGGGGCGGTTCTCAGGGCCCCACAGGGCACGGGAGGCCCCACCCTTCCCGCAGGCCCGCCCATCTCGGAAAGCAGAAGTGAGAGCGAGGGGGCTGGGCGGGAGCAGGCAGCCAGGTGGGCCTGACCTCCGACTTCATGTAGGCGGCCACACCCTTGGCGGCACTGATGATCACGTAGGGGACGCGGTCGCCCAGGCTGGGCGCACTCCCGGGGTCCCGCTTCCTCATCCTGCGTGGAGATGGGGTGGCGGGTGGGTGAGGGCAGGTGGGTGGCGGGGGTGGGGGCGAGGGTGTAGGAAGTGGGCCCAGCTGGCAGGAAGGAGGGGGTTATTTCTGGCCAGGCCACCCGCCCCGCGCAGGACCTCTCGGCCAGCTCCACGTGGGCCTGCTTGCCGGCATAGTCGGAGGCCGCGCGGGTCAGCTCCTTGGTGATGACCAGCTGGGAGATATCGATGCGGTTGCACAGCAGGTCCGAGATGACGTCCTGTGCGTGAGCCACCGCGCCCTCAGGGTCTCTGTAGGAGAGCGGGCCGCACAGCGTCACCAAAAGGCACTGAGGGCCAGGCTGGTGCCTCCACGGGTCTCAGGGCTGGAGACCAGGATGAGCTCTTAGGGCTGAGGCTCAGGGCAGAGAGGGGCCCTTCCTACCATAGGCTGCAGAGTGGCAGAGGCAGGGCCTGAACCCACAGCTGCCCAAGCCGACTCTTTCCACTGCTTCACCACCGAGGAAGAGCTGGGCCTGACACCTGTGTTCCCAGAGGAGGAGGGGCTGGGGGTCTGGACTCTTGTATCTAAGAGAGGAAGGGGCTGGGGGCCCTGACCCCGGGATCTGAGGAGGAGGGGGCTGGGGGCCTGGACCCGTGGGTCTGAGGGAGGAGGGGCTGGGGCCTAGACTCCTGGGTCTGAGGGAGGAGGGGTTTGGGGCCCAGCCCCCTGAGTCTGAGGGAGGAGGCCCCACACACCGGTCGATGAGCAGGCGGCGCAGTGAGGCAGTGACCAGGTTGGCCACGAGGGGGCAGTTGTCCCTGCGCACGGCCTCCAGGCCCTTGCAGTCCATGCGGTCGTGGGCGTCGGGCCGGGAGGAGAAGAGCAGGCCCGCGTAGCGCTTCTTGCTGATAAGCAGGTATGGGAAGTAGACCTGGGAGGGAGCCATGGCCAAGACCCTGAGCCTGAGGAGGCCAAGCCCCAATCTGGAGACGCCCCCCAGAAACTGAAGGTAGACAGGGTCCCAGACGCAGTTTGAGGACATGGGAGCCGTGCCCTGAGCCTGGTGGGATGGACCGAGACACTGTATGGCTGGAAGTGGCTCCTGAGGCCCCTCGGCAATGCCAGAGCCCCCACACCAGAGACCCCAATCTGAAACAGAGACTGGGATAAATCCAGATAGTCCCTAAAACATGAGATCCAGACAGGCGAGTCGATGAAGCATCCCATGAAAGAGAGGAGAAACTACGGCTGGGTGAGCCCTGAGGCAGAGACCTCCCCACTCTGCGAGGCTCCAAGTCCAAGGCCTGGCACGAGAGAGCGTTAAGCCACGGGGAAACAGTACAGTGTGAGAACTGGGCGTGGCGGCTCAGGAGGCCAAGGCGGGAGGATCGCCGGAGCCCAGGAGTTGGAGGCTGCAGTGAGCTGTGAACTCGCCACTGCACTCCAGCCTGGGCGACAGAGCGAGACCCAGACTCTTCAAAAGAAAATATGGTGCAAGGTTTCCTGGGACCAAGTGTGCCGCACTCAGAGGGCCAGGGGCAATGGTGCACAGATCTAAGGTGCACCCCCATCAGGGTCCCTGCGTGGAGGGCAGCTCCACATCTGACAGGTACTGGGAAACCTCAAAACCAGGGACACTGTGACACCTCAAAACCAGGGACAGCGACAGGGTTTTCAAAGAACAGATGCCATCCAGGGTAACAAAGCCCAAGGCCTTGGAGGCTTCCCAAACCAAGGCCCCAGCCTCAGGAGAATCTAAGCAGCAACATCCCTTCACACTGTGGCTTTTGTGAACCCAAAGAACGGGACACCCTGAGTACCCTGATGAGGGCACCTAAATGCAGAGCCCCTGACCCAGCCACGCACCTTCTCAAACTCCAGCCGGATGGGCGACGGGAAGTGACCTGACACCCAGTCCGCGGCCTCCCGCCCCAGGGCCATCGCCTCAGCCACCGAGGACACGCCGAATCGGCACATGACGGAGTCAGTGTCACCATACACCACCTGCGGGCGGTGGGGATGTGTGTATGTGAGAAGCAGGGTCCCTTCTGTCAACTACTGGTGTCGGGGGGTGGCAGGTGGCTAATGCCAACGGGACCCAAGGATGCAACAGGAGAGTGGGCAGGGTGTGACCAGGAGGCACGGGGACATGGGGGTCCGGCCCGGCTTCCATCCCCCCACCTGCCCTGGGCCCATCTCAGGGCAGCGGTGGGCAGCCCCCGACCTTGGCACTGGTGCTGTAGCCATTCTCCACTGTGTACTTAGACTCCACCAGCTGCTTGGTTTTCTCGATCATCTGACGTCCGAACCCCGTGACGCTCTGTCGGGGAGAGAATCATGCGGAGTGAAGCCCTGGGGGCCATGTGCAGTGAACGTGGGCCGGCGGGGGAGGGGTCCCGCCTCTGCCATTTCCCAGTGGCATAGGCTTATGTACAAGCCACTCTGCCCCTCCTGGGCCTCAGTTCCCAAATCTGCAAAATGGGACTATAAGGCGGCTCCTCAATGGTCAGGTGGAAAGAAGTGGGTTCCCTGGCTCAGAGTTCTGGACATGCACAAGGAAGTGACTACATCAAATGCATGCTGGAAAGACTGCGGCCTGAAGAGGCCACTGGCCCAGTGTTTCCCTCACACTGACATTCTGGGCAGCTCTCTATGGTACAGGACCACCGACATAGCCAGCCCCATCCCTGGAAGCCAGCAGTGCCACCCCCATCCCTGTACCACCAGAACTGGCCCTACCTACACATTGACAAATGCCCCCCAGAGCAGGGGGTGGCACCACCCTGACTAAGAAACCATTGAGAAACCCACTGTCTTATTTTAGAGTTAAGAAAACTAGCTGGCGTGGTGGCTTATGCCTGTACACCCAGCACTTTGGGAGGCTGAAGTGGCTGGATCACTTGAGGTCAGGAGTTCGAGATCAGCCTGGACAACATGGTGAAACACCATCTCTACTAAAAATACACACACACACACACACAAAACTAAAAAATACTTAAACAACAACACCACCACCACCACCACCACCACCAAACCTGAGGCTGGGGGTGGGGACACCAAGGAGAGATGGGTGTGATTCTTCTGTTTTTGTTTGTGTGGATCCAGTCAGGAAATCTGTCTAACTAGAGCATTTTGTCCATTTACATTTAGTGTAATTACTGATATAGCTGGGCTTACGTCTACCACTTTACTGTCTAGCTTTTACTTGTTCCACCTGTCCTATGTTCCTTTTTCTTTCCTTTGTAATCTTTTCCTGAAATGATTCAATTTTTTTTTTTTTTTAAGAGACAGGAGGCCAAGCGTGGTGACTCACACCAGTAATCCCAGCACTTTGGGAGGCCGAGGCAGGTGGATCACCTGAGGTCAGGAGTTCAAGACCAGCCTGGCCAACATGGTGAAACCCCGTCTCTACTAAAAATGCAAAAATTAGCCAGGCATGGTGGCGGGTGCCTGTAATCCCAGCTACTCAGGAGGCTGAGGCAGGAGAATCACTTGAACCCGGGAGGGAGAGGTCGCAGTGAGCCAAGATTGTGGCATTGCACTCCAGCCTGGGTGACAGAGCAAGACTCCATCTCAAAACAAACAAACAAAAACTAAAAGAGACAGGGTCTCAACTCTGTCACCCAGAATGGAGTGCAGTGATGCCATCACAGCTTACTGTAACTCAAACTGCTGGGTTCAAGCCATCTTCCCGTCTCAGCCTCCTGAGTAGCTGCAACTACAGGCATGAGCTACCACAATGCCTGGCTAGTTTTGTTTGGTTGTATTTTTTGTAGAGATGGGGTTTCACTATGTTGCCCAGGCTGGTCTTAAACCCCTGGCCTCAAGTGATCCTCCCTCCTCAGTGTCACAAAGTGTTGGGATTACAGGCGTGAACACTGTAATTCATTACTTTTTTTTTTTTTTGAGACGGAGTTTTGCTCTGTTGCCCAGGCTGGAGCGCACTGGCGCAATCTCGGCTCACTGCAACCTCTGCCTCCTGGGTTCAAGCGATTCTCCTGCCTCAGCCTCCCGAGTAGCTGGGATTAGAGGCACCTGCCACCACTCCTGGCTAATGTTTTGTATTTTTAATAGAGACAGGGTTTCACCATGTTGGCCAGGCTGGTCTTGAACTCCTGACCTCGTGATCCGCCCGCCTCGGCCTCCTAAAGTGCTGGGGTTACAGGCGTGAGCCACCGCGCCCAGCCAATTCATTGCATTTTTATTATTCCACCTCTTGCTCCCATAAGCTTGAGAGACAGAAATAAGGAAAGAGGTCAAGAGACAGAAACAGAACAGTGACAGAGGGAAGCGGCTGAGAGAGAAAAGACAGAGACACAGGATTGGTAAGAGGCAGCCCCAGGGGAGGGCCAAGCTGTGCTCTCTTGGCCTGGCCTCTGCTTCAGGGCTAGAGCCTGATGTCCACACAGCCACCCCTTTCCACCAAGGAGGCTGGGGAGGCAGCCGGGGACTGTGAAAGGCAGAGGGGAGTTGGGAGCATGCAGTGAGCGATTCACTTTGTGCAAAGAAAGGTCTGGCTCTTGCCTGGCTCCTGGTAGTCTAAGCCCCTAGAATATCCCGCCTGATAACAGTGTCTCTGTTCCAGCCTGGGCAACATGGCGAGACCCTATCTCTACAAAAAATAACAAAAATAGGTGGCACGTGCCCGCAGTCCCAGCCACTTGGGAGGCTAACGTGGGAGGCTCACCTGAGTCCCGGAGGTTGAGGCTGCAGTGAGCCACGATTGTGCCACTGCGCTCCAGCCTGGGTGAGAGAGTGAGACTCTGTCTCAAAAAAAAAAAAAAAAAAGGTGTTTGTGTACCTGGGACTTTGAACCACACCAGGTAGTTGACACTAACATGGTTTATGGTAGGGCCCTGGGCCATGCAGTATCAGTTTGACCTCTGGGGGTTGCTGAGGGGCCTGGGGATGATGGAGTCACTAAGGCCAGTCACAGGGTGCTCCATGCCTATAGGACTGACACCCAAGAAAAACCCTGGACCCCAAAGCTTGGGTGAGAGCCTCTGGTTGGCAATGCTGCATGTGTGCAGGCACGCATCAAAACTGGGAGGAAGGAGGGCCAGCCTGGCAACTCTACTGGGAGAGCACAACTGGAAGACACGCCTGGTCCCTCCTATACCCTGCCCTGTGCACCTCTTTCTTTTGCTGAGTTTAATCTGTGTCCTTTTGCTGTATTAAATCATAACCATGAGAACCAGCTTTTCTGCTCTCTGAGTACTTCTAGTGAATCACTGAACCTAAGTGGTCTTTGGGACCCCCAGAACTGCGGGTGGGTGGGTGTGTGCAAAGGCCCCACCCACTGAGAATTCATCCAAGCCTTCCACCCAGAGCCCTGTGAAAAGTGGCGCAGTGCCCAGCCAGAGAGGGAGCTCCCCGTGGCTAGAGGTAACCAAGCAGAGCAGCACAACTACTGGCCTGGAATGGGCCAAGACTCAAGTCCCAGGGGAGAAGGCTGGACAGGAAGACCCTTCCGAGGCCCTCATATGCCAGGAGCTGGGGCACTGACCCCAGCTTGGCAATCTCGGAAACTCAGGCCCTCTGTGGTTTCAAAGAATCTGTTTTTCTGTTCAAGCAGCAGAGCTGCCGTGGGTAGGCAGACCGGGACGCTGCCGTGGGGACGGTGAATGGCTTCCCTCCCCACGTCCCTTGGCCTCTGTGTGAGCGTCGCCTATTGAGAGGGGTGAGTCCCGCCCAGCCCCATCACTCCCCGACAGTCCGCACCTCCTGCTTTATCCGGCTGCAAAGCTCGTAGCGCCACTTGTGTCCTAAACACGTTTACACAGACCTGTCAGTGTCCCCACTGGGCTGCAAGATGACAGGGACAGGAGCTCTCATCCATTTTGTTCCCCTCTGTATCCCCAGGGCACAGAGTGAGCCCTGACCACAGTGTGTGCTCAGTAGGCATTTGCTGAGTGAAGGAATGGACCAATTGCTCAAGCCACATTGGCATCCTCTCTCTAGAAGGCCAGTGAGTTGGGGTGCCCAGTCCTCTGGATACAGGTCCCCCACATGGAGCCCTGGTCTCCTACACAGGGGGCCCACCTGCCCCCAGTTGCCTTCCAGGGGCCCGAGTGCCCACCTGTGAGATCTCCAGGCACGGCAACTTGCCCACCTGGGCGCCAGTGAAGCCGTATACGGAGTTGGCGCTCACCTTCAGCGCCAGCTGCCGTCCATCCAGGACCTGGCGCCGGAGGGGGTCTGTCTCCTTGGCCAGCTCGGCCTTGGCCCTGCGAGGGAACACGGGGAAAGCACACTCAGGCGGCACCTGGGCATTGGTCAGGGCTCCTTTCTGGAAGTGAGTGCCATGTACGGTTGGGCGTACTGTGCACTGCACAGAAGCTTCTGGCCAAGGGGGCAAAAGGAAGCTGCCAGGAGGGGATGCCTTGTGCTAATTCACGCACAGCTGAGGGCAGGGTGGCTGGGCAGCCCTGGGGTGTCCCAGTGAGGGACAGGGATTGCCCAGAGGCCCCAACAGGTCTGAGCTCCAAGCAGGCGATCTCCAGGGCTCACCTCTTCCGGGCACTGAGCAGGTTCTCCAGGATCTGGGGCAGCAGCCCCTTCCGCACTGAGGTCTTCACAAACTCGTCCCCGGTGGGGGTCCTGATGAACTGATCCTCAGTCAGGCTGGGTTGGAAGATGTTGGGGTGACTGCCGGCCACCCTCCTGCTCCAGCCCACCTCTGCCCTACGGTCCTGGCCTTGGCCATGAGCACACGCAGGCCCCTCAAGCACCCCTCCACTCCCTACTATCTCTGGGCCTGTGCCTATGCCCCCCACCAGACTGAGCCCCCCAAGGGAAGGCCCAGATGGGCCTCGGGGGACACATGCTGAATTGGGCACTATACCCCAGTTTCTGTGCAGTCCCGGGCCGAAGGAGCGTGGTGTAACACAGGTTGTGGGCCATCATGATGGACGGGTACAGCGAGGAGAAGTCCAGGGTGGCGATGGGGACGTCGTAGTACCTGGGAGGGGAGCAGCCGCGGCCGGGAGTCAGGGCTAGGAGTTCCCATGCCGCCCCCGCCCTGTCTTGTGGCCTCACCCTTTAAAAAAAAAAAATCATTCATTGGCTGGGAGCAGTGCTCGCTCCTGCAATCCCAGCACATTGGGAGGCTGAGGCAGGAGGATCGCTTGAACTCAGGAGTTTCAGATCAGCCTGGGCAACATGGCAAAACCCTATCTCTACAAAAAAATTTTAAAAATTAGCCAGGTGTGGTGGTGCACGCCTGTGGTCCCAGCTACTCAGGGGCCTGAGGCAGGAGGATTGCTTGAGCCTAGGAGGTGGAGTAAGCCAAGATCATGCCACCGCACTCCACCCTGGGTGACAGAGTGAGACCCTGTGTCAAAAAAAGAAAAAGAAAAAGAAAAATAATATATATAATTAATCTACTATTTTATTTTATTTTATTTTTTTTGAGACGGAGTCTCGCTTTGTCACCCAGGCTGGAGTGCAGTGGCGCAATCTCAGCTCACTGCAACCTCCACCTCCCGGGTTCAAGCGATTCTTCTGCCTCAGCCTCCCGAGTAGCTGGCACTGCAGGCGCCCGCCACCATGCCCAGCTAATTTCTGTATTTTTAGTAGAGACGGGGTTTCACCGTGTTAGCCAGGATGGTCCCAATCTCCTGAACTTGTGATCCGCCTGCCTTGACCTCCCAAAGTGCTGGGATTGATTACAGGGGTGAGCCACCGTGCCTGGCCTATTAATTTATTTTAGGGCCGGGGTGTTGCTCTGTCGCCCAGGCTGGAGGGCAGTGGCGCAATCATCGCTCACTGCAGCCTCCACCTCCTGGGCTCATCATCCTCCCAGCTCAGCCTCCCAAGTAGCTGGGATTACAGGCATGCACCACCACGCCTGGCTAATTTTTAAAAATTTTTTCGGCCGGGCACGGTGGCTCACGCCTATAATCCCAGCACTTTGGGAGGCCGAGGCAGGTGGATCACGAGGTCAGATCGAGACCATCCTGGCTAACACGGTGAAACCCCGTCCCTACTAAAAATGCAAAAAAAAAAAAAAAAAAAAAAATTAGCCAGGCGTGGTGGTGGGCGCCTGTAGTCCCAGCTGCTGTGGAGACTGAGGTAGGAGAATGGCGTGAACCCGGGAGGCAAAGCTTGCAGTGAGCTGAGATTGCGCCACTGCACTCCAGCCTGGGTGACAGAGCGAGACTCTGTCTCAAAAAAATAAAAATAAAAATAAATAAAAATAAAAAAATTTTGTGGAGCAGGGGCCTCGCTATGTTGCCCTGGCTGGTCTCAAACTCCTGAGCTCAAGTGATCCTCCCACCTCAGCCTCCCAGAGATTACAGGTAAAAACTGCACCCAGCCTGGGGCCTCACCCTTTGAGGGGCTCGATGACAGTGGCTCCCGTGTAGTCCTCGCCGCCCTCTGACTTCACCACGGGCATCAGCAGCCCCTCGTGCATGGCCTGGGAGGGGAGAAGGTGGGAAATGGAGTGGGTATAGGTGGGGCCGTGCGGATTGGGAGTGGGGAGAAAAAGTGCATCCAGGATGCCATTGCCTGGAGGGGGCCACAGACGTGCCTGGTGGGGGGTGGCGAGGACAAGTCTCGGCTACTGACCTGCCGCAACAGCTGGGATACGACCTTGACCTGCTGGCCACGACTGAGCAGGTAGCTGAGGGGCACGCCAGTGACCCTCGCCATCTCCACGGCGTTCACCAGCACCATGAGCCGCTCCAGCAGCCGCAGTGGCAGGTAGGCATCCTTCAGGCAGTACACAGCCAGGCGGCGGCGGGTCTGGTCGTTCCCATTCTGGGGATGGGCACGGATGGGGTCAGGGACCAGGGGTTGGGGGTGGGAGGTGGAGCAGGAGAAGGAAGTGGGGGTCAGGGTGAGGTAGCCTGGGGAGGGCCTGGGAGGTGAGGCGGGCAGGAGGGCCCTCCAAGTCGTCAGGGTCTGGGTGGGGATGGAGGTAGGGTTGGGGGCCAGGGAGTCCACAGGGCCAGAGGGAGGAGGAGGGAGCAGCCTGAAGGCCACCGTGGACCTGTGGTCAGGCCAGGAAAGCAGAGACAAGGTCATAGTGACAGAGGTCACAGGAGTGGAGAGAAATCTGGGGTCAGAGGTCAGGAAAAAGTGGGCGTCAGGTAAGGTCACAGGTCATAACAGCAGGTCAAAGAGTGAGGTCAGACGTGGGGGCGTGAAGTTGAGGTCAGAGGCCGGGGAAGGGTGAGGTGGAGGTCAGAGGTTGGGGTGAGAGGTCAGGGAGGCAGCAGGCACCTGCAGGTCGGTGATGATGCTGTGCTGCACGTCCTCCTTCTGCTCGCCCAGGAAGTGGAAGCTCACGGCATTGAGCGTGTAGGAGCGGAGCTTGTACTCCCGCAGCAGCACCTAGGTGGGTGGGTGGGCTGGTGGGCTGCGGGCCTGGGCAGTGGCCTTCCAAGGACAGGGACACACCCCACCTCCCGCCCATACCTGCAGCATGTCCATCTGCACGCGGCCCACCATGCTGACAACCTTGGTGTCCCGCCGGCCCGTCTGCTTGGACTGGAATGAAGAGTCCCGGATGTTGGAGCAAAGGCCGGCCACACGGCCCAGGAAAGGGAATGTTTGTACCTGAGGAGGAGAGGCAGGGTGTGCAGCAGGCTGCGGGTCCCCGTCACATAAGCCTGAAGAACGGAGATTGAGACCAACCACAACATCCTTATAACAACCCTAGGGGGTCGAGAGCAACCCTGGGGGCAGAAAGACGGTCTGGGGCTGGGTGTGGGTGGCTGGAGACTGGGGAGGGAGTCCGGAGTAAGGACTAAGCTGCAGCCAAGGCTGGGATAGCGAGAGTCAGGGGCCCTGATGGACTGGGGGCCAAGGATGGAGCCCAGTGTCTGCGGGCTGTACCTAGGCAGGAAACAGGAAGAGATTTGGGGACACTGTGAGCAGGCGGCCAGGTGGGGGCAGAGGCAGGAGGCGGCGTGGAGCTGGGCTGAGATGGATGCTGAGGGCGCTGGAGGGCGCCTGGCTGCAGGAGGCCTTGCAGGGTGCTGGGGCCCAGCCTGGGGGAGACTGAGGCCAGAAGAAGCCTGAGCTGGGGACAGGGCAGAGGGTGAGGGACACCCAGGGAAGGGGAGGAGGAGTACCATGGCCCGGGCATCAGCGCCACGCTGTGGAATATACACTGGGGGTCCTAAGAGTTTGTTCTGTATTTTAGAATGGATTTTTTCTTGTTTTCTCTTTAATAGAGGCAGGGTCTTGCTATGTTGCCCTGGCTGGTCTTGAACTCCTGGGCTCCATCGATCCTCTCGCCTCATCCTCCCAAAGTGCTGGGATTAGAGGCGTGAGCCACCACACCCAGCCTGTTTTGTTTTTCCATTACCAAGCTGGCCAGACATAGAGAAAAGCAGGAAAATAAGGCAATATATCTCATTAAGGGCTGAACCATGTTCTCCCAAAAGATGTTGAAGCCCTAACCCCCGGCACCTCAGAATGTAACCTCATTTGGAAATATGTCTTCGCAGGGGGTCAAGTGAAGATGAGGTCACTGGGGTGGGCCCTCACCTCACGACGGTGTCACTACACAAAGAGGACATGTGGGCTAGGTGCACTGGCTCACACCTGTAATCCCAGCACTTTGAGAGGCTGAGGTGGGCAGATCACCTGAGGTGAGGATGGAGACCAGCCTGGCCAACATGATGAAACCTAGTCTCTGCTAAAAAAAACAAAAACAAAAACAAAAATAGGCCAGGCGCGGTGGCTCACGCCTGTAATCCCAGCACTTTGGGAGGCCGAAGTGGGCAGATCACCTGAGATTGGGAGTTCGAGACCAGCCTGGCCAACATGGAGAAACCCTGTCTACTAAAAATACAAAATTAGTCGGGCATGGAAGCGGGTGCCTATAATCCCAGCTACTTGGGAGGCTGAGGCAGGAGAATCACTTCTACACCCCAGCGCCCCCTGGGAGGCGGAGGTTGTGGTGAGCCAAGATCGTGCCATTGCACTCCAGCCTGGGCAACAAGAGCGAAATTCCATCTCAAGAAACAATAACAAAAAAGCAAAAATTTGCGGGGCGTGGTGGCTCACGCCTGTAATCCCAGCTACTTGGGAGGCTGAGGCAGGAGAATCGCTTGAACCTGGGAGGTGGAGGTTGCAGTGAGCCTCGATCGTGCCATCGCACTCCAGCCTGGGCGACACAGCGAGACTCTGTCTCAAAAAAAAAAAAAAAAAAAAAAGAAAGAGAAAAGGGGTTGGGTGCAGTAGCTCACGCCTATAATCCCAACACTTTGGGAGGCCGAGGCAGACGGATCACAAGGTCAGGAGATCAAGACCATCCTCGCTAACACAGTGAAACCCCGTCTCTACTAAAAACACAAAAAATTAGCCAGGCGTGGTGGCGGGCGCCTGTAGTCCCAGCTACTTGGGAGGCTGAGGCAGGAGAATGGCATGAACCTGGGAGGCGGAGTTTGCAGTGAGCCAAGATTGCGCCACTGCACTCCAGCCTGGGCGACAGAGCGAGACTTTGTCTTGGAAAAAAAAAAAAAAGGGAGGACATGTGGAAACAGACACGCACAGAGAGAAGACGGTGTGAAGAGGCACAGGGGGATGATGGCCGTCTGCAAGCCAAGGAGAGAGGCCGTGAACCAGTCCTCCCTTGCAGCCCCCGAAGGAAGCAGGCCCGCTGACACTTTGGTCATGGACTTTCCAGCCTTCAGGACGGTGAGACAATGACTTTTTGCTGTTTTCAGCCACCTGGTCTGTGGCTCTTTGTTACAGCAACTCGGGCAGAGGAATCCACCCTTACACACATGCAGACTCAAGAAGCATCCGGAATTTGCCCCATCAGTCAACACACTCCCCCCTCCTCCTCCATTATGATTCTTTTCCTTATGCTGATATAACCTAAAGGAAGACTGGGATTCAGTGGCTGCTTCATGGCTTGTTGAACCCCTGCAAGCTTCAGGCCGACCTTGAATGCACAGCCTTCTCTTACTCCACCGTAACGCCCTCCTTGCCTCTGATAAAAGCCACAGTAACTTTTTCGACTTGGAGCAGGGCAGGACCAGGCCTAGGCTGCCCCTGCAGGCAATCGGCTGAGGCACACAGAGCAAGATGCACCAAGCCATGTGGAGAGGGAGTGGGAAGGAGGCCCAGGGCCCGGAGGCCACACCTGGGGCATCTGAGAGAAGCCTCCCACCTGCCCAGCCCTCACCTTGAGGGTCTGGGCCCGAGAGATGAGGTACGGAAGGTCGAAGTTCTGGATGTTGTAACCGGTGATCACGTCGGGGTCCATGATACGGATGAAGGTGGACCAGGCCTGGGGGTGGGAGCACATTGGGTCACCCTGGTGGTTGCCCTGCCTCGGATTCCCCTACTTCCAGAATGTTCTAGAACCCCAGCCACCCCTGAAAATCCTGCAGAACCCAGAGGGGAAGTGCTCAAGCCTAATTGCACAGGGGCCCACCCAGACCCACAGACACCCACCCAGACCCACAGACATGGGCGTCGCAGCACCCAGGAGCTGATGGCTCAGGACGCGGAGGCTGGCGGGGACCCCGGGAAATGGTGTGGGGCGTGGAGCGAGAGCTACCTGCAGCAGGTCCTCCTCCTTCTCGTAGCTCTGCACCTTGGCACCCAGGATGGGGGCACAGGGCCGCAGGGTGAGCGCCAGGCGTAGGAAGGGCTCCGGCTCCCCCCAGCGCAGGCCCAGCGAGCAGATCTGGATGACAGGGTCCCGCTCAGGCTCAGGGAAGATGCCTGCGAGGCAGGAGGATGCAGGGGCCTGACTCCTGCCCCTCACTCCCAACACAGCAGGGAGGCTGCACCTGCCATCTCCCCGGGGCTGTCCCCGCTGCCTGCCGGCCCTACGTGGCTCACCCTGGCTCCTGCTCTGCTCTCACCTCCAGGCCATCTCCACACCCTCTGTGCTCACTCCATCTGGCCACATGGGCTGGGGTGCTCCTGCCCCGGCACCTTCATGCTTGCCATTCCCTCCACCGGACCTGCCTTTCCGACCCCCGACTTGGCACATCAATGAGGCGGGCAGGAGCCCGGGCCCGGGGACAGACCTTTGCGGCCGGCGCACTCGATATCGAAGCTGAGCACGCGCAAGGGCGCAATGCGCTGCCATGGCCCTTCCGGTGGGTGACTGACCACGTCAGACCACAGCACGTCCGCCTCCAGCTGGCACTGCGTAGCCTGTGGGCATGGGTGGGTCAGCGGTGGCAGCAGGGTACCAGCTCCCCACCCAGCCCTGCCCTGGGAAGCCCTGCACCTTCTCCTTCAGCCTCAGGGCGTATTTCCCAGCTGGGAGCTCCAGCCAGTTGCAGCCGACGATGTCCGTGTCCACCATGAACCTGGAGGGGGCTGGGGGTCAGTGGACAGGGGCTGCCCGAGGGTGGGGATAGAGGCCGGAGAAGTGAGGCAGAGGCCGTACCGGATCTCAAAGTCGACGTTGGCCTCGTAGGGCGCGAAGCTGGGCGTGCCCAGGCCTGCCACACGGATGCCCTGTTCCAGGAGACGGCGGGCCGGGGCCACGAGGCGCGGCAGCGCCACGGTGATGCGCAGGAACGGGGAGGGGCCGTGCCCGTGGTACCCAAACATGCCTGTGGATGGAAGAAGCTGGGACCAGCCAATGGCCTCCCGAGGGGACCCTCCAACCCGCTGATCCTGGGGGAGCACTCACTCTCTCGGGAGCACAGTTCCACAGCCAGCACGGCCGGCCCAGTCAGCTCCCTCCCCCCGCGACTGTCCCGGCTGATGGCCAAGTTCAGCTCCCGTTGCAGGTCACCCATGTGCTCGGGCCCGAAACCTGGTGTGGGAGGGATGATCAGAGGTGCAGGGGGCTCCAGTGGCTCAGGGAGGGGCTGGGTAGGGGCCACTCACCAGGGGGCGCTGGGGTGTAGAAGTAGGGAGCGAAGCCGTGGATGTGGCAGCAGACAGAGAACCCCTCATCGGTGACCCCGAAGGCGCGGAGCACAGGCACGGAGCCGCGGGATGGTGGGGGCCCCCCAGGCACAGGCTGCGCTGGGCCTGTGGGGTCACAGGGTAAGACAGCGGCCATGCCTCTCAGGGTCCTCCAAGGTGTGTCTCCACAGCCTCGAAATACCTTGGGGCCTGCAGCCTGGGGCACTCCTGCCCCTGTACCGTTCCCTGTGTCCATTTCAGCCTCCCCCCTGGTTCCCATCTCCAGCCTCATCCCCCAGGATCCATTCTCCACAGCACAACTACAGGGAGGCCCTTCTTTTTTATTACAAGATAAAAACAACTGGCCGTGCACAGTGACTCACACCTGTGATTCCAGTGCTTTGTGAGGCCAAGGCGGGAGGATCGCTAGAGCCCAGGACTTTGAGACCAGCCTGGGCAAAAGAGCGAGACCCAGTCTCAAAAAAAAGAAAAAAAAAAAAAAAAAAAAAAAATATATATATATATATATATATATACACATATACACAAATACACACACATATTATATGTACAAATAAATATATTTGTCTCTACAAAATATATTAATATATAATATATGTTATACATAAATTAATACATAAAGAATATATCATATATATATATCTTATATTTATATTTCAACCACCTCCCAGGTTGAAAGGATTCTTGTGCCTCAGCCACCTGAACAGCTGAGATTACAGGCCCATGCCACCACACCTGGCTAATTTTTTGAATTTTTAGTAGAGACGGGGTTTCACCATGTTGGCCAGGCTGGTCTTGAACTCCTGTCCTCAAGTGATCAGCCTGCCTCAGCCTCCAAAAGTGAGCCACCATGCCGGGCCCAAAAGTATATTTTTAAAAGTTAGCCAGGCCGGGCGCGGTGGCTCAAGCCTGTAATCTCAGCACTTTGGGAGGCTGAGGCGGGCGGATCACGAGGTCAGGAGATCAAGACCATCCTGGCTAAAACGGTGAAACCCCATCTCTACTAAAAATACAAAAAATTAGCCAGGAGTTGGGGCGGGTGCCTGTAGTCCCAGCAACTCGGGAGGCTGAGGCAGGAGAATGGCGTGAACCTGGGAGGCAGAGCTTGCAGTGAGCCGAGATCGCGCCACTGCACTCCAGCCTAGGTGACAGAGCAAGACTCCGTCTCAAAAAAAAAAAAAAAGTTAGCCAGACATTGTGGTGCACACCTGTAGTCCTAGCTACTCCGAGGCTGAGGTGGGAGGATCACTTGAGCCCTGGAGGTTGAGGTTACAGTGAACCATGATTGTGCCACTGCTCTCCAGCCTGGGTGACAGAGGGAGACTCTGTCTCAAAAAAAAAAAAAAAAAAAAAAAAAAAATAGGCGGGGCACAGTTACTCACTCCTGTAATCCCAGCACTTTGGGAGGCCAAGGTCGGCAGATCACCTGAGGTTAGGAGTTTGAAACCAGCCTGGCCAACATGGCGAAACCCTGTCTCTACTAAAAATATAAAAATTAGCCGGGCGTGATGGCGGGCGCCTGTAATCCCAGCTACTTGGGAGGCTGAGGAAGAAGGATCACTTGAACCCAGGAGGCGGAGGTTATAGTGAGCCAAGAGTGTGCCACTGCACTCCAGCCTGGGCGACAGGAGCAAGACTCCATCTTAAAAAAAAAAAAAAAAAAAAAAAAAATTATTGGCCAGGTGCACTCCAGCCTGGGCAACAGAGGAAAATCTTGTCTCAAAAAAAAAAAAAAAAAAAAAAAAAAAATCTTTTAAAAAGTCAAATTGGGCTGGCACAATGGCTCACACCTGTAATCTAAGCACTTTGGGAGGCCAAGGCGGGTGGATCACTTGAGGTCAGGAGTTCAAGACCAGCCTAGCCAACTTGGCAAAAGCCCATCTCTACTAAAAATACAAAAATTAGCCAGGCATGGTGGTGTGCACCTGTAATCCCAGCTACTTGGGAGGCTGAGGCAGGAGAATCACTTGAACCCGGGAGGCAGAGGTTGCAGTGAGCCGAGATCACACCACTGCACTCCAGCCTGGGCAACAGGGCAAGACTCCATCTCAAAAAAAAGAAGTCAAATTGACTTTTGGTTTATGTGTCTGGTGTTATGAATTTTAAGGCACAGAGGTCCTTGCACAGGCTGCAGCTACTACGTATGCAAAACAGATCAACGCTCCAAGCACCTCCCTCAAGCTGACCCTGTGTCACCTTCGCTTCGCACTCCACAACCCCTGGCACCCACTGGTCTGTTCTGTCACTACAGCTCTATGGCAACCAGAGGGGCAGAGCCAGAGGGGCTGACCTGGCCCGGCCTCTGCCCCAGGAGCACAGGGCCAGAGGGGCTGACCTGGCCCGGCCTCTGCCCCAGGAGCGCAGGGCCCCAGCACTCACCCATAACCCCTAAACTCACCCACATAATGGTCAATCTCCAACTGTTGGAAGATGAGGGGCTCTGTCTGGGGGTCCAGCGCTGGTGGTGTGGGCCGAAGCCAGCGAGGATCTATGGCTGATGGTGGGACCTGCCCTGGTGGGGGAAGGGAAGGAAGTGGAGTACATGGAGTCATGGTCTTCCCCGGCCAGGATGGCATGTGGTTCTGAAAGGAGCCAGGCAGAGGTGGTGGTCTGGGTCAGGCAGGAAACTTGGAAGAGAATGAGGGTCAAGGGTCAGGGCCAGAATCACTGTAGGCCACACAGGCTGCACGGGGTGGAAGGGCAGTCCTTTGTAGGATTCAAAATTGGCCAGAGTGGGGTCACAGGTCAGCTTTGCAGCTGACTCTTGGACCAAAGGCAAGACCAGGGGCAATGGGTTGGGCAGCAGGAACCTCCAACTCCAAGCCTTACCGTCTGCAACCCCCTCCAGGACTGACTGCAGCTCCTCCTCCTCCTGCTCCTGCAGCCTGTGTTCTGCCTCCATCTCCTCCATCAGTGCCAGGTCCTCCTCGAATTGGGATGGCCGAGGTGCATCATCATCATCCCAGAGGCCCCCACGGGCCCGCTTTGGGGGCACCCCGGGCCCTGGGCCTGGCCGCCGCTTGCCATCCATCCTGCTGGGCAAGTTGGAGCTTGGTGGAGGTTCTGACCGGAGACACCTCTTACCCTGTCTCCATGGCATCCCATGCACCCACCATGACCACGAGCCTTTTCCTACTCTGGACTGGCTGTACTAACATAGCTCTCTGCACCCTGCAGGCAGTGGGGTGGGAGCACATTCCAGACGCTCAATTGTTAGCTACTGCAGCAGCAGCCCCGTCGACTCCCCGACCCTCTCTCCCATCACACTAGGTCCTTAGCACATCTCTTGCTTTTTTTTTTTTTTTTTTTTTTGAGATGGAATTGTGCTCTTGTCACCCAGGCTGGAGTGCAATGGCATGATCTCGGCTCACTGCAAGCTCTACCTCCCAGGTTCAAGCGATTCTCCCCTCAGCCTCCCGAGTAGCTGGGATTACAGGCGCCCACCACCACACCCAGCTAATTTTTGTGTTTTGAGTAGAGACGGGGTTTTGCCATGTTGGCCAGGCTGGTCTCGAACTCCTGACCTCAGGTGATCCACTCGCCTCAGCCTCCCAAAGTGCTGAGATTACAGGCCTGAGTCTCCGCGCCCGGCCTTGGCACATCTCTTTATTTTCCATAAACCTCTGTCTCCGATACCTCGCCTACCAACCACCCATCTGCCCAGGCCATCTGCCATTGAAATGACAAAAACTGCAATTACTTTTGCACCAACCTAAATACTTTGAAATAATCTCAAATGCCTAGAACTCCTGTATGCCCTTCCCCAGGCTCCCCGGTGGTCAGCGTGTCGTGTGTGTGCTCTCTCACCGCCTCTCTCTGCCCTCCCACATGTGCGGTATGCACATCATATTGTTACTTCTTTTCCTGAGTAATTTGAGAGTTCCTTGCAGATCCCATACCCCTCCACATGTTAGCACGTAGTGCCTAACAATAAGGAATTCCTTTCACCGAGCACAGTACGATACAATCTAGGACATTTAACACTGACTCAAGGTTGATATAAAATAAAGGGCACCTTTCCCAATTTCTCCAACTGTCTCCAAAATGCCGTTTATAGTAACCTGCTTTCTCCCCGAGTCCAGGACCCACAGTAGCAAACAAAACACAACACAAAACACATACAGACTGCTACTTATATATATTTGTGTTTTCTTTTTCTTTCTTTTAAAGACATAATCAGGGCCGGGTGTGATGGCTCACGCCTGTAATCCCAGCACTTTGGGAGGCCAAGGTGGGCGGATCACGAGGTCAGGAGTTCGAGACCAGCCTGACCAACATGGTGAAACCCCATCTCCACTAAAAATACAAAAATTAGCCAGGTGAGGTAGCAGGCGCCTGTAATCCCAGCTACTCAGGAGGCTGAGACAGGAGAATTGCTTGAACCTGGGAGGCGGAGGTTGCAGTGAGCCGAGATCGTGCCATTGTACTCCATCCTGGGCCACAGAGCAAGACTCCGTCTCAGAAAAAAAAAAAAAAAAAGACAGAATCTCACTCTTGTTGCCCAGGCTGGAGTACAGTGGCACAATCTCGATTCACTGCAACTTCCGCTTCCCGGGACCCAGTTCAAGCAATTCTTCTGCCTCAGCCTCCCAAGTAGCTGGGATTACAAGCACGCGCCACCATGCCCAGCTAATTTTTGTATTTTTAGTAGAGACGGGGTTTCACCATGTTGGCCAGGCTGGTCTTGAACTCCTGACCTCAAGTGATCCACCTGCCTTGGCCTCCCAAAGTGCTGAGATTTCAGGCGTGAGCCACCAAGCCTGGCCTGTGTTTTCTTTTTTTTTTTTTTTTTGAGATGGAGTCTCGCTCTGTCACCCAGGCTGGAGTGCAGTGGTGCGATCTTGGCTGCAACCTCCGCCTCCCAGATTCAAGAGATTCTCCTGCCTCAGCCTCCTGAGTAGCTGGGATCACAGGTGCCCACCACCATGCCTGGCTAATTTTTGTATTTTAGTAGAGACAGGGTTTCGCCATGTTGGCCATCCTGGTCTTGAACTCCTGACCTCAGGTGATCCACCTGCCTCGGCCTCCCAAAGTGCTGGGATTACAGGCGTAAGCCACCAAGCCTGGCCTGTGTTTTCTTAATTACAACCTATAAAAGATTATTTTGGAGGCTGGGAGCAGTGGCTCACACCTGTAATCCCAGCACTTTAGGAGGCAGGTGAATCATGAGGTCAGGAGATCGAGACCATCCTGGCTAACATGGTGAAACCCCGTCTCTACTAAAAAAATACAAAAAAATTAGCCGGGCATGGTGGTGGGCGCCTGTAGTCCCAGCTACTCATGAGGCTGAGGCAGGAGAATGGTGTGAACCCAGGAGGCAGAGCATGCAGTGAGCTGAGATTGCACCACTGCACTCCAGCCTGGGCAACAGAGCGAGACTCCATCTCAAAAAATATATATATATATTATTATTTTGGGGGTGTATTTTGACAAGATATACAATATCCTTGACAAGATATACAATGTACAAGATATACAATATAAAAGTTGACTAGAGTTAGGCACGGTGGCCCACGCTGTAATCCCAGCACTTTGGGAAGCTGAGGCGGGTGGATCACTTGAGGTCAGGAGTTCGAGACCAGCCTGGTCAACATGGTGAAACCCTATCTTTAATAAAAATACAAAAAAATTAGCTGGGTGTGGCGGTACACACCTGTAATTATGGCTACTCGGGAGGCCGAGGCAGGAGAATCACTTGAACCCGAGAGGTGGAGGTTGCAGTGAGCCGAGATCGCGCCACTGCACTTTAGCCTGGGCAACACAGCAATATTCTGTCTCAAAAAAAAAAACAAAAAAAAACCACCACCAACAACAACAATTAAAACCCAAACAAACAAACAAAAAAACAACCACAACAAAAAAGTTCACTGGGCATAGTGGCTTATGCCTGTAATCTCAGCACTTTGGGAGGCCAAGGTGGGAGGATCGCTTGAGCCCAGGAGTTTAAGACTGGACTGGACAAGATGGCAATACCCTGTCTCAAAAAAAAAAAAAAAAAAAAAAAAAGTATATATCCTCTGGTTGATTAGACAAGGTTATATGCAGGTTAAACTTAAGTGGGTGACTTTATTGTGGTTCAATAAGAATATTCTAAGGAGATACACACTCAAGTATTTAGGAGTAAACGGCCATAATGTCTGCAAGGTATTGGGAATTCTTTGTAAAAAGTGAGTGTACGTATACAGAGAGAAGGGAGATAAGAAACATCCATGCAAATCATAAATAGGACAGAATGTTGAAACAGGTGATCTGGGCAAAGGGCGTGCAGGTGTTCTTTACACTATTTTTTTTTTTTTTTGGAGACGGAGTCTCGCTCTGTCTCCCAGGCTGGAGTGCGGTGGCGCGATCTCGGCTCACTGCAAGCTCCGCCTCCCGGGTTCACGCCATTCTCCCGCCTCAGCCTCCTGAGTAGCTGGGACTACAGGCGTCCGCCACTGCGCCCGCCTAATTTTTTTGTATTTTTAGTAGAGACGGGGTTTCACTGTGGTCTCAATCTCCTGACCTCGTGATCCGCCCGCCTCGGCCTCCCGAAGTGCTGGGATTATAGGTGTGAGCCACCGCGCCCGGCCTACACTATTTATTCTTTCAACCTTCCTGTTAATTTGAAATTGTCAGAGAAAGAAGTTTTTAAAAAGTACCTGTACCCAGCCACCGCGCCCGGCCTACACTATTTATTCTTTCAACCTTCCTGTTAATTTGAAATTGTCAGAGAAAGAAGTTTTTAAAAAGTACCTGTACCCAGCTGGGCACCGTGGCTCGCACCTATAATCCCAGCACTTTGAGAGGCCGAGGCGGGTGGATCACTTGAGGTCAGTTGTTTGAGACCAGCCTTATCAACATGGTGAAACCCTGTCTCTACTAAAAAAAAAAAAAAAAAAAATTAGCTGGGCATGGTGGCGCACACCTGGAACCCCAGCTACTTGGGAGGCTGAGGCAGGAGAATCCCTTGAACCTGGGAGGTAGAGGTTGCAGTGAGCCAAGACTGCGCCATTGCACTCCAGCCTGGGCAACAAGGGTGAAATTCTGTCTCAAAAAACAAACAAACAAAAACAAAGTACTTGTCCCCCAGGGTCCAGGCTGAGACAGAGGGGATTACTGGAACCTAGGGCAGATCCTAGATGCGGCTGGGAAGAGGCAGGTGAGCAGGTCAGCTGTCTATCCCTGGATCTCATAACGGTTGCCCCATATCCAGTCCTCATTTTGCCTTTTTATTTTACTTATTTTTTTTTTAGACGGAGTCTCACTCGGTCACACAGGCTGGAATGCAGTGGCTGATCTCGGCTCACTGCAACCTTCGCCTCCTGGCTTCAAGCGATTCTCCTGCCTCAGCCTCCCGAGTAGCTGGGATTACAGGCGTCCACCATCATACCCGCTAATTTTTTTTTGTATTTTTAGTAGAGATGGGGTTTCACCATGTTGGCCAGGCTGGTGTGGAACTCCTGACCTCAGATGATCCGCCCGCCTCGGCCTCCCAAAGTGCTGGGATTATGGGTGTGAGCCACCGCGCCCGGCTTTGCTTTGCTTTTTTGCAATAGAACACACCCCTCCAACCCTGCGTGTCCGGAGTGGCCACAGGCTGCCCAGCCAAAGGCTACATTTCCCAGTGTGCGCTGCCAGGAGGGCCACGTGACTAAGTTCTCCCTCCAGGAATGAGAGTGATCATGAGGTGTGCAGCTACTGGGACATCCTCCCACCCTCTTCCCCGTCACAGTGGCTGGAACATGGATGTAGTGGGAGAGCCAACCACAAGGACAGGGACAACACTGGGCTCCCCAACAACCTTCCAGAGCAAAGCTGTCTGCCAACCCTGCACACTTGCCTATCTTCCAAAGCGTTATGTGGAGAAATCAATTTGTATCTTTCTTGGGCCACTGTGTTTTGGGGGCTCCTTGGTACAACAGCTTAGACCTGAAATAAGCATGGAAAAATTCTGAACTGATGGAGTATATGTTAGAAATGTTCAGGGAGGTTCATAACAGACACTCAGCATTAGAGAGGGGCCAGCTCCTGACAGACATGCAACACGGATGAATCTTGAAAGCAGGCTGTGCAGAAGGCAAAGTGCACACTGGGGGAATGAGGAGTGACTGCTTACGGAGTATGGGGTTTTCTGTAGGGGTGATGAAATGTTTTGAAACTAGACAGAGGTAATGGTTGTACAACACTGTGAACGTACCAACTGAATTCTTTGCTTTATTATTACTTTCTCTCTTTATTGAGACAGGATCTCACTCTGTTGCCCAGGCTAGAGTGCAGTGGCATGATCTCAGCTCACTGCAGCCTTGACCTCCCGGGCTCAGGTGATCCTCCCACCTTGGCCTCCTGAGTAGTTATGAAGACAGATGCGTGCCACCATGCCTAGCCAATTGTTTTTTGGTAAAGACGGGTTTTGCCATGTTGCTGAGGCTGGTCTGAAACCCCTGGGCTCAAGTGATCTGCCTGCCTTGGCCTCCCCAAAGTGCTGGGATTACAGGTATGAACCACCACGCCCAGCCATTGTTTGCTTTAAAATGGCTAATTTTACCTCCATAAAAATTGTACAATACCATTTAGACAAAGTTGTAGAATACACTAAAGTGATCTACAGCGCTAGAAATCAGACTAGTGGCTGCTCCTAGGGTAGGAGAGACTGGGAAGGGTATGAGGGGGTTTCTGGGGTGATAAAACACACTATACAGCTGACTGTACACTGGAGACCTGGGCATGGCACGCCATGTAAATGCCACCTCAATTATAAACATAAAAGTTTGGAGGCTCAATTCCACATCTAGGGACGTACACTGTAGATATATTATCACATAAGAAAAACTGCATTTATAAGGTTATTTCCGGAAGCATCGTTTGAAATCCCCAAGGACTGGAAACCACCTAACTGTCCTCCCCCAGGGGGCTATTTAAATATGTTAAGTCCGTTCAATGGAATACTATGCAACTGTGTAAAGGAATGAGGAAGCTCTTTGTGTACTGATAGGGAAGGTTCTCAAAGAGGCATTGTTCAGTAGATAAAGCAAGATGCACAGTGGTGCACTCACAATTTTATCTTTTGTGTTGAAAAACAATGTCTAAGAAAACGTTTACCCTGATTCTAGTCATTAAGAAACAAACAGCCTGGGTGCAGTGGCTCACGCCTGTAATCCCAGCATTTTGGGAGGCCAAGGAGGGTGGATCACTTGAGGTCAAGAGTTCCAGACCAGCCTGACCAACATGGTGAAACCCCATCTCTACTAAAATACAAAAATTAGCCAGGCGTGGTGGTGGGTGCCTGTAATACCAGCTACTTGGGAGGCTGAGGCAGGAGAATCACTTGAACCTGGGAGGCAGAGGTTGCAGTGAGCTGCGATCACGCCACTGCACTCCAGCCTGGGTGACAGAGCAAGACTCTGTCTCAAAACAAAACAAGAAAAAGAAACAAACGAATCCAAGGTGAGGGGTGACAACACTGGTCTGTAATCTTTAAAACTGTCGATGTCATGAAAAAGTAAGTTGCCTGGGCTAGGAGGCTCACGTCTGTAATCCCAACACTTTGGGAGGCTGAGGTGGGATGATCACTTGAGGCCAGGAGTTAGAAACTAGCCTAGGCAACATGGTGAGACTCCATTTCTACAAAAAATTAAAAATTAGTCAATCTCTACAAAAAATTAAAAATTACTTAAGCATGGTGGTGCATACCTACAGTCCCAGCTACTTGGGAGACTGAGGTGGGAGGATCACTTGAACCTGGGAGGTGAAGGCTGCAGTGAGCCATGACTGCACCACTGCAATACAGTCTGGGCAAGAGAGCAAGACATGTCTTAAAAAATGAAAAAGTTGCCATGACAATGTGTGTTATCCTAGGTTAGAACTTGGATTAAAAAAGTAAAATGATGGGCCAGGTGCAGTGGCTCACGCCTGTAATCCTAGCACTTTGGGAGGCTGAGGCAGGCCGATCACCTGAGGTCAGGAGATTAAGACCAGCCTGGCCAACGTGGTGAAAACCCCGTCTATACTAAAAAAAATACAAAAATTAGCTTGTCATGGTGGCGGGCGCCTATAATCCCAGCTACTTGGGAGGCTGAGGCAGGAGAATCGCTTGAACCTGGGAGGCGGAGGTTGCAGTGAGCCAAGATTGCGCCATTGCACTCCAGCCCGGGCAACAAGAGCGGGGGAGTGGGAAAAAAAAAGACCTCTCCCTCTCCCTCCCCCTCCCCCTCCCCCCTCTCAGTCTCCCTCTGATGCCGAGCTGAGGCTGGACTGTGCTGCCGCCATCTCGGCTCACGGCAACCTCCCTGCCTGATTCTCCTGCCTCAGCCTGCTGAGTGCCTGGGATTGCAGGCACGCACCGCCATGCCTGACTGGTTTTTGTATTTTTTGGTGGAGACGGGGTTTCGCCGTGTTGGCCGGGCTGGTCTCCAGCTCCTGACCGCGAGTGATCTGCCCGCCTGGGCCTCCCGAGGTGCCGGGATTGCAGACGGAGTCTCGCTCACTCAGTGCTCAATGGTGCCCAGGCTGGAGTGCAGTGGCGTGATCTCGGCTCGCTACAACCTCCACCTCCCAGCCGCCTGCCTTGGCCTCCCAAAGTGCCGAGATTGCAGCCTCTGCCCGGCCGCCACCCCGTCTGGGAAGTGAGGAGCATCTCTGCCTGGCCGCCCAGTCTGGGAAGTGAGGAGCGCCTCTTCCCAGCCGCCATCCCGTCTAGGAAGTGAGGAGCGTCTCTGCCCGGCTGCTCATCGTCTGAGATGTGGGGAGCGCCTCTGCCCCGACGCCCCGTCTGGGATGTGAGGAGCGCCTCTGCCTGGCCGCCACCCCGTCTGGGAGGTGTACCCAGCAGCTCATTGAGAACGGGCCATGATGACGATGGCGGTTTTGTCGAATAGAAAAGGGGGAAATGGGAAAGGAAAGAGAGATCAGATTGTTGCTGTGTCTGTGTAGAAAGAAGTAGACATAGGAGACTCCATTTTGTTCTGTACTAAGAAAAATTCTGCCTTGGGATGCTGTTAATCTACGGCCTTACCCCCAACCCCGTGCTCTCTGAAACATGTGCTGTGTCCACTCAGGGTTAAATGGATTAAGGGCGGTGCAAGATGTGCTTTGTTAAACAGATGCTTGAAGGCAGCATGCTCCTTAAGAGTCATCACCACTCCCTAATCTCAAGTACCCAGGGACACAAACACTGCGGAAGGCCGCAGGGCCCTCTGCCTAGGAAAACCAGAGACTTTTGTTCACTTGTTTATCTGCTGACCTTCCCTCCACTATTGTCCTATGACCCTGCCAAATCCCCCTCTCCAAGAAACACCCAAGAATGATCAATAAATACTAAAAAAAAAAAAAAAATAGTTCTCAAGAATAACTGTAGAATGTGCTAGGAATGCAATATCCTGAGATAAGGAGGGACTGGCTGAAACAGCCCAGGCTCTGTTCCAGTCCCTCCTAGAAACAGGATGTCCTTCATCATTTTAGCCCAACATGTCATGTTGCCTCCAGAATATAAAACCCAAGATGGTCTGCTTTCCAGGTACAAATGGGGTACACACAAATGAGACTCCATCCTCCCGGGGCAACCTTCCTGAGTCTCGGGAGATTGGCTCACAATGAATCCTATGCTTCGGTTTTCCCTTGTTGCCTAGCTGTAAATAATAAATTTACTTCATGTAACTTGAAAAAAAAAAAAGAAAAGAAAAGAAAAAAAGAAATTATTGGCCAGGCGCAGTGGCTCACACCTGTAATCCCAACACTATGAGAGGCTGAGGTGGGTGGATTACCTGAGGTCAAGAGTTTGAGACCAGCCTGGCCAACATGGTGAAACCCTGTCTCTACTAAAAATATAAAAATTAGCTGGGCGTGGTGCCAGGCGCCTGTAATCCTAGCTACTCGGGAGGCTGAGGCAGGAGAATTGATTGAACCTGGGAGGTGGAGGTTGCAGTGAGCCAAGATCGCACCACTGCACTCCAGCCTGGGTGACAATGAGGCTCTGTTTCAAAAAAGAAAAAAAAAACAAAACAAAAAACAAAAAAAAAAACAGGCTGGACATGGTGGCTCACGCCTGTAATCCTAGCACTTTGGGAGCCCAAGGCGGGCGGATCACCTGAGGTCAGGGGTTCGAGACCAGCCTGGCCAAAATGAAACCCCGTCTCTACAAAAAATACAAAAAAATTAGCCGGGCGTGGTGGTGCATGCCTGTAATTCCAGCTATTCGGGAGGCTGAGGCAAGAGAATGGCTTGAACCCAGGAGGCAGAGGTTGCAGTGAGCCGAGATAGTGCCACTGCACTCCAGCCTGGGCGATAGAGCAAGACTCAGTCTTGGAAAAAAAAAAAAAATAAGAAATTATTTATAGCCTTGAAGAATATTACAGGGACACGTGGCAGATCTAAATAAGAATCGTCTATTCAATAACGTCACTGTCTCATGTTAAACTGCATGATGATGACAATGACACTGTAGTTCTGCAGGCGGACATCCCTGTTCTTAAGAGCTGACTGCTGGAGGCCAGGTACGGTGGCTCACGGCTGTAATCCCAGGACATTTGGAGGCCGAGGCAGGGGGATTGCTTGAACCCAGGAGTTTGAGATCAGCCTAGGCAACATGGTGACACCCTGTCTCTATAAACAATATAAAAATTAGCAGGGTGTGGTGGCACACACCTTTAGTCCCAGCTACTCGAGAGGCTGAGGATCAGCTGAGCCTGGGGAGGTCGAGGCTGCAGTGAGCTGTGACCACCCCACTGCACTACAACCTGCATGACAGAGTAAAATACTGTACCAAAAAAAAAAAAAGAGGCCAGGTGCGGTGGCTCATGCCTGTAATCCCAGCACTCTGGGAGGCAGAGGCACGTAGATCATAAGGTCAGGAGTTCAAGAGCAGCCTGGCAAAGATGGTGAAACCCCATCTTTACTAAAAATACAAAAATTAGCCAGATGTGGTGGTGCGCGCCTATAGTCCCAGCTACTCAGGAAGCTGCAATAGGAGAATCGCTTGAACCTGGGAGGCAGAGGTTGCAGTGAGCCAAGGTCGCACCACTGTACTCCAGCCTGGGTGACAGAGCAAGACTCCGTCTCAAAAAAAAAAAAAAAAAAAAAAAAAGAGTTAACTGCTGGAGTTTTCAGAGGTGAAGTATCATGATGACCACAACTTTCAAATAGTTCAGCCAAAAAAAGGACAAAAGGTACAGGTATATGCATGTGCTTGGATAAAGCATAAAGCAAATGAGGTGTCATGCCAACAGCCAGTGAATCTAGGCAAAGGGCCATGGCTGTTCACTGTACTCAATTTGTACCTTCTCTGCAGGTTTGAAACTTTTCAAAATATTAAGGGGGAAATATATAAAATGAAAATAGTAACAAATTTACAAGGTGGGCAGAAGAGTATGTAGAAATCTTTTTGCTTTTAATGCAGGGAGTATGTAGACGTCTTTTTTATTGTAATGCAGGGAGTATGTAGACGTCTTTTTTATTGTAATGCAGGGCATATGTATAAATCTATTTGCTTTTAATGCATCATTCTATAAGGAGAGCTAAGAAACTGGTTTCCTGGGGGACAGGGTAGAAGACTTCATTTGCTAACTGCTTTATTGAGCTATAATTCACATACTATACAATTCACCCATTTAAAGTATATATAGTTCAATGGTATTTAGTATGTTCAGAGTTAGGCAACCATCACCACAGTCAATTTTAGAACTCTCTCATCACCCCAAAAAGCCTAAATCCTTTAGCTCTCTCCCTGCATTCAGCCCATCTGCCCCCACCCCTGGCAGCCACTCATCTAACTTTCTGTCTCCATGGATCTGCCTATTCTGGGCATTTCCTATAAATGGGATCTTGGAATATGCAGCCTCTTGTGTCTGGCTGCTTTCTCTGAATGTGTTCATCGCTCATGTGTGTGGCGGCCTTTCGTCAGTGCTGTGTCCCTTTTTTGCTGAGTACTTTTCCGCTGTATGGCTAGAACACGTCTGACGTATCCCTTCATCAGTGGATGGACATTAGGGTTGCTTCCACCTTTTGTGAGTGGTGCAGCCGTGAGCGTGTGCAGGGGGTTTTGTGTGAGGAAGACTTTGACTGCGTTTGTGCTCTTTGGGTGACAACCGCGTACATGTGTGACTTACAGGAAGAAGCAAGCGTCGTTAGCGGCTCTGGCTTCGGGTTGTGCAAGTAGCCAGAGAGGGACAGGGAGTGATGATCTGCGAGGAGAGACCCGGGTGGGACAGAGGAAGCGCAGGGGCTTGTGGGAGCCCAGAGTCAGTGCTGAAGCTGGAGGAGGAAGGAAGGAGCTGACTGGCTGCCCTTGGTCAGTTGGCTGTGGCTGCGGGGGTGCGGTGGGAGGGACGGTGTCACCAGGGGCAAAACCTGGGCTCTTGTTAGTGGAGGCACAGCAGCATTAGGAAGGAAAGGCCCCTGTGTGTCCCCTCTCATTGGCCCTGGCACAGGATGAGAGCTTGGCAAACACTGTCCTCTGCCCCTCTCACGACCCTTCGGTAGCAAGCACTTAACAGAGATTCAGCAACAAAATGACACCACGTGCTCGCTGCAGGCCAGACACCAGTTTTCTCGATGAGTGAGACACTCATTTCCTCAATGACCTCATCCAATCTTGCCCAATCTCACAGCTTTATTTTTATTTATATATTTTTTTGGGAAAGGATCTTGCTCACTGCAACCTCCGCCTCCTGGACTCAAGTGATTCTCCTGCCTCAGCCTCGCAGGTAGCTGGGATTACAGGCGCCCACCATGTCCAGCTAGTTGTGTATTTTTAGTAGAGTTTCACCATGTCTGCCAGACTGGTCTCAAACTCCTCACCTCAAGTGATCCGTCCACCTCGGCCTCCCAAAGTGCTGGGATTACAGGCGCCCACCACCACGCCCGGCTAATTTTTTGTATTTTTAGTAGAGACGGGGTTTCACCGTGTTAGCCAGGATGGTCTTGGTCTCCTGACCTCATGATCTGCCCGCCTCGGCCTCCCAAAGTGCTGGGATTACAGGCCTTAGCCACCGCGCCCGGCCTAGCTTTTGTATTTTTTGTAGAGACAGGGTCTTGCTATGTTGCCCAGGCTCACCTGCATGCTTTCGGCCTTGTCCTTCCCCTAGGCCTCTGTGACTGCTGTCTCTGGACTGCCTGGGTGTGTGTCTTCCTCCCTTACCAGCCAGGGACCTCTGGATGGCAGAGCAAGGACTGACTCTCCTCTGGGACCTTAGCATCACCCAGCACAGGGTGGGCCCCCAGGAGGCCTTAGGCAGTGTTCGCTGCATGAAACTCCACTGCATCCAGAGACTCAGCTCAGGCTTAGCTCCTCCAAGCTGACCAGCTGCCCTTCAGGGTTCCCACAACGCCTTGTGCCACTTTCGTTATTGCACAATGCAGAGCTGGGATCCTTTCAGCCTGTGAGCTCCTTGAGAAAAGGAGTCAGCATCTTGCCCAAGTTGGGGTCTCCAGCATCACTCTGCACAGTGTCCGGTTACTTCAAGACATGAGTTTAGGCCGGGTGTGGTGGCTCACACCTGTAATCCCAGCACTTTGGGAGGCCGAGGTGGGAGGATTACTTGAGGTCAGGGATTCGAGACCAGTCTGGGCAACATGACAAAACCCTGTCTCTACTAAAAATACAAAAATTAGCTGGGCGTGGTGGCACACACCTGTAATCCCAGCTACTCGGAAGCCTGAGGCATGAGAATCGCTTGAACCCGGGAGGTGGAGGTTAGTGAGCCGAGATCGCGCCACTGCACTCCAGCCTGGGCGACAGAGCAAGACCCTGTCTCAAAAACCAAAAAAAAAAAGACATGTGAGTTGAAACTCCCTGTGAATATCAACCACTCTGGTGAGTCTTCCCTGAGCGCACAGGTTCTTCTCTTGGCTCCCAAAGACTATCACTGCTCCGCCATAGCTCAGCGCACTCTGGACTGAAATCTCCTGTCCTTCCCCAACCAAACTGAATGATCATTGGCTCCCCAGTGCTCAGCAGAGGGCCTGTCCAAACAGCAGCTGTCAGAAACACATAAGAGAGGGAAGAGCATTTCAGGGGGAGGGAAGGAACCTCTCTAGGGGGAAGAGAGACCTGTGGGGGGGAAGTGCAGGAAGGAGGAGAAGCGGCCGTGCGTGGTGGCTCACGCCTGTAATCCCAGCACTTTGGGAGGCCGAGGCAAGTGGATCACCTGAGGTCAGGAGTTCGAGACCAGCCTGGCCAACACGGCGAAACCCCATCTCTACTAAAAATACAAAAAATGAGCTGGGCATGGCAGTGGGTGCCGTAATCCCAGCTACTCAGGAGGCTGAGGCACGAGACTCGCCTGAACTCGGGAGGCGGAGGTTGCAATGAGCTGAGTTTGCACCACTGCATTCCAGCCTGGGTGACAGAGCAAGACTCTGTCTCAAAAAAAAAAAAAAAAAAAAGAGAAGACAGTGGCAACAAGTTCCTTCAGTGGAAGGGCTGAGGCGAGGCACTGACATCGCCCTGCCCACTCCTGGCTCCGCTCTAAACCCTGCCCACTCACTCCCCCACTAATCTTTGCCTTCAGAGCGGCAACCCCAACCTGCTTCTCCCTTAGCCTTCCCCATCCAGCCTGCTGCTCAAACCACAAACCCAGGAGTCATCCTGGACTCTTCCCCTTGCTCCTACGCCCAGTCCATCAGCCAGTCCCCCTGTCTCCGCCCGCAAAGGTAACCGGAGCCTGATTCTCTGCCTGCAGGACGCTCTCCCTCCTAACAGATCTCCCTCCTTCCATTCTTATTCCTGCTACAATCCAATTTCCACTCAGTGGTGAGTTTTTCAAAACATGGGGCGAATCGTGTTGTTTCCACGCTCAAACCCTCCCACGGCTCCCCGCTGAACCTAGAATAAAGGAGAAATTCCATACCAAGTTTTACAAGGCCCTATAGGATCTAGTTCCCCATCATGACTCCGACCTCATCTGTGTTTCTCTCGTCCCCTCGGCTCCTGCTACAAATACGCCAAGCTCCTTCCACCTCAGGGCTTTGCACTTGAGGGTCCCAGAGCGGTCGATTCTGGACCACTCCAGCTAAAGCAACAGGCTCTTCGCTCATTATCACGTTACCCTGCGTTAGTTTCCTTCTGAGAGCATCTCACAGCCCCAGAGCACTGCTTTACTGATCTATTAAAACTCATCACTTGTCTACCGTCTGTCTTCCCGAGACAGGGACTTCTCTGACTTGTTCCTGCTTCCAGAAAAGTGCCTGGCACAGAGTACTCAAACACCCAGCGAATCCAGGATGACACCAAGCCCGCACGTGCACCACCCAGTCCCCCCAGCTCCTCCCGGGCCACGTCCCGCCCCACGGTGCCCGGCGCATGCGCCCCCTGCCCGCCGAGGAATTCCACCCCCACCCCGGCCTTTTCCTGCTCGTCCCCGCGCCCTCGCCCAGGAAACCCCTGGCCCCTGCCCTCTCCTGCGCGCCCCCGGGCCAAAGGGTGCCCTCGCAACCGTCTCTCAGATCTATGTGCCTGGCTGCTCAAGCCCCGTTCCCTACCAGGCCCACTGCCCCGAACTCCCTTTTTCCCCTCTACTCACCCGCTTCAAACAGCGTTTCCCGCCACAGCCTACGCCGCCGTGACCCCTGACTCCCGCGCGCGCAAGCCCAGAGCCGCGGCGCTCAGAGACGGGCCACGCCCCCGCCTGCCCAAGTGCGGGCAAGGCCACGCCCCGCTTGTTCGACTGCAGGGCAGGCCCCGCCCCCTCTCTCAGCTTCCGAAGTGGCCTCGCCCCCTTGCTGAAAAATTCCCTTAACTCCGCCTCCCCATGACCTGTCTGCCCGAAGCCACGCCCCTCCGCGCGGCTACCTTCACGACCTCGTGCGGTCTGGGCGCGCCGCGGTTCTGTTCTCTCTCCTCCCACCCTCGGGTGTTGCGCGCGCATCCTCCGCGTCCCCCCGCCCGCCTCTCGCCCGGGGCCGTGTAGGGAGCGCTGCCCCGTCGCTGCCCAGCAGCCAGCTGGTGACCTGACGCCCAAGATCCCCGCAGAGGCTGGCCGATAAGCGGTAGAGTCCTGGCTTGATCTGTTCTCCTTCATCCTAGCTTCAGTTTCCCTATACGTAAATTAGACTCAACAACGCATGATAGGGACACTTGTGGGGCGCCCGGTACACTACTCTTAGGATAAGGTGATCATTGGTAACTACTCTCACTTCCGCTGTTCCCCGCCCCAAATAAATACACCTTTAAGTTGCATCCCTCCATCCAACCCCCCTTTCGCCCTCGATTGGAATTGCTCATTCAGCTCCTTCAGGGCTGGCACAGGGGCAGGAAGGATTGGAGGAACTTCGTCGCTTCGCTCCGAACTCCTGGCGTCTCTCCTTTCAAACTTTGCACGTGCTGTTCCCTCAACTTGGAGGCCCAGCCCCCAGGCTCTTGTTTTAGGTCCCAGCGATTGCCTCTGTTGTGATACCTTCCCTGATTTCCTCTAGCCCCACCACAGTGCCACGCTCATTAAAGTCCCTATCCCCCGAGTCTTGGTAGGAGGATGGTTATCTTGTTCACAGATGTTTCCAGTGCCTAGAATTGTGCCTAACTGTAGTTAATGCTCTGGAAACATTTATTGGGTGAATGTCTCCATCTCTAGAATGGCCAACCCAGTGCCTGGCCCACAGGAGGCCTCAGCAAACACTTGTTGTTCGGACAGAAGTCCAGGTCCCCTCATTCACTTAAATCCTGTTTATCCTTCAAGGGTGAGTTCTGATTCACCTTGTCCAGGGAGGTGACCCTGAGGCTGAGGCCTCTGTCCTGAACTTTCACAGCAGGCGACACACCACCCAACACTGGGACCCTATGTGCCACCCTTTTCCCAACAGCCTGGGGACACCCAGTCCCACCTGCTCAATCAGGTTCGGGCACCCAGTGTCACTGAGGTCCCTAGAAGCCCGCGCCCTCTCCATCTTGCACTCCAGCTCCGGGCTGGATTGTATTCATATTTTATTTTCCTGTTTCTGTTTTTAGTTTTTATTAAATAAAAGCAGAGGAAGAGGAAGGCCCTGGTCTCCCGGGCTAGGGGGGAGAGCCATGGGTCCTCCCCTCCCTCTGTTCAAGGTGCACTGCGTGCTGGGCTTGAGGTGTAAGCTGGGGAGGGAGGGCAGCCGGGAAGGGTCAGTGGTCGGGACCTGCAACCCTTTCACCCCTTCTGGAAGACTCGCTGGGCAGGGAGGGAGCCTCCTGGACCTGGACTGGGGCTTATCCCAAGGGATGAGAGCCGATAGGTCTACAGGCTCGGCCCAGGGCCCCTTCCACCCTAGGAAGAGGAAGGGGTGCCGGCGTCTATCTGCTGGAGGGTGGTCAGGCAAGGCTGTGGGGCTGGGTGGCCAGCCCCTCACTCGTGGACGTCCCAGATCTCCGACAGCAGAGGCGGCAGCTTCTTGTCCTGGAGCCGCAAGGCGAAGACCTGCTCCGAGTGCACAGAGCTCAGCGTGCGCAGGCTCACCAGCTTCATGAGCATGCGCGGGAAGCGCAGCTGGTCCTGAGGGAGGAGGCAGGTGGGCGCTGGCTGAGCCCCTGCCCTGCCAGGCTTTGGGAGGCCCACCCCAACAGAAAGGAGGGCCCCTCCCCGACCAGGCGTGGGAGCCAGCGTGGGGCCCGCCTCTGTGCTTGGACTAGACCTGGCTCCCAGTCGAGCAGGGTGGGGCCTGAGGAAAGACTCTGCGGAGGGGAGGGCAGTGTGGCTGGCAGAACCCAGCCTGAACGGACCACGTGGGCCGCGGGACGTAGTTGGCTCTGCGCAGAGGCTCTGCGGGGCCCTACCTGCGGCCTCTTGATGCGCGTGTAGGACAGCAGCGCCTCCACGTAGGGCTGCTGCAACGCCTCCACGCGGCCCGGCTCCTGCACGTTGGGCCGGTCGGCCGAGAAGATGTTGATGGCGATGAGCAGGGCGTACTCAGCGTCGTCCAGGCCCAGCCGCCGCATGGCCCGCGAGAACTCGAAGATGGGGTTGATGAACTCCACCTGCAGGCCTGCGGGGCGGGAGGCAGCCCGTGACTCCCTCAGCCCGAAACCGTGCCCCACATCCTGGACCCTGGCGCTGCCCACAGTCTCTGGGGCTGGGAACACAGCAGTAATTACAGCGTTCTTGTCATTTCTGTCCACCTGTGCCCCGTGCCCATGAGTGCTGGCATGTAGTAGGTGTGCCACACATGCTGCCCAGTGAAGGAATGAATGAGGGTGCATGTTTCTTCAGTATTTTCTACTATCCTATCACCACCCTCCCTTCCCACCTGGGCGGTGGCTGCAGCTTCCCGAGTCCCTATTCTTGTCCCCTTCACAAAGGCAAAGGGAAGCTTTTAAAACCTAGGTCACATCGTGCTGGTCCCAGCGCTGGCTTCCACTGCTCAAGGTAAAGCCCAAACTCATTCCCAAAACTGACTTGTTCATTCAGTCATCAAATGTCACTGAGTACCTGCCACGTGCCAGGCTCCAGCACTTACATTTGAGAGCCTAGGGGACCGGTCATAGACAAACACATTAGGAAGAGGCCCAGCCTGTCAGAGGGCTGTGAGTTCAATGGAACCAGGCAGTGCAGAGAAGTGTGAAGGGCCCTGCTGAGCCATGGTTCTATTTTACACAAGGCGGGCAGGGAAGGCTGCGCTCTGGGTGACGCTGGAGCAGTGACCAATCCGAAGGAGATGAGGGATTGTGAGGGTGACCAACGTCTGCTGTTCCCATGACTTGGGACGGGGGCTACCCAGGCCATGAGACTTTCAGTGTTAAAACTGGGAAGGTCCTGGGCAAACTAGGACCAGTTGGTCCCCCTAGTTCTGGGCAGAGGAAACTCCAAGTACACAGGCCCTTGGCTGCAGCATGCTGGATGGGTGCCAGTAAGAGGCCAGAGTGGCTGGAACAGGGGGAGAGGGTGAGAGCTGAGGGCAGAGAGTGAGCGAGGCCAGGTCCTAAAGGGCTTTGTGGGCCACAGAGAGGACTCTAGCTCTTCTCCCAGTGAGACGGGAGCCGCGGAGGGTTCTGAGCGGAGGAGGGAAGTGGGCAGCCTTAAGTGCTGACAGGACCCTTCTGCCTGTGCTGTGAGCAGCCCCATCAGGCAGGGGTGGAGGCAGGCGGCCCCTCAAGGGGACCCTGGCAGTGTTCCAGGGTGGTGGCAGAGGAGCGGCTGGGAAGGGGTAGGGTGGGATTCCCGACCTCCTCTCCACCCCATCTCCTTGTGCTCCAGCTGCCTGGGCCTCCCTGTAGTTCCTCCAAACCACCAGCTCTCCCCAACCTCAGGGCCTCTGCAATCGCCAATCTCCTCTGCCAGAAACGCTTCCCTGCAGCCCTGCCCTGCTAAGCTCATACTAAAAGGGTTACTGGGACCGTCTCGGGTGGTGAAAGGGCCGGAGTAAGAGGAAGGGGAGAGGGTGGGGTTTGGACAGATGTCGGGAAATACAGAGAGGTCCCCCAGAGATTGTGGGACAATGAGGGAGCGAGGCCCTGGTGCATGCTCTGCAGCACTAGCAATGCTCCTCCCACCCTTTTCCTAGGCAGTGCCTCTCACTGCCCAGGCCTTCTTCCAGAAGCCCACCCACGCAGGTTAGCGCTCTCAGAGGGCAGGAAGCAGTGCTCCCCTAGACAGTAAAGAAGGCTGCCCGCTTCACAATGGACCGAGCTCCAGCCCGCCTCCCTTGGGTGAGACCACGTTTTGGCGGGGGCGGGGAATGCTTTTCCTAATGCCCACCAAGATGCCTGATGTGGTAACAGGGCTCCTCCCATCTCAACTTCCACTGCAACCCAATGTACAGAGTCGGCACTCAATACATGCTTTTTTTAAAAAATAGAGACACGGTCTTCTCTGTCACCAGGCTGGAATGCCGTCGCACAATCACGGCTCACTATAGCCTCAAGCAATCTGCCCTCCTCAGCCTCGAGTGGCTGGGACTATTGGCGTGCACCACCACACGTGGCACATGCACTCTTACCTCACTCTCACCTTGGCTCAACCCTCACCCCAACTTTGGAGATAAAGAAACAGAGACTCCAACAGGGATGAGTTGGCCCCAGGTCTTCCAGCCAGCAGGGGCGCCAAGCCTCCCCGAAGCCTCCCCTGGGCCCTACCTGCACGGTGGAAGTCGTCCTTGCTGTAGGTGAAGTCCTTCAAGAAGGTGATACACTCTGTCTCGTGGTTGTAGCGCCTGGCTGTCTCTAGCAGCATGATCTAAGGGCGGCAGCGGGAGGGGGAGCTTGAGCCCTGTGACCCTTCAGCTGCTAGTCCCTCCCCTCCTGGCCCAAATGGGGGTCTAATCTCACCAGGATTATCCCTTGTCCCCTTCCCCCCTGTTCTCTCAGCCACACCAGCGTGCAGCCATCACGTGAGACAGCCCGAGCTCTTTCTCCACTTCAGGCTTCCGCACATGCTGCATCCCCATCTCCTTAGGATACTCTTTCCCCAGGTGAGCACAAGGTTTGGGGCACGGGGTTTGATCTGCTTTGTTCTTTGCCCCATATGCCAACACTTGGAATAGAGCCTGGCATACAGCACGTGCTCAATACTTATATGTTATCCCTACTTTGATTCAAATGCTAACTCCTCTGAAAAGCCTTTTTGGCAACTTTTCTCTGCAATAGCGCCTCTAGCCTGATCCTCAATTTTCTCAGCCTCAGACCCTTTTTCCTTTCTCTCCTTGGCTCATAGAAGACTCTATTCGCCGTGGAATGTCATCCTACAACGGCAAGCACTGGTCTTCCTTAACTCTGCTCCCAGCATCTGTCCTGGAGCTATCTCTGGGGTTCCTTGTGGGCAGATGGACCATTACCTCGATAGTGGATGCCTTCAGGAGGGCGATCTGGTCCTCCCGGCCCAGCTGCAGGAAACCAGGCACTTGCTTAGCGAAGTCCACGATCTCCTGGACTGAGATGATGGCCAGCTCCGTGAAGTGGGCAAAGCGTTGCTGGCGGGCATCTCGGGACTGGGGGTCTGCGCCCAGGGGCCAGGGCTGGGACACAGGAGACCAGGGTCACTCCCAGGTCTTTGTGAGCCTAAGTCTGGGTGGCCACCTTGAGGCCAAGCCTGCACCCTGGGGGATCCTCTTCCCAAAGCCCCTGCCCTCTGGAGCCTCATTCTCCCACACCCTGGGTGATGGCCCAGCTGGCTCTACCCCATTGGGACCGTCACACTCAAGGTTGTGGAGGGGGCAGTACCGTGACTTTGGGCTGGTCGGAGAAGGAGCGTTTGTTGCACTGCAGTTGGGCCGCCACCAACTGCTGGATCATTAGTTCTTGAGCCGCTGTTAGCTGGACACCCTCGCCTTCCCCGGAGCCCTGGCTGCCTGCCTCAGATCCACCAGGGGAAGCCCCAGGCCCAGAGGCTGAGCTGCTGCTGCCCTGCGGCCCCACAGGTGACTGCGACTGTGACTGTGACTCCTGCTGCTGTTTCCGAATCTTCTTCTTCCGGATCTGTTCTTCAGAAAGGACGCCTGTAGGGGGATGCAGGCCTCAGCAGAACCCCAGGGCTAGGCGGGGGGCCAGGCCGGCACCGCCCCCTCCCGCTGCACTCACACTGCTCCCTCATCCCTGCCTCCTTGCACTTGCGCAGCCGGCACTGCTGGCACTTGCGCCGCATGAAAGCGTCCATCTGGCAGGTTCCGCCACCCCGGCAGGCATAGCGCCTGGCCCCACCACGGACCACACTGCGCCGGAAGAAGCCCTTGCAGCCTTCGCAGCTGAGCACGTTGTAGTGGAAGCCGGAGGCCTTGTCCCCACAGACACGGCAAAGCTCGTGGCCCAGCATCTTCGGGGCTGGGCCCTTCTTTCGCTTGCGCTCTGGTTCCTCTTCGGGATCTGGGATGACTGGGGTGGGTAGGTAGAGGCCATGAGAAAGCCACAAGGAGAAACAGGAACCAGAGAGATGGGCCCACAGGAGATCCCCAGGCAAAGAGCCAGAGGATGGAGGGAGAGAGGAGTTGCTGCTCACATTCAGGGAAATTGCAATTTAGAAAGATGTATATGTTAAGGAGAAAGCAAGAACAAAAAGCAAAGATCAGGGCCTCCCATTCCCATTTCTATTTCTTTCTCCCTTCCTAAACCCCTCCCCAAGCCCCCACATCAACTCCAGGGCCCTGTCTCACCCCAGTCTGTGCTGCAGGCTGAGCTGGCCTCATCAGTGCCTGGGACATCAGGGTCCGGACCCCCGGGCCACGGCTCCGGACCCTCCTCCTTTACAGTGGGTGAAGAAGAAGGGGCGCCAGGCTGAGGGGGGCCATTTCCTGGAAGAGGGTGGAATCCGGGAGAGGTACAGTGAGCTTCTGCTCGTGTGTGATAAGGGCTGGGTGGGGAAGAGAGTCACTCACCAGGCAGGGGGGTATCCAGGGAACTCGTGGTAGGAGAGGACATGGTGGGGTCACGGAGCAGCCTGTAGAATACAGGGGATTGAGAGCCTTGTGGGGCTAAGAAGGGTTAGGTTAGGTCAGTTACAGGTCCTGACAGGGCTTTCCCTTTTTTTTCCATCTCTCCAAAGACCCTACTCTCAGCCACAACCCTGGTTCCTGCCAGCCTACAAACCCTCCCCATCCTTCTAACAAGACCTGCCCCCTTCTGTTCCACGCCAGCCTTCAGCTTGGTCTTAAGCCCCGCCCCTGCTGTAGGCCCCGCCCCCTCAGGTCCAATCCACCTGCTTTTTCTAGGTAGGGCCCATTCTCCTTTAATCATGCTCTGCCTTCACGGCCTCCATGCCATGTAGTTTCCCCCCACCTCCTCTTCTTAAGACTCTACCTCACTTCTGCCCCAAGCATCCCTATTTCTCATTCTGACCCCACCTCCTCCTACTATGCTCCGCCCTCAACCTTCCAGGTTCAGCCCCTAAAGCCCCCATCATGGGCCTCCCAACACCTTGCCCCGCCCCATATGCATCCCTCCCTCCAAGCCTCACCCCCACAACCTCGCTCCAGGTCCCCATCCCCTCCCATCATGCCCCGCCCCCGCCCCGCCTCCTCCCTTCCTACTGCACCCCCACAACCTCGCTCCAGGCCCCGCCACATCTCCTCCCATCATGCCCCGCCCCCAGCCCCGCCTCCTCCCTTCATGCCCCGCCCCCGCACCGCGCTGCAGGTCCCGCCCCATCACCTCCCATCATGCCCCGCCCCGCCTCCTCCATTCATGCTCCGCCCTCGCACCTCTCTCCAGGTCCCGCCCCTCTCCAAGCAACAGCGGGGGGCGGGGCTCATGGCTGCGCGCGGGGGTCTCGTGGACGGCCTCTCGCGGAGTGAACTACTCCTGTTGCCCTGGAAACAGCCGCGGGAGGCGCGAATTACCGAGGGGAGGAAATGGAAGGAGAGAAGGGGGCAGAGCGGAGTACGCGGGGAGCGCCGAGAAGCCCCGGGTTCGGGGCTCCTCCTGCGTCTCCCCACTCTCGGGTGCACCTACCTGGGTTCCCTTGCTCTGCTTTTCTTCGTCCTCCTCTTTAGCCCCTGACACACCGCCGCTACTCAAATACCCTCAAAAGTAACTTCGCCACTTCTTCCGGCAACCCCGCCCTTGCGTCACGTCCGGAAGAGGGGCGGAGCGTGAAACTTGACGAACTTCCGGTCCGCTTAGGACCAGCCGAAGCTGCTGCCCCGCACGGAAGTTGGAAACTCACCGGAAGTTTACCGGGTAGATCTACTGGGACTTGGCAGAAGAGTTCCGAACCCATTTCCTCGCTTCTTGGGAGCCAAACCTCCAGCCCCGCGCTTTGTGGCTTTAGCTCATTCATGCGCTTCTCTGAGCCTGCGGCCAAACCCTAGCTATAGCTGCTTGTCGCACATGACTGATTTAAGGCACGTTTGCACTTTTTTGGTCGTTACAAGTTTTCTGATTTTGGAGTCGTGCTGCTTGTTAGTTTTATTTATTTTTATTTATTTATTTGGAGAGGTCTCACTCTGTCACCCCAGACTGGAGTGCAGTGGTGTGATCTCAGCTCACTCCAGCCTCTGCGTCCTGGGTTCAAGAGATTCTCTTGCCTCACCCTCCCAAGTAACTGGGATTACAGGCATGTGCCACCACGCCCGGCTCATTTTTTTGTATTTTTAGTAGAGACAGGGTTTCGCCATGTTGGCGAGGCTGGTCTCGAACTCCTGACTTCAAATGATCCGCCTGCCTCGGCCTCCCAAAGTGCTGGGATTACAGGCGTGAGCTGCGGCACCGGGCTTATTTTTACTTTTTTTTTTTTGAGATGGAGTCTCACTCTGTTGCCCAGGCTGGAGTGCAGTGCCGCGATCTCAGCTAACTGCAACTTCCGCCTCCTGGGTTCAAGCGATTCTCCTGCCTCAGCCTCCCTTGTAGCTGGGATTACAGGTGCCCACCACCACGGCCGGCTAATTTTTCTATTTTTAGTAGAGATGGGGTTTCACCATGTTTGCCAGGCTGGTATCGAACTCCTGACCTCAGGCAATCCACCTACCTCGGCCTTCCAGAGTGTTGGGATTACAGGCGTGAGCCGCTGTGCCTGGCCAGATTTGAGATGTCAGAATTTTCTCATTGTTAAAATTTTGCAAAAATGGTTTCAATAACTTGGTGATTGGAAGAATTAAAAAAGCTCAGTCTCGGACCGGGCGCGGTGGCTCACGCCTGTAATCCCAGCACTTTGGGAGGCCGAGGTGGGCAGATCACCTGAGGTCGGGAGTTTGAGATCAGCCTGACCAACATGGAGAAACTCCGTCTCTACTAAAAATACAAAATTAGCCAGGCATGGTGGCGGGCGCCTGTAATCCCAGCTACTCGGGAGAGGCTGAGGCAGGAGAATCGCTTGAACCCAGGAGGCGGAGGTTGCGGTGAGCCGAGGTTGCGGTGAGCCGAGATTGCGCCATTGCACTCCAGTCTGGGTAACAAGAGCGAAACTCCGTCTCAAAAATAAAATGCAATAAAAATAAAGGAATAAAAGAATGGCTACTCCAGGTAGAGCAGCGGCTTGGGCTGTTCACTGTGATTATACTTATAGTTATTTCTTGATTATATACTAAACAACGGGTGGATTATTCATGAGTTTTCCAGGAAAAGGGTAGGCAATTCTCAGAATTGAGGGTTCCTCCCCCGTTTAGACCATATAGGGGAACTTCCTGACGTTGCCATGGCATTTGTAAGCTGTCATCGTGCTGGTGGGTGTGACTTTTAGCATGCTAATGCGTTATAATTAGTGTATAATGAGCCATGAGGACGGCTAGAGGTCACTCTCATCGCCATCTTGGTTTTGCTGGGATCTGGCTGACTTCTTTACTGCATATGCTGTTTTATCAGCAAGCTCTTTGTGACCCGTATCTTGTGCCAACCTCCTATCCTATCTCATCCTGTGACTAAGAATGCCTTAACCTCCTGGGAACGCAGCCCAGTAGGTCTCAGCCTTATTTTACCAAGCTCCTATTCAAGACAGAATCGCTGTGGTTGGAATGCCTCTGACATATGTGTATGCCTTTATAAAAAAGAAATGGGACTATGTGATCCATGCTCTTCTGTAACTTATTATGTCTACTCAGGCCCATCGTTTGAGATTGTGGAATTTTCCACCTAGGGATGTTAGAAGCGAAACAAGTGATTAACATGAGCGTTGGAAATGGCAGAACCTGGTGTCTCTGTCACTTCCTTCCTGTGTAACACTGAGCCCAGTTCCTTAACCTCCCCGTGCCTCAGTTTCCTTGCCTGTAAATTGCAAACAGGAGTGAGAAAGCCGGGCATGGTGGCTCATGCCTGTAATCCCAGCACTTTGGGAGGCCAAGGCAGGTGGATCACCTGAGATCAGGAGTTCGAGACTAGCCTGACCAACTTGCTGAAACCTGGTCTCTACTAAAAATATAAAATTAGCCGGGCATGGTGGCGGGCACCTGTAATCCCAGCTACTCAGGAGGCTGAGGCAGGAGAATTGAACCCGGGAGACAGAGGTTGTGGTGAGCCAAGATCTTGCCATTGCATTCCACCCTGGGCAGCAGGAGCAAAACTGCATCTCAAAAATAAAAAAATAAAGGCAGGGCACGGTGGCTCACGCCTGTAATCCCAGCACTTTGGGAGGCCAAGGCAGGTGGATCACAAGGTCAGGAGTTCAAGACCAGCCTGACCAACACCATGAAACCCCATCTCTACTAAAAAAAATACAAAAAAAATAGCCAGGCGTGGTGGTACGTGCCTGTAATCCCAGCTACTTGGGAGGCTGAGACAGAAGAATCACTTGAACCCAGGAGGCGGAGGTTGCAGTGAGCCGAGAACGCGCCACTGCACTCCAGCCTGGCAACAGAGTAAGACTCCGTCTCAAAATAAATAAATAAATAAACAAATAAATAAAAATAAAAAAATTAAAAAGAGTGAGACAGGAGGCTAGGCACAGTGGTTCATGCCAGTAATCCCAGCATTTTGGAAGGCTGAGGCAGGCAGATCACGATGTCAGGAGATGGAGACCATCCTGGCCAACATGGTGAAACCCCATCTCAACTAAAAATACAAAAATTAGCTGGGCGTGGTGGCACGTGCCTGTAATCCCAACTACTTGGGAGGCTGAGGCAGGAGAATCTCTTGAACCAAGGAGTCAGAGGTTGCAGTGAGCCGAGATCGCGCCACTGCACTCCAGCCTACCGACAGACTGAAACTCTATCTCAAAAAAAAAAAAAAAAAAAAAAAGCGAGACAGGAATAACACAGGGTAGTCACAGGAGAATAGAAAATTCCAGGCAGCAGTTTCACATGACTAGCAAAAGGAAACTGTTGAAATAGTTGCAGCAGGTGGGGGCTGATAAGACTCTTGAAAACCCTAGGTGTGGACCAACCTGGCTAAGACACATTGGACCCAACAAGGCCCTACATATGACCTAGGTCTCACCTAGGACCTCGTTATATGCTCATTAACATAAACACACACCCACCAGCACCAGGACGGTTACAGGAACACCCATATTTGGTGTAAAAGTGGGTGGCACCACAGTTCTCAAAAATCTCCTTTTTCTAGGAATCTTCATGAATATTCCACTCCTTGATTAAAGAAATCCATAGTACATACCTGTAGTCCCAGCTACTCAGGAGACTGAGGCAGGAGAATCGCTGGAACCCGTGAGGCGGAGGTTGCAGTGAGCCAAGATCGTGCCACTGCACTCCAGCCTGGGGACAGAGCAAGACTGTCTCAAAACAAAAAGAGAGAAACCCATTAAGGTAGCAGCCCCAAACCCCCCCTGCAGGAGACTCTCTCTGGAGTCCACCTGTACTCCTCTTTGTTGAGTGTGTACTTTTCACTTTGCAATACATCTTTGTACTTTCAGTATTTTCCCACTTGTCCTCAAGTTCCTTCCCGAGATGGTGTCAAGAGCCTGGACATTGGCTGGGGTGGAGGTCCCACACCAGCATATGGGGACTTCCCCTAGCCCACCGGGATCAAGAGTATGACCTTGTTGCCTTACTCTTATGACTAAATGAGGTAAAAGCATAAACAGGGTGGGTTTCAAATGAGGTGCCTGATATGGTGGAACTGTATTTATATTTATTTATTTATTTATTTATTTTTTTAAGATAAGATCTCACTCTGTCGCCCAGGCTGGAGTGCAGTGGTGCCATCTTGGCTTATTGCAGCCCTGACCTCCTGGGCTCAGGTGATCCTCCCACCTCAGCCTCCAGAGTATGTGGGACCGCAGGCATGAGCCACCACACCCAGCTAAGTTTTTACATTTTTGTTAGAGATGGGGTTTCGCCACGTTGCCTAGGCTGTTCTTGAACTCATGGACTCAGGCGATCTGCCCACCTTGGCCTCCCAAGGTGCCGGGATTACAGGCATGAGCCTCTCATCCAGCCTGTATTGATTCTTGTGGCTGTTAAAGTAGTTCTAAGTTTCCACTGTTAGAAAAGTGCAAGAGTCCTGAAATAGGCTGAAGAGGAATTACAACACTTTTGGGACGAGTCACATTGCACTCAGTCTCGGTTGACCTACTGGTAAATAGGATAAATCGTTCTTCCTTTTTTCTTTGAGTTTTGCTCTTGTCACCCAGGCTAGAGTGCAGTGGCCCAATCTTGGTTCACTGCAACTTCTGCCTCCCGGGTTCAAGTTATTCTCCTGCCTCAGCCTCCTGAGTAGCTGGGATCACGGGTGCGCACCACCATGCCCGGCTAATTTTTGTGTTTTTAGTAGAGACGGGGTTTCACCATGTTGGGCAGGCTGGTTTCAAACTCCTGACATCAAGTGATCCACTCATCTCAGCCTCCCAAAGTGCTGGGATTACAGGCATGAGCCACCACGCCCGGCTTTGTTCTTATTTATTTATTTATTTATTTATTTGAGACAGAGTTTACTCTAGTACAGTGGCGTGATCTCGGCTCACTGCAACCTCTGCCTGCCGGGTTCACGCCATTCTCCTGCCTCAGCCTCCTGACTAGCTGGGACTACAGGCACCTGCCACCACGCCCGGCTAATTTTTTGTATTTTTAATAGAGACAGGGTTTCATCATGTTGGCCAGGCTGGTCTCGAACTCCCGACCTCAGGCAATCCACCCACCTCGGCCTCTCAAAGTGCAGGAATTACAGGCGTGTGCTGCCGTGCCCGGCCTCTTGTTCTTATTTCTTATGAAGGGTATGAGGATCCCGGAAGCGCAGTGCCTGGCATACAGAAGCACTCGGTCACTGGCAGTTTTGTTGTCTGAAGGTAGCTGTGGACCAAGGTTCTCATTTGTAAGTAACCCAATATTCTCTAATTTTTTTGGTAATAGCTTTATTGAGATTTGGTTCACACACCAAACAATTCAGCACTTTCAAGTACAATTTAATGGTTTTTAGCAAGTTCACGGGTTGTGCAACCACCACCATAACCAATTTTAGAACATTTTGGTCAGTCCACAAAGAAACCCCATTCCCATAAGCAGATATACCCGTTGGCCACGGTGGCTCACACCTGTAATCCCAGCACTTTGGAAGGCCAAGGAGGGCAGATCACAAGGTCAAGAGATTGAGACCATCCTAGCCAACAAGGCGAAACCCCGTCGCTACAAAAATACAAAAATTAGCCGAGTATGGTGGCAGGCACCTGAAATCCCAGCTACTCAGGAGGCTGAGGCAGGAGAATCGCTTGAACCCAGGAGGCAGAGGTTGCAGTGAGCCTAGATCACGCCACTACCCTCCAGCCTGGCAACAGACCTAGACTCCATCTCAAACAAACAAAAAACAGTTATACCCAATTCTCCCACCCTTTTCTTCCAGCTTGAGGCAGCCATTAATCTATATCTGGCTGAGTGAGGTGGCTCATGCCTGTAACCCCAGCACTTCGGGAGGCCAATGCTGGAGGATTGTTTGAGCCCAGGAGTTTGAGACCAATCTGGGCAACATAGGGAGACACCCCCACCCCCATCTCTACAAAAAATTAAAAACTAAGCCATGCAGGGTAGCGAATGCCTCTTGTCCCAGCTACTCAGGAGGCTGAGATGGGAGGATCACTTGTGCCCAGGAGGTTGAGGTTGCAGTGAGCCATAATGGTACCACTGCTCTCCAGCCTGGGTGACAAAGCAAGGCTCTGTTTCAAAAAAAGAAAAAATTATATGACTTTATGGAATTTTCCTATTCTAGACATTTCCTATAAATGGATCGTTGGAATATGTAGCTCTTTGTGACTGGCATCTCTCACTGGGCATAACGTTTTCTAGGTTCATCTACTTTGTAGAATGTATCAGTACTTCATTTCTGTTTATGGCACAGTAATAGTCCATGGTATGGATATACCACCTTTTACCTACCCATTCGCCAGTTAATGGACAGGTGGGATGTTTCTATTCTTGGCTGCAACGCTGCTATGAACATTCATGTACAAGTTTTTGTGTAGACATATGTTTCATTTCACCTTGGAGTGGGATTGCTGGGTCATGCAGTAACTCTATGTTTAACTTTTTGTTTTGTTTTGTTTTGAGACAGTGTCTCACTCTGCTACCTAGGCTGGAGTGGGGTGGCGTAGTCACAGCTCACTGCAGCCACGACCTCCTGGGCTAAGTGATCCTGCCATCTCAGTCTCCAGAGTAGCTGGGACTACAAGCATGCGCTAGCAAGCCCAGGTAATTCTTTTGTAGAGACAGACTCACTATGTTCCCCAGGCTGGTCTGGAACTCCTGGGCTCAAGCAATCCTCCCACCTCAGCCTGCCAACGTGCTGGGATGACACGTGTAAGCCACCATGCCCGGCCTATGTTTAATATTTTGAGTAGGCCAGGTGCAGTGGCTCATGCCTGTAATCCCAACACTTTGGGAGGCCAAGGCGGGCAGATCACCTGAGGTCAGGAGTTCGAGACCAGCATGGCCAACATGGCAAAACTCCGTCCCTACTAAAATTACAAAAATTGGCAGGAGAATCGCTTGAACCTGGGGGTTCGGAGGTTGCAGTGAGCCGAGATCACAGCCACTGCACTCCAGCCTGAACAGAGCGAGATTCTGCCTCAAAAAAAAAAAAAAAAAAAAAAAAAAAACACTAATGCGAGACCTCGGGAAGGTGCGATATAAGATCATAGAGGGAACGCAGGTCCGAACTTGAGGCCTTGTGGGGTCTGATGTGGCCCACAGTGCCTGAGAGTCACCCAAAGGGTCCCCCACTCTTGGACACACAACTGGACTACATTTCCGGGTCGTCCTTGCAGCCAGGAGCAACCACGTGACAGATTCCCACCAATGGAACAGGGGCAAAAGTAATCCTGGCAAAGACGATGCGAGGCATCTGGGCTGATTACTTGGTGTCTGCAGCTTCAAGAACCAGGTTCAATTCCCCTCCAAGTGCACCTGGGCTGCCTCCTCTTAATCTTGCTGCACCGCAGCAGCCCCTCCCCAACCCGGTAAAATGTGGGCGATAATTCCTTTCTTACAAGGTTAGTAAATAAAATGACGGGTTTAAAAATCTGGCAATCCTTTACCTAATCACTTCCTGAGGGGATTCGGGAAAGATTGTGTTGGGCGATTCTGGAAACTGTGCTCCTCTGATGGTGGAGGCCCACTCGGTCACAACCCCCTGAGAGACAAGACATGGGGAGATCCAGGTCCCATTGGCCGGGCCGTGTTCGGCAGGAGATCTCCCAGTACGCTTGGGCAGGGGAGTCAGGGAGGAAGCCTGTTCTGCTCCTTTTCCCGTGGGGTGCAGAGAGCGAGCAAGTCGGCATTCCAGGCGGTGGGAACTGCTAGGGCGGAAGCAGGAAAGCTGGAGAGAGCCTGGTGTTCCAGGGGTCCAGCTCTAGAAACGGGTGGCGGCTGGGGAATCTTGGCTGGGAAAACAGGCCCACACCTCCACCTTGTGGCCAATTGGGAATTTGCAGGCACGGCCTCTCAAACTACTTAAGGGCGCTTGGGTGCAGTTGGATGGGGTGCTGCAGACGGAAAGCGTGCGGGGCGAGTTGAAGGGGCCCAGATCGAGTGCTCTGACTGAGAAAACAAAGGGGGGTGGTGACAGTTATCAGGGACACGTTCGGCTGCTTCAGGAAAATCCCCCAGAGCAAGGAGTGCACAAAGTGGATCTTTACCATTATTTATGTATTTATTTATTTCTGTTGAGACAGTGTCTCACTCTGTCACCTGGGATGGAGTGCAGTGGCGTGATGACGGCTCACTGCAGCTTCAGCCTCCTAGGCTCAAGTTATCCTCCAGCCTCACCTTCCCCAGTAGCTGGGACTACAGGAGTGTGCCATTACGCCCAGATAATTTTTACATTTTTTTTGTACAGACAGGGTCTCCCTTTGTTGCCCAGGCTGGTCTCCAACTCCCAGGCGCAAGCGATCCTCCTGCCTCAGCCTTCCAAAGGGCTGGGATGACACCCCCAGCCTCCCAAACGCACCCCCACCGCACCTAGCCTTTCTTTTGTTTCTTTTTTTTTTTTTTTTTTTTTTGAGAGGGAGTCTTGCTCTGTCGCCCAGACTGGAGTGTAGCAGCGCGATCTTGGCTCACTGCAACTTCCGCCTCCCAGGTTCAAGTGATTCTCCTGCCTCGGCCTTCCGAGTAGCTGGGATTACAGGCGCTGACCACCACGCCTGGCTAATTTTTGTATTTTTAGTAGAGACAGGGTTTCACCATGTTGGCCAGACTGGCCTCGAACTCCTGACCTCAAGTGATCCGCCTGCCTCAGCCTCCTAAAGTGCTGGGATTACAGGCATGAGTTACCGCATCCAGCCGATTTCTAAGGGTTTTGACTCCAGTCCCTGGCTCACTGACTGTATCTCTGGACCCACCTGGGACCTGAGGTAACTTGATGCCCTGAAGGGAAGGATGCAAGCATGGCTGCCTTTGGAACCTGCTAGTTTTAGAGCCCAAGGGCCTTGAGCAAACATAAGCAGTAGGCAGGTAGGTCGTGGTTACAGGAGGCCATGGGCAGGACCCAGCGCAATCCCAGTGATAGTAGGCATGGGGTGTTTGTGTCACCCCACTCCCAGCTCCAGGTAGCTCAGCAGAGAGAGAGAGACAGAGACAGAGAGAGAGAGAGAGAGAGAGAGAGAGAGAGGGAGAGAGAGAGACTGACTCTGTTTGAGAGAAAGCAAGGGAAGAGAGCAAGAGTCTCTGCCTGGTAATCCAGATAAATCTTCTGGATCTTATCTAAGACCACTAAGATAGTACCTCTATGAGTTTGCAAGAACCACAGCATTAATGGGCTTGGGGAGCCCCCTAATGCAGACATGGCTTAGATCACAACACCCAAGTACTTTTGAATACCTGGAAAGCCTCCCCAAAAAGGACAGGTACAAACAAGCCTTGTCTGCAAAGACTACAATAAATACCTAACATGGCCAGGCATGGTGGCTCATGTCTAATCCCAGCATTTTGGGAGGCTGAAGCAGGAAGATCACCTGAGGTCAGGAGTTTGAGACCAGGCTAGACAACATGGTGAAACCCTGTCTCTTCTAAAAATACAAAAATTAGCTGGGTGTAGGCTGGGTGCGGTGGCTCATGCCTGTAATCCCAGCACTTTGGGAGGCCGAGGCAGGTGGATCACCTGAGGTCAGGAGTTCGAGACCAGCCTGACCAATATGATGAAACCCTGTCTTTACTAAAAATACAAAAACTAGCTGGCATGCGCCTATAATCCCAGCTACTTGGGAGGCTGAGACAGGACAATCGCTTGAACTCAGGAGGCAGAGGTTGCAGTGAGCCAAGATGGCGCCATTACACTCCAGCCTAGGCAATAAGAGTGAAACTCCATCTCAAAAAAAAAAAAAAAATTTAGCCAGGGTGGTATCGGGTGCCTGTAGTCCCAGCTACTCGGGAGGCTGAGGCAGAATTACTTGCACCTGGGAGGCAGAGGTTGCAGTGAGCTGAGATCACACCATTGCACTGCAGCTTGGGCAACAAGAGCAAAACTCCATCTAAATAAATAAATAAATAAATAAATAAATAAATAAATAAATAACTCATCAATGCCCAGCCACCAATGAACATCTATAAGCATCAAGGCCATCCAGAATAAATGACCTTACCAAACAAATCAAATAAGCCACCAAGGACCAATCCTTGAAGAAACAGAGATATGTGACCTTTCCGACAGAGAATTTAAAATAGCTGTTTTGAGGAAACTCAAAGAAATTCAAGCTAACACACAGAAGGAATTCAGATTCCATCACATAAATTTAACAAAGAGATTGAAATAATTGAGAATCAGCTGGGTGCAGTGGCTCACGCCTGTAATCCCAGCACTTTAGGAGGCTGAGGCGGGCGGATCACCTGAGGTCGGGAGTTCTAGACCAGCCTGACCAACATGGAGAAACCCTGTCTCTACTAAAACTACAAAATTAGTGGGGCGTGGTTGCGCATGCCTGTAATCCCAGCCTGGGCAACAAGAGTGAAACTCGGTCTCAAAAAAAAAAAAACCAAAAAACAAAAACAAAAACAAACAAACAAAAAACAATACCCAATGATCTGTTGTCAACAAGAAACATACTTCACCTACAAATAAAACAGTAAGAGACTGGGTCCTGAAATGCGGGCCCACTTCATATGTGAGGGCAGGTGTCTAATCATGTCCTTTCTCCCTTCCCCCAGGCCCTTCACAGATACCTGCTGGTCTCTCCCACTTGGCCAAGGAAACACTTGTGGTTAATAAGTCTCAGAAAAGTTATGTGAAAGTTAAAAGTAAAACTGACAGCAGCTGAAGGATGGGGGGGTGGGAGGTGGTGACGGTGGAG